>NC_000007.14:129381779-130006779 GCF_000001405.40 Homo sapiens
CAGATTAGGTATCATTTTAAAAACATTATGCCTATCAACATAATATTCTCAGTGGTCTGAACTAATCTACAGGAAGTGTTAGTTCTGTAAACTCAGTGCTTTTAAAATGAAACCCAAAATGTTTGCTTCTTTAGCAGCTGCATCACATGCACTGTTACCTTGTTTTGTTTTTTGTTTCTTTCTTTTTCTTTTCCCCTTTGAGTGAATGGTTGTCAAGCCCTTTTAAACAGACTCTGACTAGAAATGCCTACTATCCTGATTATTGGACTAGGAGTTAGGAGAGACCTAGTTTCTAGTCTTTGATCCATGTTTGATTTGTTGTGTGACGCTGGAAAACTCTTGCACCTGGCATCTTCGTAACACAGACAATGGAAAGTTATATACAATGATAGAAAAAGAGTTTCATGTGCATCGAATGAAAAGCCAAAAGTAATGGAACTGACTCACAACTCTCTAAATATGACAAGACATATATGCAAATATGTGTCAATAAAAACTTGGGGCCCATTTTCAGCATATGTTATAATTTAAATGACTAGGCTGGGCACAGTGGCTCATGCCTGTAATTCCAGCAATTTGGGAGGCCGAGACAGGCAGATCACCTGAGGTCAGGCATTCAAGACCAGCCTTGCTAACACGGTGAAACCCCGTCTCCACAAAAAATTTAAAAATTAGCCAGGCGTCGTGGCGCATGCCTGTAATCCCAGCTACTCCGGAGTCTGAGGCATGAGAATCGCTTGAACCCAGGAGACAGAGGTTGCAGTGGGCCAAGATTGTGCCACTGCACTTCAGCCTGGGCAATAGAGTGAGACTTTTTTTTATTTAATAAAAAAAAATAATTTTAGGCAGGGCGCGTTGGCTCACGCCTATAATCCCAGCACTTTGGGAGGCTGAGGTCGGCGAATCACCTGAGGCCGGGGGTTCGAGACCAGCCTGACCAACATGGAGAAACCCCATCTCTACTAAACATACAAAAATTAGCCAGGTGTGGTGGCACATGCCTGTAATCCCAGCTACTCGGGAGGCTGAGGCAGGAGAATTGCTTGAACCCAGGAGGCAGAGGTTGCGGTGAGCCAAGATCATGCCATTGCACTCCAGCCTGGGCAACAAGAGTGAAACTATGTCTCAAAAAAAATTAATAATTTAAATGACTATAGAAATTAACACTGGAAAGCCCCAAAGACTCATCCTTGGACCTCTTCCCTTCTCAGTTTATACTTTCTCCCTAGATGAACTCATTTATCTCATAGGTTTAAATATCATGTATTGGTGTTTGATTCTCATATTTTATCCAGCTCAAATCTGTCTCCTATATACTAGATTCATATATACAACTGCCTGCTGAGTCCTTTCACTTGAATGTTTTATAGATATCTCTTTTTATTTTATTCTATTTTTTTTTAAGAGACAGGGTCTTGCTTTGTTGTCCAGGCTGGAGTGTAGTGGCACAATCATGGCTTACTGTAGCCTCGAACTCTTGGGCTCAGGCAGTCTTCCCACCTCAGCCTCCCCAGTAACTAGGACTACAGATGTGTACCATCACATCTGGCTAATTTTTTAAAATTTTTTTGTAGAGATAGGGGTCTCACTTTGTTGCCTAGGCTGGTCTCAAACTCCTGGCCTCAAGCAATCCTCCTCCCAAAGTGCTGGGATTACAGACATGAGCCATGGCACCCAGCCCATAGACATCTCAAACCTCCCATGTATTAAAAACTGAACTCCTCAGTTCCAACCTTACCCATCTTCAGTCTATTCTCAACACTACAGCCAAATGTATTCTTTTAAAATAAGTCATGTCATATCATTTCACTGCCTAAAACCTTCCAGTGGCTTCCCAATCTCACTCTTAGGTAAAGCCTAAAGTTCTTACAATGGCCTACATTTCTGTTCACCTCTCTACTTCCCCAAACCTCCTCCCTCCCCGAGATGTTCATTTCACTCTGGCCTTACTAGCCTCCTACTGTTATTTTGAAACACGCCATGCACTCTCCTGCTTCGAGACCTTTGTACCTGTTCCCTCTACTTGGAATGCTCTTTTTCCAGATACATGCATTGCTGGCTACCTTACCTCCTTCAGTTCTTCACCAAAAATTATCAACTTCTCACTGAATCCTATCCTGGCTACTCTTTTAAATTGTACCCAGCATGGTGACTATAGTTACAACAATGTGTTGTATTCTAGAAAATTGCTAAGACAACAGATTTTAAGTGTTCTCACCACAAAGAAATGATAGGGATATGAGATAATGCATATGTTAATTATCTCTGTTGAGCCATTCCACAATGTGTACATATCTCAAAACATCATGTTATACACATAAATATATACAATTTTTGTCAATTAAAAATTAATTCATTAAAAGTAAATATGATACAGAACTCCACCCAACATTCTCTGTCAAATTTTCCTCCTTTATTTTTCTTCATAGCACTTATCATATAACATATATATGATAATATATATCATATATATTATGTTGCTAATATGTTTTGCTAATATATCATATATATGATAATATATATCATATATATTATGTTGCTAATATGTTGCTAATATGTTTTGGTCTTTTCCTTTCTATTTAAATGCAGGATCCATGAGAACAGAGATTTTTTTTTTTTCTGTTTTACATTGCTCTATTCCCAGCACTTAGAACTGTGTTTGACACAGAAGAGGTACTCAATAAATAAATATTGGTGAAAGGTGTTCAGAGACGTTATACTTTTATACCCTTGTTGAGGTCCCTAATATACTCAGTGTGTATGAACAACAAAAGCAGGTTTATGAGATTTCAAAAAAAGATACTTTCCTGTCCAAAGTGCTTGTTTTGCTGAAGATACTCAGAGGCTTACATAGGCTCTAGCCTCGTCTCCCTTCCTAAGGCTCCTAGTACTAAGTTTTGCCATGCTTTCATTTAGGAACCTCTGCCAGCTTTTCTCAACCAGGGATCCTCATCTGAATCACAGAACACAGAAAATGATTTTATAGACTTTTCTTAATTTTCCAAAAGATGATACATAACTAGTACTTTCCAGATGCGTAGGAGAGAAGTTAATTCATTATGTACAATGGATGCTTCAAGGCATTAGGACTTAATTTCTAGCAGAACCCAGGTTGAAAAACGCTGCATTAATCCACGAAACTATTTTATAAGAAGCAAACTTCTAAAAAACTCTTCCCCTAAGGAAAAAAACCTCATAAAAACAAATGAACAGAAGAGACTTCTTTTTTAATCAGACCGTTCTCAGTGATATATTTCTGAATAAGCTGTCTTTGCAATGAGTTACTTGGTTAAGGATGAGGAAAGAAGACAGAAGTCCCTTCTTCACGATTGGTTCTTTTTGTTCCCAAACTCTACAATTCTTATAAAGTTTGAGATATTTTCAGATTTTTCCAAACAACAAAATTTTGTGTTTGTATTTGGGATGCTAGCATAGCTTTTTACACATTTCCAGAGTGTTACTCATCAGTGAAGTCTGCTATAACCCGACACACAGGTCCCTACTGTTATTTCCATTACCAAATGAATAGGTTAGGCCCAAGAGGAATTGCCTGACATAAAATAGTCTAATAGGACTAATTCAGTCAGGGTTCTGACTGCTGCTTCTCCTAGCAGTAACTCACAGTATCACAGCTGCTGAGAGGTAAAGCTTAATCAGGCTTGAATCATAAAATGTGTATACATGTTCTGTGAGATAGATTGTGGATTCTTGATTCATCATGCTGTCTTTTGATTTTGGAAAATAATGAAACAAGATAACATCCCATAGTAAAGTTATATTGTACTTCATACTACTTTTCTACGTAGAAACTGAACCCTTTTGGTTATCATCTCATTTATTCGTAAGATTTTTCCGGTGGTAGTTGGGGGAAAGAGAGAGCATGAGGAAAGAGGGAATCTGTTACAGTTTACAGTTGGATAAATTGAAAATTGGTCACTTAACCACTTAGGGTTGAAGCTAGATCTAGGATCTCAGGACTACTTTAGTAGGTTATTGGTTGTTCTTGTTTATTTAAATTATGACTCTGGGCTTTAGAGTATGCTGACAATTACAAATATTTTAGAAACTCTGTTCAAGTGTGTTTGTACATACGTGTTGGGTTTCTCTAAATTTTCCTAGGAACAGTCCTTAATACTATCTCAACTGTCATCATGAGTTTGTTACTCTGTGGCAGAAATGAGTACGGATTCAAAGAATAAATGAGTAAATTTATTTATTCATTTATTTATAATTCATTCATTTATAATTCAGCAATAACCTTTCCACTGTGTTTGCAGAACTAATAATATATTCTCTTGGTCTGGATCTGTCAGCCATGTCGTATCCACATAGTAGTACAATCTAGACAACTGATATTTTTGGTTCTTACCTGATAGCAGGTCCGTATAAAGGGCTCTTTGAGGCCGGGCATGGTGGCTCAAGCCTGTAATCCCAGCACTTTGGGAGGTCAAGGTGGGCGGATCACCTGAGGTCAGGAGTTCAAGACCAGCCTGCCCAGCATGGCGAAACCCCGTCTCTACTAAAAAGGCAAAAATTAGCCAGGCACCGTGGTGGGCTCCTGTAATCCCAGCTACTAAGGAGGCTGAGGCAGGATAATTGCTTGAACCCAGGAGGCGGAGGTTGCAGTGAGCTGAGATCGTGCTACTGTGCTCCAGCCTAGGTGACAGAGTAAGACCCTGGCTCAAAAAAAAAAAAAGGGATCTTTGAAAACAAATACATTTTGGCTCAAAGAAAAACATTGGTTGAATTAACTGTAACTACTTGACTCCTGTTAAGAAAGTAAAACACTGTTTTTTCCAGGTTTTAGAATAGAGAAGTGGTGTAAAGATTTTTTTCTTTGAGTTGGTGTGGGGAAATGGTAAAGCCAGAAATTGGAATGCTTCTCTTAAGGGGAAATTTTCAAATTTTGTTTTGCTTTTTGGTTTTCTTCTGACTCATTCTTAGAAACTAAAGAGGCATAGGAAGGGCAATCTCTTCTGGGTAGAGTTAGGACTCCAGTCTCAACCTCTCAAATCACTGCCAGCCAACCACCTGCTGTTTGGGTAGATTAGTAGGAGATGATGGAGGTATAAAAAAAGATAAACTGCTAAATGATTATGTATGTATATCATTCTTTTCCCATTCAAAATCTTAAAGCTGAGTAAGAACCCTTAAAGATGTTATATCTGGAACTGAATTTAAAATATGTGCTAAAGTGGGTAATATCAGGTATCATTTATTGAGTGCTTAATTACTGTATGCCAAGCATTGCAGTAAACACTTTACATACATTATCTTACTTAATCTGCTTAACAACTTGACTCTGACAAGTCATGTTCTCCTATTATATAGTCTTATGACATCCTGATTTCTGCTTTATAGCACACATTACAGATGTATTTTTTAAAGCTCTAAATAATTAATTTTGTAACTAGTTATTTCTTTTTTGACTCACTGACTAGACTGAAAACTCCATGAAGATAAGGACCATCTATATCTGTCCTGTATTTCCAGCACCTAGGCTATGCCTAGTACATAATAGATGCATAACTAAAATTTGAATAAACACCTGAGTGTGTGAATGACTGAATACGTGAATAAATTAACAACTCTTTCAAACGGATCAGCTCCACTTTATACACCCAAAAACAGAGACTGAGACTTAAACCAAAGACTGACTCCAGAACACATGACCGCTATATTTAAATGGCCATTGGGAAGCATAAAAATCATCATGACTCTGAAAAAGAATTTGAGATTTCAGGATATTCTGAATATGAACACTTTCTTCAAAAGTAATTTTCCATAAATCTGGATCGGGATTAGAGATGGCTGTTATCTTTTTATCTCTCAGGTGGTAGAAGCATGGTTCCCCTAAGCCTCTGATTTATTAGGTATTTCTGAATATTGATTAGTAAAACAGATGACTTCCCAGAAAGCTGTGTCTGGGTTCTGTTGCCAAAAGTACTTTGAGCTTTCACTCACCCTAGGAGAGGGAACCACAAACTTTTTGTACAGATTAGCTCCTTTCAAGAACAAAAGTCTCTTTGGGGATTTACTAATTCCCTCACCTCCCCTGGTGCCCATGTTCATTCCTGTTGCCTCGTGTTAGGACTTTGCTCCAGCTCCAAAAGAGATTCTGAAGCCCCTGCTGCCCAAATGGTTTGTAGTGCCATGCCTGATTAACTGGGCAAGGTCAGACTTGCCTTTTACAGCCCTCGCAGAGGTAGACCCTTTGCTAAGAAATCTCAGAAATGCCTTAATTCTCTGCATATAAGTAGATCAGAGCATCGTAGACCGTAGGCACTCTGAGCTTTCACAGTTTTCTACCCTTAAAAGTGATGGCAGTACTTATTCCATTGAGAGATACAAAGCGTTTTCTAGAGAGTGTTTCTTAACCCCCCAAAAAACTTGGGGGTTAAGAACTATCTTCAGAAGCTCAAACACAAATCAGGGAAGGACACTGCTTCAAATAATCTAGCAAATGGTTAGTAACTACAGAATCCTATGAAGACTAAAAAGACCCCAGCTAAGCATGTGAATAGTAGTAGCAGCAGCTGCCTGTTAACCACGATAAAAAGTTTTAGGCCTTTCACACTCTAGTATATGTTGCTAAATGGATTAGTTATCAGAGCATTTTATTGTACCAAAGGAGGATTTATTCACTTCTTTGGGAGTCTAAAATGCCTAACGCCAGACCTACTGAGGCCAGCAAGAAGGGAGAGCACATTGAATACTTCATTGTCAATGTCTAATTGGGTCTGCAGGCACAATTCAGCCTCATCAGAGTCCGTCTTAAAAAAGAAAGCTCTGTTAGGTCAGACAAATACTTTTTGTGTGGTTCTTAATTACTTTCCCATGGATTCCTTGTTTTCTAGGTCTTATCTGTTCAGTAATTGTACTAAAACACAAATTATATCAAACATTTAAGCAGCACACAGAGCAGAGTAGTTAGAATCCCAAAAACCCATATGTTAATGACCACGATCTTGCATTAGGAACTTTAACCTAATGCTACCATGGTGTAACCTTTTCTTTTTGCGTATTCAAGGACCTCTGCGTGTTCTGAAGATAAAGTTAGCCCTACATTTCAAGTTAAGGCTATCCAGGAAGAATGTCTTTGGCAATCTCTTTCAGCTTCCCTCTTCTGGCATGTGTATAGCCTGCAGGTACTTAACAGAGGTAAAAAAATTTATATGGTGCTAGGTGGCTAGAGAAGCTTCAGTTTGCTCCATGGTTTGGAATTTTAGAGGAAGCATTTTTTTTTTTCCGAGTGTTTTTTATTCTGTCATTCCAGCGGCTTCATATACAGATAGCTCTGATGATGAGACATCGCCCAGGGACAAGCAGCAAAAGAACTCTAAGGGAAGCAGTGACTTCTGTGTTAAGAACATCAAACAGGCAGAGTTTGGACGAAGAGAAATTGAAATTGCTGAACAAGGTAAAGAAAACAAGCACCTTTTCCTTCTTAACCTACCTGTGTCTTTTTGTCCATATTAATCCCTTTTTATGTCTGGGGTCTGGTAGCTTGTGAAATTTCTATGTGATAAGAATACTTATAACAAAAGAAATGTGAGTTCAAGAAACACTGGGGAAATCTGGCAAGTCTAGAAGGAACCCTGTATTAAAAAAAAAAAAAAAAAAGGGAGAGAGACTGGATAAGGACTGGAATATAGAGAATCAGAACCCTGGAGCATTTGCCTCCAAAAGCCCTTTATAAAGGAAAATACAGGTTTAATGTCTTGATCCCTGGAGAAACCTAATCTAACCTGATCAGGGGAAGGATCTTAACTTAAGAAAACAAGTTTTTCTGTTTGTTCTTTTATCTCTTATTCCTTCTTCTTTAATATTGCTGTATTTATTGGGCCTTTTCAGAAATGCCTGCATTGATGGCTTTGAGGAAGAGAGCTCAAGGAGAAAAGCCTTTGGCTGGAGCCAAAATCGTGGGTTGCACACACATCACTGCTCAGACTGCTGTGAGTTCTTTTCTTTTCTCCTTTTAATTACAATAGTTAATAATAGCCACGAGCTACTGAAAGCTTACAACATGCCAAGCACCGAGTTAAGAGCTTAACAAGTATTAGCTTATTAATCCTTATAATGGCCATATAAAGCAGGTATTCTTGTTTCCATTTTATAAACGAAGAAGCTGAGGCTCAGAGGGCTTAAGATATTTGTTTAAGGTTATACAGCTAGAAATCACAGAGTCAAGATTTTAACTTCAATATACAGTAGTCCCCCTGCCTTGTCTGTGGGGGATAAGTTTCAAGACCCCTAGTGGACACCTGAAACTTCAGACAGTACTGAACCCTATATATACTATGTTTTTTCCTATACATATATACCTATAATCAAGTTTAATTTATGCAATTGGCCCTGCATGTCCACCAGTTCTGCTTCCTGAGGATTTGACCAACTGCAGATCAAAAATATTCAGAAAATAAAATAATACAACAATACAAAATAACAAGAAATATAACAACTATTTACATAGCATTTACACTGTATTGGGTACTATAAATAACCTAGAGATGCTTTAAAATATACAGAAGGATGTGCACAGATTATATGCAAACACTGCATCATTTTATATAAGGGACATGAGCATCCTCAGATTTTGGTATCCATGGGAGTGCTGGAATAAATCCCCTGAGGATACTGAGAGACAGCTATAAATTCAGCACAGTAAGAAATGAACAACAGTAACTCAAAATAAAAGAGAGCAATTACAACAACAGACTGTAATAAAAGTTATGTCACATAAAGGAATTTATCACAGTACATAGCAGAAAGTCCAAAGGGAAGGCAGACTTCAGATGCAGGATCTCAGGGCTCCAGCTTCACCTCTCTGATTCTCTTGGAGCTGCCTCCTCAGTATGCTTACTTCACCCTAAAGCTGATAGCAAGATGCTTACAACTATTCTAGTCATCACAAACTGACATGAAAAGGAAGAGGGACCATTTCTTCCTCACTCAAGAGAAGTCCCTCCAGGATACTCCATCGTGTCTCATTGGGCAGAACTGGATCATGTATCTGTGCTCCACCAGTCCTACCGAGGGGCGTGGAATTACCATGATTTGCTTACACCAGTGATTCCTACCTTACTCTCATCAGTTTTAATGTCCCCTTTTTATTAAAAAACTTTTTTTTTGCAGTGTCCCTGAACTATCCTGAAATGAAATTCAGATATAACATGTCCAGGTACATATAATCTTTAAAAATAAATCAATATAAAATCTTAACTGAAATATGAAGGAGGAATAAAAAAAGTACAATACTTAAAATAATGTGTATTTCAATATGTAAATACTTGAGGACAACTATAGTAGAACAATCAGATATTTGTACTATTTCACAGTATTATTTGAAATAGTATTATTTGAAGACAGAAATAAATGTGTTATTGATTCCAGAGCATCAGAGCAGCATTGCCATGATTTTCTGAAATAGTAAACAACTTTTTGTAATCTTCTAAACAATAAGAACAACAAAAAGTATGAGTTTTCTCTTCATTTACATAGCTGTTACATTCCTGGAAAAACTATTGTTTTGTATTAAAACTACAAAACTACTTTTTGCTAATTTGTAAAGTGGAATTAGGTTCTAAACTCAGATAATTGTAGATAGGTTTTTCACCCATGGGAACTTTTATTGGGACATTTGAAAATTGTACCAGCTGCAACACAGTTTTTTGTTGAGACACTTTCAAAATGTCCAGATTCCTGGTCCTGCCCACTAAATGCCAATAGCACTCCCCTTCCAATTATTGTGGCAACCAAAAATGCCCCCACAATTTTCTAGATCTCCTCTTTTATCACCAGAGATGCAATATATATGGAGTTGCTAACCATAATGAGACCACTATCGGGAAATTGTTATATTGAGCAGTGGTCTGGAATCTTTTATGGGGATTCATAAGATCTGGGTCATCTGTGTGGCTAGATCAGCTTTCCAAAGATTGTCTCTCCCAAAGCACAACACTTATGTGGTCACATTCCTGATTAAGAACATTAGAGATTCCTCAAGGTACAGACAGCTTCTATTAGCATCTTCACTATGAAACTTTTCTGGGTTATGTGTTCTCTGAGGACAAGAGTACCCTGACTGCTCAAAATTAATATAATAAATTGAAAAGCTATCTGTTTTGGAGCTACAAACTAATGAATCAAGACAGAAACACTCTTGAATCTTTTTTGGCCTGCTCAGTCAGCGACATGAGACTTCAGTGTGGTAGCTTAAAATAGTAAGTGCTTCTCTACTGTCTCATGTTGCTGAATTACATCTAGTTTGTTTTTTACCCTTAGGCTCAGTGAGCATTACCACCTTTCATGGTTCCCTTTCTATTTTTTTCCTGAATGGATTGATCACAATTAGCTTACCAATTTTAATATTAATTTATTGTTTCCACCCCACATTTTTTTCCTTTAAAAAAATAACGACAAAGAAATTATGCTTTGTTTGCCAACCTAATACTCTTTCACTCTTGTCTTAGTTCATTTGGGCTGCTATAACAAAATACCTTAGACTGGGTAATTAATAAACAATAGATATTTATTGTTCACAGTTCTGGAGGCTAGGAAGTCCAAGATCAAGGCGCCAGCAGATTCAGTATCTGGTGAGGGCCTGTTCCTTATAGATGGCGCTTTCTATGTGCCCTCACATGGCCAAAGGGGCAAGCAAGCTTCCTCAGGCTTGTTTTATAAGTACACTAATCCCATTTGTGAGGGCAGAAATCTCATGTCTAATCACCTTCCAATCACTTCCATAATCACCTTTTAATACCATCGCCTAGGGGGTTAGTTTTTAACATATGACTCTGGGGGAGGAGAACATACATTCAGACCATAGCAATCCCCAAATACTTTAGTGTGTATTTTCTACAAAGAAGGACATTTTCCTGTACTAGCAGTATAACCATCAGAAGTAGAAAATTAACATTGATTCATTATTACCATCCAATCCTTAGATCCCACTGGAGTTTCGCTTGTTGTTCTGATAATATTTTTCTAACAAAAGAATCCAGTCCATGGTTATATGTCACATTTAGTTGTCATGTCTTTTTAATCTTCATTAGTACAGAACAGTTTCTCAGTCTTTCTTTGATTTTCATGACCTTGACACTTTTGAAGATTACAGATGAATTATTTTGTAGAATTTCCTCAATTTGGATTTTTCTGATGCTTCCTCATTATGAGATTCAGGCTATACATCTATGGTGGGAATTCAGGGAAGTGATATATCCTATCAGGTGACACATGATTTCAGTTTGTCCCAGAACTGATGATATTCACTTTAATCCCTTGATTGAGGTGGTGTCTCCCAGGATTTTCCTCTGTAAAAGTTTTTTTCCCAGTTTATAATTAATATGTTTTTTGGGCTGGGTGTGATGGCTCACGCCTGTAATCCCAGCACTTTGGGACGTCAAGGTTGGCAGATCACTTGAACCCAGGAGTTGAAGACTAGCCTAGGCAACATGGTAAAACCCCATCTCTACAAAAAAATACAAAAGTTAGCCAGGTGTGGTGGCATGTGCCTGTAGTTCCAGCTACTTGGGAGGCTGAGGTGGGAGGATTGATTGAGCCCGAAAGGTCGAGATTGCAGTGAGCAGTGAGCTGAGATTGCACTGCACTCCAGCCTGGGTGACAGAGTGAGACCCTGTCTCAAAAATAAATAAAAATAGAATTAATATGTTTATGTGAGATAGTACTATGAAACTGTAAATATCTCATTCTTTATCTTACTTTGATTTATTCATTATTTTTATTTGTATGGAATCATTGTTTCCTATTTTATTTAATAGGTTATAATCCATTACTATCATTACTTATTTACATGATCATCTTGTTCCCAGTTTGACCAGGGAGAGCCTCTTCAGTGTGGCTTCTGTGACTTCTTTTGTCTTTTGATATATCCCTTTCATTCTTTGAACATTTCCTTGCTTTTGGTACAAGATCACCTAAGCTCATCTTGAACATTCCATGCCCTACTCTTGGAACCAGCCATTTCTCCCAGAATGCCTAGCTCCTTTTAGTGGATCTGGGCACTAATGTGCTCTTTGCTTTTGAAATGTCATTGTTCCCAGATCCTCTTTTTTCCCTCTCCATACATGTAACTGGAGTTCCAGAAGGCAAAGAGGGAAAGAATCCATAGACTCCCATAGACCCCATAGATTTTGAGCACTCCGTTGTGATTTTTTTCTGCCAGTCTTCTTCTTTTTGTATTTCAGTTCAGTAATTTCTTTTTTTGTTGTTGTTTTGTTTTGTTGAGTAGGGTCTCACTGTGTCACCCAGGCTGGAGTGCAGTGGTACAATCATTGCAGGCTCATTGCAGCCTCAAACTCCTGGGCTCAAGCGATCCTCCTGCCCCAGCCTCCCAAGTAACTGGGACTACAGGCATATACCACTATGCCTGGCTAATTTTTTTTAATTTTTTGTAGAGAAGAGATCTTGCTGTGATGCCCAGGCTGGTCTCAAACTCCTGGCCTCAAGCGATCTCCTGCCTCAGCCTTTCAAAGCGCTAGGGTTACAGGCATGAGTCACTGTGCCTGGCTCAGTTCAGTAATTTTTATTGGTCTATCTTCAGGTTCACTGATTCTGTCCTTGGATGTGCCCGGTCTGATGATAAACCTGTTGAAGGAACTTTTAATCTGACTTTTTTTTTTTCCTGGCATTTGTATTTGACTTTTTTTTTTTTTTTTTTTTTTTTGAGACAGAGTTTTGCTCTTGTTGCCCAGGCTGGAGTGCAACGGTGCAATCTTGGCTCACCACAACCTCCACCTCCTGGGATCAAGCGATTCTCCTGCCTCAGCCTCCCGAATAACTGGGATTAAAGGCATGTGGCACCAAGCAGCTAATTTTGTATTTTTAGTAGAGATGGGGTTTCTCCATGTTGGTCAGGCTGGTCTCAAACTCCCGACCCCAGGTGATCTGCCCACCTTGGCCTCCCAGAGTGCTGGCCTTTACAGGCCTGAGCCACTGCACCCAGCCTGTATTTGACTTTTTATTGTTTCCATCTCTGCTGAAATTTTCTATCTATTCATAGATGTTGTCTATCTTTCTCAACTAGATCCTTTAACATAAACATATTAGTCCAGCCTGGGCAATATAGCAAGATCCTGTGTATAAAAAAATATAAATAAATAACATAAACATATTAATCATAGTTATTTTATATCTCCTGTCTGATCAAACATCTGGCTCATCTGAGAGCCTGCCTCTGTTGTTTACTTATTTCCTGACAGTGGGTTTTTTTTTTTACTTTTTGTATGTCCTGACATTTTTAATTGAGTGGTAGTATATTAGTTTTCGTTATAGTCATGAATTGGGCTGAATTTAGAGTTCATTGTATATCAACAAAGGCTTCAAATTCCTCCAGCAGTGGACTGCTATAACCTTGTGATTTGAGGTTACCAAAGGACATTCCTCAGTGCTTCTGCTTTACCCTCAGCCTTCAGCTACTTCTGCACATGTGTGCCACAGAAGTGTCCTCTTTTCAAGTACCTGCCTCATCTGCCGCACTAGACTGCTGCTCTTTGTTTCCTGGGGCTAAGCACACGGTGAGGGCAAGTGGGGTTCTTGGATCTCTGGTGCAGTCTCAGTCTTAGGCAGACCTCTGTGAGGGGCAGGGTTTTCTCAATATTCCTGCCTCTCCTATCTGTAGCAGCCAAACTTTGCCTTGAATCTGTGGTGGGTCTTGGGCAAGACATATTTTCCTGCCCTTCCTGGAGAGCTGGAGAGGTAGCAGATCCTTACTTTGTATCAGTGAACTGTCCTGGGCCCAAGAGGTTTTCCTGTGCCTCTCCCAGAGGCAGAGTTTTTGCTTCTGCCTTCCTCCAGACACAGTGGATCTTTGCCTAGTCCCTAATGGCAGGCCCAATTCCTGCTCTTCCTACAGCTTGAGGCTTTGGTTCCTATGAGAGAAGAGTGTAGGGAAGTGCCCAGGTTTCATGTCTGTTTCTGAGCACAGCCAATCAGCTCCCTGCCCCAGTCTTTGTTTTGAGCACTGGGTGGAAGCCTCTGGAAAACAGCCTGCATGTGAATGGGAAATCTACTTGTGTCTGGAGCTTCAAAAAATTCCACATTGACACACTTTCCCACACCCAGCCTTTCGTAATTGTTCAAAAGTTTAGCTGATATTTTCTTATTCTTATCTGTGGCAGCCATTTCTTCCCCCCATGCACTGCCAAAGGTGAAACAGTCTTCCCTCTCTCTTTAAAAGGATTTGTCACTCTTTGGAGGGCAGTTCACTTCTGTGCTTTATGACCTCAAATCTTTGATGGGCTCAAGAAAAGTTTGGCTTTGTAGATTACCCAGTTTTTGGGGTTTGTGTGTGTTTGTGTGTTTATTTGTTCATTTATTTGTTTGTTTGTTTTGTTCTGTTTTGAGACGGAGTCTTGCTCTGTTGCCCAGGCTGGACTGCAGTGGCACAATCTCGGCTCACTGCAAGCTCTGCCTCCCAGGTTCACACCATTCTCCTGGCTCAGCCTCCCGAGTAGCTGGGACTACAGGCGCCCGCTACCACACCCGGCTAATTTTTTTTTGTATTTTTAGTAGAGATGGGGTTTCACCGTGTTAGCCAGGATGGTCTCGATCTCCTGACCTTGTGATCTGCCCGCCTCGGCCTCCCAAAGTGCTGGGATTACAGGCGTGAGCCACCGCGCCCCGCCATTTGTTTGTTTTTGAGACAGAGCTTTGCTCTTGTTGCCCAGGCTGGAGTGCAATGGTGCAATCTCAGCTCACTGCAATCTTCGCCTCACCGTTTCAAGCCATTGTCCTGCCTCAGCCTCCCGAGTAGCTGGGATTACAGGCATGCGCCACCATGCCTGGGTAATTTTTCTGTATTTTTAGTAGAGATAGGGTTTCACCATGTTGGCCAGGCTGGTCTCAAACTCCTGACCTCAGGTGATCCGCCCACCTCAGCCTCCCAAAGTGGGATTACAGTCGTGAGCCACCGTTCCTGGCCGTGTGTTTGGTTTTTTGGAGACAGGGTCTCACTCTGTTGTCCAGGCTGGAGTGCAGTGGCACAGTCATGACTCACTACAACCTCCATCTCCCAGGCTCAAGCAGTCCTCCCACCTCAGCCTTCCTAGTAGCTACCCAGCTTTTTCCTGTCGTTAAGGTGGGAGCTTCTCTTGTAGCTTTGTATGTTCTAAGCAGAAGCAGAACTGTAAATCTGTTTTTTCAGAAAAGTTTTGGCTCTGAAGTCCTTGGTTTATTAAATCTTATGGGGAAGCTTAATTTAAATTGGTAAAAACATAGAGTCAGCTGGAGCCTCCCTCTTCCCATGGCTTCCCCCAATACTTGCCTTCTTAGAATACTGAAGAGGTTCTGTAGAGCCCAATTTGAAAATCACTGGCTTAAGTCATTCCCGTTGTATTTTCTGATTGTAAAATATATAAACTTTATCTCCTTGACTAGTTGTTTGGCCCAGGCTTGCTCATACCCTGCTTTGTCTTTAATACAGGTGCTTATGGAAACTCTGGGTGCTCTGGGGGCCCAGTGCCGATGGGCTGCCTGCAACATCTATTCCACTCTCAATGAAGTGGCTGCTGCTCTAGCAGAAAGTGGTAAGAGCTTATTCTCTGTGCCTTTGGCTAAAGTAAGTCTATTTGGAGACTTACTTTATGTTTCAGCATAAATCTTTAAAGAAGGTTGACAATAAAAGAACTATCTTGGAAGAAATGGATCTCGATTCTTCATGAATTTGCTCTTTTTCTGGCCTTCGCTTGTCAAATATGATCTAGTTAACTTTGCTATTTTACAGTTGACAAATATCTACCTATGTCTAATATTCTATTGTTAGGTAATGCTTTGTTTTAACTCACTAATTCACTAATAGCAGAGCACTAGTGAACACTACTCACTGAGGTAACATGGATTAAAGGAGAAAATGCTTCAGCCATAGTTTTGTGACTCTGTTGGTTTTCCAGCAAGTAATTTGCCCTGACTTAATGTTTGGTGTTTCTGCTTCAGGAGTAAAGAAGACTTGACCTGGCAGATTAATATTTGATCACAACATCCACTGGTACTTGATGGACAAAAGAAATAGAGAAATTTGGACTTTGCCAGCCTCTTGCCTTTACTCTTTGGCAGTACAGCTAGCACTCTCAGCATTTCATTTGTTCTTTCATTTTAATTTACTTATTTATAAGATTTTATGGCTGTATATATGATAGAAAAATATTTAATACTTTATTAATACAAATATTAAATGTGTACCCCAGTGAATTGTACATACGCATTCATTTCTTTTCCTTTTTTTAAAAGTAGAAACGGAGTCTTGCTGGGTCACCCAGGCTGGGGTGCAGTAGTGCAGTCGTGTTTCACTGCATCCTTCAATTCCTAGGAACAGGTGATCCTCCCACTTCAGTCTTCTGAGTAGCTGGGACTTCAGGCATGTGCCACCATGCCCAGCTAATTTAAAAAAAATGTTTGAAGACACAGGGTCTTGCTGTGTTGCTCAGGCTGGTCTCAAACAGCCAGCCTCAAGTGATCCTCCTGCCTCATCCTCCCAAAGTGCTGGGATTACAGGTGTGAGCCACCATGCCCAGCCCATTTCTTTTTTCTGTTTTTTTTTTTAAATTTAATTTAATTTTTATTTTTTATTTTTATTTTTATTTTTATTTATTTATTTTTTTTGAGATGAAGTCTCACTCTGTCGCCCAGGCTGGAGTGCAGTGGCATGATCTCGGCTCACTGAAACCTCTGCCTCCCAGGTTCAAGCGATTCTCCTGCCTCAGCCTCCTGAGTAGCTGGGATTACAGGTGCCCTCCACTATACCCGGCTAATTTTTGTATTTTTAGTAGAGACGGGGTTTCACCATGTTAGTCAGGCTGGTCTCGAACTCCTGACCTCAGATGATCTGCCTGCCTCGGCCTCCCAAAGTGCTGGGATTACAGGTGTGAGCCACCGCACCCGGCTGCCCCATTTTTTTTTTTAAACAAATGCTTACTGACCTACGCTAAGAGCTGTAAGGGCAAATGAGACAATGTCCTTACCCTCAGAATCTTATATTTTGGTGAGATAATACACATATATAAATAATGATGATACAAGGACATATATAATAAATGCCATGACAGATTATAAATCCATATTCACTACACAAACAAGAGGCTTAGGAAAGTTCAGATTCCCACTTTGGGAAGCTGAGGCAGGTGGATCACCTGAGGTCAGGAATTCAAGACCAGCGTGGCCAACATGGTGAAACCCTGTCTTTACTAAGAGTACAAAAATTAGCTGAGTGTGGTGGTGCAGGCCTGTAATCCTAGCTACTCATGAGGCTGAGGCAGGAGAATCGCTTGAACCCAGGAGGCGGAGGCTGCAGTGAGCCGAGATCGCGCCACTGCACTCTAGCCTGGGTGACAGAGTGAGACTCCATCTCAAAAAAAAAAAAAAAAAAAAAAAGAGGCCAGGCGCGGTGGCTCACACCTGTAATCCCAGCACTTTGGGAGCCTGAGGTGGGCGGATCATGAGGTCAGAAGTTCGAGACCAGCCTGGCCAATATGGTGAAACCCCGTCTTTACTAAAAGTACAAAAATTAGCTGGGCGTGGTGCCACGCACCTGTAGTCCCAGCTACTCAGGAGGCTAAGGCAGGAGAATCGCTTGAACCCAGGAGGCAGAGGTTGCAGTGAGCCGAGATTATGCCACTGCACTCCAGCCTGGGTGACAGAGCAAGACTCCGTCTCAAAAAAAAAAAAGAAAAGAAAAGTTAAGATTCCTTGAGAGCTCATTTCCAGCTGGGTTAATCAGACTTCATTAGGAACATGACACTTAACTGGGCTATGAATTCTAGTAACGTTTTAGCAAGTGGAGAAACACGTAAGGGTTTTTTTCTTAATAATAGGGTGGAATGATTAAAGTATAGAAGCAAGAAAAATTAAAGTGTAATTGGGAAATGGTGAGAATGCCAGTTTGAGTGGATCAAGAAGTACCTGTTTCTGGTTTTTGTTTTCCCTTTAGTCACTTTTTTTTTTTTTTTTTTTTGAGACAGAGTCACGCCCTGTCGCCCAGGCTGGAGTGCAGTGGCACGATCTTGGCTCACTGCAACCTCCACCTCCCAGGTTCAAGCAATTCTCCTGCCTCAGGCTCCCAAGTAGCTGAGATTACAGGCATGCACCACCACGCCCAACTAATTTTTGTATTTTTAGTAGAAACAGGTTTCATCATGTTGGCCAGGCTGGCCTTGAACTCCTAACCTCAGGTGATCCACCCACCTCAGCCTCCCAAGGTGCTGGGATTTCAGGAGTGAGCCACCGCACCTGGCCCCCTTTCATTACATTTTAAACAACTGTCATACTTTTGTCCATTCTGCTTGTCCTCCTTGGGCTAATAAGAGCAGAATGACCAACAAAGACAAAGGAATGGATAAAGGGGCTGAAGGCAACGCCAATCAGTGAAGAATGTCAATCCAAGGAGTATAGCAGAATGAGAGAGTTGGAAATTAGGAAAAACCAGAATCTTCTCACTAAAATTAGGGGGTCAGCCTTTTTTGGTCTTTAATGGTTTCCCTTTGTTCCTTTTTTTCCCAGGATTTCCTGTTTTTGCCTGGAAGGGAGAGTCAGAAGATGACTTTTGGTGGTGTATCGATAGATGTGTGAATGTGGAGGGCTGGCAGCCAAACATGGTGGGTCAGATTTCTGCTAACACAATTCTGTAGGGGTCAGGAATGGGGATGGGTGGAGGTTATGGCCTAGGAGAGGGTTTCCCAACAAGAAGGAAGGAAAATGGCTTCATTTCTATCTGATATACCTGGGTTTCCAGCAGAACTAGATTCTTATGCTACGGGTACCCCAAGAGTATTGAAGCTCTTATAACCTCAGAGTGCCTTAATTATTGGTTCTAATGTTGGAAGCATTTATATTCATTAGAAACATTAAAGCACTGCCCAGGATTCACATGTGGCTGGTTAAAAAACAATAGTAATGAGTTTCCATCCCCTGCTACTGCCTACTTCCCACCCCTTACAACAACCAAAAAACCCAAACAAACCACCCCAGAACTCTGGAGATACTTAGCCTTCTCTCTAGAATCCATATACTTGTAATGTTAGTCAGGACTAGAAAAAAAATAAAAATAATATTCATATAATGAATTTATAGTAAACCTGAAGAGCTTACAAGTTCAAATTTCTTCTCTTTATATTCTTTCCCCACATTAAAAAAGACGAGATGAAGTTTTAGGGTTTTAATTTTTGCTTCATTTTTATTTTTGTTTTATTTTTTAGAAGATCAAGTCTTGAAGCCTCATAGCACATTAGATTTGCAAAGAGGCAAAAAGCTACACAAAGGGCCAGGTGTGGTGGCCTGTAATCCCAGCACTTTGGGAGCCCAAGGCAGGTGGATTACTTCAGCCCAGGAGTTCGAGACCAGCCTGGGCAACATAGGCTTTCTACAAAAAATACAAAAATTAGCAGGATGTGTTGGCATGCACCTGTAGTAGTAGTCCCAGCTACTTAGGAGGCTGGGACTCCTAAGTGGGAGGATCACTTGAGCCCAGGAGGTGGAGGTTGCAGTGAGCCGAGATCACACCACTGCAGTCCAGCCTGGGTGAGAGAGTGAAACCATGCCCCCATCCCAGTGCCCCCCCCCAAAAAAGCTACACAAAGTATAAGGTGCTCCTATTTTGCAAATAATTCTGCCCTCTCCCCTAGGGGGAGGGGGCAGAAATTAGGGAATGTACTGAGAAAAGAATCCCTGAAGCTCTAGTCCAACCATTGCTTGCTGCTGAAGGCTGCAGAGCAGGCCTCACTTGGTGCATGGCAGAGAAGTAGCTTCTTTCTGAATTCTGTGATCCAGGTCACACTGCACCAGGCTTGTTTGAGGAAGCTGGGTTAGAGCTTCATATCCTAAAGGGGTGGGGGAGCAGAGTTGACAGTGGCTGTAAGATGAGTCAGCTCATTCCAACAGTTTTAATAGTGACACAAGGGAGTGTGACTGACAGATGCTGAAGCAGATATGCCAGGGGGTTTCTCCTGGGAATAAAACATTGATTTTTAAAGTCAGGAACCCAGGGAGGACATTAGGATTATACCTGGAGAACTTTTACAAACTGTAGAACCAGCACAAACTGCTAGGAAGGTTAATAAAGAGAGTAAGACAAGGACAAAAACAGTTGTCACCCCAGAAAACAGGACCCATACCTGTTTGGATTCTGTCAAGATTTAGTACTTCTCCTTGCTTCCCAACCTCTGGAAGATTTCCTGATGACAATAATTTTCTGCAGTAGATTTATATGGTGAGAATTATGGGCAGCATTCATTAAGTAAATCTTAGAGACAGCAACTACTGTCTCTAGTGGATAAGAATAGTGAAACTTACAACACAGAGTTTCCAGTTGTTCAATCTCTCTTGTCTCTTATCTTTTCTGTGGAAGGGAAAACTTCATCAGGGATTCCATACATGGAGAATGGGAGAGAGAAACTCAGAAGAGCTTTTTGCTTTCTTGGGGCATCTGTTCTGGGGGTTTCTACTTGTAGTATGGAGCAAGTACAAGAGCTTTGATGAGAGTCCTAACTTGGATCCTGGTTCTCAAGCAAGGTTTGAGTGAGAGAAAATAGGTCAACAGCAAGAGCAAAAGCAAAAAAGAGATCAGGTGGTAGACATGAGGTTGGGGATTTTGTGTACTCTGGGGTCCAGAATGGCAGTTTTGGCACTTATAGTAGAGTTGATAATTGATGAGACTGCAAGATGGGTGCATGTCAGCAGAGGGCAACCCAGTTCTGTGGGACTTTCCAGGAGGATGGGTATAACAATTTGCAGAGTCCTGCTAAACACTTCTGACAGCCTAGGGAAGGACTGAAGTGTCACAGCCTCGTGCCTAACAATGTTCTAAGCTGGTTTTTCTTTAGTTTTATAATTCAAAAGCTTTTCTCTGCTGATGAAAGCTCCAGTGGGCACAGCGTTGTGTTTATCTTTAATCCCAACCTGAAATAGTGATAGATGAGCTGTTCAGAGGCATGCTTGCACACCTACATGCTGCACGGTTCCCTGGTTATTTTTAATTTGGTTTGTACAGAGTGTGAGGTTGTGCTAGGCAAAACCCTACAGTGCTGCCTGATATTTTGGGTGGGAGAGTGCCTATACTTTGGGAGAAGAAAAGGATTAAGGAATACAGTTTTATAAACCATTGTTCTGACAGGGAGACTTAATTATCTGACCATTTATTGATTTATTTTTCTTTTTTTTCTCAAGAGGCTGTGTAAACTGAGGCTGTTTATTTAAACTAAGTCTTGACTGAATATATTTAAAGTCCCTTTAGGCTTTCTGAATACCTATAGTAGATTCAAGATCTAGTGGCCTAGTAACTACAAGTTACCAATCCATAAGAAAATCCTCGGTTAGTTGCTGTATATTTTGATACAGTAGATATGTCACGGGGAGGGTCGTTTGGCTGCGCGAATTACAATTGGCCTTTCTCCTCTCATTGTCTTTTACTTCAATATAATGACTATTTGGCAGATTATTGTATTTACTCTGGCTTTAAGTTACTTTGCATAACCATATGGGAAATTTTAAATATCTGTAAATTGCTAATTAGATTGGGATGCAAGACCCAGAGAAGCACTGAAGCCTTGAGACTTCAGCAAAGTGAATGATGTTATTGATGCTTACTATTGCAGATCTTGGATGATGGAGGGGATCTTACCCACTGGATTTATAAAAAGTATCCCAACATGTTTAAGAAAATCAAGGGCATAGTAGAGGAGAGTGTTACTGGAGTTCACAGGTAAGATTTGACATGGGCATACCTGGTTTTATGCAGTCTAGACATAAAATCTTATAAACACATACCTATAAAACACATGTTAAAAATTGGAGCCTGGGCCAGGCGCGGTGGCTCACGCCTGTAATCCCAGCACTTTGGGAGGCTGAGGTGGGCGGATCACGAGGTCAGGAGATCAAGACCATCCTGGCTAACACGGTGAAACCCCGTCTCTACTAAAAATACAAAAAAATTAGCCTGGTGTGGTGGGCGCCTGTGGTCCCAGCTACTCGGGAGGCTGAGGGAGGAGAATGGCATGAACCCAGGAGGCGGAGCTTGCAGTGAGCAGAGATCATGCCACTGCACTCCAGCCTGGGTGACAGAGCGAGACTCCATCTCAAAAAAAAAAAAAAAAAAAAAAAAAAAAAAATTGGAGCCTGCTATGAGGTAACCACATCTCAGCTTGCTATGAGGTGACCAGATCTCAGCTTGCTATGAGGTGAGCAGATCTCTCTTGTTTTTTTTTTTTAATTAACAACACAAATAATGAACCTAAAATAGTGAGAAGGGGGCAGGTGGGAGAACAAGTGAAGTCCTCATGTTTTCTAGTGATTGTAAACAATTAACTTGTCCTTTTTGGACACATATATTCATTCATTCATTCAACAAATATTTATTGAACTTCTACAATGAATGAGGAACTGCTCTAGATGCTAGGAATCTAGCAGTAGACAAAACAGACAGAAAAAAACTCTGCCATCTTAGAGCTTACATTCTTACATGGAGAGCAAGGATGTAGGGTTCTGCTTCTCAAATGAGTAATAATTCTCTGAGTAAAATTGGAATTATTTCAGTTCAATTTCTGTGATCATTTCTATGATTTATTTCACCCATAAAGAACTAAAAGTATGAAAAAAAAAAGTTGTAGGGAAGTAAATTCTGAACCAGCCACCATCACTGCTTCAATACATTATCATCTTTTTGAATGTACAAAACTGAGGTCAGGAGTTCAAGACCAGCCTGGCCAACGTGGTGAAACCCCGTCTCTACTAAAAATACAAAAATTAGCTGAGTGTGGTGGCGGGCGCCTATAATCCCAGCTACTCAGGAGTCTGAAGCACAAAAATCGCTTGAACCCTGGAGGCAGAGGTTGCAGTAAGCTGAGATCACACCATTGCTCTCCAGCGGGGACAACAAGAGTGAGACTCCATCTCAAAACAAACAAACAAACAATAAAAGCACAAACAGCCAGGCGTAGTCTCATGCACTTGTAGTTCTGGCAGGCAGGGAGACCAGTGCAGATTTAGTGAACATTGTACCTAGTAGGTAATTTTTCAACCTTCAACCCGCTCCCACTCTCCCACTTTTTATAGTCTCCAGTGAAGGCCTTAAAATTTAGAGGTGGGTCAAGGATTTCCCCCACATGACTTTTGAATAAAATCTTTATTGTGAAGCTATATATGCAGGCTCTAGAAAGATATTCTTTATTTCTCAGTGGCCACCTAACAGGATGAAACTAGTCATGTCTCATGGTCTCATGCCTACCCAATCAACGTATTTCTGGGGCCTCCTATGAAAGCAATGGTAGATTGTAATGTCCTGGTGTTTTTTGTTCTTGGCTTCCCTCATCCTCAGGCTGTACCAACTGTCCAAAGCTGGGAAGCTGTGTGTTCCAGCCATGAATGTCAATGACTCAGTCACCAAACAGAAATTTGACAACCTCTACTGTTGCCGTGAATCAATTCTTGATGGGTAATGTTTATTATCTTTGAGATGAAGTTGTGATGTCCAGTTGAGATTCTAAGTTTTTTGGCTTTGGTTATTTCTGGAAAGGATTCATGTAGCACCTCTGGATAATGTCTCCATAAAGCCAGAGCTTTGTCACCTCATAAATTAAAATTACATTATTTTTATTTTCTCCTTTGTATCTTTTCTATTTCTAAATATTATATTTTCAAAATATTATCTAATAAATGTATGTTGCTTTTATGTTTAAAAGTTACTGTGTTATCTACATCTTCTTCCTTTCTGCACCACTTGCAAGAAAGGGGAAAAAAAAAGGAAAAAAACCCTTACATATAGGATTGGTTAGATGGCAGGGAGTGAGAAAATATGTATTTTATTTAACCTTCCTGTCTGGTCATTAGTTTCTCTAGGATAGAAACCAGACTTTCAGTGTTACAGGTCTTTTAGAATTTGTCTAGCAGGTTTTCTGGTCTTTACCAGAAAACCCCTTTAAAAAAATAAAGAAACCAGACTTTCTTTCAAAATGAAAAACCAACCAAAAAACCCCATGAAAACAAAGAGATTCAATCTAACCTCAAGGGAGAAACAAGAGAAGATTTTTCTGATTTAATGTTTTTTTTTCCCCTAGACTTAAAAGGACAACAGACATGATGTTTGGTGGAAAGCAAGTGGTAGTCTGTGGCTATGGAGAGGTGAAGTTTAACCTTTTGTTTATTAGGTGTTTTAAATGGATTTTGTTGAAATATTCTGGAATTTTTTATTTGTATGGACATATGAGTACACCCTTTACCACTTTAGATGAGAAAAAGAATTTCAGAGGCCTTCTGGTTGAAGTAGACTTTCTTTTTCCCTTTGCGTTGCCGCCATTTTCCCTTAAGTTGATTTTCTGACTTGCTCCAGTACCACCGTTTGTGATGTTCTTTTTAGCTTGTGTTTTAATTATGAATCGTGAGTGTGGGTGTTCTTGTGCACATGAATGCGATAAGCAGGAGCCAGGGGTTTGTTTATGAGCTGCATTCAATTATTTGTTCTTCTCGTTTTCCCCAAGTATGAATCTATTCAGTGAAATTCCTCTCGGGGGTGGAAAGAGGGGGTGCACTTTACCAGAAGCTTTGAGAAATGGTTTTCTCAGTGACTTTCCTTAATATGTGTGCTCTCTCCCCTCTTCAGGTGGGGAAAGGGTGCTGTGCTGCCCTGAAAGCCATGGGCTCCATTGTGTATGTAACTGAAATTGACCCCATCTGTGCCCTGCAAGCCTGGTAAGCCTCTACGCTACCATCTCACTTGCAATCTCGGAGCTGTCTCCAAAGAATGGCCTGGTTGATGCCACACTTTATTTTAGAGGAGCCCAGATCCTCAGAGATGCTGCCACTAACTCTAAGCATCTGTCTTTTAAAAAGGTCAAGGAGCTCTGCTTGGAGAGAGCAGAGACTATCAGAAAAGCGAAAATTTAGAAATCCTGTGGAGATAGTAACAGGGATTCTGTCAGCCAGAGAACAGGTAGCCCCTTACCTTCTCCATGTATGATACTTGCCTTTCAAATAATGATCAGAAAAGAAATTGGCAGGCATCAGATGCCTTCTGATGTGTTACACTGAAAATAGCCCTTCTGTGGTATTCCTCCCAAAAATGTATAACCTGAATCTAATTGTGAGGAAACATTAGACCAATCCCAGTTAAGGGTAAAATCTACTAACTCTGAGTGAAGCATATATGAGAATTATTTACACTAGTATTATAATTCTTAAGTTTGAAATGATTCTAAAATTAAAAGTTAAAACTTTTCTTATCTATAAAATGTGTGTAATCATACCTACCTCATAGGATTGTGAGAGTTCAGTAAAATAATAATTAGCATAGGCTGGGTGTAATGGGTTCATGCCTGTAATCCCAGCACTTTGGGAGGCTGAGGCAGGAGGATTGCTTGCGCCCAGGAGTTCGAGACCAGCCTTGGCAACATAGGGAGACCCCATCTCTACAAATAATTTTTTTAAATTAGCTGGGTGTGGTGGTGCATGCCTGTGGTCCCAGCTACTTGGGAGGCTGAAGTATGAGTATCACCTAAGCCTGGGAGGTGGAGGCTGCAGTGAGTTGTGATTATGCCACTACGCTCCAGCCTGGGTGACCCAGCAAGACCATGTCTCAAAATAATTATTATTCTATATTATACATTATATAACAAATACATAATTATATAAGGTACAGAGCTGCTGCCACATAATATATGCTCATTAAATAATAGCTGTTATTAAAATTGTCTCTTGCCATCCTCAGCAGGGTGGGAAATACCACTGTTCTTAAAAACTATTGCAGAGTCCAAGTGTCTGTAGCCTAGGGGAACCATCATCCTTCTGGTACACTAAGAGTTTAGGAACCTGAACATATTTTAATACAAATTGATACTGTTCAGATACTGAACAGTTCAGATTATCCTGTTCAGATTATCCTGTAGACACGAATTGATCACTTACTATGCATTAGATACTGTGCTATGTGCTGAGAATGAATAAGATGAATATATAAATGAGATAAGGTCCTGCTTTTAGAAGCACACAGACAGATAACCACTGTGCAGCAAAGTAAGTGCTGTCATGGAGTTAAACGGCACATGCTTCTGTAGGAGCATAAAGGAGAAATTGCTTACTGAAGAGCAAGGGAGCAGGGTAGAAAGAGATGTCAGCAGAGCTGAGTCTTGACATTTGTATAGGTGTTTTCTTAGTTTGGAAGTATATTCCAGGTACTGGGAACATGTGTGTTGTCTCCAAGGAAGGAGATAGCATGGCAGATTTAAGAAGCTAGAAATATTTTAATGTAGTTGGCAGATGAAATACATTTGGGGGAGTGGTACTATCTAAGGTAGGAGTCATGGGAGTCATATGTCAATATAATCACATATCACTGTAAGTATTTGGGTCTTACTCTTATCCTGTCTTATCCTTAAGAACAGGCAGTCTCACTGAAGTATTTTAAGGAAAGGAAGCGACATGATCCAAATTGCATTTAGGAAAATCACTCTGCCAAATGATTTAGAAAGATGTAAACCTAGAGGCAATGAGATTGGGCCAGGGGTTACTATAGTAATCTAGGCAAGAAGTAATAAGACCTAAACTTAAGCAAGGCCAGTATGTATTAGAGAAGAGTAGAGAGATGAAAGAGACGTTTATGGAATTAAAGAAAAAGAGTCACCCAGATTTGGTGACAACTTCAATTCAGGAGAGGCAGCAAGGACATTCTTGTTTATATGGCTCATTCAGTTGGATGAACAGTGATGCTATTGATCAAGATAGAAAATATAGAAGAAGAAATAGATGAGATTATGGGTGCAGAGAAAATAATAAGTTTATTTTCAAACACAGTAAGTTTGAGATCCTTCTGGGACATTGATGAGGTGCTATCCAGTGGCTAATTTGATCCTTGGCTATGAAGCTTCAGAGAGATCTAAGCTAAAGTTACAAATGTAAAAATCAGCCATCTATCAGCAGTCATTTGCAGCCAAAGGAAGAGTATGGTTCTCTATACTGAAAGAATAGAGAAAAGAATAAAGGCATAACCCTGCAGAGCACCAATATCCAAAGGTTGGCTGAAGTTGAGGAGAGGCAATTAAGAGAAGTAAGAGGAAAACCAGGAGAGATGTATCATGGAGTCCAAGGGGTATAGAGTTTTAAGAAGGCAAATAATGTTTAATGTAGTAGAAGAAATCAAATAATATAAGAGTCTAAGAAGTTGGGCATGGTGGTGTATGCCAATAGTCCTGGCTACTCAGGAGGCTGAGGCAGGAGGATTGCTTGAGGCCAAGAGTTAGAGGCTGTAGTGCACTATGATTATGCCTGTGACTAGCTACTGCACTCCAGCCTGGGCAGCATAGTGAGATCCCATCTCTAAAAAAAAAAAAACACACACAGTTAAGAGTCTAAGAAATCTTGGGTTTGGCCTTCGGGGGATCACTGATGATCTTGGAGAGAGCAGTTTCAATGGGGTAGTTGGTTAAATGGCTAAGTGGCACTTTCTACAGTTTCTAGAAATTTGGTCAGGGAATCTCATGGTAGCCCCTGGCTCCCTATTATCAGGAAGAAATAAGTTCCGTGATGCAAACGAACCTTTTATTTCTGTCTTGTATGAACTAAGGAAATTGTTTGGATTTTTCACTTCTAAGAATAGTTCAGCTATCTCAAGAAATGACAGCAACTTGATATTAGCTTTTGAAGTCCTGTGTTAAAAGGCTCCCCAGCTGCCTGTTTAGGTTAATGGGTCATGCTTTATTTCAACAGTATGGATGGATTTCGACTGGTGAAATTAAATGAGGTCATCCGACAAGTGGACATTGTTATTACCTGTACAGGTATGATAATGACATTTTAAATGGGGTGGCACTTGGGAATGTTTTTATGGAGCAGGTGCAAGATGATTGGAAATATTCTGAAAAACCAAACTCTAAAAGCTAGAGAGAGATAGTAGCCCACAAAGCCAGCCAGTCTTTCACATTCTTCCTAATTCTTTAGAGCTCCGACCAAAGGTATACGATTAGGTTATTCCTATGTAAAAATGTTTCTCTTCACCCTTGAAGACAACTGTTATATCTCCATTCATCCTAGGAGATAGCTAGAGATGAGATTCACTTATAAAGTTTTATTTGGGAAGCCAGATATTTTTTTTTTCCAAAAATATATTTATTTTTAAAAACAGAAAATCAGATCAGTTTTATAGAGTCAAATTTTCAAGAGACAAACCAGAGTTTGGATTCCAGCTTAGAGTGCAAGTGAAGCATCAGTAATCTCATGCAGAAGATTTGTCTCTGCAGGAGGTACATTCTGCTTGACTGCAAGCACTCAATTCTCTAAATCTGGTTTGTACTTCTGCCATCATTTTATTCCATTCCAGCGCTCTGGCATGCAAGATAATCCATCTCTAAAATTCAAGACTTCCAAATTGAGATGAACGATTATTGGGCTTGGGTTGGGGTTTATAACCAATCCGATCATTGATCATTTGTTCCCGGCTCTTGGGATCACTGCTAAGCCCAATGGCTCCTTCTCCATCACTGCCTCCTACAACTTCCACATCTTCCTTCTGTTTCTTACGGGTCTCCAGGTCCTTTCGAATGTTCTCAAACTCTTCAATGTCATCAAGCTTTAGCTCTAGGCGTGTTGGTTTCCGTCTCAGCATACTGAAGTCAACACTAAGGGCCAAACCCAGTGAACTATTAGCAATTCACAGGATTATCCTCAGCGTCCAAACAGATCTTAAATGTGTACGTCATTCATTAAACAAACACTTCTTGTGTTCCAGCTACAGAGTTAAAAGGTACAGTCATAATCTCTTTTCAAGCCGACCTAGCCCCTTCCCCGGGAAGCCAGATCTTAAATGTACACTTGATTTTTTATTTTACCTCCAAAAGTGATGTATGTTTCTCTCTAGTATGTAATTAAGGCAAGGCTAGAGAGAAATTCTTCATAGTTAGAGAAAGTAGACGAGGTTATTCTGTTAATTCCCAAAGAGGTAGATTTTGAGTTTTAAAGAATATGCAGAAATGGCTAGTTTCCTCTAGGGTAAGATACTTATTTTTATGTGGAACCATAAACTACAGGAACACTGGTTTTCTAATTCTATTTTAGAGGGGGAAATCAGACAGAATAAAAAAAAATTGTAGTTGTAGCCTCAGGAAGAAATAGGGGCAGAGAAGAGGGACCATAAGAAGCTGTTCTTGGTTCATATCAATCCCCTGGATCTCTTTTGTTGTTTTAAATAGAGATGAGGTCTCAGTCTCCAGGCTGGTCTCAAACTCCTGGCCTCAGCGTGGTTCTCCCACCTCTGCTTCCCAAAGTGATGGGATTATAGGTGTGAGCCACCCTGCCCAGCCTGGACCTTTTTTTTTTTTTAATTGCTTTTTTGTGATCTGTAATTCATTCACTGCACATTTCACACATTTAAATTGTTCACTGTTTTTTAGTAATTCACAGAGTTTGTACAACCATCACCACAATCTAATGTTTTTACTGAGTTGTAATTCACATTGTAATGTTCACGCTTTTAAAGTATGCAGTTCAATGGCTTTTAGTAAAGTTGTAGAACATCCCAATTATCGAATTTTTATCACCCCAAAAAGAAACCCCATATCATTAGCAGTCACTCCTTATTCCATCCTCCATCATCCGCCAGGCCTAGGCAACCACCATTTCCCTATTCTGGACATTTCATATAAATGGAATCATAGCAACACCTGTGAAAAGAAGGGGAAAAAATAATAATTTTTTTTAAAAAGGAATCATTTATGGCTGGGCACGGTGGCTCACGCCTGTAATCCCAGCACTTCAAGAGGCCAAGATGGGTGGACCACCTGAGGTCAGGAGTTCGAGACCAGCCTGGCCAACATGGTGAAACCCCGTCTCTACTAAAAATACAAAAAATTAGCCAGATGTGATGGCAGGTGCCTGTAGTCTCAGCTACAGGAGTGTGAGGCAGGAGAATTGCTTGAACCTGGAAGGTGGAGGTTGCAGTGAGCCAAGATTGTGCCATTGCACTCCAGCCTGGGCAACAAGAGTGAAACTCCTTCTCAAAAAAAAAAAAAAAAGGAATCATTCAATATGATGTTTTCAGGGCCTCCCCATGTGATGGCATATATCAGTACCTTATTCCTTTTTATTGCTGAGTAATGTATCATTGTATGGTTATACTGTATTTTATTTACCCATTCATTAACTGGTAGACATTTGGGTTGTTTTCACTTTTTGGCTATTAGGAATAATGCTGCTATGAACATTGAATACAAGTTTTTATGTGGACATATTTTTTCAGTTCCCTTGGGTGTATAGTAAGAGTAGAATTGCTGGATCATATAGTAACTTTGTTTTTAACATTTTCAGGCTGGGTGTGGTGGCTCACACCTGTAATCCCAGCACTTTGGAAGGCCGAAGTAGGCAGAGCACTTGAGCCCAGGAGTTCAGACCAGCCTGGGCAACATGGCAAAACTCTGTCTCTACCAAAAAAAATACAAAACTTAGCTGGGTGTGGTCCCAGATACTCGAGGAGCTGAAGTGGAGAATCACTTGAGTGATTTAAAACAAAAAAACAACATTTTTAGGAATTGCCAAACTTTTTTTTTTTTTTTTCGAGACACCCAAGCTGGAGTGCAGTGGCGCGATACTGGCTCACTGCAACTTCCACCTCCCGTGTGCAAGGGATTCTCCTGCCTCAGCCTGCCAAGTAGCTGGGACTACAGGCGCACACCACCACACCCGGCTAATTTTTTGTATTTTAGTAGAGACAGGGTTTCACCATGTTGCCCAGGCTGGTCTCAAACTCCTGAGCTCAGGCAATCCACCCCCCTCAGCCTCCCGAAGTGTTAGGATTACAGTCATGAGCCACTGCGCCTGGCTGGAATTGCCAAACTTTTTAAAAGTGACTGCACCATTTTACAATCCATCAACAATACATGTGCCTTCTAATTTCTCCATATCTTCACCAACACTTGTTATTGTCAGTCTTTTTGATATTGCCATCCTAGTGAGCGTAGAGTGGTACCTCATTGTGGTTTTGATTTCCATTTTCCCTGATGACTAATGATGATGAGCATCTTTTCATGTGTTTATTGGCCATTTGTACATCTTCTCTGAAGAAATGTCGATTCAGATCCTTTTCTTTTTTTTCTTTTGGAGACAGGGTCTCACTCTGTCACCCAGGCTACAGTGTAGTGATGCAGTCACAGCTCACTGCAGCCCCGACCTATGGGGCTCAATCAATCCTCCCACCTTAGCCTCCCTAGTAGCTGGGACTACAGGCACATGCCACCACACCCAGCTTATTTTTGTATTTTTTTTGTAGAAATGGGACTTTGCCATGTTGCCCAGGCTGGTCTCAAACTCCAGGGCTCAAGTTATTGATTCTGCCTCAGCCTCCCAAAGTGCTGGGATAACAGGCATGAGTGAGCATGCCTGGCCTGCTTTTTTTTTTTTTTTGAGAAAGAGTCTTGCTCTGTCACCCAGGCTGGAGTGTGGTGGCACGATCTCGGCTCACTGCAAGCTCCACCTCCCGGGTTCATGCCATTCTCCTGCCTCAGCCTCCTAAGTAGCTGGGACTAAAGGCACCCGCCACCACACCCAGCTAATTTTTTGTATTTTTAGTAGAGATGGGGTTTCACCGTGTTAGCCAGGATGGTTTCGATCTCCTGACCTTGTGATCCGCCCGTCTCAGCCTCCGAAAGTGCTGGAATTACAGGCATGAGCCACCGCGCCTGGCCTGGCCTGCTTATTTTTAAGTTGTCTTCTTCTTATTGGGTTGTAAGAATTCCTTATAACAAGTCCCTCATCAGTTATATGATTTGCACATTTATTTTCTCATTCTGTGGATTATCTTTCTCCACTGCTGCTCAGACCTCTCTTCTGTTTTTAAGGTAACAAGAATGTGGTAACCAGAGAGCACTTGGACCGTATGAAGAATAGCTGCATCGTTTGTAACATGGGACATTCCAACACAGAGATTGACGTGGTAAGATCAAGTAGCTCATTATTGGGGGCTTTTTTCTCTCCTTCACAAGAAGCAAACTGGAAAATGAGAGAGCAGGGTCACAAGCCATCCTAAACATGACTATCCTGGCAGAGTTGTCCACATCTTTTCACTTACTAGCCCTATAGCCTGTGTTTTTGGAGACTATAAAGTTTCTTCATCTCAATTTAATAATTCTAAATGATTGTCATCTTCTATTCAAGCTCGATGCCTGTTTACACCATAAGCCTTATCTGTATGTTTAGGATTGAGAGCAAGATAAACTCAAAACTACAATGAATGATAGAAACTCAGAGCTAAGTGATACAATGAATGTGAATCAGTATGGTAGTCAGTATTTTGGGGGTGTTTGGTTTTACCATAAAGATGAGATAAGTAGGTTGGTCCAAGGAAATAAGGGAGAGAAATCTATGGGCTGGGATGATTATGTTGCTTAGGATTGACTGTGTGTATCAAATACTGCGGTTTCTTCTTTTATCCCTCTCTTTTATTGGGCGAGGTCACCCCTCACATGTTTTCCAAACTGTAGTAATTGTGTCTGCAGGTGTCATAATCAATTCAGCACCATTGTGTAGTAGCATGTGTTCTTCAAACCTGGAAAATATATCACTTTGATTCTCTAATTTGGTTATATTCACCCTAAAATTTTCCAATCCAAAATAGCACTTGGTACTAATAAGTTGCCCAAGTAATAGTTAATAGAAATGTTGTTTCTTTTTTTTTTTTTTTTTTGAGACGGAGTCTCACTCTGTCGCCCAGGCTGGAGTGCAGTGGCGCGGTCTCGGCTTACTGCAACCTCTGCCTCCTGGGTTCAAGCGATTCTCCTTTCTCAGCCTCCAGAGTAGCTGGGACTACAGGTGCTCGCTACCATGCCTGGCTAATTTTTATGTTTTTAGTAGAGGCAGAGTTTCACCATATTGGCTAGGCTGGTCTCAAACTCCTGACCTTGTGATCTGCCCACCTCTGCCTCCCAAAGTGCTGGGATTACAGGCATGAGCCACCACACCCAGCCAAGTGTTGTTTATTTCTTTTCAGACTTACCAAAGTATCTCTCAGTGTGACTTTTACTCTGGTTTTAAATTTTTCTGGCATTTTTATGGCACGCTTGTATTTCTCTCTGGGTAACTGGCTTAAGCAAAGTATGCTTTCATCTCCACTGAGGGCTGCTCTGATTGAGCTTCAGCATTGCCAGGTAAGGACCAGCTGATGTACTGAGAGCTTATTGGATAATATTTATTATATATGGTTTCCCTTTTAAATTCTGTGCTCTATTCTTCCATTATTAAAAATAGCTGGCAGAACAACCTACCAAAGCCCCTTTCTACCCTGGGGTGTCTGAGTGGTATGGCCTTATTACTCTCTCTTACCATGATATTTTGCTTACAATGAACAATTTAGTTGGTAGTTGGTTCTTTAGTTTTCTTTTGCTTAAGTTTCATTTATGTGCTATACTGCCTCTTTGCTGAATGATCAAGGATATTAGTATTTCTAAAATGATCCAGCAAATGATTCTCATTTCCTGGATGACTTTGCTTCTAGAGCCCCCAAAGGGGAAAGGCCTAAAGGGAAGTATTCATGTCATGCCCTGGGCCCTAATGGGAAATCTTCAGAGGAAGGGAAGGGGAAGGAATTTTCCTTCCTAAACCCTCAAGAAGCTCTGAAATAAAAATAATTCCAAATGCAGTGATGTACCTTTTGTATTTTTACTTTATCTCATTTCATCTTTTTGACGACTCCATGAGGCATTATTCTTATTCTTAATTTTCAGTTGGGAAACTAAGAAGTTAACTACCTTGTCAGGCATATAATTGATTCAAGATGAAACTGGTGCACAGGCCAGGCACGGTGGCTCACACCTGTAATCCCAGCACTTTGGGAGGCTGAGGCAGGTGGATCACCTGAGGTCGGGAGTTCAAAACTCCATCTCAAAAAAAAAAAAAAGAAAAAGAATATGATGTTTGAGACCATGTGTGGTGGCTCACACCTGTAATCCCAGCACTTTGGGAGGCCAAGGCGGGATGATTACTTGAGCCCAGGAGTTCGAGACCAGTCTAGGCAACATAGTGAGACCTCATCTCTATAAAAAATAAAAAAAAACAAAATTAGTTGGGTGTGGTGGCTTGCACCTGTAGTACCAGCCTGGCCAACATGATGAAACCCTGTCTCTACTAAAAATACAGAGATTAGTTGGGCTTGGTGGCACACAACTGTAATCCCAGCTACTCCAGAGGCTGAGGCAGGAGAATTGCTGGAACCCGGGAGGCTGAGGTTACAGTGAGCCGCGATCACGCCATTGCACTCCAGCCTGGGCGACAAGAGCGAAACTCCATCTCAAAAAGAAAAAAGAAACCAGTGCACAAAATCCAGGGTTTTTTTTTTACTCCTAGTCTAGTTTTCTTTGTTTTGTTTTCCTGTGTGTTGTATTTATTATCTCCTCATGACTTGTGGATTAACTTCAAATCATGATGGTAATCTCTCCTTCAGAGGCAGCCCAGACATAAGTAACCTCCTAGGATAAAGACCAGAAGACTCTTCACCTTCAATTACAAATATTTTTTGTATGATTGCTATATGCCAGCTGTTGTTCTAAATGCTTGGAGACAGTGAACAAAACAAGCAAATATTTCTACCCTCATGGAGCTTATATCATAGTGAGAAGAAAATAAACATAATAAATATGTAAAATTTATACTATGTTAGAAGGCAAAAGCACCACAGAAAAAAGAAAAAGTAGAGCATGGTGGGAGAATTGAGCACTGGATTATAATTTGAAATAGATCAGGCTGTGACCCTTATTAAGAATATGATGAGCCGGGCCCAGTGGCTCACGCCTGTAATCCCAGCACTTTGAGAGGCCGAGACGGGTGGATCACCTGAGGTCAGGAGTTCAAGACCAGCCTGGCTAACATGGTGAAACCCTGTCTCTACTAAAAATCCAAAAAAAATAGCTGGGCGTGGTGGTGGGCGCCTGTAATCCCAGCTACTCAGGAGGCTGAGGCAGAAGAATTGCTTGAACCCGAGAGGCGGAGATTGCAGTGAGCCAAGATCGCACCATTGCACTCCAGCCTGGGTGACAAGAGCGAAATTCCATCTCAAAAATAAAAAAAAGAAAAAGAATATGATGTTTGAGACGATGTGTGGTGGTGGGCGCCTGTAATCCCAGCACTTTGGGAGACCAAGGCAGGATGATTACTTGAGCCCAGGAGTTCGAGGCCAGCCTAGGCAACATAGTGAGACCTCATCTCTACAAAAAATAAAAAAACAAAACAAAATTAGTTGGGTGTGGTGGCTTGCACCTGTAGTACCAGCTATTTGGGAGGCTGAGGCAGAATCACTGGAGCCTGGGAGGCAGAGGTTGTAGTGAGCCAAAATCGTGCCAGTGCGCACCAGCCTGGGTGACAGAGTGAGACCCTGACTCCGGCAAAAAAAATTTTTTAAAAAAAGATGATATTTGAGGCAGACTGGAAGGAATTTGCCATGTGGATTTTTATGTAAACAGCATTTCAAGAAGAGAGAAAGGCCAGTACACATGCCCTCAGGCAGGAGTGTGCTTAGTCTGTTTGAGGAACAACAAGGAGGCCAGTGTGCTTGGAGGAGAATGAGCGTAGGACAAGGAAGAGTGGAAGATGAGGTCAGAGGGGTAACAGGCCAGATCTTAGAGGGCCTCATAGCCCATTGTAAGAACTCCTGATTATATCCTGAGAGAACTAGGGAGCTGTTGAGGGTTTATAATCTGACTTACGTTTTTAAAGGATGGCTTTTATTTTAAAAGAATTGCCCTGGTTGCTGTGTTGAGACTAGACCAAGTTTTGCAAGTATTGCCAGGTGGCCCCCATATCTACCAGTCACATGAGCCAAGGGCCATCTCTCACTTCTCTTTGTGTTCTTCTTGGCGGAAGATATATAGCTAAGCTAAATGGTCCAGAAAAGGAGATGCTCAGAGGAACTTTTGAAAAGTTAAATTATTCAACCTTTGGTGATAGTGTCACAGGGCATGTAAAATGAAATTCAAGGAAATATCAAACTCAACTAGTAATTGAAACCGAATTTTTATTCAGTGTTTAGCAAATTTATATTGAATACCTGCTCTGTGCCAGATACCAATTTACTAAACAAATGACAGTGAACAATATCCCGTCTCTCAGGGAGCATATATTCTAATGTGGGAGACAAATAATAAAGAAATAGATTGTTATTGTTAGTGTTGAAGACAAATAGCAAGATAAGGGTATTGGGGATTCCATTTTAGTTAGGGTAGTCAAGGAAGTCTCTTTGAGGAGATAACACTTTAAAAAACCTGAATGAAATAAAGGAGCAAGCCATCCGAGCATTCTGTTCAGAGAGAATGGCAGGTAAAAGACCCTGAGGGAGACACCTGCTTGATGTGTTTGAGGAAAAGAAAAGAAGTCACTGTAGCAGGAACATTGGGCAAGGGGGTGAGGAGAAGAGTTAACTCAAGGAGGTATAGGCTATGTAGAGCTTTACAGGTCATGTTAAGGACTTTAGATTTTATTCTGAAAGAAGCCATTGGGAGGTTTTGAATAGATGAGTGACAAAATCTGACTTAGGTTTTTATTTATTTATTTATTTATTTTTATTTTTTATTTTTTTGAGACAGAGTCTCGCTCTGTTGCCCAGGCTGGAGTGCAGTGGTGCAATCTCGGCTCACTGCAACCTCCGCCTCTTTGGTTTAAGCAATTCTCTTGCCTCAGCCTCCTGAGTAGCTGGGACTACAGGCGCCCGCCACCACGCCTGGCAGATTTTTTGTGTTTTTAGTAGAGTCGGGGTTTCACCATTTTGGCCAGGCTGGTCTCGATCTCCTGACTTCGTGACCCACCAGCCTCGGCCTCCCGAAATGCTGGGATTACAGGCATGAGCCACCGCGCCCAGCCGACTTAGGTTTTTAAAAATTACTCTGGAGGCCAGGTGTGGTGGCTCATGCCTGTAGTCCCCAGCTATTGAGGAGGCTGAGGTGGGAGGATTGCTTGAGCCTGGAAGTTAGAAGTCAGCCTGGGCAACATAGTGAGATCCTGTCTCTAAAAATAAAATTACTCTGGCTTTTGTATAAAGAAAACCCTCTGGAGCTTGACTAATGATAGGGATAACAGCAGGTTCTTTCAGTATTTCTGACTGTAGAAAGTGGTGGCTTGGATTAGATGGACAAGTGGTAGAGGTGATAAGAAGTGATACATTGTGACCAATGGAATTTGCTAAATGGATTGGATGCACACTATGAGAAAAAGAGGGAAATCAGTACCAGTCAACTCAGTGAAACTGTGGGAGAATGATTTGGTAAGTATCGAGATATTTTTAGTAATCAAAATTTTTAAAGAGTTTTTTTTCCTTTTTTGGTAGGAATTCATAGTTTAACCTTGAGATGTTGCCTGTTGCATATTTAAGAAGGAGTAGCTCATCAAAAGAGTTGGTCATTTAGAAAGCTGCATTTTTTTTCTGAGAAATATGAATGCTGTGAATACTGAAGGATCTGGGATAGGGATTATGCTCTCCACTGTCTTTTGGCCGTATCTTTCTTTTATATGTTTGCTTTGTCTTAAAAGCAGACCTGCAGCCAGGTGTGGTGGCTCACGCCTGTAATCCCAGCACTTTGGGAGGCTGAGGCAGGCGGATCATGAGGTCAGGAGTTCAAGACCAGCCTGACCAACATGGTGAAACGCCATATCTACTAAAAATACAAAAATTAGCTGGGCATGGTGGCGTGTGCCTGTAATCCCAGCTACTCAGGAGGCTGAGGCAGGAGAATCGCCTGAACCCGGGAGGCGGAGGTTGCAGTGAGCCAAGATCACGCCACTGCACTCTAGCCTGGATGACAGAGTGAGACTCCGTCTCAGAAAAAAGCAGACCTGCTTACCCATGTGTATCACATAGAAGGCCTGTGTAATTGTAAGCTTCACAATTCAGGTGGTCAAACCAGTAAGTACATAGGCTTTAAACATTTTTTCCAGCCGAAGAACGATTTAACCTGAGACTTTGTGCTTTACAGGACTAGAACTACAGTTGTTCTCCCTGAAAAAAAAAAAACAAAAAAAAACCGGATATGCACTGTTCAGAATTATATAAGACCAATTTGTGCAAGCATAATGAGTGGCCAGTTTATGGTGGGATGTACACCTGGTTTGGGAAGGTAGTCTGCACAGGAATCCCTTTTCCCGGTAGGTTGTTTAGTGATTATAGGTCCACAGCAAAGACAACTGGATGTTTTTAAGAGAGATTCTTGTCAAGTTGTGCCAGCCGTAAGGTAGGAAACCCTTCTGCTCTTGAGGAATGTGACTGCTGACTAGGCCTTAATAGGCAGGTTATTGGAGCTTCCTGGACAGTGGTAGAGATAAGTTAACCAAGTTTCTCTTCAAACCCCTTTTTAAACTTACTGTCAGGCTTTCACCTACAGCATAGCCATTCCAGTGCTTTAGTAAACTGCCTCTACTAAGCACTGGTTATTTTCTTATGTTTATAAGAAGTGTCCTTTCCTTGATTCTGCCATACCTTTCTTCCCAAGGAATACTTCCAAAGATGGGTTTTAGCTCTTAGCTCCCAATCACCAAGATTGCTTGGCCTCTGGAAAATTAGGGGTGTGAAACACTAAGAACCTGAAATACTTTAAACTCCTGTCATCTCAATAAAAACTGCCATTGTCACCAAGAGTATCTCTTGACTCTTTGTGGTTATTAACCTCCATGGCACTAAGCTCTAAAGGCTAATGGATTCTACTTTGTATATCCTTAACTTCTCAAAATGGTCTGTTTGCTTAAATTCTTTTTTTTTTTTTTTTTTTGAGACAAGATCTCACTGTTACCACCCAGACTGGAGTGCAGTGGCACAATCTCAGCTCACTGCAGACTCGACTTCCTGGGCTCAAGCATTCCTCCCACCTCAGCCTCCTGAGTAGCTGAAACTACAGGCGCACGCCAACATGCCCAGCTAATTCTGTTCTTTTTTTTTTTTGTAGAGACAAGGTCTCACTATGTTGCCCAAGCTGGTGTTGAACTCCTGGGCTCAAGGGATCTTCCCACCTTGGCCTCCCAAAGTGTTGGGATTACAGGCATGAACCACTGTGCCTTTCTCTTAAGTTCTTTTTAACCCTTAAATTTACAGTATTTATTTATAACATTTATTTTTTAAAATTCCAATTTTAAAGTAATACTTGCTTAGTTTAAAAATGCAAACACTACAAATATGCTTAAAATAAGCAAAAAACTTCCATAATTGAGATTACACTATATTGTTCTGCAACTTGATAGTGAGTGGGCTGGGTGCGGTGGCTCACGCCTGTAATCCTAGCCCTTTGGGAAGCTGAGGCAGGCAGATCACCTGAAGTCAGGGGTTCGAGACCAGCCTGGTCAACATGGTGAAACCCCATCTCTACTAAAAAATATAAAAATTAGCTGGGCATGATGGCAGGTGCCTATAATCCCAGCTATTCGGGAGGCTGAGGCAGGAGAATCGCTTGAACCCAGGAGGCAGAGGTTGCAGTGAGCTAAGATCATGCCATTGCACTGCAGCCTGGGTGACAGAGTGAGACTCCATCTCAAAAAAAAAAAAAAGAATAGTGAATGGTTTTCACGTTAACACATATATGTCTGTCTTTTTTTTGGAGCTCCTTGCTGTAGTACCTTTTTAAAAAAGAGTTGTATAATATTCCATTATATGGAACTGCCCTGATTTACTTAACCATTCCCTTATTTATTTACATTTTTCACTATTACAAATAAGCCTGGATTGAACATTCTTGGGCACTTATATTTCTGAACTTGAGCAAGTGTTTTTATTGGATAGAGCCCTAAAAAAGTGAAACTGATTGGTCAAAGATTAGGTACATATAAAATTTTGCTAGCTGCTGCCAAATTGTCCTCCAGAAAGGTTGAACCAATTTATGAAACTTGACATTTCAAGAAATTGTATGTGTTTCCCATCTACCTAATAAAGAAACGGTCCACACCATTAATATAGTTCTGAATGCACTGAAATATAATTGTATATGTCTTTCCCACTAGATTGGTACTTCCTTGGGGATAGGAATCATGAATTTCTAAACTTTAGCATCCCATTGTTTGCTTAAATAAACCTTGAAATACAAAAATGAAAAGAAAGTACTGTCTTTGTCCATAAGTGGCTCACAGCCCAGTAAAGGAATCCACAGTCTTATCTATATTCATGCTCTTTACTACAATGACTAGAATATGGTATGTACCCTGTAAATCATTATTGTATAACTAAAAGCGTTTCTTTTTATTTGTCTAAAAACTATTTGGCAGAACTTCTTAATTTTATCAAATGAGCCAATGGGTAGTTTTGGAATATGAACTCACTTTCTATTTTAGGCATTGCCTGTTGGAAGAAAGAAGGTGTTGTCTTAAGTCTACACCCCGTGGCTGTTATTTGATTGCTGCTGTTAAAAAAACATAACCTTTTTTCTCATTTTCTCTGAATATACAATATACAGAAATGGAAGGAGGGTGAGCCATTGGGAGCTTTACTCTACCATTAAGCATTTCTTTAAAGGCTACCTCACATTTGCACTTAGGTCACAAAGCTTCTGTAACTAGGGTGAACCACCATCATTGAAAAGGTGGAACCTGGGACCTTCGGATATGAGGGCAGAACCTTGGGCCCCAGCATGCTATGTTTAGGACATTTGGCCTCTTACTAAACCCACTCAGCTATGTTCCTCCTTTTTTTCTTTGTTTCTTCAGCACTTATATATTCAGTTTGCACTGTATTAATTTGCACTTGTTTGCATGTTGCTTTGTAAGTATTTTAAGGGCATTTTTTTCCTCTCACATATATATTGTTTTGTGTCCCTGGCTAAAGTACAAGCTTTTTGAAGGCAGAAACCATGTCTTTGGTTTCTTTTGTATTTCCCATAGCACCTTTTACTGTGAGAGTGGGCACACAGTATATGTTGTGGAATGACATCCTGAGTGATCCCTCCCTGGCTGGGCCTCAGATTAAATTCCCTGAAATGGAACAGTCCTAACCAACACAGGACAGGTATTCTCCATCTGGCATGTTGGTTGCTCCTTTCAACCTGCTATTTGAAATGGCTCCCTTCAACATCTTTCTGTTCCCACAGTGGGGCTTGCTATGGCTAATGCTGTACTTGCTGTATGTGTTCCAGGCGAGTCTGCGGACACCAGAACTGACCTGGGAGCGAGTGAGATCTCAAGTTGACCATGTGATATGGCCTGATGGCAAGAGGATAGTACTGCTGGCAGAGGTAAGGCTGAGACTGGCAAAAATACTCCCCCACAACAGGAGAGACTGCAATACCCAGGTCCCCTCCTCCTCATGTTCTCGAATACTTTCAACTCCTCTGTTAAGCACAAGTTTGACTACTTTCCCAATGGATTTTACTTCTAATTGTGAAAGATCTTTTCATTCAGCAATTAAGAAACTATTTTGGTTCCCCACTTTTCACCAATTATCCTGTCTCTCCACGTCAATCCACAGGTTGAGTTAGATAATTATTACTATAGAAGGAATTCACAGATAGAACCAGTGCCACTTTGAGTGATGCATACAAAGAGATAATGTCACTTGTGGGATGTTTTAATCACTAAGCACAAAGTAGATATGCCCGACTGTAACCAGGACTATCTTAGGCAAGTTCTGGGAATGTATGTTTTTACTGATAGATTCCCTGTTTTTGAAGGTCCATTCCCTTGAATTGAGCCAGATGAGTAGTAGGTACCTACCTAGATATCAATTGCTCAATTGATATTTCCCCATCCTAGCTCCTAGCTCACATTGACACTATTGACTTTCATTTTATTGGCTTCCATGTCAGTGTTTGACCACTTTTCCTTTCTTAAAAGCTCCTCTTCCCTAGTCCTGGATTCCTGACAGCTATAATATTAGATGCCTTCTATTCTTACCTTGAAGCTTTCTCTTCTTCAGAGAAAGATACCAAAATATCAAGGAGGATAATAATACTTTTCTCAATTTTGATTTTCAGTTGGTTTTTTTTCTTTTTTTATATTAAAGAACCTGAATATGAAAATGTAAAATATACATTGTCTTTATCTAGGGGCCCATAAGTTAGGAGTTTTTAGTGTCCTTACTGTTTTCTTCACATTTTCCTCACTTTATCTCATCTTCTCAGATACTTCAGGGCATTTGTAAAGGGACTGAACTATTTCTTCACAAGGAAGGAGTATATATGAGGAGGAGATGGGCAGATTGCCAAATATGCATTAATAGCTTTGATGTCAGTCTGCTGACTGATGACTTGTTTCTAGCTGCCCTAGGAGGTCCCACCTGGTAATTTTGGTGACAAAAGCAAGTACCATGGGTGTTTTTGGCTAGATGGTTGAGCAAAAAGGTGGTCAGGCTTCATAGGAAACAAAATAGGAAAGGGTGGCATTGGGGGCAATTTCTAGTTCTTCTACTGTCTGAATCACCAACTCAAAATACAAGGCTGACAATGCTGTCTTTGAATTCAGGAGAAGCAAACTGAAGGAGAAGCACAAAAATCATCACAGCTATGGTGAAACCCTGTCTCTACAAAAAAAAAAAAAAAAATACAAAAGTTAGCCGGGCATGGTGGCGCACACCTGTGATCCCAGTTACTCTGGAGGCTGAGGCAGGAGAATCACTTGAACCCAGGGGGCAGAGGTTACAGTGAGTCAAGATCATGCCATGGAACTCCAGCCTGGGCAACAGAGGGAGACTCCATCTAATCAATCAATCAATCAATCAATCAATCAATCATCACAGCTTCCTAAGTCCAAATATACCTCCCCTCACAACCTGGAGAGATTGTCCCTGGATTTGACTGATCATTGTTTATTTCAAGACAGTCTTTAAAAGAAATGCCGATCCTCAGAAGGAGGATATTTTGCTATAGAGAGTGGAAAATTCAAGAGAAGTACACTGATATTTGGCATAAGCCTCAGTGTCATATGACCATCTGTATTCCTTTTTAAATAATTCCAGAAATCTTTTAGCTATTAGTTTCATCAGATTTTCCAGAATTTTAGTGGTTTCATTTAAATGTCAGTCAGTTAGTTCTTATATATTGAATAGCTGCTTTTTTTCCAGCAGTGTTAGTCAGGAAGTGTTTGGAAAATGGTGGTCATGCTTCTCTTCCCTCACTTCTCAAAGGCCAGCGACTTTGTCCTAATCCATTTGTGTCTTCACCTTTGATCACTAGGGCCGCCTGCTGAACCTTAGCTGCTCCACAGTGCCTACATTTGTGCTCTCAATCACTGCTACTACTCAGGTAAGGCTTCCAGAGTGGGATAGCAGTAGTCTGGAGAAGGTCCTCAGACCCACCAGGTTTCACTTGCTTGGGTAGATTGCCATGAATGGCACATCAGCATCCATCTCTCTGCTTTTCTAGGCTCTTGCCTTGATAGAGCTTTACAATGCTCCTGAGGGTCGCTATAAGCAGGATGTCTACCTGTTGCCCAAGAAGATGGGTAAGTATTTACTCTTCCATCTCCATCCTTACCAAAGTAGTTCAGAGTCTGAGGTTAAAGGAAGTTTGGGGGCATTAACTTACTTAAGGATGGGGGAAAAAAGGTACCTTCATCTTGTAAAGTAGGAATTAGGATTCCTAGGTGCCATTCCCATTTATTTATCCCATTTTCTACATGTGTTGCCCTAGCGAAGTTGTGATATTATGCTGTGATTTATTTTACCTGCCTGTGAATTTTAAGGATTTTTTTTTTCTTAAAGTATCTTTATGTGGGAATCTCAAAGGAGAAAAAAAAAATCTTCCCTTAAAAGAGAAGAATCATCTCCTACCTTGTGACATCTGACTTACTCCAATTCTAGGCTGCCAAATAGCCCCTACCAAACTTTTCTCAGACGACACAAGACTTTCTTACTACACCTTCCAACACCAATCCCAGTGCTTCAGGCCAAAGGAGAGATGTGGAATAGGAGCTATTTAGTTATGTGGGTGTTTTGTATAAGAGAAACATTAACCTGTCTTAAATTTTTAAAGAGCCTGCCTCAAGCACCTGAACTGATACAGTGTGTTTATAAACTCCTCAGGCAAAGATCAGGTAATAAATAAGCTTCTGGTTTTGTTTTGCCTTAGCACTAGGTATATAACAACTGTTAAAAGTTGATACATTTTCCCTTTAGTAGACACTTTAGAAGGATATAAAAGCAACAGCACAGTCCATATTCTGACAGAATGTATAATGAAGTTGGGAGACCAAACAAATACATAGGAAATGACATAAGATTATGAATAAGTACTATGTAGTCAGATAATAGAATGTGAACAGAAACCCATAAGAATTAAGAGTACTAAAAGCAAAGCAAACAGTTCATTTATCCCATTTAGTATCCTTCTTAGTTTTTCCATTCAAGTTTCCCCAGGCATTAGTTGTTTTAAATGACCCAAAGTATGGAGTCCAAGGCAAAACTCAAGTTGGAGCTTCCCATTATTTAGTTCCCACATTATCCTATTCCTTCTTTTAAATCTTAATGCCTGTTGTTTCTTTCATCTCTCCTGCACTTTTCTGGAAGGCAGGGTTCAAAGCTGAGTTAGTAAGGATGAATTATTAAGGCTTTGGAAAGCACTGGGCTTGAAGCTGAAGGCAGCTATTCCTTAGAATTGAGGACCAGTGAGCGAAGGTTGAACATTTTTCATTCAGCTCCAGGAATTAGAAGGTGTCTTTGAACTTTTTAAGGCCTAGCTTGGGGACAATAGCCATCAGATAAAAGGCATGAATGCTTATACCAGGGCTTCTGTGGTCTGTTCCAGATGAGTATGTGGCCAGCCTACACCTGCCTACCTTTGATGCCCACTTGACAGAGCTGACAGATGAACAGGCCAAGTATCTGGGACTCAACAAGAATGGGCCCTTCAAGCCTAATTACTACAGGTGCCTTGGGCTCCCCAGAAATCAGGGACACCTGGGCAGTGATGAGCTTCCTGCACTGGAATTGGTCTTTGCATCCCCAACCACATATGCTTACATGAACTCAGAAAAATGAACCCACTTCCCCTCACTGCCACCTTCAAAAGACTCTTCAAGGCCTTAAATAGTATTCCCCTTCCTGAATTTGCCTTTTGGAGATAGAGAGGTGGAGTTTGGGTAAGTGGCTATTTGCCTCATTAAATAAAGTTCCCCTTCCTCAATTCCTTTCCCCATTTCATCTTGTTGCTATGATTTTTATCTCTTTATGGAGAAATATTGGCCTTTTTCAATGATGTGAAAAGGAAACACAGTTATTTCCTGTCACTGTACACTCCAGAAAAGTCTCTGCCTCCCTGTTACACCTTTAGGCAGGCTCTTCATGTCCCAGCATCCCCATTAGCTGATAACATCACAGTCTCATCTTTCTTTTTCCCTCCAGGTATTAAGTTCCTGTAACTCAAACCAGAATTTTTAAGGAATAGAACTCCAAGCCTTTTCTCCACTACTATACAAGAAAGAATTCAGCAAGCTGCTTCTCCAATCAAAGCTGCCTGCCGTGCTCACCCTGTGTGTTAGGTTATTTATTTATTAAAATCAAGAATCCTGTGCCTGTAGTGTTGGCCCAGAGTGTGGTTACTGCCCTGAGGGCCATGAAAGCCACAGAGGATGGGCTGAGGAAGGAAAGAAATGGGGTTACTGCTCCCAGTGCATCATTTGCATCATTCCCCATTGACTGAATCCTCAGCAGTGGCCGTTTTTCCTCTTGTCCAGGCTCACGAGTTAGTCCAGGGATTCCATACTCCCTATTCCCTGGAGTTTTCTGGAATAAATTTTCAGCACCTGCTTTTCTCAGCTTGGCCCTTCCCCGGGTGAGGCCGTTTGGAATTAACATGGCCAGTGTTTCACACAAGATTGGGTTCCCAATCTTGACCATCACTATCACTGCCTTCTTTATATAAAGGCTAATAAGGAAGGAGTGTTATTTATGGCTTTGCCAAGCTACATCAAGAACTCAGCTGTGCTGTGCCTACCAGGGGTCTCCTTTCTTACCCAGGACTCCTTTCTTCTCCTTGAATATTTATGTCCATTTTAACACTTCCTGGTTGCAAGAGGGATGTGCCTCCATTATTTCCTCCACAGTTTTGGTATTTGTCAGACATTTGTTCTGCTGTCTTTCTAATCCAGCCAACGTCTGCTCAGGAAGTGGGGCCAGCTCCACTGGGACCCATAGTTTTACTTCCTTGTCATTTGATTGGATAGTTTCCAAGGAAGCCCCTCCAGATTGGCACTATCTCAGAAAAGGAGAGCTTGTTGTGAAACACTGCTTCCTGAAACTTCCTGCTATTGCCTAAAGCTACGTCTGAAACTGAGTAGGGAAAGGCATACTTTTCCAGGGACTTAGGGGGATAGGCTTTGGAAATGGGACAGGTCTTTCAGACTCACAGCTTGATACCCTAACAAAGCAGAGTATATTTATTTGTTTCCCAGGAAGGCCATTGCAGTTTGACTGGCTGAGGGATACAGAGATGAAATTGTAAACTGTATCCAGATTATCAAAGCTAATTTGACTAGTTTGAACCTCGTCAGACATTCATTCCTTTGGCCATTGCCATGGATGAAACCGAGATCTGCAGTCTGATCTGTGGACTTCTCTGCTGGCATATCTTTTATGATTTAACCTCTTCCATTTGATGATTCTGTATTTCAGAGTCAGTTTCTTGAGTAACTCCAGTGCTACAAAAAGAATTAGTAATGTGGTGTGGGCAGCGTGACATTTTATGTCCCACCCAAAAATTGGATTCCTTTTGGAGACTGATCTGTTGGTCTCAGGCATTTCATTAGGACCAGATTGGTTCTAAGAGTTAGTCTGGACTGGCCCTAGGAAACTTGAATTAAATAAGCCTCTTCCCCTTACCGATCCTTTTTAACACTCTCAGGTTTGTTTGTTTCCCACTTTTTTCCTATGCTGGTCTGCCTCAAAGTCTCAAGACCAAGGTGACTCAAGATAACACCAGACCACGCATGATCACCAAAACCTTCCCATCCTGATTCTCTTCTTCTACCTCTACCCTCTCCAACTTCTCCTGGTCTTCACATATACTCTCAAAGCTAGTCTGAAAGTGACCTTACTTTCGGAAGTAGGGAAGTGGAACTTTGGTAAATGACTGTTTGCCTCATTTAATAGTATACAGGCTCAGCCCATAGACTACAGTTCTTCAGAGGCCATATGTCTCAGCAAGTACTGGTTATATTCTTTTTTTGTAAGGAAGATCATAAATGCTAAAAATTCCACTAAGCCATTCAGTTCTTCCTTTTGCCTACCTAGTCCTGATTTTTGTATTAATTGGTTCCCTTTAGCAAGGGATTCAGATCTTTGTACCTTATCTTATATCCAGAGCAGATTCCATTTGGCAGATAGATGGTCTCTAGCCTATTGTATTCTTAGACCAAAAATCATAACCTGCTGTTTCTCAGCAAAGCCTTGCTCTCTGGAGCTTACTATGTGCTGGTACTTAAAGAGTACATTCTGCCTTGCTGTAGTGAAGAGACCCACTCCAAATAAAAAAGGGGCCACACGGGGCTTCTAAGTTAGGTTGCCAGTGTTGCTGCCCATGATGAGTTATTTGCCTCTGAGTTTCAGATGACCTCTCTGTAGGGACACTGTGTTATCAACCATTAAGAAGAAAGAACCACAAGCCTCCCAAGTATTTGGGTTCTATCTTAGGGTTGAAATCTGGTCATTATTCCCTCTACCCTTGGAATCAGAGCAATGTGTCTTCTTTCCTCCAACCTCTTACCTTAGATGCATCCTGGTTATCTGGAAGCATGGGAAAGAAGGCTACTTATCTCTTTGTATGTGGCTCCAGTCTGTGAGGATACATAACATTTTCTCTACAATGAATCTGTGCTAATATTTTGCCTTCTTTCTTTCTTTTCTTTTCACCCTTAGAGACAGGGTTTCACTATGTTGCCCAGGCTGGTCTCAAACTCCTGGGCTCAAGCAATCCTCCTGCCTCAGCTTCCTGAGTAGCTGGAACCACAGGTGTGTGCTACCGTGCCTGGCACTTTTTTGCCTTCTTAATGGAGATATTCAGTTTTCTTTTTTTCATTTAAACAAAGAAAAAAAATGTATCTACTCTACCTTCCCTCTGCTCTCCTCCCTCCCTATCCTACTTGCCCATATGAGCACGGCTCCCCATGGCCACATACTCCTGCAAAGCTTTTATGCTGCTTCGCTTTTCTCTAAACAGATCTGATATTGCTGCTCCTGTGGTTTTCTCAAAATTAACTTTGCCGTGGTTTTTAAAAAGGAATCAAAATGCATTGTTGCATTAAGCTTTTTCAATAAAGGAAAATTACGGAAGGAAAATAGGCAACACCAGCAAATTATATGTGGACAGGTTCTAAACTCTATATATACATATATATATATATATCTATATATCTATATACGTAATCATCTAGTTCTGTCATCTTACTGAAAGGAATAACACTTCTAAAGATCACCATTTCTGAGAAGTTCTTGGAAATCTTTATGTCTAAGTGATTGTATTAGATCAGCAATAATGACTATGTAATCTCAAAAAACAAATAAAATATTCTTAACATGGACTCTTAAGGGTATTTCTTGTTTCTGTGAACTAGAAATTCAGAGATGAGAGAGATCTCTGGGCAACAAACTAGAGATCCTGCTGTAGGGCAAGGATGTGAAAATGTTACCAATGGGCATGTTTGACCTTAGGATGTGAAAATGTTACCAATAGGCATGTTTGACCTTAGTTAATAAATATCATGTTCCCCTCCTACCAGCCAGCATACACGCGCATCCTGGCTGTGTGTGTAAAGAACCTGTCTTCTCAGAACCACCACCCTGGGGAGTCGAGGACTGTAGGCTTAACTCAGAGAAACTAAACCATAGTTCTAGGTCCCTGACTCCCTTTTAGTTGAAAAATGCAGGAAATCAGCATCCCCCAGTTTGGGACCAAAGGACCTTGATAACTAGGACCTGATTATATCCAGCCAAAGGGAAGAAAGAAGTGCATCAGGCAGAGATTTGTCTCTAAATCAAGTTGCCTGATTTAACCAAAGGATAATCCAATTGCCTATTCTTTCTCAACTGCCAGTAGGGTAACCATCTTTGGGTAGCTTTCTGATAGCCACCTTCTTTAGTTGACTACCTAAACTAGTTCTGCATCCTGTATGCAAGATGTTTTCTTTTCATAGCAGAATCTTCTGCCACTTTGGCTTCTGATTATTTAGATTAAGGGACACAGGGCTAGAATCGTCTGGGCAGTCAGTAATCCTCAAAATTAGTGCCATTCCAGTTAAGAGGAGGAGAATGCAGCAGCTAGCAATGAAGCCGGTCAGCTCAAAGGATTTGCTCCCCTGCAGTAGGGCTTGACTCCTCATTTGTGAAGGATGGAACCTTGGGTGCCTGGGTCTTTATTTCAGAATCATAGGGTAAGCCCAAGCTATCCACTGCTGCACAAGTTTCTCCACCTCACAATATTGTGCAAAAAAACTTGAACTTTAAAGCAGGCTAGCTTGGGTTTGAATCCCAGCTCTGCCATTTACAAGTTATGTAACTTAGTCAAATTACATAACCACTCACAGCCTCAATTTTCTTGCCTGTGAAATGGATACTGCTTATCTCCTAGGATAAGGATTTAATGAAGCGATATATAAAAAGTGCTGCTTATTTACAGAGCCTGGCACGCACTGCTGACTGCATACACATCATTCCTTGTCTCAATCTAGAGCCCTACAACCTCTGTTGCATCATTACACCCACACCTGCCCTTTATGGAGAGAGGAGGGTGTTCTATCCTTTTTTTACTAAATTATCCTAACTGCCTGATAGCCTCAAAAAGCAGGTACTTTAAAACTTACTGCGTCTTATTAAGCTTTCTCAGTGCCAGGTGCTATCCATTTAGTCAAGTATCTGACCTCTGTGGATTAAAGTGGAGTGCTTATATGGGGAAAAGGGTATATGTGATTCTTGTAACTACACCTATTTATACCTCCAACCCTCTGCTGGCAGCCTGAGTTTTGGGACAAGGGAAATTGGTAATGTAGGTTTTTTAATAACGTCAAATATAACAGCATTGGAGCCATCTCTGCAAGATGGAGAGACTTGACCAGCCTTGACTAGCTCCCAGGTATGGGTGCCTCTGTGGTGAATGGTATTGATGACTATGATGCCTTTGTTGACAAATAAGCTAAAATAAATTGAATGTGTGCCAATTCCATGGCCTGTAGTTTCAAAGTTTTCAGTTACTCTGTGGTTTCTTGTTACATCTTCCAGTTGTTTCCAGATATCTTCCTCCTTATTAGAAATTTTGAACGTCTGGGCCTATAGTGAGCACATAGGTGTCTGATCTTAGTAAAGGTATTCTATTTCGCTGAGATGTGGAAAAGATCATGGATTGAGGTCTCTCCTCGTGTTGACTCTATGCAATCTTCATAGCACCAGTTTTACACATTCCTTCTCTGAAATTAAAGCCAGATGGAGCCTCTAGGCTTAGCAAGTGGCTTTAGATAGCCACCAGAGGGGACTTGCAAGCTGTCCTCTATCCTACTCCCAAGATCAGTCTGCCCTTTCCCCTAGGAATAGGCAGGAAAAGAATAAAGCATCAAAACTGGCCACTCCTGTCTGCTACCACTGTTGGGATCCTGCCGATTGATTAGGCTCACAAAAGAATATGAAGTTCTGGGCCTGTTAACCTTAGGGCTCTGACTACTTAGGAGGAGAAGTACTGGGAAGAAGAGAGATAGAATAATGAATTCTTTCTATTAAGAAATCCCAATGGGCTGTGCTGTGGCAGGTTTACCACACTGAAGCAGTGATGAGCAAGGCGTGGGTTGTGAACTTTAAAGCAGGGTGTAAATTTTTAAGAGTTTAACAAATTATACCCTGAAAAAAATCCAAAGTCAAGTAGTTCAGGCCTTGAGCCAGGGACTTTCTTGGAAATTCATATCAATTCAGTTCTGTAAACGCCACACTCCCCACCCCCCACACCCAGCCCCCCGCCCCGAGACATTTTTGGTTGTCGCACTAGCGGGAGGATACTACTGGCATCTAGTGAAGAGAGGCCAGGTATTCTGCTAAGCATCCTACGATGCACAGGACAGCCCCCTACAATAAATATTCAGCCCCAATTGTCAATAGTACAGAGACTGTGAAACGCTGCGTTAAACGTACATAAATTAGGGGCATACAAAAATGAGCTAAATTTGGTCTTACTCGCTAGGAGCCTATATGTGGGTGGGGAGAGGAGTGGGACTGGAAGAGGAAAAGGAAGATGTGAAGGTACAGTAAGGAGATATTGGACCAGGGTGAGAAAACCCAAAAAGCTCCAAAGAGTGCTCTCAAACTTGCCTTGTTCTGTCGCCTATGAACTGGCAAAGGGAAAAGTGAGAGAGAGAGAGAGATGTTAAGAAAGGGACAGGGTTGTCCCTAAGGTATGGGAAGGTGGAGTAATTCCTCTAGGCCCTTTGCTTTGGGTATATCGTGGAAAATGTTAGGATTTTGGATCTAGGCAGAACTGGTTTGACACCAACACAACCTGAATGAGTTGAGGGCTAAAAGGAAAGCTTTGTGGAGGAGGAGGAGGTGACAACTAACTAGAATCTTTATGAGAGAAAAGGAATCAACCAGGAGAACAGAAGACAGTCTCCTCCAGAGAACAGCATAGGCAAGACCCTGAGACAAGATAGAATATGATACCTTGGAAACCGCAGGGAGGAATCTGCAAGTGCCGGTTTCTTCATCAGTAACATTGGATTCGTAAAAACACCCTGTCGGGGAGAGGTATGATGTGATATTTGGAAAGCGCTTACTGCAGTGCCTGGCACCAAGCTCAGTTCAACAATCCCCCAGACCCTTCCTAAAGCAACCAGGCTGGGGACAGCGATTTGGTCCCACCTGTTCCCCTGAGCCTACGTCTTTGGGGCTTCTATTACCAAGCCAGACTGTCTAAATATTTACTACAAGCTACTTTTTAAATTCAGGAGAGGGCAGATCAAACAGCCTCTTTTGCCCCCAGTAACAATGAGCCCTTAGGAAGCATCTAAGAGAGAGGAAGGAAAGAAAGGACTGGCGAGCAGGTGAGGGTGGGGGCTTGCTCTACCCTCAACATTTACACACCATGAGGAAGAGGCCCCCTACAGCAGAGAAGGGCAGATGACAGGAGCAGCCCTCGAGGGCACCACCAATTTCAGTGATGGAAAAACTCCCCCATCCCACCCTTAGACCTCCAGTCTCCCAGCCAAGCCCTAGCTCCGGGCGAGATGCGTTCTCTTCAGAAAAACGCTGAGAATTCTCAGCTTCCAGAGACAGCGAGTCCCTCGTTTCGGGCGATGTCCCTGGCCACCTGGCGGTGCCATCCCTCCCCTGAGACTAAGCGGGATATGGGACGTGTGCAGGAGCCGGGATATGGGGGGCCGGGTCGGTGGTAACAGGGAAACGGAGACTGCTGTGGAGCAGTAGGCGGAGACTAGAGCTCCGGAAAAGGTCGCTACAGGGACGGGGGTGAGAGCTGAGAGACACCGAGTGAGGAGCACAGAGATAACCCGCCTGATCTCAAGGCCCAGCTTTCGCGAGGTGTGGAGCCTGTAGCTAACCTAGGAGTCTCCGTCCGCCAGCAATGCCGCAGGACTAAAAAGATCCCCTCAAAAATCTCTTCATTGAGCCCCCACCTCCTCGAGTCCCGCTCCGGCCGGTCGAGCAGCCAATCGCCTCGCGGGGCGGGGTTGCGGCGAGCTGCCGTAACCAATAGAGGTGGAGGGGGCGGGGCCTGGCTCCCGGCGCGCGGCGGTAGGGTCGCCTCCGGCAAAGCGAGCTGAACCCTGAGGGGAGCCGCTGACCAGCAGCATGGAGGACCCCGCCGCGCCTGGGACCGGGGGCCCGCCCGCAAATGGCAATGGCAACGGCGGCGGCAAAGGGAAGCAGGCGGCGCCCAAGGGCCGCGAAGCGTTCCGAAGCCAGCGGCGGGAGTCAGAGGTGAGGAGCCCGGAAAGCTTCGGCTGGGGCCCGGAGACGCCCGCCGGCGGGAAGCGGCGGCTGAGGTGATTCGGCCTCGGCCCCGGAGCCCTCGGCGCGCTCGATCAGCCCCGCGCAGTGGGCGCCTGCGGGGTCCTAGCGGCTGAACTCTGGGCTCTTTGGCCCGGACCAGTGTCCGCCCGTCTCCTGCCGCGGGTTGGGGGCTTTCTAGCCCTCTGGCTTTCCCCCGCTGCGCGAAGATGAGCGCGGTATTGAGCGGACCAGATACTTTCCAAATATTTATCTCACTTAATCGCTGCAGCCCCCTGAAGCAGAAATTCCGATCCCAGTTTATAGACGGGGGAACAGGAGCGGAGAGGTTAAGTGACTGGCTTGAGGGGTGGGAGGCTGGAGCTCAGCCGCAGGAAAGCAGGATTGGCGAGTGGGGCAACCGCAGTCCCCCTCCCAGGCTGCCTGCGGCGGGCCCCTGGGCCAGCCGAGGGACTTCTGCCCGTTCCCTGCCCGTCCCCTTCCCCCCGTAAGTCTTAGGCCGTTTCGGGAGCGCCTTCCGCGGACATCAGGCCCCTGCCTGTGAGGGCTGAGCGAGACGGGATTCAGGCAGGGGCAGTCCTGGAGTGGCTATCTGGAGGGAGCAGTCGCAGGATACAGATAGGAGTGTGAATATTTCGATCTCTTCCTCCTCTCCTGAAAAAAGAAACCCTATCTATGAAGATGAAAGCGTTGAATTATTATCACTTCCCTATCCCCTCATTGAGGCAGTTCCCATCAGTTGGATCTGAGCGGGGATCAGAATAGACGACAAAATATCAGATGTGGCAGGGTCTGCAGATATCATCTGGTATAACCCTTTCATTTTACAGACCTAAAAAAAAGAGGAGTGACTTGCCCAAGATCAGACATCTGGCATAGTTGGTGGTCAAGAACACCAGACTTTGGAGTAGTCAGACCAGGTTTTGACTCCTAGCCCTATCATTTACTACCTGTGTGATTTTCGGCACATTACGGAACCTCTCTGAGCTCCAGTTTCTTCATCTGTAAGATGAGATTAACACTGCCTACCTCAGAAGGTTGTGATAAAGTCAAAATGAGATAATTGACTATAAAATGTTTGGCACAGTGCAGGCACAATGCATGTAATTAGTCAGTACATAGTAACTCTTAGTATATTGCTATCATCATCATCATCATCATCATCAAGTGGCAGAGCTGGTACTAGAAACCAGGTTTTTGGCATCCCAGACCTTGCCTTACCATTTGAATAGCATTTCAGTTTCCAAAGTGATTTCATGTATGCTTTACATTTTGATGTAGGTAGAGTAGGAGGAATCCATTCATTTTTTTTCAAGGTAGAAATGGAGATGAAAAGACTGGCCCAAAGTCACCACCTTGCAGAGGCAGAGAGCTCAGCCCTCCTGTCTTGCTAGATGATACCCGCCACATCATCTCCCTCCCTACTTCAAGATGAGTCTGGTCTTTTAGGGCACCCTGTACCTCCTTCCCCCACAGAGACATTGTTCTCGTTCAAATGTTTTTTTGGGGAGATGAGCCATTCATTAATTCAACAATTATTTATCGAGGACTTTCTGCCAGCCACTGTTTTAGGTGCCAGGGATATATCAGTGAACAAGATAGGGTCTTCGCCCATGGGGAGACAAATTGTGAGTAAATAAATAAAATAATTTCAGAATGATATGTTCTATGGGGGGAATAAAAGTCTCTGCCTGGGTCTCCCTTCTAAAGTTGCAATCTGTTCCCCACCTGTCAAGTCTTCTTCAGGCAAAGGCTCTGAGAGTACAGTCCTTTGCTTTTGCCAGTACTTTGCAGTGTCCAGAGACTCGAAAGCTTTCCACCTGCACCGCGGTTTACCTGCTGATTGTCTGCAGCTGCACTCTTCATGCCTGGAAATGAACAACTGCTGCGATCATCTCTATCTGGGCTCATTGCCTGCCAAAAGCCTGGCTGGAAAGATTAGCTTTCCTCTACCTTCTGCTGCAGCAGGACTCCTTTTACCTGCCAGTACATCCCCTATTACCACAGTACCCAGGTGCCAGATCTGCTTTTCTTCTCTCCCTCTTTTTGCTTTCCTGTGGAAGGCAGTCCTTAGAGGAGATGGGATTTTTTTCCTCTCTAGGGCTTTTAGAAAATCACTAGAAGAGAATTACTGTGGCACAAGTCAAGAGAGCCTCATCGTGTATCACTGTTTATGGAAGCACTGTTGACCTACCTTCTCCCACTGGCTTAGTGTGTGAACATCCCAACCTAAAAAGGAAGCTAAAGAATAATTGTTTGCTTAATAAGAAGAGTCTTAACCTAATAAAAGGATTCACCTCAGACCTCTTTTAGCCAGATCTGGTTTATTGATCTCAAACTCCTTGACAAAGTTTTAACTGGTCTGTGGTAAAATGAGGAAAATTCAGGTCATCGAAGTGAGTTTTTCTAAAAATTTAGTTCAATATATTAAATTTAAGAATGTATACAATTTAAAACAGTGTTTTTCAAACTGCTATAGGGGGCAACCTGTTAATTGAGGCTAAAATTTTTATTTTAAGAAATAAAGCCAGCATGATGGCTCATGCCTATTATCCCAGCACTTTGGGAGACTGAGGCAGGTGGGTAGCTTCAGCCAGGAATTCGAGACAAGCCTGGGAAATGTAGGCAGACCCCATCTCTACAAATAAATAAAAAATAAAAAAGATTTAGCCAGGCATGATGGTGCGCGCCTGTTGTCCCAGCTGCTCAGGAGGCTGAATCACTTAAGTCTAGGAGGTTGAGGCCGCAGTGAGCTGTGATCATGCCACTGCACTCCAGCCTGGGTGAGAGGAAGACCCTGTCTTAAAAAAAAAAAGAAAAGAAAGAGAATAATAGAAAATATCACTGCATCACATGCAGTAAAGGTAAATATTTTGTTAAACTTTTGTTCCAGTTTGTGTGTGTGTGTGTGTGTGCTGGGACGTAATGTAAAAGGTATCATTTTTCCAAAAAGTTTGAAAAACAATTTTTAATGGCTGTTCTTTATTCTGAGATTCTGTCTTTCATTTTTTGAATTTTTTAAAGTTTTTAAAGTCCTTACCTATCAGAATAAAACAGCAACAACCCTATGTCATTTGCCACTCTCCACCTTTTTCTTTTTCCCTACTGTTCCTTTTAATCCAAAAGTTTGGAAATCTTTGCTATAGTGGATTAAAACATGATTCGCCTTGTTTTTTTTTGTTTTTTTTTTTTTTGACAGAGTCTCACTCTGTCACCCAGGCTGGAGTGCAGTGGCGCAAACTCGGCTCACTGCAAGCTCTGCCTCCCGGGTTCACGCCATTCTCCTGCCTCAGCCTCCCGAGTAGCTGGGACTACAGGCGTCCGCCACCATGCTCGGCTAATTTTTTGTATTTTTAGTGGAGACGGGGTTTCACCGTGTTAGCCAGGATGGTCTCGATCTCCTGACCTCGTAATCCGCCCACCTCGGCCTCCCAAAGTGTTGGGATTACAGGCGTGAGCCACTGCGCCCGGCCAATTTGCTTTGTTGACAGTATAAATTGGCATAATGTTTTGGGGGAGCAACTTATATACAAAGAGACTTTAAAATGTTCATAAGATTTGATTCATTAATTTTCTTTATAAAAATCTATGCTTAGGAAATATCCTAAATATAGAAAAAAGTGTAAGTCTATTACAGTTTGTTGCATATAATAAAGGAAAATTAAAAACCATTTAAATATTCAATAAGGAACTAGTTAAGTAAACAAATAAATGTACATCCATTTATACAACCATTTAAACTAATAGTCATAATAATGTGAGAAGAATGCCTTTATAGTATAATATTAAAATCATAGAGTGACCACTCACATAGTGCTACGAAGTGCTAGGCCGTGTGCCTTTCCTATATTAACTCATTTAGTCCTTAAAATAACCCTATGAAGTAAGTCCTGTTATTATCCTCATTTTACAGATGGGAAAACTGAGCAGGTCATTTTCCAACAATTCGCTGACACCAACTGGATGTCCTACAGTTCAATTCGATTCTGACACTAACTACCTAGAATTAGCACAGACCCCCAAGTTAAGGGCTCAGTCCTACAAGGCCCTACGTTAGACACCAGCCATAGGTGGGATCCCCAAGCTATCTACACTTCAGCCTGGCCAACTACAAATTAAGCGGTTATCATGATCTTCCTTTCAGGTTCCATAATTTGCTAGAATAACTCACAGGATTCAGGAAAGCATGTACTTAGAATTATAATTTTATTATAAAGGATATGACTCAGAAACAGCTAAATGGAAGAGATGCGAAGGACGAAGTATGGGTTTGGGGTGATGCAGAGTTTCCTTATCTTCCCTGGGCAGCACTCTCCTAGCACATCTGTTTGTTCCCCAACCCAAAAGCTGCCTGAACCTAGTTGTTTCTGGGTTTTCCTATGGTGTTTCATTACCTAGACATAATTAAACTATTGGCCACATGACTGAACTTAATCTGTAGTACCCCTCCCCTCCCTGGATGTGGGGGTGGTGCTGAAAGTTAAACCCTCTAATCATGTGCTCCGTCTTTCCTAACATAAGTCACCTCATGAGCATAAATTCTGGTAAAGCTGACAGTGACTCATTATGAATAACTGACACTCCTATCACTCAGGAACTTCTAAGAGTTTCAGGAGCTCTGTACCAGGAACCAGGGGCAAAGAACAGTATATTTTTTATGTCACGCTGAGGCACAGAGAGGTTAACTTGTCCAAGATCAAATAGTATGTGACAGAGCTGAGATTGAAAATTTTAAAAATTCATATGTATGAACATATACAGGAAGGAAATATCCCAAAATGTTTAAGTTAGAAGATGGGATTATATTAAAACATATTTACTAGGATTATAAATTTATACATACAACGTCATGGGAAATGTAATCTTTACTACAACTTGGAGTGGAGATGTTGCATCATTTGACAATCCTAAAGTTGCAGAATATTAGAGCTAAAGAACCTCTTTAAAAATAAGGAACTATGATCCACAGCATGAGACTTGATCTATATCATACAGTGGGTTGATGACAGAACTGAAGCTAGAATCCAGTTCTCTTTGTTTCTGTCTGTCTCAATTTTATATAAATCAGCTAGATGCTCCTCTGGTCTGTGTTCATGTAGATTAGATATGGACACAGACCATAGCTTTCATATATGTTTGAGATCCTGGCCCTTTATTCAGACTTTCCGATTTTGTATAGGAATCCTCAGCCCCTCCCCACACTGAGACTCAAGTTTTGGCTTGGCGTAGGGTACCTCTGAGATGAAAGACCCAAATAGGACTCTCCTAACTGTCTCCCTGATCTAACCTTGGCCTCCATGAGGGGAAGAAGATAAATAAGGGTACAGTCTTCCCTTGGCAACCCCTTTTTCCAAGTTATCCCAGTTACCAACAAAATTTCTCTGTTACAGGGCTCTGTGGACTGTCCCACTCTGGAGTTTGAGTATGGAGATGCAGATGGGCATGCAGCCGAGTTGTCAGGTATGAGGTAGATGGGTCAGTAGCTAGTGGAAGAATGGCCAGGAGGAGAGGGAAGGGGCCTGTGATCTCCCTGGAAGCTTGTCTGTTCTCACCAAGTGGCTGTTGAACAAAGGCTGTTCTCCACATTCCTTTTCCTCTCCATCCAAGTGGTAAATATCTCTTTGTTTGTCTTCACATTTCCTTCTGTGATTCTCCTTGGCTATGGTATTCTTCATTCTGTCATTCTATCACTCTTTCCTGCTCACTCTTCTTTATTCTCTTTGAAAATAACTGATTTGGTGCACTCTCAAATCAGTTTTCTCTCCATCTTCTCCATATTCCTTCTCTTTTTCTCTTCCTGTCACCCATATCTTTGCCTGCCTACTTCTTTCTGCTGCCCTCTTTCTATCCCATGCCATCTCTTTTTCCTTTGTCTCCTCTACCTCCATCTTTTCCTTCTTCCTCTCGCAACTGCCCCTTATTAAAATCTCAGCAAAGTCCGAGGAAAAACTATAGTCAACTGGCCAGCTGAGCAAGGCTGGACATGTCACCTGCATCCATCATAGTAGAGTTCTGCTTGGATGTTTATGAGCTGGGGTTAAGTAATTCCATTCTTCTTTCAGTGCTGGCCTGCTTGTCTCTGTCTGGATTTTTAGCTTAGGGTAAATGTGATCTCCTCACATTAAGGGCCTCCATGTTACATGTGCTATGAATGCCAGTTATTAATAAACAAGCTTTGGGTGGAGATGTGTGAAATTTAAATATTCTGTCACATGGAAGTGATACTTTGAGGCATGCTTTTTCAGAGAAAAGAGACAAACAATTTTAAAGACGTTCTTGTGCATGAGCACAGAGAATAAATTTTGTGATGAGTGACAGAGAAATAGAGAGCTAAGTTTAATAACCAACAAAGGATTAGAATTCATAATAGGAATATGATATAAATATATATATATTTTAAAGAGAGGAGAGAGATGAGCAACCCAACAAAGAAATGGGCAAAGAATATAAATGGGAATTTATAGAAGAAAAAGCCAAATGGTCAATAAATATATGAGAAGATATTGAACTTTATTAGTATATGGGGAAAAGCAAATTAAAATAATAAAATATTATTTCACAATCATCAGAGTGCAAAACTTAAAAGCCTGGGGTTGGTGAGGGTGCAGAGAAATTAGTACTTTTATGCACTGCTAGACATGGGGGGAGCAGAGTATAAAATTGAAAAGCATTTTGCTTATATCTTGCAAAGTTGAAGATGTGCACATATTGTGACCCAACAAGTCTACTCCTAGATATCCACTCTAAAGAAAATTACACTTGGGCACAAGAAAATGTACAAAGATGTTTATTGCAGCCTTGTTTATCAGTGTAAAAAGTTGGAAACAACCTACAATGCTCATCAGTAGGGAAATGGATAAACTATAGCATATTAGTGCAGTAGGCTATTGAATAGCCATTAAAATAATAATTGATCTAAATCAATATATTTATTTTTTATTTTTTTATTTTTGAGACAGAGTCTGGCTCTGTTGCTTACGCTTGAGTGGCACACTCTCAGCTCACTACAGCCTTGAGCTCCTGGGCTCAAGTGATCCTCCCACCCCAGCCTCTCAAGTAGCTATGCCTATGGTCATAGGCATGCCCTACCATGCCCAGCTAATTTTGTGCCACCATGTCCAGCTAATTTTGTGCCACCATGTCCAGCTAATTTTGTTTATCTTTTGTAGAAACAGAGTCTCACCATGTTGCCAAGGCTGGTCCTGAACTCCTGGGCTCAAGTGATCCTCCTGCCTTGGCCCTCCAAAGTGCTGGGACTACAGGTGTGAGCCACCACACCTGGCCTCAACATGTTTCAGTATCAATAAATGCTTGGCCAGGTACGGTAGCTCACATCTTGTAATCCCAGCACTTTGGGAGGCCGAAGTGGGTAGATCACCTGTCAGGAGTTCGAGACCAGCCTGACCAATATGGTGAAACCTTGTCTCTAGTAAAAATACAAAAATTAGCTGGGCATCGTGGCATGCACCTGTAGTCCCAGCTACTGGGGAGGCTGAGACAGGAGAATTGCCTGAACCTGGGAGGCAGAGGTTGCAGTGAGCCAAGATCACGCCACTGCACTCCAGCCTGGGTGACAAAGTGAGACTCCATCTCAAATAATAATAATAATAATAAATGCTAAAGATAAAATTGGGACAAAGGATCAGTAACAAAGGAATTTATACAATAGGATACTGCTTGGATAAAAAAGTTTTTAAACAGAGCAATATCATATGTTTACAGGCATATGTGCATATAGCAAAAGTAGAAAAATAGGCTTGTGAAGGATACACACCAATTTCATTATAGCAGTTGCCTCTGGAGAAGGGAATAAGATAGACTGGGGAGCAGTCTGAAGCAAATATAACAAATGCTAACATTTGTTTGACCTGGGTAGAAGATAATACACAGGTGTCTTAAATGTACTATTCTGTTCTTACCTGTATATAAAAATTCATAATCTAAAATTTAAAAATAAAAAGACCAAGACTAAAGTTCAGTACCTAAGAGCCTTGCCCACTTTTCTGATTTGGTTTTTGGTGCTTTAATCTTAAAAATATATATATTCACCTCTCCACTAATGACTGAAGAATTTAAGATTCAGTGATGGGATTTGCTTCTGGTCACTCCTAGATTCTGGAACTTAAGACTCAAAAGCCCTGACTCCCAGACAAGGTGTTTCTCAACCATTAGACAGCTGGCTGGAACATAAGTGAATTTCTCTTGCTTTGTGAATTACCTGTGACCTGGTTAAATTTCCAGGAAGGGTCTCAGGTAGGGAGCAGAGATTTAAAGGAAATCTGTTCTATCATCTGTTGACTTCTGTATTTCAGTTCTTCATCTTCTGTAAGATGAGGGTACATATACAATGTTCTGGAGAGAGATAGAGAGAGTAGGAAAGGGCATTTTTATTTCTTTTCTTCTTTCTTTCTTTTTTTTTTTTTTAAGAGACAGAGTCTTATTCTGTTACCCCAGGCTGGAGTGCAGTGACATGATCATAGCTCACTAAAGCCTCAAACTCCTAAGCTCAAACGATCCTCCACCTCAGCCTCCTAAGTAGCTAGGACTACAGTCATGTGCCACTACACCTGGCTAATGTTTAAATTTTTTGTAGAGATAGGGTCATGCTATGTTGCCCAGGCTAGACTCAAACTCCTGGCCTCAAGCAATTCTCCTGCCTCAGCCTCTCAAAGTGCTGGGATTACAATCCTATAGGTCTGAGCCATCACACGTGGCTGGCATTTTTATTTCTCATAAGCTTTTTGCATTTTGTATTGAGAGGCTGCTGTTAGCAAAGTTAGATTTTCCTGGGCACAGCAGCCCTTTGACAACCATAGCTGTTCTCTAGAGTTTTTTTTGCAGCCTCTGCTTTGTGGCTGTGGGCAGGAATCTAAACTTCTATACCCTTTGAGGAAACTTAGCAGGGAGAGAATGAACTGGTTCCAACCCTGAAGAACCATCTAGCACTTACTTTTCAGCCCTTGCCATGGTTTCCTGATCCAGCACAAGGATCTTTCCTCTAAGTTTCAGGAGTTGTGTTGCCCTCCTCTTCTCTTAGAGATGGGATAGTTCCTGGTTGGGTTGACAAAGCAGGAGTTGCAGCCCTGAGAAACAGGAGTGATGAGATTAAGCTCTCTGTGCTGCAGTCCTCCTCTTGGCCCTCACCAAATGTTGAAGGCTGCCTTCTCTGCTGCAGCAGCCAGCTGGCAGGAAGAGGACAGGTTTGATGGTTTAATCTCCCAGGGACACAAGTGGCTATTTTTAACGTTGCTCTGAAAAGGAGGAAGCTAGCTTTGGATTCATTGGACACAGGAATGTGTTGGAAGCTTCAGCTCTTTCATGCCACCCTCTCTACTTTGGGCCTCTTCTTTAAGGATCTCCCGAATGTGACTGTTCTGTCTTTCCTGCCACAGAATTGTATAGTTACACTGAGAACCTGGAATTCACCAATAACAGGAGGTGCTTTGAAGAAGATTTCAAGACTCAAGGTAATTCCAGATCTTTACTCATAGAGACCTGCTTTTTCCTTTTATGATATACCAGCCTGATCTAGTAAAAGACTAAAACAAAGTGCGATCCTTCATCCCCTCTGTATTAGTTAGGGTTCTCTTAGAGGGATAGAACTAATATGATAAATAGATAGATATATATAAAGGGGAGTTTATTAAGTATTAACTTACACAATCACAAGGTCCCATAATAGGCTGTCTGCAAGCTGAGGAGCAAGGAGAGCCAGTCTGAGTCCCAAAACTGAAGAACTTGGAGTCCGATATTCGAGGGCAGGAACTATCCAGCACAGGAGAAAGATGTAGGCTGAAAGGCTAGGCCCATCTCTCCTTTTCATGTTTTTCTGCCTGTTTTATATTTGCTGGCAGCTAATTAGATTGTGCCCACCAGATTAAGGGTGGATCTGCCTTCCCCAGCCGGCTGACTCAAATGTTAATCTCTTCTGGCAACATCCTCACAGATATACCCAGGATCAATACTTTGTATCCTTCAATCCAATCAAGTTGACTCACAGTATTAACCATCGCAAGTCCACCCCTTGTCAGCTCGAACTCATACACATCTCCTGAGATCATACATAATCTTCAATTAAAGACAATAATAAGGGCATAGTTATGCCTAACATAATTGTACAAAGGATAACATAAATATCCTTTGTACAACTGGAAACTCACCAATCCCCAACCCAAATACTATTATATAAAGTTAACAATACTTAAATGCTGATATGAAGTCAATAAATCTTATGTCACATGATAAAGGAGAAAGAAAATAAAATGAAGATATTAATACAAGTGTATACACGCACAAACATGTTTTTAACAAAAGAAGAAGGAAATACTCATGACCAGCTGGTCACGTGGTCGTAGCTGGTATTGATGACTACCTTCTTCTACTACCCATTCTGTATTCCCTTTGCATTCAGCAAGCAGCTTGGCAGGTCGTGGTTTTTTTCCTGGTGGAGTAATCCAAACCTTCATTCCTGAGGGGTCTGGGTCATTTGTAGTCCTGCCTGGATTGGGGTGTTGTAGTTTCCCATCGACCTTAATCACAGGGCATAGTAATACTAAGAGACGCCCTAATGGATCTCCTGTATTCCATGCATACTCTTCCTTACCTCCGTTGTGGAGTAGTAGACTGATTTCATCTTGATAGTCTGGGTCAGTCACCCCAGCCAACACTGTAACTCCCTTCTTAGCCTGTTGACTTAAAGGTAGGAGGACCCCAAAGTGTCCAGGTGGCAATCTTAACTTCCAGTTTAATGGAATCATTGTTGTGTCTCCTGGTGGCAGTTTCCTCCCTCTGGAGCTAAAACCTCTAGGCCAGCAGAACGTAATGTCACGGGAACAGGAAGCAAAAATTTTGCTACTAGATCACTAGGGGTGATGGTGAGTGGTGCCACTTCCACCCCTTGATTCCTGGACCGGTGAATCCTGACTATGGGAAAAACAGTACCATATGTTGGATGCTGATTCAGAGCATACACGGCCTTCTGGAGAACTTTGCCCCAGCCCTGCAAAGTATTGTCACCTAGTTGGCATTGTAATTGTGACTTCAAAAGGCCATTTCACCGTTCTATCAATCCAGCTGCTTCAGGATGATGGGGAACATGGTAAGACCATGAGCATGAGCCCACTGCCACACTTCTTTAGCCATGAAATGAGTGCCTTGGTCAGAGGCAATGCTTTGTGGAATACCATGACGGTGGATGAGGCATTCCATGAGTCCATGGATGGTAGTCTTGGCAGAAGCATTGCTTGCAGGATAGGCAAACCCTTATCTGGAGTAAGTGTCTATTCTAGTGAGGACAAACCTCTGCCCTTTCCATGACAGAAGAGGTCCAATACAATCAACCTGCCACCAGGTAGCTGGCTGATCACCCTGAGGAATGGTGCCTTATCCAGGGCTCAGTGTTGGTCTCTGCTGCTAGCAAATTGGGCACTCAGCAGTGGCCGTAGCCAGGTCAACCTTGGTGAGTGGAAGTCCATGTTACTGAGCCCATGCGTAACTTCCGTCCCTGCCACAGTGGCCACTTTGCTCATGGGCCCATTGGACAATGACAGAGGTGCTGGGGAAAGAGGCTGATTGGTGTCCACAGAACGGGTCATCCTATCCACTTGATTATTAAACTCCTTCTCTGCTTTGGTCACCCACTGGTGAACACTCACATGGAGTACAAATATCTTCATAGTTTTTGACCACTCAGAGAGGTCCATCCACATACTTCTTTCCCCAATTTTTTTGTCACCAATTTTCCAATCATGCTTCTTCCAAGTCCCTGACCATCCAGCCAAATCATTGGCTATAGCCCATGAATCAGTATTTAATCGCACATCTTACCATTTATCCTTCCATGCAAAGTACACAGCCAGGTGCACTGCTCAAAGTTCTGCCCACTGGGAAGATTTCCCTTCACTGCTGTCCTTCAGGGATGTCCTAGAAAGGGGCTGTAGTGCTGCAGCCATCCACTTTCAGGTGGTGCCTGCATATCGTGCAGAACCATCTGTAAACCAGGCCCTGGTCTTCTCTTCCTCTGTCAACTTATAGGGAGCTCCCCATGAGGCCATCAGTGCAGGCTGGGGGAAAGAAGCCAGGGTGGCAGGACTGGAGACCATGGGCATTTGAGCCACTTCCTCATGTAACTTACTTGTGCCTTCAGGACCTGCTTGAGCCCGATCACGTATATACCACTTCCATTTGATGATGGAATGCTGCTGTGCACGACCCACTTTATGGCTTGATGGGTCAGAAAGCACTCAGTTCATGATAGGCAGTTGAGGTCGCATGGTGACTTGATGACCCATAGTCAAACGTTCAGTTTCCACCAAAGACCAGTAACAGGCCAAGAGCTGTCTCTCAAAAGTAAAGTAGTTATCTGCAGAAGATGGCAGGGCCTTGCTCCAAAATCCTAAAGGCCTCCACTGTGATTCATCTCTGGGAGCCTGCCAAAGGCACCAAACAGCATCCCCATCTGCCGCTGACACCTCAAGCACCATTGGATCTGCTGGGTCATATGGCCCAAGTGGCAGAGCAGCTTGCACAACAGCCTGGGCCTGTTGCAGAGCCTTCTCTTGTTCTGGACCCCACTAAAAACTGGGTGGGGTCCAGATAAATGGGCAGGAATAACACACCCAAATGAGGAATGTGTTGCCTCCAAAATCCAAATAGACCCACTAGGCATTGTGCTTCTTGGTTGTAGGAGGGGCCAAATGAAGCAACTTATCCTTCACCTAAGAAGGAATATCTCAACAGGTCCCACAGCACTGGATCCTTGGAATTTTACTGAGGTAGAAGTTCCCTGAATTTTAATCAGATTTATTTCCCGTCCTCTGGCACACAAATGTCTCACCAATAAGTCCACTGCATTTGCTACTTCTTGCTCACTGGATCCAATCAGCATAATGTCATCAATGTAATGGACCAATGTGATATCTTGTGGAAGCAAAAAGCGATCAAGGTCTCTCCGAATAAGATTATGACTCAAAGCCAGAGAATAGATATACCTCTGGGGTAGGACAGTAAAGGTATATTGCTGTCCCAGCCAGCTGCAGGCAAATTGCTTCTGGCGGGCCTTATGGACAGGAATGGAGAAAAAGGCACTTGCCAAGTCAATGACCACGTACCAGGTACCAGAAGATGTGTTAATTTGCTCGAGCAATGAAACCACATCTAGTACAGCAGCTGCAATTGGAGTCACCACTTGGTTAAGCTTACGATAATCCACTGACATTCTCCAAGATTCATCTGTCTTCTGCACAGGTCAAATGCGAGAGTTGAACAGGGTTGTGGTGGGAATCACCACTCCTTTGTCTTTCAAGTCCTTGATGATGGCACTGATCTCCACAATCCCTCCAGGGATGTGATATTGTTTTTGACTTACTATTTTTCTAGGTAGAGGCAGCTCTAATGGCTTCCATTTGTCCTTTCCCACCATAGTAACGCTCACCCTACCAGTCAGGGAGCCACTGTGGGGGTTCTGCCAGCTACTAAGTATGTCTATGCCAATTATGCATTCTGGCACTGGGGAAGTGACCACAGGATGAGTCTGGGGGCCCACTGTAAGTCAGGCCTGAGCTAAAACTTCATTAGTTACCTGACCTCCATAAGCCCCTACTTTAACTGGAGGACCACAATGACATTTTGGGTGCCCTGGAATCAATATCAGCTCAGAGCCAGTGTCCAGTAGTCCCCGAAATGTCTGATCATTTCCCTTTCCCCAGTGCACAGTTACCCTAGTAAAAGGCCAGAGGTCTTCTTGGGGAAGGATGGGAGAAAAATTCACTGCATAAATTGTTGGTAATGTAGTGGGGTCCTTCCTCAAGGGAACCCGGCCTCCCCTTCATTCAGGGGGTTCCAGGTCTATTAACTGGCTCAAGTCTGGAAATTGAGAGGCCATGATTCTCTGTTTTTATAATTCAAATTAGTCTTTCGTCCATTCGACCTACAAGTTTTCTGCTTGTATAAAGTAGGAATATAGTAGGCTTCCTATCAGTTTCACTTCTAGAAACACTGTGATTAATTAGCCAATGCCACAGCTCTACATGAGTCAGACTATTCTGATTGCTCCTTTGCCTCTGCCATCCATTATGGTAGCTATGCTCACCTTGCCTTTGATGGTCGAGTGCTTCCACTTGGCCCCTGCCACCTCGGGATCCAATTATTCCCATTGTATTTAAATTTTGTAGTTGAGTGACTGTGGTTCCCACCATTAGCTCTGGCATAAGGAGAAAAGCAATTACAGGACTCTTCAAAGATGCAGTTGCTGCCTTCATAAATCTATTTTATAATGCATTGGTCAAGGGTGTATCTGCTGGACCCTCCCAGCTGGGATGAGTAGATCTAAAGTGACTAATCCACTCCACCATCCCAATCTCCCTAAGCCTTTGGATCCCTTCCTCTACATTAAACCAAGGGAGAGCAGGCATTTCCAGCTCACTCAGAGTGGGCCATCTTTTAATCCATAATTCAGCTGACCAAATAAACTATTAGAACCTTTTTTAACTCCCCAAGCTGCAACATTGAACGCAGAGCCCCTACTTAGTGGGCCTAAATCAATAAATTGAGCCTGATCCAACTCTGTGTTCCTTCCTCCATCATCCCATACCCTTAATATCCATTCCCATGCCTGTTCTCCAGATTGCTGTTTATATAAATTAGAGGACTCAAATAGTTCTTTTTGAGTGTAGCACACCTCCTCATGGGTCACACTCTCAACCTCACCTCTAGGGGCCTGCCAGGACTTTCGTCTAGTTATAGGTCTAGAACCAAACAAAGGTGTTGAGGGTAGCTTCTGAGGAGAAGCAATATTATCTTGCCTGGCAACTGTTTCAGGGCAACTGCCATCACTGTTGCTTCAGGCAGTGCAGGGTTTATCTCCTCAGACAAAGGTGGAAAGGCTGATGGCAGCATGGGTCAGGGAGGAGATATTGCCACTACTGGGGATGGGGAAACTGTTCCTCCTGGCAAAAAAGGTTCATCAGAGTTTACAAACTCAGTGTGCCCAGCTTCACCAGGGTCCTCCCACATGTCCCCATTCCAAGTTTCAGGGTCCCATTCTTTTCCAATAAATGCCCTCACTTTAACAGTAGACACCTGACAAGGCTGTAAATGCATCTTTCATTGCAGTTCAGCCATTCACATGACAAAAGCTTGTGTCTGTTTTTCCACAATTTCAGCTCTTTCTCTGCAGGAGATAAGACTCTCACTCAGGGCAATCTTAGCAGATTTGAGGCTCAGTATCTGCTTCTGAAGCTGGGAGACAGAATCCCTGAGTTCATCATTTTCTTTCATCACTTTGTCCACTGAACTTCGGAGCAACCAACCAGCTTCCTTATGTTCCTTGGTTCTCCACATATGGTCAAAGGTATTATGTATAGTCACTAAACTCCTTGCCTCTCATGAGTGGTGAATCAGGAATGTCAAATGCATTTATTTTGCATAACTCTCTAAACAGTTTCCACCAAGGACTATCAGTGTTCTCTATACTATTAGAAGTAGATTTCTTAGCATTTTTGGATCTAATCATATTAAGCAGCCAACTCCAGAAATCTCAAAACCACTGAAAGAACTCCATCCTTAATATTCTGTTCCTCTAGAACCACTCCTGGTACCCAAATCTGTATTAGTCAGGGTTCTCTTAGAGGGATAGAACTAATAGGAAATATATATATATTAACCTTCACACCCTCCATAACCATGTAGCCTTTCCTTCTTGCTTAGGGGATACAGGGTTCTCTGTATCTCAAGTGGAGAGCAATGGAGTAGAAGCATGAGAAGCTGGTGCTGTGCTGCCTGATAGAACCCTTGACCTTAATGTTTCATCCCATCTTCAACTTTGCCCTACTCTCAATAGTAATTTCATGTGCCCACACTGTGACATTCTCAGACATTCTCATCCATTTCCTTACTTGGTCAGTGGCAATTCAATTTTCAGTTCAACAAATGTGTGGTGAGTATCTATTCTGTGTCAGATACTGGAGGCAGGAGTGAGAAGCAGCTTTTACAAAGAAGTTAGAGTTTGAGAGCAGGGGAATCATGTGCACATCACAAAACTAGCTGAGGCTCAAACAATCCTCCTGCCCCAGCCTCCCAAGTAGCTAGGATTACAGGCATGTGCCACTATGCCCAGCTTCTGCCCAAGGGCCTTCTCTGCAGCCTATACAGGGCAGCCAGGAATTGTAGGGAATCAGTGTGTTCCTCTAGTTTAGCACCCCTCATCCAAGAGAAAAATGCTGTGTCAGAAAAGTTTTAAAAGTGTTATGGAAGCAGAGTATTTGGCCACAGCATTAGTGAGAAAGGTCCTTTTTTTTTTTTTTTTTTTTTTTTTTTTTTTTTTTTGAGACGGAGTCTCGCTCTGTCGCCCAGGCTGGAGTGCAGTGGCGGGATCTCGGCTCACTGCAAGCTCCGCCTCCCGGGTTCACGCCATTCTCCTGCCTCAGCCTCCCAAGTAGCTGGGACTACAGGCGCCCGCCACTACGCCCGGCTAATTTTTTGTATTTTTAGTAGAGACGGGGTTTCACCGTTTTTTTAGCCGGGATGGTCTCAATCTCCTGACCTCGTGATCCGCCCGCCTCGGCCTCCCAAAGTGCTGGGATTACAGGCGTGAGCCACCGCACCCGGCCGAGAAAGGTCCTTTTATATTGGGCATGTAAGACTGGGAAAGAGGTCATTTTGTATTGTGCCTGTAAGGATGACTAGGAATTGAATATGTAGGGAGACAGAGGGAACTCCTTGAGGAAAGGCAGAAAGACAGGACAGTATGGGCTGTGTGTGGAGGACAGAGGGGATGTTGAAGGTGAGGCTATAGACTGGGTTCAGGCCAGAACATTTTGGGTCCTTTTCCCATACCTTATTCTTTCTCAGTGAAATAAGGAAAGCTTTTGGAGAAAATAATTTTGGCAGGGGAGCTGAGATCAGAGGTGGATATGCTATGAGGAGCCTTTCCAGGAAGGGTGGCAATAGCTGACACTGGATGTATATGGCCTTTTATTCCCAGTGCAGGGCAAGGAATGGCTGGAGTTGGAAGAAGATGCCCAAAAGGCCTATATAATGGGACTCTTGGACCGGCTAGAGGTGGTCAGTAGGGAACGGCGGCTGAAGGTGGCCCGGGCTGTTCTCTACCTGGCCCAAGGTGAGTGACCACCCTTGCTAGCTTTAGAGGGGTGGAGGCTTGAGAGGGAAGTGGGCATTATCAGGACTGAGATGACGCAGGCTGTGCTGGGAAAGCAAGGTTTCTTGCCTCTCAAGGACAGATCTTGTCATGTGCTAGGAGTAACCTGTGCTTATGAGGAAGATGAGATAGTGTTGAGTGCTGTTCTAGATCCCTCGGGATCTGCCTTTATCTTACCAGGTATGTCAGAATTTTTTATAGGGTTCTTCTTTTCCCTACCCTGTACTATAATCATATGTGAATACTAGCAAGAGGTGTGGCCAGAGCTGATATGTACCACCAGCTGATCATGGAGACAAGACATCAACTGTGGCCTGGCCCCAAAACTGAGGAGAAATAGGAGAGTGTCACAGATACACATGGACCCCTTGCATTGTTTCTCATTGGCATTTTGAAAGTTCAAGCCAACATAACTGCGGGAGTGGATGCTGTGAGTAATTTGGAGATGATCAGAACTAAATAGAGTAATTGGGGAAAGCTGCTCAGAAGAAACCTGTTAGCCAGGTGTTGGAAAGGGAAATGAGATAGCCTAGCTGGAGTGAAAATAAGCCTACGATCATAAATATAAGGCGTGTTAACAGAACCAACCAGTTGGGAGCTAAAAAAAAAATTGTAAAATAAAAAAATAATAAATGAAGAGGGGAAAGGGTGGACATTAGGTGAAGAGAAGACTAGCAAATAGGACTGTGCCCTCCTGTATCTCTTGGGTCTGGTGCTCTGGCCAACTTCCAACTGCCAGTACCTTCATATGTTTGCCCAAGGACTTTATTTATCTAAGTTTTTTAAAAGAAAGTCTCACTGTGTTTCCCTGGCTGGTCTTGAACTCATAGGCTCGAGCTATCCTCCTGCTCCAGCCTCCTAAGTAGCTAGGATTATAGGCATGTGCCACCATGCTCAGCTTCTGCTCAAGGGCCTTCTCTGCAGCCCATACAGGGCATCCAGGAAGTGTAGGGAATCAGTGTGCTCCTTTAGTTTAGCACCCTCATCCAATGACTAACAGGAGTTAGTGGATGGATAGCCTGACTGTCTCACCCCTCTTGGATAGAATAACTGTGAGTTGTGTGTTTTATACTGTTTCCAAATTATCCCCTGAGTGAACTCTTTGGGCTTCCTTTTCTTCCCTATCTCTACTGATGATTCCTGGGAATGATTCCCAAATAAGCTACTTGCACTGGAATCCTTACTTACCTCAGGATCTGCTTCTGGGAGAACTCACCCTTAAGACGATAGGCCATTGATGAGCACATTGGACCTAACCCTGGAGACTACCTCTCCTCTCCCCTGACTCATTCCAGGAAGTTCTTGGGGCCCCTGTCATACCTATGTCAGCCTAATTATTAGGCAGAGTATTATAGGAAAATCTTAAGATCATGGGGCAGGGTGGAAAGAACTGGGATACTGCCACCCCTCAACCCCTGTAACAACTGTCTGGTCCTTTAGGTACTTTTGGGGAATGTGATTCAGAGGTCGATGTGCTACACTGGTCCAGGTACAACTGCTTCCTGCTGTATCAGATGGGGACCTTCTCCACCTTCCTGGAGCTACTCCACATGGAAATTGAGTGAGAAGCCTTAGGGGAAGGGCTGGCCTACATAACCCCCATTCCTTAAAGGGGCCTCATGTTCTATGCTGCTTCCCTCACTATAGAGACCCCCTGTGAGGAACTGGGTCTACTCACACCTCAGCCCAAAGCTCATTGACAGTTCCCCTCCATCCAGCCATGTTCTCTGATATTCTGTTCTCCCTCCCTGAGGTTGGATACATCTGCAGCTTCTGCCTCACTTACAGCTTTAATCCTGGGCTTCAGGGGCCTATCCTGAGTGGGTTCTCTTTTTATTCAAGGACTTTCTTAGCTCAGCCTAACTCTGGAATTCAAGAGGGAAACTATTTTGAATGCATGACCCAAGAAAGACAGGAAATCAATTCCTGTCATTGTGCCCAATTCTTTCCCTCATGGGCTATAGTTCTAGAGGTGGCCTTATTTGCTGCTACCACTACAGTGACCCCTTGTTTTGTCTCATGCCCATCACCCAGGAGTTTGAGATAGGGTGCAATCTGCTTATTATTCATCAGGTGTTTCTTAGCATCTGTTTTATGTCCAGCACAGTTCTAAGCATAGTGGGGAATGCAAGAGGAGTGGATACCACAGATCCTGCCCTTGCCTTGTCTTCACCATAGATGAGAGTTTGCTGAGGTGGCAGGGGAATTCTGTCAGCTCCTTTACTCTAGACCAGTTTCATTAGTGGCTGCCTAGCCAGGGAATGGCAAGCACTCATATTTGTGTGAGTGATAAGTAAGAGCACAGAGAGAAAAGAAGTCTTATGCATTCCTGTTCTTTTTCTCCTCCCCTGGCAGCAACAGCCAGGCCTGTAGCAGTGCCCTTCGGAAACCAGCTGTCTCCATAGCTGATAGCACAGAGCTCAGGTGAGTGGGGCTAACTATGGGCTTGGAACAGGGCAGATGATTAGCACCTGGGTTACCTTTTCCCCAAATCCCAGATGACTCAGACCATTAGGAAGTTGCCCTGTAGCTAATCTCACTGGGTTGGGCTTCCCACAGAGACCATCTCTGAGGTCTGTGACTATGGGCTGGGAATTGCCTTGGGAACCTCTTGTGACTCTTCTGTAACCCCAGGGTGCTGCTGAGTGTTATGTACCTAATGGTGGAAAATATTCGCCTGGAGCGAGAGACAGACCCCTGTGGGTGGAGAACAGCCCGGGAGACCTTCCGCACTGAATTAAGTAAGAAATGGCACTTGAGGAAGGTGTGGATGGGGTGCTAATGGGAGAGGGGAAGCAGAGCATCTGCCTAGGAGAGGCAGACAGTCGTTTTTTCTTTTGTTTTCTTTTTTAAAATTAATGTCCTTTCTTTTAGGACACAGATACTGCATGGCAGGCACAAGGGCTGGGCTTGATTGCCGCCCTGTATCTATGAGCTAAGACCAGCCATGTAACTTCTCTATGCCTTGGTTTCCTTGGTTATAAGTGGGGATAGCCATTCCTCTCCCACTCTATCACGAGTCCCACATGAAAAAATGAGTTGAATCACCTTGAAAACTGAGTTCTGTTCAAATGTAAGTTGGTGTTGTCATCTGACAGGGATAGGATATGAAGGACTATGGGATTTTAAAAATATATTTATTGATGTGGAAAAGTGAATGACATTGAGTCCTTTAGCCAGAAAGCAATGTCTTCATTATTGTTACTTCTAGTTTGGCATCCAACCCCAAAGCGTCACCCTAAGCTCTGGGGCCTATGCCATTTTAATTCCATGGCGTCCCTTCCTGCCCTTGAGGGGCTTCCTTCTGGGGGCTAAGCCTCCTTCTCAGGACCAAGTACTCTGGTATTCTTCAGGGGAGGTGAGTGCCTTCCTGTGTGTGTCCAGAATCAGGGTTACATGAAAAAGGTTTTAGCTGCCTCATCCTCACTTTCTCACTCCCCTCTCTCCTCACCCCTAGGCTTCTCCATGCATAATGAGGAGCCTTTTGCCCTTTTACTCTTCTCCATGGTTACCAAGTTCTGCAGTGGCCTGGCTCCTCACTTCCCCATAAAGAAGGTCCTGCTCCTGCTCTGGAAGGTGGTCATGGTGAGTAATTCTCCCCACTCCCACATTATCAGATCAGCAATGCCCTATGCCACCTCAGTTTCTTCTAGTCTCATTCCAGGAGGCTGGATCCAGGGAGCAGAACAGGCAGCCCTTAGCCAACTGCTAATATGGAGGGGCAACAAGGCTGTCCTAGAGACATCAGATGTTCTATGTTAGAATGGGTTTCATGTTTCTATTGGATGGATGGGAGATGCCACTCCATAAATTGGGGATGTCAGTGGTACCTTCTCTTATTAAAGCCAATGTTTGATGGAGAGAACACTGGTTGAAAGTTGGTAGATCTGGGCTTTGCTGATACTGAGAAACTTTGGGCAACTCTCTGTGCCTCAATTTCTCTAGCTGTAAAAGGTTGGGGTGAGTGCCTGCCCTCCCTCCAGATAAACAGAGGTTTTGTATTTTTTTTTTAATAAAAATAATTTTTTCTTACAGACAGGCCTCCCTGTGTTGCCTGGGCTGGTCTTGAACTCCTGGTCTCAAGCAATCCTTTCACCTTGGCTTCCCAAAATGTTGGGATTACAGGCATGAGCCATTGTGCCTGGCCAGGATTTGCTTTTTAAAAAATAATGAAGTTCTTATAAATATGTGGTTACATTTCTGTTACTAGTTATTCAACCTGATCCTTCATTTTTGGCTCCCATCTCACAAGGCAGGCCTAATAGGGGGAACTGCCTCTTGACTGCAGAGGAAATTGAGTGACTCTGGGGGTTTATAGCACCTGGATGGTGTTCCTTAAAAAAGTCGATAGTTTCTTTTTTTTCTTTTTTTTTTTTTTTGAGGAGGCCCGCAGGAATTCCTTTCCTAAATTCTGTGATATTTCCCATACTGGGGCAGTAAATAATGCCTTATCCTGACCCCTGAGCTCCTCAGTTGCCGTGGGGATGGTAATCATATTTGCCTCTTTATGTTTTACTACCTCCTTATTAAGGAAAAGGTCTGAAGGGACTGGAGGTTGTGGCCCTTTCTTTTCATCCATGTTTCCCTGACCTTGGCTCTCTCTTACTTCCCTTCCTTCCTCTCTCTCTGCCCCTTTCCTGTTTCTTCCTTAGTTTACCCTCGGTGGATTTGAGCATCTGCAGACTCTCAAAGTACAGAAGCGGGCAGAATTGGGCCTGCCTCCACTGGCTGAAGACAGTATCCAGGTGGTGAAGAGCATGCGTGCTGCCTCCCCGCCCTCTTACACTCTTGACCTGGGAGAGTCTCAGCTGGCACCCCCACCCTCCAAGCTGCGAGGCCGCCGTGGCTCTCGAAGGGTATGGACTGAAGCAGACAATGGTATTGGGACACCGACTGGCCAAAAATCAAGATTCTAAGTTACTCTGGGTGTGGTAGGAAAAAGCAGTAAATGACCCGGCTCATCCTGCCCAGGTTGGCCCTATGACCAACCTGAAATCTTAGGGTCTCTAGTTTGGCCTCTGTCCCCCAGCCCTGACAGCCCCCTGCGCTGTTGTGATGTGACACTGTGATATCATGTCATATATAGCCATGTCTTGCTACAGAATCATTGGCCTGGACCTCAGTGCCTGGAGTTCCTTACATTCTGAATAACAATTAAGGGTATAATCCTGGGGATAGGGACCCAGGATACCGGAACAGGTCTCCAAGCAAATCCATTTTTCTGGGGTAAGGCATTTTACTATTTTGAAGCACCAGGAAGTTTTACTGTCAGCCAGCCACACTCTTAACTGGCCCTGGAACCAAAGGCTTACATTTAAGAGATGACTGGGTAGGGGTCTATGTATATAACCATGTGACACTAAACGACAGGGATACAATCTGAAAAATGTGTCATTATGCAATTTTGTCACTGAGCAAACATCATAGAGTGTACTTACACAAACCCAGATGGTATAGCCTACTGCACACCTAGGCATATAGCCTATTGTTCCTAGACTACAAACCTGTACAGCAGGTTACTATACCGAACACCATATGCAATTGTAACCCAATGGTGTTTGTGTATCTCAACCTAGAAAAGGCCAATAAAAATACAGTATTATAATCTTATGGGTCCACAATTACATATGCAGTCCATTGTTGACTGAAGCATCGTTGTGCAGCACATGACTATAGTCTGCTGTCCTGAAAAGGTCAGAATGAAAAGTTATACTGAGATCTGACTATGTTCTTACAAACTCCCCTGCCTGACCCACTTCAGTTTATCAACAGGGCTAGATAGTAGTGCTCAGTAATCCAGTCTCCATTATCTGCAATAAAATTTTTTAACTTTATTTTTGTTTTATAAAGTAATGCTTACTCATTGTAGAAAATTTGGAACAAATATAAAAATGTGATGAAGGGAGAAAAGAAAAATCACCCACAATCTTAACAACCAGAGACAGTCACTGTTAACTTTTTGGCCTATTTCTGTCCAATCTTTTTTTCTTTGTCACAAGATTTAAAATTCCAAACTTGCTTCCCTCTGCCTAGCAGCAAGCTTCTGTCCTCCTCTTCCTCAGTCAGCCAGCTGGTGTATGCTCACAGAAGGCAAACTAATTGAATGTTCACCTAAGCAGAGCATAATTAGGAAGGAAAGTGCTGGCAAAAAAAGGCATCACTGCTTTCTGAAAGCTAAGTAATTGTGACTTTGGGATTATCTATGCTATGTTCCCTGGCTAATGGCAGGGTTACCTGAGAACTTCTTGTCCTGTTATTGGGCCGGGTGGGGACAGTAGGTTAAGGTGGGGAATTGGATGTTTTCGCAAGGGCTGTGTTCAGATTCCATGTTCCCTGAAATGTGGAGGCCTGTGGATATGGGGTGGCCTCAGACAAGGATGCCCAGAGTGAGATCTCTGCATGCCTACCCTCCCTTCTTTCCCCTCCAGCAACTCCTCACTAAGCAGGACAGCCTGGACATCTACAATGAAAGGGATCTCTTCAAGACTGAGGAGCCCGCCACAGAGGAGGAAGAGGAGTCTGCTGGTGATGGAGAACGAACCTTGGATGGAGAGCTAGACCTGCTAGAGCAGGACCCTCTGGTGCCACCTCCACCCTCACAGGCACCCCTCTCTGCTGAGCGGGTGGCTTTTCCCAAGGGCCTGCCCTGGGCCCCAAAGGTCAGGTAGGTTTGATAGCATCAGGGACCCCTATGCTTCGGGGTTTCAGTCTCCAAAGGCCCAAGATGGGGTAGTCTATGTATTCAAGGCTCGTTAAGTTGGTCTGGCAGTCAGAACTCCTGGGTTTGAAATTCCTTCTGTTGATTGCTGCCTTTTTCCACTGCTCCAGTCCTCTGATTGGAGGGATAGGAGCCCGGAAAGTTTTTCTCTCTCAAAGTTTGCTTTTCTTCCCTTCTCTGGGATTGGTCTTTCCACCATCCTCTCAGACAGAAGGACATTGAGCACTTCTTGGAGATGAGCAGGAACAAGTTCATCGGATTCACCCTGGGGCAGTAAGTGACTGAATGGCTGGAACTGGCTACAGAGTGGTTCCTAGGGGGCCAGAGGAGCAGGTAGCTTGGAATGAGGGATGGTGCCTGGTGGTCATAATGTAACCTAGAGCCCCTAGGCCATGGACAACTCCCAGTGACTACTTTGGGTTCTTTCTATGGATTTCTTTTTTCCTTGAGTTTCTTCCACTTTTCCTCAAAGAACTTTTGTGTTTTTAGCCAACTGTAGGACTTTGAGCAACAAGTCATTTCTCTTTCGGGCTTAATTTTTTCCTGAGGTTGTTGGGTTAGATGGTTTCTGTGGGCCCTTCCTGCTCTAATGGGCTAAAATTCTGTGAACAAGAGACATGGTCAGAACGGATCCAGTCTTCCCCCATTCCCCAGCCTCATGAATCCTTCCCACTGGCCTCTTGAAAATTGAGTCCTTATTAGTGGAGTTTCATAGTCAAGGTGTCATTGGGCTATATACCCTTTTAAGTAGGAACCTACCACTCCTACACCAAGTGAGTACCCAAAAGACTATAAAAATCTCCTGATTTCCAGAAACATTTCTGTGTACCATTATTATTTTTGTGTCCTGAAGCACTGATGTGGGACCTACGAGCTTGCAGAGGAAGGTCTAGGGTACTGGGGGTAGATGTTGTTGAAAGTAGCATGGTCTGTTGACTCTAGGGGGGTATTGGGGTATCAGTAGTTCTCGTACTTTGGAAGCTTATGATCTGGTATGTCTGGCCTTTTACAGGGACACAGATACATTGGTTGGATTACCCAGGCCCATCCATGAGAGTGTGAAGACCCTAAAGCAGGTGACTGGGGTGGGCTCTCAGTCTTCAGGGATAGGGAGCCATCAAAGCAGGTCAGATTACCAGGCTCCTGGATACTGGGTGGGGCTTTTATACCAGACTCTTTCTGGACCTTCTGCATTCCTCCTGCAGTCCTTTGGCCAAATAGGAAAAATTAGGTCTCTCTTTACTTACTCAGTTTCCTATATTCAGGTAGATTTTAAAATTCTCCTTTCTTCCTCTCATTTCTTTTTCCTCTTCCCATTCTTCTCTCTCTCTTCCCATTCCTTGCTTCTTTTTCTTTCACTTCTCTCTGTCCATAAGTCTACTAACTTCCAAAGGCCCAGGATTGAGTAGGAGCCTGCTCTATATCCATTGTATGCATGGAGTCATCACTCCATGCATACGTGCACACGCATCAAAATTCTCAGGGCAGTGGTCCAGGGGCAGGGGCCTGTTTCTGACTTCCCCTTGCACTTTATTTGAAGATAAATGCTTAGGTATTTGCTGCTCTTCAGCAAATGTAGAAACAGAATTTTAAAAAAACACTGTGCACAAAGCACTTTGACTGGTGCTGATGATGCAGAGGTGATTAAGACTCCTTCCTTGAAAGAGTTCATGTCTATGTGGGGTAACAAACCCATAAGCAGAACATTTCCTTGCTTTTGGGGAATTTAAGTAAGAGACTGGTACACATGTGAATGAGGCCCTCAGCCCTTGTTGATGTCTTCTTATCTTTGTCAGCACAAGTATATCTCCATCGCAGATGTGCAGATCAAGAATGAAGAGGAGCTGGAGAAGTGCCCTATGTCTTTGGTGAGCCAAGGAAGCCCTACACAGGAGGAGAGTAGAAGAAAACCTGTCTTCAGTGTTGTCACAGAGCATGTGTGCATGCATTCATTCAGCATATTAGGCTGTAACTGTGTTCCAGGCAAGACAAGGTCCCTACTTTCATGATATATTGAAGTTGGGGAAGAAAGATAAAAAATAAAAAGTTAAGTAAACCAAACTATCAGAGAATGGTAAATACAATGAAGAAAATTTAAACAGGATGACATGAAAGAAGCATCAGTAGACTACTTAAGATTGGGCAGTTGGAGTAGGTAGACCTCTGAGAAGGTGACATTTAAGCCAAGATCTGAGGGACAGGGATCCAGCCATAGGAGCATCAGAGGAAAGAGCATTCCAAACAGAGAGAACAGCCTTAGCAAGGGGAAAGCAGGCTTAAGAGTGTCAGAGGTAGTGAAGGAAGGCTGTTGTGGCTAGAGCACAGGGCCGAGGGCTGGGATCCTAGAGATGGAGTCAGAGAGGTGGCCTGAGGCCACTTTGCCGAGGACCTGTAAGCAAAGGTAGAGAGCTTGAAGTTGACTCGCAGTCAAAGGGAAGGCAGCCTTTGGAGATTTGAAGCAGGGGAGTGATATGATCTGATTTATGTTTCTAAAAACATTAGCTTCTGTGTAAAGATTGGACCAGAAAAGCATAGACGCACTCTACGGAGATTAGTTAGAAAACCCTTGAAATAGTCAAGGTGAGAGATGATGCCGACCTGGATTTGGAGATGTAGCTGACAAGACTTGCAGTGCATTTGGATGTGGATAGAGAGGCAAAGAAAGGAATCAAGAATAAGTACCATTTGCCAGGATGTGGGGGGAATATCAAGAGTTCTGTTTTGGTCATACTAAGTTTTAGATGCCCATTAGATACCCATGTGGAGCTGCAGGCAATTGGAAATAAAGTCTAGAATTCTACAGAGAGGGCTGACTTTGAGAAATAAATTCGGGAGTTGTTTGTAACACTTATAGGCAGTGTTAAAGGCCGTAGAACTGGCTGAGATAACCCAGGGAGGGAGTAGAGACAAAGAAGAGAATGGAAGGCAGGACAAAGCCCTGGGGCACACCAGTATGTTGAGGGGGGGATGTGTCAGGAAAGGAGCCAGAAGAATATGAAAGACAGTGAAGTGGCTGGAAATCCAGGAGATTATGATATCATCATAAAAGCTAAGAAAGTCTTTCAAGAAAAAAGGAGTGATCTGCTGGGTAAAATGCTACTAATAAGTGGCATTATGGTAAGAACCAAGGTGCCCATTGGATTTGGCAACATGAAGATAGTGACCTTGATAAGAACAACTCTAAGTGAAGTAGTGGGACTGAAAGCCTAATTGGAGTGTATTGAAGGGAATGTCAAAAAAGGAGGTAGATGATATAAAAGTTTTGTGAAGAGGAGAGAAAGTGGATGGTAGCTGAAGGAAAATGTGAGGTCAAGGGGAGGATGTTTTATAGCTGAGAGATACTAGAGCATTTTTTGTTTCCTAAAATAAGTGATCCAAGAGAGGGGATAATTGCAGGACTGAGGCATTCAACAAAGCAAATGGGTGTGGGATCCTGAGCACAAGTAGGAGACTGGCCTTTGTTAGAAGCACAGGCGGTTCATCCTTCATGTCAAGAAGGAAGGAAGAAGACTCTTGGTAGATTTGGTGTTGAGAAGATGAGTGTGTGCCTGTCTGATTGCTTCTGTTTTCTCCATGAAGCGTGAGGCAGGGTCAGCAACTGTTTAGGGATGGTGGGCAAAGGAGTTGGTTTGAGGAGAGAGAAGATGGTATGAAATCAGCCTTTTGGAGAGCAGGAAGGCAAACATGCCAGGATTGCCAGGCTCTGTTGAATGTCCATTTAGGACTTACGTCCATTTAAGCAGCAGATTAGTTGTGTGGGACAGAGGGAGGCGGGTTATTCTTCCCTGCCTCAGGGTCTCATGGCAGTGGCCCCTTGCCCTGTAATAGAGGGACCTTGTAGGAGGAAGGGAACTGCATTGGTCAAAGATGACAGTGGCCTGAGCAGCTTATTGGGTCCCTGAGACCCCAGCCTCCCCACTCTGATAAAAGGCTTAGTTAATGTCATCAACAGGACAGAGATAGTTGTATATGAGGGAGCTGGTCAGAAAGGAGAAAGTGATGTAGGGGCTAATGGAGAGGGGAAGAAAATCATTTCCATCCACTTAAAAGCTTCTTTGCTAATATTCCTTCCTGTTTCTCCAGTCCATAGGTTACCCAACTTCCTTTTAAACCCACACTATTGAGCCACCTACCTCTCCTTCCAGGCTTACAGAACGTTCTAGAGTTTTCAGCCTCAGATCCACACCATAGGAAGTGCTTCTGTAGCATCTGTTCCAGTATCCCAGGTACTGAAAGGTCATCCAGGCCAACCTGATGGTCCTATTAAAGAGAAAACTAGGACTCAGAAAAGGAATGTGACTTAACCAAGGTCACACAGTGAGTCATTAACACAGCTAGGGTAGAAACCTAGATCTGACTCCCAGCTTAGTGCTCTTTTCAGGTCACCCCTCACAACCAAGAAAAAAAAGCCTTTGGTCACCTGGAAAGTGGCATTGCCAAACCATGTATTTCTTGCCATAGGGGGAAGAGGTGGTACCAGAGACGCCATGTGAAATCCTCTACCAGGGAATGCTGTACAGCCTTCCGCAGTATATGGTAAGGAGATGGCTAGGCCAGAGCTGCCCTTCTCTGCTGCAAGGAACAGACAGCTAAAAACCATTTCAAGTGGACCTGTCCAACACTTGAGCTTGTTTCCTGAGCCTTTGCCCCTTTGGCAAGGCATTCTCTGACACATGCAAATTCTGAGCTTTCCTCAGTGCTCCTCTGATGGTGCTGTTCTCCCTAGTCCTTCTTTGGGAAGGGTGGGGAATAAGTTGGGGTCTCTACAGGATACACTGGGGACCCTCCTCCGAGATAAGTACTGTAGTCCCTCTGAGATCTGCTGTGGTCTGTCATGTCCTAGATAGCCTCAGGCTGGGAGTGGGGAAGATGCCAATGGTTCAGGTTAGAGGAAAGAAAAGAGTGGGAGAAGTTGGGTTTATGCCGCCCACCTTATTTCTACACACTGTCCCTCCCACTCTGTTCCTTCCATCTTCCCCTTTGAAAAGAACAGTCTTTTTTTTTTTTTTGAAGTGGAGTCTCACTCTGTCGCCCAGGCTGGAGTGCAGTGGCACGATCTTGGCCCACTGCAACCTCCACCTCCCAGGTTCAAGTGATTCTCCTGCCTCAGCCTCCCGAATAGCTGGGATTACAGGCACATGCCACCACGCCAGCTAGTTTTTGTATTTTTAGTAGAGATGGAGTTTTACCATGTTGGCCAGGCTGATCTTGAACTTCCAACCTCAAGTGATCTGCCTGTCTCGGCCTCCAAAAGTGCTGGGATTACAGACATCAGCCACCATGCCAGGCCCTGGAAAGAACAGTCTTGAAGCATAACAGCCAATGCACTCCCTCTGGCTTTCTCCCTAGCCTCACAGGCAGGCCTGTCAGGACTGGGCACCTGTTTGCTTTTCTGGATGCTGGGGAGATATGGTCATTGAGGGAAGAACTTACAGAATGGCTTTAAAACACTTTTTATAGGGCGGTTAGGGTGTGGAAGAATCACTTCCTTGCTGAGTGGGTTTGACAGTGGTAAATTTCTTTATTTTCTACTTCTCAGATCGCTCTGCTTAAGATTCTGCTGGCTGCAGCTCCCACCTCTAAGGCTAAGACAGACTCTATCAATATCCTGGCAGATGTCCTACCTGAGGAGATGCCGTGAGTGCTTCAACGGGGGCAGCTGCTGGATACTAGCTGTCTTATCTGCAGGCTCTCTCTAGTCCCCACTCACCTTGTTAACACTTACAGAGATTGTCTCCAAAGAGATCTCCCCGTCTCTGCCCACCAGTACCCCCTTTCCCGTACAGGGCTTTCTGCTTGGCTCTTTTTAGCTCAGAACTCTGGATCTGGAGGGTGACACCAGTGCCAGCGACTGGCTGCCCAGGTATTTGGGTGAACATTGCCAAGGGATGAGCTTGCCAAAAGAGAGACGGAAACAAAGAGATCAGTGGAGCATTTCTTCAGATAGGCTCATAAGTGGGAACTCTGGAGGTTTCCCTGGCACAGAAGTTCAAGTTTCCCAAGTTCTGGCTCTCTTGTGTATATTGTATCAGACCCAAATACCTGGATCCCTACAGGGCTCCCTTTAAGGCCACTCTCTGCACTAATACCTTCTCTCCCCATTGTAGCATCACTGTTCTCCAGAGCATGAAGCTGGGCATCGATGTGAACAGGCACAAGGAGATTATTGTAAAGAGTATCTCTACCCTGCTTCTGCTACTCCTCAAACACTTCAAACTCAACCATATCTACCAGGTGAGCAGCTAGGAGCACTTCTCCACAGGTCTTGGGTGTTTGCCAGGCCCTATCTCTCAAAGGAAGGATGCAAAGTCCCTTTTAATCCTGATGAGCATCTTTCAGCCTTTTCTTTGTCCTCTCTCAGGGAATCCAGCCACCCATTGCATGAGCTTGAGGTAGGGTTATGGAGTGGGAACTGTCCTAGAAAGGTGCAGATGTCTGTGTCCCTTGTAAGTTATCCCAGAGTTGTGGGTAGGAATCTCTAGCTTCTCAGGAATATGCCCAGCCAGTTTTTAAACAATGCAAGAGAGAATGTAAGCATTTCACAAAAATGGGGGGGTGGGGGGAGTATGTTGACCGTAGTTTTCTATATGTGAAGCACTTTTCCAACATTTGAGATATAATTCTGAGAATAGGGCACAGTTCTGGCTCTTCAGGGCCTTGAAACCTTATAAAGGATACAGATATATAAGTAGCCAATTATAGAGAGATAAGTGCACTGATACTGATAAGCACTGGTTGCTATGGAAACATCTAATCCAGCTTGAGGTGGAGAAGAAATGACTCCTAACCTGAGTCCTAAAAAAACAGATGTTAGCCAGGATATGGGAATTGTTAGGGAAGGAGGACAGGAGGCATTTCAAGCAGAAAAGCTAATATGCAAAAGTCCAGAGGGGGAAGAGAGAGAGCAAAGTACCTTTAAAAACCGTAATTAAATGTTGCTGGAGTTCTGCCTGGGGCGGGGAAAGATGGGCATGGTCTGGTGACACAGGAAGCTGGAGGAATCGGCAAGGAGCAAATCATAATCTATATGCTAACACACAATTACTGGGCACCTATCCTGTGCCCAGCACCCTGTTAAGTTTGTCTAGGCCCTCATTTAATTATCTCCACCCTATGAAGTAGTCTTATTTAATACCTCTTTTATACATGATGAAATCGAAGCTAAGAAAAATTAAGAAGCTGCTTTCCCGTAAAACATTGTTTGCCATGCTAAGGAGTTTGGACTTGGTTTCATGGGCATTGCCAAGATATAGGGACAAGATGGGGACAGCAAATGGATGCTCCTGTCTGTGAGGAGACCACAGGGAAAAAAGGAATGCTTCTCATTTTTGCCCAGAGGCTCTACCCCATTTTCCTCCTAAGAAGTCAGAATCAAGCTTGCTGGTAGAAGAGCAGGTCCTCAGAGTACAGAGAGGCTTCTGTAGGGTCTATGTCCATGGCCCTATCAACCAGGGTATTTTTCCACTTTCATACATTCGAAGACATCTTTGGGTATGTTTCATTGCCCTGAGTGCTCCCACTTTTGCCAGTGTTTGCTGAGCAGCAGCAGGGCTGGGAGGAGTAGTGGTAGGTAGGAGATAGTGTTTCTAGTGGAAAGAGAACAGAGAACTGTAGATGTGTGTTTACTTCTGCTTTTCTTGGTGGGAAGTATGTGGATTCACAGCCAGACAGGTGGATGGCTTGATGGGCCATGCCAGTGTGTCAGTGAATCCTGAAGGGCCACAGGCACATCTCAAACTGAAAAAAGTTTTCCATCAGATGATACTGGATATGTGTTGGCTCTTTTGTCTGGGGCTTTGGAAAATACCCTGGATTTTACAAATAAAATAAATAACCTTCCAGGGAGAAAATTTTGAACAGAAGAGAGAAGTAGTCTTGGCATAAACTGACTCCACTGCTCTAACTACATACCCAGGGCCATTAGGCAGCTTAGCTTGCTGCTTGGCTACTTGTTGGTGATCAGAGAGCTGAGGATTTAAAACACCATAGTTCTCTGCTTTTTCAACCCCATTTCTATACTAGAATACTAGGTTCTGGATCTGGAGATAAACTGTGTTTGACACTCCTTAGTGTATCATGGGTAACATAACCCCCATGACACTGCTCTTATGGCCACCTGTCCCACTGGGTTGTCCTATATACAGACCACATCTGGATTTGGGAGAGCAGAATGGAGTCTCCACATTCTGGTATTAAGCCTATCAAAGACACCTTAGACTTCTCAGTGCAGTATCTGTTGGCTGAAGGGCTCTTGTTCATTCATTTATTAAAACATTTACTAATATTCTTTCCCCCTTTCCCCCATACTCCAAGCGGCCAGTATACTTACTGATATTCTAAATACTAAGGATAATATGGTACACCAGACATACTGGAGCTGGAGCCCAGTGGTCCATTTGGTTATTATGTGCTGTCACCATCCTGACTGAGTGATGCCAGCAGTTGCCAAGAGTAAGCTGCAGCTGTCCCTGCTATATCAATCACAGTTGAAACATTATGAGCCAGAGGTTTGGCATGGAAAACGACTCCCTCGGGGAGCCTTCCTTTCCTGTTGGGCTTAGGAACAAATCTCACAGCAATTCTTTCTATGTATTGGAGTGGGATTTTATTTTCTGGCTTCTTTGTTTTGTGCTTGTGACATATACTGCAGATTATCCCCCTCCATGTAGGATGGGCTGGCTGAAGATGATTCTTCCCATTTCCCAGACAGGAAGACTGATAACACAAGTGGATAGTAGATATTCTCAGGAATGGATATTAGATTTGTATTTCCTCTCTTTTTTTCAAACATACTTTCCATTCTCCTCCAAATAAGCAGCCCTTTCTGCTTTGATTTTTAATTCAGTTTGAATATGTATCGCAACATTTGGTATTTGCCAACTGCATCCCCTTGATCCTGAAGTTCTTCAATCAAAATATCTTGTCATACATCACTGCCAAAAACAGGTATGAACTCTGGACAGGTTTATTTCAAGGGGCTATTTTGGGGTGGTTGAGAAAATTACATCATCTCGGAGCCTTTCAGTTTTCCTGGTGTCCCTAGTCCCTCCTGTCTTAGAGCTGTCACTGTTAAATTTAATTTCCTTGAAGTGTTAGCTGATGGAGTGTATAGTTTTACTTCTTTAGGGAAGTATTTATATTTTAATAGTTTTAAACACTGAAAAATGTCATGACTTAAAGAAATGAAGTGGCAATGATGAATTTTTAGCTCTGTGTCAGGTGGATCCAGGGGTTGTTTTTTGTGAAACAACCTGCTTGTCTGGCCAGGCGTTATTTTAGTATAAATCATAAGTTGGAGCAATTGGAACAGTTATACTGTTTCATAAACTGTAATGTATTATACAAAATTTGTAACTGAAGTTACATAATCGAATTTACTGAGGTACATCAATTTGTAGTTTAAAAAAATAAGGTATTTCACATTCATTATTTAATCTCCTCAGCAATGCTAAGAGTTGTTATAAGTTTTATTCTCATTTTTCCAATTAGGAAACAAATTCAGAGATATTAACAAAATTAACATGCTGGTGAGACCCCTTAAGTAAGCATCAGAGGCAGGATCAGAACACAGGCTTCCCTGTGAATACAAATTGCTTTCCATTCCTCCAGCCAAGCAGGGACTTGGGGATTACAGAGTAGATCCTTGTTCCTTAATATTCTACTTTCACAAGAACTGGAAATATGTTAATCAGTAGAGTTTACCAGAGGCAAAATTCCTAAAGTAGAAGTAAGAGGGCTAATCTCATACTTGGGGTGACTAGAGATATTGCCACACTAGTTTGTCAGTACTGCCTGAAATTCCACCATGGAGAAGGAGCCTACTTATATGTAGCTTAAAACACACACACACCCTATGGAGCCTGAAGTCATGAGACCTGGATTCGTGACCTGGATCTGCCACTTACTAGTTATGTAATCTCAAGCAAGAAACTGTTTCTCTGAACCACAGTATTTTCATCTTTAAAATAAGGATAGCTTTTCTGACTATATCATAGAACTTTTATAAGCATTAGTTAATATTGGTATATGTAAGATTGCTTTAAACACTTTCCCTTGGGGGTAAGCATTGGAGGATGGGTTTTTCCTAACAATACGGAGACCTGTGCACTGGCCCCTTTAAAACTGGCACTTCAGATGTGCTACTTGAGTTACCAGGGAAAATGAAAGTACAGGTCAGGCTGTGTCAGGGCCACAACTGCATGCAGGCACCTCTGTGTATCAGTCAACACTCTTGGTTAAAAGTAACCAAAACTAGCTGGACTACACTCATGCAGAATAGCGACTTTGTCAGAATGAAATGACGTGTCATCCTGAGGAACCTAGGACAGCAATGCAGCTCTGGACCTCAGGGTTGGCCTGTAGTGTGGGGAGCCCAGAAAGCCTTTCACGTCTATCTGTAAGACACCAGGCCTCTGTATTTCCACTCCAGTTTCCTCTCTCACTGACAAATTTATCAGTCTGCATTGTTTGCTTCTCAGGCCGCATAGTGAAATACGTCTATATGAGCTAAACATGCCCCACCTCAGAGACTGAATTGACTCTTCAATCCCTATTCCAGATTCCCTGGGTTAGAGGTTCACTCCTAGATCAACTGTGGCTAGGGGAGTGGTATACAGAAATTGAATGTTCCTTCTGCACCCATGGACCTAGAATGGGAGGTACAGACAATTCAATAGATGTCCATTTGGTTCAGTTTGGAGTTGGAAGAGTGGTAGCAACAGACTACACCTTTTGCTAAGGTTGGCCTGAACAAGATGATCCTCTTATGCACCATCTGTAAGTTTTACTTTTGAATGATCTCTGAGAACTTGGAGATCACAGCTCATTATTGCAGAATTTTCTCATGGCTCTTAACAATCTAGATGTTCTAGATACTTGTAAATTAATTTTATGCCCCCTTAGGCTAGATTTCAATTCACTAAGAGAATGGAACAAATCTATCTTTGATTTCCCACCCCCATTTCCTGGTCGCCGGCAACTACTTTGCCATAGGGCTTTGTCAGTGGGAGGTGGGTGGATAGGTGGATGAGCCAGCCAAGAATGTTCATCCTAATGGAGCAGTACAGAACTGGCAACCCTGGGAAAATCCAATAGAGTGAATCAAGATGATGAACAACATTACAGGTAGTTTGACACTGCCCTCTCCCAAGCTGACCCTTCTCCTCTCCTACCCTGGTCCCCCAGGTTATCTTGGACAAAGGTAAACATTTCTGGCCAAATAAATTGTTGCCTTTTACTTGTATAGAAGTTTTGACTTTTAAAATGTAGAGACAGGTTCATTATAGCAGTGTGAACTTGTCGTCGTCAAAGCCACTGCTTTGCCAACATCCTTTATCCATTTCCAGCTGCACTAGTTCAGATAGGTTGGTGTTCAAAACCTCATGGAACATCAGAACCAGAAGGGGCATTAGAGATTAGCTAGTCCAGATTCTGTATTGTGTCAGTGAAGAAGGGAGAAGAGGAAAGAGACAGCTGTCATTTATTTTGTAACTATGTCCTTGTCATAATGCAATGCCTTATTTCCCCTCCTAACTCATGCCTGCTTCCCTGGGCTCACTACAGAGCTGTAGCTTGCAGTCCCCCACTGTCAGCTATTACCATTCTTGAGTTACTAGATTAGCCTTTCTATAGGAAACTGCCCCTGTCTCAAGCTTCCTTTAGGAGTGGCTTCTGTAATCATTCCCCAGAGCTCCCAGCTTTCAGAAAGATCTGGTGAGAGACACAGGAGGATCATTTCATCCTCCCATCCTCAGATTGTTATCCAGTGGGATGGGTTTGGGCAGTGTCTGTGGGAGCAGTTATATTCACACATACAGTTAAATGCAGAAACACAAATGCACTCAAGTTTACATGTTCCTTTAAAGAAGCAAGGAGTGCTAAGAAAAGAGGCTCTCTTTCTGCTTTCTTTTGCATCTACCAGATGGGTGCCAGCCTCAAAGAACTCATTGGTTCCTCTCATGACAGGAAAGGAGACTGGAGCTAGAGTTGCCTGGCACCAGAGCCCTCATTTCAGCTGAGGTCACTAAGCAATTTGGGAAATGGATAGGGGCTGCTGGAGAGAAATAACTCCTGCCCTTTCCAGATACAGCCAATTCCTGCTGTTGCCATTTACCTAAAGCCTGTCCTTATCTCTGCATCTTACAGCATCTCAGTCCTGGATTATCCTTGCTGTACCATCCAGGATTTGCCGGAGCTTACTACTGAAAGTCTGGTAAGCAGATGGGGATTTGGTAGCCTTTGAAATTGCTAGGTAGCACAGGTTGGCATTTGCTCTTTCATTTCTTCTCCAACCCCTTAATGCCCTGGTTTGAGAGTCTCAGATCAATGAAGGTATATTGGCAAGAGCAGAGATGCAGCAGGGGTTTAGAGTTGCTGACCCAGTTGAGAAAGATTTGGAAAAGTTTAGCGTAGCATTTTTCAGAGAAGAGGAAACAGCCAGTGAAAAACACTAAGGAGGAAAAGGAATTTAGAAACATAATGGGACCGAAATTGAGCGTGAATATCTATGCTAAATGCAGGACAATCTCTTCTGGTCTAGCACAAATAATTATCTGTCTTCTTTCTGCTGTGCTACAGGGAGTTCACTTCTTATTTTCATATAGGTAATAAAACCTAGCAAGCAATGTGTACTTGAGAAAATACTTTGTCTAAGTCTCTCGGAGGCAAAAGTCTATATAGCCACAAAAGGATAGCCCAGAAAGTTTCTCATCTTGAAAACAGCTCTAGGCAAATCAGAAAAGTCACTCACGGTTATTCTTAATTCCATGAAACTGACTGAACAACAGCCATACTGAAGATGAGGTATCTACCTCATCATGTATTGCCATAGCTCCTTAGATAAGCCACAATCCATACCTCCAGCCTGTTGCATTGTAATTATGCATTTGTGTCTGTTTCTTAATTTGACTGTAGAATCCTTGAATGAAGAGGTAGTATAATCATTTTTATATCCTTAGAGTCTAGCACTTTGTCTGGTACATTGAAGAGCTCAATAAATGTCAAATGATTGAATCATGGCATGCACCAATGGTTACTACAACCCTTTGTCCTCCAATTGTAATTCCTGCAAAATGTTGAGTCAGAAAAGTATATTATGCAAAAATAGAATGACAATCTCTGTGGTACAGGTTTTATAGAACCATGGGATTCTTGGCTGGAGGGGACTTAAGAGCCATTTGATCCAACCCCCTTATTTCAAAGATGAGAAACCTGAAGGCCCAGTGAATGAAGTGACTTGTCATGGTTTACTCCTCATAGGTGACAGAGCCTGAATCAGACATGAGTCAAAAGACCCATGTCCTGAGACACCAACCTAGCACCCTTTTTTACCACTGGGATAGAGAGATTCCCTGGTCTTATTTAGATGTGGCCTCAGCAGCCAAAGAAGTTGGAAGCTTTTTATTCCTACAGAGAAGTAATAAATTGTCTAACCCTCTCTATGTTATTTATGATGCTATTCAGTCTTTTTTCAAGTTTTTTATTAAAAAAAATTTTTTTTACCCACACTACAGAGATGTAGCTATTAAATCGTTAAAACAACTCTATGAGGTTAGTATTACTATTTTATAGATGGAGAAGTTAAATAGCTACCAGTTGAAAGTGGAAGTCAGGGTAGAGAGACATGTATCCCCTGCCATTCAGAGTTGGAATGAAGAATACATTTTCCACAGAAACAGTGGTACACAGTAGCATTAAAATTCTGCTATTAGTAGGGCATTTCAGAAGATAAAGTCAACTTTTATGGCCTGAATTTATTTCTTCCTATAATGTGTTTTTTATTTTCAGTTCCAACCCCATTGGTTCATATATAGGAATTGATAGGAACCACACTTTCACATCTCTCCCAATTGACCTTTGGGATATGTGCATAAAATTACTGAAATGAAGTGAACATAATAATTTATTATGTTTTCTAAGAAGATTTTAATATTATTCAGAGTGAAAGCATGTATTTATTCTTCCTGAAAAATAGTCATGCTAAGTATTTTACTACTTTGTGTGAAGCAATAGTGGCACCTGGTGGTTTCATTTAGTAACCACAGACTTTTTGTTTTGCTTGAATTTTGAATGAGCCCAGTCATGGGCTGCAATAACTAGTGAGTCTATTCCACATAGGTCCTCAGTATGGTTTATCTAAACTGGTGACTTCTGTGCTCAGAAAAACACTAATGTTCATATGAGTAAGATATATCTGTTTTTTTCAGGCTTAACAAATTGCAAGCACAGAAAATGTACTGGCTATTTGAATATATAGAATTTTCTTTTCTTTTCCTTTTTTTTTTTTTTTTTTTTTTTTTTTTGAGACAGAGTCTTGTGCTGTCACCCAGGCTGGAATGCAGTGGTGTGATCTCAGCTCACTGAAACCTCTGCCTCGTGAGTCCAAGTGATTTTCCTGCCTCAGCCTTCTGAGTAGCGGGGACTACAGGCACGTGCCACCATGCCCAGCTAATTTTTGTATTTTTAGTAGAGACAGGCTTTCATCATGTTGGCCAGGCTGGTCTCGAACTCCTGGTCTCAGATGATCCACCTGCCTCAGCCTCCCAAAGTGCTGGGATTATAGGCATGAGCCACAACGAATGGCTATAGGATTTTCTTTAAGTAACTTTTGAAGTTTTTTTCCTGATATTAAAATAAATATACGTATTGCAGAAAACTGGAGAAACAGAAAAGTATGAGGAAGAAAAATACTCTTATGCCACCTACATATAGCCACTGTTAATATTTTGCTGCAATTATATATATATTCACTCATATATAAACACATTAACAAAACTAAGACTTTATACATAGATATTTCATTTGACAGCAAAATTTAAATGTTCACAATATCATTTTATTAAACATTCTAGAGGACAATTTTTTTCTTTCTTTTTTGAAGACAGGGTCTTGCTTTGTCACCCAGGCTGGAGTGCAGTGCACTCGGCCTGAAGCACGGCCCATCGCAGCCTCAAGCTCCTGGGCTGAAGTGATCCTCCCACCTTCCCAAGTAGCTGGGTGTAGGTGGGACCACAGACATGCTACCATGCCAGGCTAATTTTTGTATTTTTTGTAGAGACGGGGTCTTTGTGTTGCCCAAGCTGATCTTGAACTCCTGGGCTCAAGCAATCTGCCCTCCTTGGCCTCCCAAATTGCTGGGATTACAGGTGTCAGCCACCATGCCCAGCTGAGGACATAATTTTAATTTCTTTAAATTTTTTATTTATTTTTTATTTTTATTTATTTATTTTTTTTGAGATGGAGTCTCGCTCTGTCGGCCAGGCTGGAGTGCAGTGGCGCCATCTTGGCTCACTGCAACCTCTGCCTCCCGGGTTCAAGCGATTCTTCTGCCTCAGCCTTCCGAGTAGCTGGGATTACAGGCACATGCCACCACGCCTGGCTAATTTTTTGTATTTTTAGTAGAGACAGTGTTGTACTGTGTTAGCCAGGATGGTCTCAATTTCCTGACCTGGTGATCCGCCCACCTCAGCCTCCCAAAGTGTTGGGATTACAGGCGTGAGCCACTGCACGCAGCCCAGGACATAATTTTTAATAGTTACACATAATATTCCACTATTTAGTTTCAAAAAGGATTCTGTGCTGTTGACATTTATTTATGTTTTCCTTGTGTAACTCCAAAACAAACATCCTTGCATGCAAATCTTTTATTTTTTTTTTTTGAGACAGGGTCTCGAAGTTGCTCAGGCTTGAGTGCAGTGGTGTGATCACAGCTCACTGCAGTCTTGACCTCCCAGGGTCAAATGATCCTTCCACCTCAGCCACCCAAGTAGCTAGGACTACAGGCACATGCCACTATGCTTGGCTAATTTTTAAATTAAAAAAAAATTTTTTTAGAGATAAAATCTCCCTAGAGACAGAATCTCCCTATTTTGTCCAGACTGGTCTCAAATTCTTGGGCTTAGTGATCCTCCTGCCTTGGCCTCTCAAAGTGCTGGGATTACAGGTGTGAGCCACAATGCCCAGCTGCACATGAATCTTTGATTATTTCCTTTAGATTCCTAGAAGTGGAATTATTGGGCTGAAGTAGTCTTTTTTTTTGAGACAGTCGCCCAGACTGGAGTGCAGTGGCGCAATCTCTGCTCACTGCAGCCTCCACCTCCCAGGTTCAAGCGATTCTCCTGCCTCAACCTCCCAAGTAGCTGGGATTACAGGTGTGTGCCATTACTGCCCAGCTAATTTTTGTACTTTTTAGTGGAAGCAGAGTTTCACCATGTTGGCCAGGCTGGTCTTGAACTCCTGACCACAAATGATCCACCTGCCTCAGCCTCCCAAAGTGCTGGGATTATAGGCCTGAGCCACCGCTGGGCTGAGGTAGTCTTGATTTATATTTTTTCAGTTTTCTGAATTTGAACTGAATTCATTTCAACTTTATATGAAACTCTAAACAGCATGATGAACATGAAATAAAGGTGAGCTAATGGCATATTAATTTCTGAAGTATTCCCATTTTGTCAAACTAATTAGCTCTTAGATAGGCCATCTTCACCAATATACTAAGTAGTTTCCCCTCCCACCTGGTACAGGAAGTTTAAAAATTTGTGTATCTCCAAATGTCGGTATTCATATTCAATCCACTAAACTAGGAAAAAATTGAAATAAAATTCCAAACTTAAATGAAGGATGGTGAACGTATGATTATGTGGAAGTTAAGTGTGGTCTTTGAAAGGAGGTTGCTGGAGAAGGCAGTGGATGTGGGCTCAGTATGTATTTTGCAATGCTTAGCATCTGAATGGTTGTTGAGAGCAGTGGTATGAAATGTAGGCTGTGCAAGGAAATGCTTTGGGGGATGGAAAATATTAAATATTTTATATGTATTATATTGATATCTTTTTATTTTTTTATTTTTTATTTATTTTTTTTATTGATCATTCTTGGGTGTTTCTCGCAGAGGGGGATTTGGCAGGGTCACAGGACAACAGTGGAGGGAAGGTCAGCAGACAAACAAGTGAACAAAGGTCTCTGGTTTTCTAGGCAGAGGACCCTGGGGCCTTCCGCAGTGTTTGTATCCCTGGGTACTTGAGATTAGGGAGTGGTGATGACTCTTTTTTTTTCTTTTTTTTTTTTTTCTTTTTATTTTTTTTTATTGATCATTCTTGGGTGTTTCTCGCATAGGGGGATTTGGCAGGGTCATAGGACAATAGTGGAGGGAAGTTCAGCAGATAAACAAGTGAACAAAGGTCTCTGGTTTTCCTAGGCAGAGGACCCTGCGGCCTACCGCAGTGTTTGTGTCCCTGGGTACTTGAGATTAGGGAGTGGTGATGACTCTTAACGAGCATGCTGCCTTCAAGCATCTGTTTAACAAAGCACATCTTGCACCGCCCTTAATCCATTTAACCCTGAGTGGACACAGCACATGTTTCAGAGAGCACCGGGTTGGGGGCAAGGTCATAGATCAACAGCATCCCAAGGCAGAAGAATTTCTCCTAGTACAGAACGAAATGGAGTCTCCCATGCCCGCCTCTTTCTACACAGACACAGCAACAATCTGATTTCCCCATCTTTTCCCCACATTTCCCCCCTCTCTATTGGACAAAACCGCCATCGTCGTCATGGCCCGCTCCCAATGAGCTGTTGGGTACACCTCCCAGAGGGGGTGGCGGCCGGGCAGAGGGGCTCCCCACTTCCCAGAAGGGGTGGCCAGGCAGAGGTGCCCCCCTCCTCCCGGACGGGGCGGCTGGCCGGGCGGGGGCTGCCCCCCACCTCCCTCCCGGACGGGGCGGCTGGCCGGGCGGGGGCTGCCCCCCACCTCCCTCCCGGGCGGGGCGGCTGCCGGGCAGAGACGCTCCTCACTTCCCAGATGCGGCGGCTGCCGGGCGGAGGGGCTCCTCACTTCTCAGACGGGGCGGCTGCCGGGCGGAGGGGCTCCTCACTTCTCAGACGGGGCGGCTGCCGGGCGGAGGGGCTCCTCACTTCTCAGACGGGGCGGCTGCCGGGCGGAGGGGCTCCTCACTTCTCAGATGGGGCGGCTGCCGGGCGGAGGGGCTCCTCACTTCTCAGATGGGGCGGCCAGGCAGAGACGCTCCTCAGCTCCCAGACAGGGTCGCGGCCGGGCAGAGGCACTCCTCACATCCCAGACGGGGCGGAGGGGCAGAGGTGCTCCCCACATCTCACGATGGGCGGCCGGGCAGAGACGCTCCTCACTTCCTAGACTGGATGGCGGCCGGGAAGAGGCACTCCTCACTTCCCAGACTGGGCAGCCGGGCAGAGGGGCTCCTTGCATCCCAGACGATGGGCAGCCGGGCAGAGACGCTCTTCACTTCCCAGACGGGGTGGCGGCCGGGCAGAGGCTGCAATCTCGGCACTTTGGGAGGCCAAGGCAGGCGGCTGGGAGGTGGAGGTTGTAGCTAGCCGAGATCACGCCACTGCACTCCAGCCTGGGCAACATTGAGCACTGAGTGAACGAGACTCCGTCTGCAATCCCGGCACCTCGGGAGACCGAGGCTGGCAGATCACTCGCGGTTAGGAGCTGGAGACCAGCCCGGCCAACACAGCGAAACCCCGTCTCCACCAAAAAAATACGAAAACCAGTCAGGCGTGGCGGCGCGCGCCTGCAATCGCAGGCACTCGGCAGGCTGAGGCAGGAGAATCAGGCAGGGAGGTTGCAGTGAGCGGAGATGGCAGCAGTACAGTCCAGCTTCCGCTCGGCATCAGAGGGAGACCGTGGAAAGAGGGAGAGGGAGACCGTGGGGAGAGGGAGGGGGAGGGGGAGGGGGAGGGAGACTGTGGGGAGAGGGAGAGGGCTATTGATATCTTTTTTACTTTCCGTACTTATGAGTACATTCCTACAATGTTATTTAAAACTATGCATTTATCAGTAAACATACATGTATTTCAGAGATATACTGTAAACATACCATAAAGTATATATCCACTTTCCATGAGGTATTTATACAAAGGAAGGACCATGGATAAAATTTTTTTAGCATTATATCAATTTTCCTGTTGGTCACTATTTCTATAATGGGTTCTTGGGGAGATTAGAATCTCCAGGATGATTTTTCAAACTCACATACCCAGGTATGTTAGTGCCCCTTACTGGGGCACTTGTAGTTTGTTAAAGTTTCCCAAACAATCTTGAAATTTTTTTTTCTCCTTCCTCCTTATCCACTTATTTCACTTGAGAACCATTACTCTCTTTTAAGCTATCCAGATCTATGTCCTTAATCTAGCAGTAATTTATCAAAAACCCATATGATAAGAGAATTATTCTATAATGGTGTTGGTAAAGAAAATCTAAAATAGAAAAAACATGCCAACAATTGATTGGCTAATGAGGTGGGTGATGCCAGATGCAAGACTGCTGGGCCTACCACAGGAGCAAGAGAGAAGCCATGCATTCCATCTCAAGGCATCTGTGAGCCCATGTAGACACCATGAGCAAAGCTCACCCTCCTGAGTTGAAAAAATTTATAGACAAGAAGTTATCATTGAAATTAAATGGTGGCAGACATGTCCAAGGAATATTGTGGGGATTTGATCCCTTAATGAATCTTGTGATAGATAAGTGTGTGGAGATGGCAACCAGCGGGCAACAGAAGAATATTGGAATGGTGGTGATACGAAGAAATAGTATCATCATGTTAGAAACCTTGGAACAAGAATAAATAATGGCTGTTCAGCAGAGAAATTCCACGTCCCCTCTCCAAAGAGCCTGTTTTACTATGATGTAAAAATTAGGTCATGTACATTTTTATGTTGGACTTTTTATATTAAAAACTTTTTGTTAGGCCGGGCACAGTGGCTCACGCCTATAATCCTAGCACTTTGGGAGGCCGAGGCAGGTGGATCACCTGAGGTCAGGAGTTCAAGACCAGCCTGGCCAACATGGTGAAACCCCATCTCTACTAAAAATACAAAAATTAGCTGGGTGTGGTGGCGGGCACCTGTAATCCCAGCTACTTGGGAGGCTGAGGCAGGAGAATCGCTTGAACCCGGGAGGCAGAAGTTGCTGTGAGCCGAGATGGCACCACTGCACTCCAGCCTGGGTGACAGTGTCAGACTCCATCTCAGAAAAAGAAAAATTGAAAGATTGGCAGTAACCTAAATGACCACTAATATAGGGCCAACTGGTTAAATAAATTATGGTACATACTTGCAATACAATATTAGGTAACCATTATTAAAAAGAACGAGGCAGTTCTTTTCAACTGGAGAAAGTCCATGTAAATCACGGAATTATAGAATGCTCAGACCTGAAGTGATCTTAAAGATTAGCTAGTTCAACCTTCTACAGGAAACAAGGAAAATGATTTACCTAAGATCATACAGTCAGGGATGAGGCCATAATCCAAGTATTCTGGTATCTATTCCAATGCTGCTTCTACAAGGGGATGCCTTCTCTCCCATATTATTCTTTGAGATACTGAGGACTGCAAGGCTTTTTATGCCTCTACCGTATTGAAAATCAGGATGAAGGAAGCTCACAGTAGAAATACACTTACTTATCCCATATGTTTTGTGTTTCCCTTGCGTCTTAAAAATTTAAAAGTCTGTTCGGGCGCGGTGGCTCATGCCTATAATCCCAGCACTTTGGGAGGCTGAGGGAGGTGGATCACCTGAGGTTGGGAGTTCAAGACCAGCCTGACCAACATGGAGAAACCCCATCTCTACCAAAAATACAAAATTAGCTAGGCGTGGCGGTGCATTCCTATAATCCCAGCTACTCAGGAGACTGAGGCAGGAGAATTGCTTGAACCTGGGAGGCAGAGGTTGCAGTGAGCCAAGATCACCCCACTGCACTCAAGTCTGGGCAACAAAAGCAAAACTCTGTCTCAAAAAAAAAAAAAAAATGTAAAAGTCTCCCTGTCTCTATTAACCACACAAGATATAACGTCTGTAGAACTTGGTCTATTTGGGGCAAGCCAGACTACCTGATGCACTACAGTAGAAAGTCCCATAGAAGTTTTCCTTAGAAGCAGACAGATGGTTCTCCTGGGACAATATTGAACATTTACTGTATGATGGAGAATATTATTTATAAATAATGTTTCTTTTTTTTTTTTTTTGAGATGGAGTTTCTCTCTTGTTGCCCAGGCTAGAGTTCAATGGCGTGGTCTTGGCTCACTGCAACCTCTGCCTCCTGGGTTCAAGTGATTCTCCTGCCTCAGCCTCCCAAGTAGCTGGGATTACAGGCTCCTGCCACCATGCCCAGCTAATTTTTTAATTTTTTTAGTAGAAATGGAGTTTCACCATGTTGGCCAAGCTGGTCTCGAACTCCTGAACTCAGGTCATCTGCCTGCCTCGGCCTCCCAAAGTGCTAGGATTACCAGTGTGAGCTACCACAACCGACCTATAAATAATATTTCTAAATAAGAAATTTCCCTGAAACTTTTTGGCTCTTGGTATTAGGTATTAGGAAAGCCTAATACCCTCAAAAACTTTGGATGTTCATTCCACATTAGATATATGCCTGTCTTGCTTCAAATTAATTTGAGGGAGGAGGAGGTAATTTTCCATTCACCAGACAGCAGCTCACTTCTACATGTCATCTACTCCTACATTCTCCTATCACATTGTAGATGTGAGGAATTTCCAAGATGTTAGTTTGGCTGTCACGTGTGCTCATTGAGTTATATAGCTTCTGACACCAGTATGTATTTGCAAGCCCCAAATTCACATAAGGACTCACATTTTTATTTCTGAAAAATCTTTCTATGAGTAGATACCTGCTTTTAATCTGACATCCATCTGTTGTCTCTGGTTAGGTGTTCACAAACTATCAAGAAATATATAAGAAAAATATCTGATTAGAAGAAACCATCTGCCATTTTTCCTTCCATGCTGAAGAATTAAGCATCTAACTGTAATATGGTTTGATAAAGGAGGGTGAAGGTTGATAAGATAAAAAAAAATTCAACCATAGTTGATATCAGATCCATCCAACATAGTTTAAAATCTACCAGAATTAGACCTAATCCTAACAATTACAAACATAGTTTATATAAGCGCAAAGTACCTGTATATGGGGGTAAAATTCTCTCATCTCTTTTCTGATCCTAGAGCAATAAGCTACACAAGAAAACTTGCCTGAATCAGGTTCCTGTGCTCATGTATCATCTTTCTAACCAACACATGCTGTAGGTAGAGTCTTCCAGGATTGGCAGCTGAGGGGGTTTTTAAACCATGGGCTTTGGAGACTTCAGTGTGTTAAGAAACAGGAAGGTGAGGAGGTATTATTTCATACAGGAAGGCCTCACCTAAACTGACCAACATTGACTTCCAGGCTTCTGTGGGAATTAAAGCCTTGTAGGTATTAAGATAATGATGGATGTTCCCTACTATAGGAAGCTGGAGACAACAGCCAGTTCTGCTGGAGGAACCTCTTTTCCTGCATCAACCTCCTGAGGCTGCTCAATAAACTGACCAAATGGAAACATTCCCGGACCATGGTGAGTGTGGTTTTTTACATCATGGAGTTGTCCATCTGACTGAATTTTTAAAAGATCACTAGTAAATATTTGTGTGCTACCTGGTTTGTGATCTCCGTATATAGACACTGAATGCTACATAAGATTTAGCACCTCATAATTCTGGGCACTTATTCTATATTAGATGATTACTTATCAGTCCATTTCTTTTCAGGGGGCTGAATCTCAAACCCTCCCTCAGGGCAACTCTAGCAGGGAAGCTAGCAATGTTGTTTGGATTACATACATTCCCAAATGATGCAAGTGCAAGGTTTATCATTGCAACATTGTTTATAATAATGAAAGCTTGTCTGGGCTCCGTAGCTCATGCCTGTAATCCCAGCACTTTGGGAAGCCGAGGCGGGCAGATAACAAGGTCAGGAGTTCGAGACCAGCCTGACCAACATGGTGAAACTCCATCTCTACTAAAAATACAAAAATTAGCTGGGAAAGGTGGCAGGCACCTATAGTCCCAGCTACTCGGGAGGCTGAGGCAGGAGAATCATTTGAACCTGGGAGGCAGAGGTTTCAGTGAGCCGAGATCATGCCACTGCACTCCAGCGTGGGCAACGGAGTGAGACTCCGTCTCAAAATAATAATAATAATAATAATAATGAAAGCCTGGAAACAAGCTAAATGCTCATTAAGCAGGACCAACTGGTTAAATAAATGATGGTATGTCCTTATAATAGAATATTATGCAATCATTAAAAAGAATGAGCAGCCGGGCTCAGTGGTGCATGCCTGTAATCCCAGCACTTTGGGAGGCTGAGGCAGAAGGATTGCCTGAGCCCAGGAGTTTGAGACCAGCCTGGGCAACATGATAAGACCCCATCTCTATTAAAAAAAGTAAAAGAATGAGGCAGTTCTGTACTGATATGGAATGGTTTTCAAGATATATTCAATAAAAAAAACCAGGTATAGAACAGTGTGGCAGGATATGTAGTTGGCTACCATTTGTGTTAAAAAACAAAAGTAGGCTGGGTGTGGTGGCCCACACCTGTAATTCCAGCACTTCGGAAGGCCAAGGTGGGAGGATCACTTGAGGTCAGGAGTTTGAGACCAGCCTGACCAACATGATGAAACCCCATCTCTACTAAAAATTAGCTGGGTGTGGTGGCGGGCGCCTCTACTCAGGGGAGGCTGAGGCAGGAGAATCACTTGAACCCAGGAGGTTGAGGTTGCAGTGAATCGAGACTGCACCACTGCACTCCAGCCTGGGCGACAGAGTAAGACTCCATCTTAAAAACAAAACAAAACAAAAAAATAAAAGTAATATATGCATACATAGAATTATCTCCAGAAAATAAACAAAAATACTGTGACAGTGGAAATGATATGTGTGGCTGACAAAATTTTCTTTTCACTTTATACCATATGCTTTGAATATTGAAAACTTTGAACAATAAAATATGAATGGAATAGTTCTCTCTCTCTCTCTCTCTCTCTATATATATATATATATATATATTTTTTTTTTTTTTTTTTGAGACGGAGTCTTGCTCTGTCACTCAGGCTGTAGTGCAGTGGCATGATCTCAGCTCACTGCAACCTCCGCCTCCTGGGTTCAAGCAATTCATGTGCCTCAGCCTCCTTAGTAGCTGGGATTACAGGCCCATGCCACCACGCCTGGCTAATTTTTGTATTTTTAGTAGAGATGGGGTTTCATCATGTTGGCCAGGGTGGTCTCAAACTCCTGACCTTACGTGATCCACTGGCTTCGGCCTCCCAAAGTGCTGGGATTACAGACATGAGCCACCTTGCCCAGCCCCCCTCTATATTCTTGAAGATTAAATCTAAGTAGAGCCTGGACCATAGATTCCTGAAAGCTCCCCAGGAATTTCTGAGGCTAGCTAGGTTTGGTTTAATTTGTCTGTAAACTGGAAATTCCAAGAAACGTTAGATCTTTACCCCACCCCTCTTTCAATGAACAGATGCTGGTAGTGTTTAAATCGGCACCAATCTTAAAGCGGGCCCTCAAGGTCAAACAGGCCATGCTGCAACTTTATGTCCTAAAGCTACTAAAGTTACAGACCAAGTACCTGGGGCGCCAATGGAGGAAAAGCAACATGAAAACCATGTCAGCCATTTACCAGAAAGTGCGTCACCGCATGAACGATGACTGGGCTTACGGGAATGGTGAGTCTTCCCAAAGCTCTTGACTTCCTGGAGTTTCCTGGGGTTTAGACAAAACTAAATAAATATTTATCACTCCTCTTTTGGCATGAATTGTTACATATTTTAGATGAAAAAATATGTGATTATAGGTCAGGCGCTGATACACCAAACTTTAAGGTTATGCCTCAAATTCTAGTATGTACCCTTGTCCTATGTAAACTATGAAAATCCGTTTTATAAAACAAGTAAATTGAGAGATAATTAATTGCCTTTCCAAAACATTCTTTTAAATGACAGCTTTCTCCAAAAGATTTAAATTAAAACAACTTTTTATTATTACAAAGCAGTTAGAAAAAAAGATAGAAAATACAAGTAAACAAACATTTTACTATATTATATTTATGCCATATTTGTACTATGCAGAAATTGCCACCATTAACATCTTATTGTATATTCCTCCAGATCTTTTTCTATGCATATACATGCATATTTTATCAAAATGAAAGCAAGTTATGTATGCTATTTTGTAATTTTCTCTTTTAACATTATCTCTACCTTTTCATGTCAGTACATTTTCATTTCATCTAATAAAGTTCATATTCACAATTTTCGAGTTGTCCCAAAATGTTCTTCATAGCTATTTTTCCAAGTCAGAATCCAATCCAGGACCACAGGTTGCATCCAGTTGTTATATATATGTTAATTATTTTTGTTTTCTGTTTTTTGTTTGTTTGTTTTTTTGAGAGGGTCGCTCTGTCACCCAGGCTGGAAAGCAGTGACATGATAATGGCTCACTGCAGCCTCGACTTCCTGGGCTCAAGTGATCCTCCCAGCTGCCAAGTAGCTGGGACTACAGATGCATACCACCACTACACCCGGCTAATTTTTCAAATTTTTTTGTAGAGATGGAGTCTCTCCCTGTGTTGCCCAGGCTGGTCTTGAACTCCTGGGCTCAAGGGATCCTCCTGCCCTGGCCTCCCAAAGTGCTGGGATTACAGGTGTAAGCCACCGTGCTTGGCCTCTAAGCAGTCTCCCCACCTCCACCATTAATGCTAACTAATTGAAGAACTAGGCCAGTTGTCCTGCAAAATACTCACATTCTGGATTTGTCTGTTTTCTTCTTTGTGGTGTTATCTACTTTATTCGTCTATCTATGGTATTACCTGTAAACTTGAAGTTAAATCTAAAGGTTTGATGAATTCAATTTAAACCTTTTTGGCTGCAGTATGTCCTAGGTAATCTTGGGAACTGTACATTGCCTCACATCAGAAGGCAAGATATTTGGTTAAACTACCAGAACTTGTAAGATTGATCAGAGTTTGGAAAAATTTATTTTGGAGAGCTTTTTTATTGTTTTGTATTTGACCATTATTTCCATAATTGTATTTGAGAATTTTTGGTAATGACTTGTCTTTGCTGTGTTTGTAACCTGCTTGAATTTTAAAGGATGATGCAGTAAAGAGTTCAGATAACTCTACTTACTTACCTGGCAGGGAAAATACCATGATCATGAAGATGGTTTTCCCAGGACAAGTCTTATCCATTTTACTCCAGATATGCTGACCCCTGCTATTCCCCTAAATGTGGGAAACTCAACTGCATAATTTGTGGTGCTGAGGGACTGTCTTTTCACTAAAAAAGGGTTTAGAGAACTAAAGGAAACATATGATAGGCACATAACAAGCCAGGATGCAACTTCTGCTATAAGACATAAAGCACAATTATCTATTAAATTCTTGTAAATTTTTAAAACACAAAAATGTTTTATCCTGCAAATGGCACATCTGTTGTTGCTGCCATTATGAGCCCAAACTCACACTACACTTCCTTATGATAAACCCTTGCATGTAGAACATGAGAGATCTGGGAGATTTGTATCTTCAGCCCTGAAATAAGTGTCTAAGTGAATAGAAGCGAAACAGATTATCTGTTTTCTGTTTTTACCTTCATTGAAGCCGTCACCTCATCATCTTAAAATAAGCTGACATATAGATTTATCATGTGCTGGAGGAGATTCCAGGGAATCAGGAAAATCTTCGGTAATTGGTCCATTCTGATTCTCCATGTTATACCCCTCTTGCCCCTTCCTATTCCTTGAAAGCTGGCTATTCCATTCAGATGGGACACTCATCCCCTAAGGAAAGCTGCATAAAAGGAATTTAATTACCCTTTTGGGAAACATAATACATATAACTAGTAATACATAAAGCTAATAAGAAAGTGAAATAATAAAAAGGAAATACAATAGAAGAAGTCCACCTCCCTCTGGGCCCTCATTTCCTTTCTCATAGGTAACCACTATTACCAGTTTCTAGACTACCCTTCCAAAGATAATTTCTGCATATACAAGCTTATGCATGTGGGCATATGTGTATTTTTTAAACCTAAGTGTCAGCATGCTGTATACTAACTTCATACATTGCTCTTTACAAAAAAAAAAAAAAAAAGAATTTCTGAGCAGTTCCATTTTTGGAATCCCATAGACCATGCTCTGTGATAAGAGGAGCAGTGTCTTGCATTGTATGTCTTCTTCTTCCTCTCTTTCCAACACAGACATCGATGCCAGACCATGGGACTTCCAAGCAGAAGAATGTACCTTGAGGGCCAACATTGAGGCTTTTAACAGCCGTCGCTATGACAGACCCCAGGACTCTGAGTTTTCACCTGTGGATAACTGCTTGCAGAGCGTACTGGGGCAGAGGTTGGATCTGCCTGAAGATTTCCACTATTCATATGAGCTCTGGCTCGAGAGAGAGGTGTTTTCACAGCCCATCTGTTGGGAGGAGCTGCTCCAGAATCACTGACTAAGTTCTTGTCAACAAGCATCAATAGATAGAGGTCAGCTCCAATAAACTGTGCTCTGCCTACCCTGTCCATACAGGCGCTGTTACCAGTTCAGGGCTCTTCTGGGGGCTCTTGGGCCTAAAGATGGTGCAAGGGTGGGATCCTGAATCACAATAAAATGATCAACTTGCCCTGGGGTCAGTTGGGTGCCCAGTTGGCCTTGGAAATCTTTTGGTGGATCAATTCTAGACAAGCTCTTTGGTAGGACCTTTTCCTGCTTTAGTCTTGGCTACAACCAGGCTAGACTTTGCTGGCTCTAAAAGAGGAAATTTGTTATGGCATTTGACCCATGGCATTCATCACAGATAGTGGGAGGTACAAGTCATAAAATAGGGAGAAAGTTTTCTTCTTGCTCACACTGGATTCCTAGGACTTATCAGAGATTTGGAAAAACCAACTTTGAAATTAAGTTTGCATTTTAAATTTCAAATTTGGAAGCCTCTTTCTGAAATCATTAGCTCTAAGATTATTTTAGAGCACCTGCACCTTCTTTGTGAAGGATGATGATTTACTATTCCCTCAATACTGCATGTTATCGAAAAGTGTGTTGTGTAAAGTGTTTTTTTCCTCATTCTGTAAGAGATCTATATTCAATGTGAAAATTATTTCCTTGTGTACTCTGTATAGGGCATGGAATGCTCTGCCATTTTTAAAGAGCCACAACCAATATGAAATAATTAGGTCCTCTCTAAGGATGTTTCATGTTTTTCTTAAATGACTCCAGTCTTCAAATGGCTGAGCATACTGCAGAAAATTATCCTTTTCATCTAATTCATTTTTTAAATGACAAGTTAACTACAGGAGGCTTTATTTATTCAGATGGTATGTCCACTTGTGGTCGTGATCAATATATTTTTCTAATTGAAAAGTAAAAGCATCACAGCTTACCATTTTTCTTTTTCTGCAGTGTTGATTAATGATTTTTTTCCCGTTTATTGCTAGCAGTTTCAAAGTGTCATGTGGAGATTTAGCAATACTGTCTCTACTTAAAAGTATTGCACATTTCATTGAAAATGTGAGAGTTGATATACCAGCCTCTTTATATTTCTCTTTTACAGCAGAATCACATACTTCTCAAGATAAACAAGGTTTTTAAAAAAGTTTCTGATTTAGTTAGGATCATATGCTTTTTTTTTTTTTTTTTTTTTTTTTTTTTTTTTTGAGACAGAGTTTCGCTCTTGTTGCCCAAGCTGGAGTGCAATGGCACGATCTCGGCTCACTGCAACCTCCGCCTCCCGGGTTCAAGCGATTCTCCTGCCTCAGCCTCCCAAGGAGCTGGGATTACAGGCACGCACCACCATGCCTGGCTAATTTTTTGTATTTTTAGTAGAAACAGGGTTTCACCATGTTAGCCAGGCTGACCTCAAACTCCTGACCTCAGGTGATCCGCCCGCCTCCACCTCCCAGGGTGCTGGGATTACAGGTGTGAGCCACCATGCCCAGCCTCTTCAAGCTTTTTTACTATACATGTTGCCCCTCTCCCCCAACTTAGGCACTACTGAATTTTTTATGATGGCACCAGGTCACTTTATGCTGGGTGATATAGTCAAAATTTGCTTATTTACTCTGCCCCTCGTCAACCACAGTATCATTTCAAGGACATGAATAAAATACTTGACAGTATCCAAAGGAGCTATACCAAAATCTAACAAGTAAATTTTGGATTTTGCCTCTTTGTGCTTTAAAGTACCAGGATTTCTGTCTCTATGGATAGGTCTTGGAGAATGTTAAGTAATGGATGAAACTTTTTAAAATAATTTGTAAATTTTACCTAAGTAGGACAGTAGTCCTTACTGCAATCAAAATAATTTACTGAGCACAACTCCTGTAAATTAATCTACAGTCAGGCTAGTATGATTTTAATATGATTTGAGTAAAAAGATAATTTTCAAGGAAAGAGTAATCATCCATCAATTTATTATAAAGCCAGATAGTATTCAATTTATGTCAAGAACAAAGAAATTGCCCTTTTAAAAGCATGTACGTGAATGCTTTTTGAGGCACAGAAGTATGCTAAGCTTTAACATTTTGTATTTATTTACAACCCTTTTCTAAGGGAAGGTTACTTCTCAGTGCAGATGGAGAAACTGAAGCACTAAGGATAAATGATTAGTTTCCAATCACATCATTTTTTTCCACAGACTTGCTGGGACTAGCTTTCAGGTATTGACAGCCAGCCCCATATATTAAGGTAACCAGGTTGAATCTTCCAATTTGAGAACCCATGTATGGGTTGCAGTGAGCCGAGATCATGCCACTGCACTCCATCCTGGGCAACAAGAACGAAACTCCGTCTCAAAAACAAAGAAGGATATAATAAAGTTAATATATAAACCATGTATGTGGTTAGGAATAAATTCAAATTCACCAGTCTCCAATGGTGATTACTTTTACTACATAGAAAAACATTTTAGTGACTTACAGAGGATTTTTATTTGTGAATATTTCAGTAAAGTTTGTGTTGATTGTTGATAACACTGTTCATCTACTGAAGCACTTTAATAAAAATAAAATGAGCTGGAATTAGAAATTTGGTGTTTAAATTCTTCAACACAAGAGAAACTCAAAGTCATATAGAAAGGAAGGATATAGGCCGGGCGCAGTGGCTCACACCTGTAATCCCAGCACTCTGGGAGGCCGAGGCAGGCAGATCACCTGATGTCAGGAGTTCGAGACCAGCCTGACCAACATGGTGAAAACCCCGTCTCTACTAAAAATACAAAATTAGCCGGGTGTGATGGTGCATGCCTGTTATCCCAGCTACTGGGAGGCTGAGGCAGGAGAATCGCTTCAACCCAGGAGGTGGTGGTTGCAGTGAGCCAAGATCGCGCCACTGCACTCCAGCCTGGGCAACAAGAACGAAACTCCGTCTCAAAAACAAAGAAGGATATAATAAAGTTAATATATAAAATATTATTTTACCCCCAGAGTGTTCCCTGAGAATAGACTAATACAAGCAATAAACTCCAGATCTTAGTGACTTTTGACAAACGTTTCTTGTTCATGGGTCTAGGAGTTAGCCGCAGCTCTGCTCGACTCACCTTGGCTTGCTTGGCTTGGCTCTGTTCCACAGTCTTCTTTCTCTGGCACTAGACTGATGGAATAGTTCCTACTTGGGACATACACTTTTTATAGTGAAGAGCAGGAGCAAGAGACAAACCATACCATGCAAGCACATTCAGACTCCTGCTTGAATATGGTGTAAATCAAATTGTTCATATACCATTGACCAAAGCAAATCACATGGACAAGCCTAACATGAGACTGGAGAAGCATACTCTACCTACAGAGTGGCAAACATGGATGGTATAATACTCTCATAAGTAGGGAAAGTGAATTGGTCATGAATATCTGCTCCTATATTACACACAACACACAGCCCCTCCTCAAGGAAGACCAAAAATCTTATCCAGTCATGTGAGACCTAAATTCTAGGATCTCATCTAGATGAAGGTGTAGATGAAGTGTTTCTTGATCCTGTGACTTGTTAACTTAAACAACAAGATATATCTACCTAAAATGAACAACAGAGACCAACTCTCCAAAGCAGAGTTTATTTGGGAATAGCAGGGGATTGCAATCTGGGATATGCATGCTATGGCAGACCACAGGCTCATCCAAAGGAGTTGTGGCAAAGGGGAAGCTTTTAAAAACAAAAAGAAGTCCACGTAAACTGTTTTGGAACAAAGACCATTGGTTACAGGGGCTTGTTGCAGAGTTGGCAATAGCTCATGGGTGGAGACATTCATTGTTAGTTGAGTATCCTTGTGTAAGTGACTTATCTGGAATACTGTGGTTTTGAGGAATTTTTTGCATAGTTCCCATCATAGGCATACTCGAATGAGGGCCCCTCCTCCATGGCCTCAGCTCCGTTTTGTTTGTTAGATTTGACATTAGTGACTCCATTTTGATAATTTTACAGTTAATGCATTGTGGTGGTCATTTCACAATGTATACATATATCAAAACAAGTTGTATTCCTTAATTATATAAAATTTGTGTCACTTTGATACCCAGGCTACATGAAGTATAAACCTATGTGAAGTATAAAACTTGCCACACTGGGACTCTGGGAACATAGGTGATAAGTATGTGTTTAGGGTGGTTTGCAGGGGCAAAGAAAGTCTTGACATGATTTCAGAAATCCTAGGCACACCAATTAACATCTGCTTTACCTACAATAATAGGTCCAGGTCAGACTTTTTGATAATAGTGTAAGTGTGATAGAATGTTTTCTGTAGTAAAAGAATGTTTTACAAAATACAGAATTTGCTAAAAACATTTGTGAAACACCCAGTAGATTCTTTAGCAGCTGGTACTATTCTGACTTGTGGTTAATGCTAACACACAGTTGGCCTTCCACGTCCGTGGGTTCCACAACCATGGATTCAACCATGGTGGATCAAAAATATTTTTAAAAATTGCTTGTGAGGCCAGGCGTGGTGGCTCATGCCTGTAATCCCAACACTTTGGGAGGCCAAGATGGGCAGATCAACTGAGGTCAGGAGTTCAAGACCAGCCTGGCCAATATGGTGAAACTCTGTCTCTACTAAAAATACAAAAATTAGCCAGGCCTGGTGGCTCATGCCTGTAATCCCAGCTACTGTAGAGTCTGAGGCATGAGAATCGCCTGGAGACGGAGGTTGCAGTGAGCCAAGATCATACCACTGCACTCCAGCCTGGGCGACAGAGTGAGACTCCGTCTCAAAAAAAAAAAAAAAGAAAAGTTGCTTGTGTACTGAACATGTAGTCTTTTTTTTCTTGTCATTATTCCCTAAACAATACAGTAAAACAACTATTTACATAGCATTTACCTAATATTAGGTATTATAAGTAATCTAGAGATTATTTAAAATATACAGGAAGATGCACATAGTTATATGCAAATACTACCCCATTTTATATCAAGGACTTGAGCATCCAAGGATTTTGGTATCCTTAGGAGGTCCTGGAACCAATCCCTCCAGATACTGAGGGACAACTATATTGTCTTAGTCTGTTTTCTGTTATAAGACTACCAGAAATTGGATAATTTTATATAAACAATATAAATGTATATGGTTTACAGTTCTGGAGGTTGAGAAGTCCAAGAGCATGGCGCTGGTATCTGGCGAAGGCCTTTATGCTGCATCATCCCATGGCAGAAGGCAGAAAGGCAAGATAGCACACTAGAGAGAACTAGGAAAAGAGGGCTAAACTCATCCTTTTTCAAGAACCCACTCCTGAGATAATCAACCTATTCCCACAATAACTCCATCAATCCCTTCATGATTGCAGAGTCTTCATGATCTAATGACTTCTTAAAGGTCCCACTTCTCAACATGATTGCATTGGGAATTATGCTTCCAACACACAAACTTTGGGAGACACATTCAAACCATAGCACTTTTTTTTTTTTTTTTTGAGACAGAGTTTCACTGTTGTCCCCTAGGCTGGAGTACAATGGTGTGACCTCGGCTCACTGCAACCTCTGCCTCCCAGATTCAAGCAATTCTCCTGCCTCAGCCTCCCGAGTAGCTGGGATTACAAGCATGCACCACAACACCCGGCCATAGCACATATTTTATATGATGTTTTTCAACATTAGAGACCTCAAAAAGACATTTGAGAGTAAAAATGGCTACAGTATGATTTTATTATCTATACATTAAATATAAACTTTATCTGCCTCTGAGTCTCCTCCTTTCCCATTTTCTCTGAACCAAAAAAAAAAAAAACAAAAAGAATGAAGAGAATAATTTACCTCCCTTATCTCACCACTCAACACAGATTGTTTATATGGTGGTGGTTTAACAATATAAGGAAATGTGTAATCTATAAAATAGAGTAGAACAAAGAGATCAAAGCTCTATTGATATTGGTGAAGCATTGTAACAACATGCAAATTATTTCTGGAAATGTTGGTATAGGTAAGTCCCAATAGGTGATGTTTGGAAAACACATGAGTTACATCTCAAAAAACAACAGCAACAACAACAAAAAAACAAAACAATAGAAACTTATTCTCTCTCTTTTTTTTTTTTTTGAGACAGAGTCTCACTCTGTCGCCCAGGCTGGAATGCAGTGGCACAATCTCGGCTCACCGCAACCTCCGCCTCCCGGCTTCAAGCAATTCTCCTGCCTCAGCCTCGCGAGTAGCTGGGATTACAGGTGCCTGCCACTACACCCAACTAATTTTTTCTATTTTTAGTAGAGACAGGGTTTCACCATGTTGGCCAGGCTGGTCTTGAACTCTTGACCTCGTGATTCACCCACCTTGGCCTCCCAAAGTGTTGGGATTACAGGCATGAGCCACTGCGGCTGGCCAACTTATTCTCTCTCACAGTGTGGAAGCCAGGTGCCTGAAGTCAGGTGTCACTAGGAAGGTGCTCCCTCAAAAGGTTCAGATGGGAGAATCTGTTCCCTGCCTCTTCCAGCTTCTGGGGGCTCTGGGAATTCCTGGGCTTGTGGTGCATCACTCCAGTCTCTGCCTCTGTGGTCACAATTCTTCCTCCCCTTCTCCCTCAACTCCCTCTGCTTCTCTCTCATAAGGATACATGTGATTGCATTTGGGGCCCCCTCGGATGATCCTCCTCTAAAGATCCTGAACCCAATCACATCTTTGGCCGTATAAGGTAATAGTCACAGTTTCCTGGGATTCACATGTGGACAAATCTTTTTTGGAGCCACCATTCAACCCACTTTACCCACTAACACTCATCAAAAATCTAACAAATAGCAACAATGATTCATTTACTCCCTCTCTGTCATCATTAGTAGTGTAAGGCAAGTCCCAGGAGAGGTTATTTTTAATTGAAAAATGCTTGCAACTGCAAATGTAGTCAAAGGAGATTCAAGAAAGATTTTCTGGCTTGGGTAGGGTATATGTCATGAAGAAGCAGGTATCCAGTTGAATAACACATTTCTGCATTTATTGGTATTTTAATTAAGAATATACAGGTTAAAAATTCAGAGGATACAAGAGTACACAATGAAAAATGTAATTTCCTCCCATCCAGATCCCTATCTTGTTCCCCAGAAGTAATGAGTATCAATATTTTTTTATCCTTTCAGAAAACTTCCACAGTACTCATCCATCTCCTCCCTACCAACATTTTTTTTTACACAATTGGGAACACAAGACATGCTGTTCTATGTCTTTACCATTTGTCTTGGATATCTTTCCATATTAATATTCTCTCATATGACTATAAATTATTATACTCATTTAATAATATATGATTTTAATTACTTAATAAATAAGTCTTCCCTAACACCACCTTCAAATACTTTTCACCTAAGAAGGGTATAGATGGGAAGAATCATGTGTAGCATGTGTGTGTGTGTGTGTGTGTGTGTGTGTGTGTGTGTGTGTGTGTGGTGGTGGGGATGGGGTTAAGGGAGATTCACTCAGTTCCCATAGCAATAGGTCAAAACAGTCTGACGTATCATTTCCTCCCAGCAGTTCTGGTTATTCAGACTCCCAAATCCTGTAAATGTAATGAGATGGTGCCCGAGTGTGCTATGGGGAGGTGTTCAGGCTGTTTGCTCCTGTAGTAATTAGCCAGATTTAAATTTCAAAAATCAAGAATTTTAAATTTTTACTTTTATTTTATAGAAAAGAAAATAACCAAAGTCTTTCTAGGGAACCGCAAGACTACAAAAGTCATCCCACCTCTGCTCAAACACCTTCAGGGAAAGTGACTTCTTTACTAAATAAGACAGTGCCATCTGTCCCCTTGCCTCCAAATGGAAACATTACTTCAAACATTCTGTAACTTTTTGTTCAAATGCTTAATGGAGCTGGCAGGACAAAGATCTTCCATGTGGATGCCTGTGAAAGTATGTCTTTACCAGAAGATAACATTTTACCCAGAAAGGCAGTACAGCATAATGGCTCAGATAGAGGGTGCTAGACCCAACTTGGTGAGCTATTGTATCATGCTCTGCCTCTATTAGCTGTGTGATATGCGACAGATGATTTAGTCTCTCTATGCTTCAGACTCCCCATCTGTAAAGTGGGGCTAATATTACTACTTACCTTCTATGGTTGTATTAAATGAGTATACATGATTTTTATATATAGTGCTTAGGAGAATGCTTACTAAATATGAGTGCCCAATAATTGCTATTATTTTTCCTACCTCATTCCCCTCCCTCTCAATCCCCCAGCAAGAATAATAAATAGCATTTTAACTCTCTAGATCAGGGATTGGCAAATTAACAGCCCGTGGGCCAACTCCAGCTTACTACCAGTTTTTATACAGCCCATGAGCTAAGAATTTTTTTTTACGTTTTTAAATGGTTGGGGAAAATCCAAAGAAGAAAAATATGTTCTGACACATGAAAATGAACACAGATGTGCTCATTTGTTTACGTGTGGTTTGTACAGTCATGCGTTGCTTAGTGATGGGGATACTTTCTGAGAAATGCATCATAAGGCAATTTTGTCCTCGTGCAAACACCATAGAGTGTAGTTACACAAACCTAGATGGTATAGCCTACTGCACACCTGGGCTATATGGTATAACCTATGGCTCCTAGGCTACAAACCTGCACAGCATGTTACTGTACTGAATACTGCAAGCAATTGTAACACAAGAATGAGTATTTGTGTATCTAAACATAGAAAAGGTACAGTAAAAATAAAGTAAAATACAGTAAAAATAGTAGACCTGTATAGGGCACTTATCATCAATGGAGACTGCAGGGCTGAAATTGAGTGGTGTGTGAATGTGAAGGTGTAGGACATTGTTATATACTCCTGCAGACTTTATGAACACTCTACACTTAAGCTACACTAAATGTATTTAAATTTTTTTATTCAATAACAAATTAACCTTTGCTCACTGTAACTTACTTTATAAACTTTTTAATATTTTTAAACTTTTTGACTCTTCTGTAATAACACTTAGCTTAAAACACGCACACATTGTGCAGATGTACAAAAATATTTTCTTTCCTTATATCCTTATTCTCTAAGCTTTTTCTATGTTTAATTTTTTTTAGTTTTTAAACTTTTTTGTTAAAAACTAAGTCAGAAACAAATACATTAACCTAGGCCTACACAGGGTCAGGATCATGAAGACATCACTGGGTGATGGGAATTTTTCAGTCCCATTATAATCTTATGGGATCACTGTTGTATATGTGGTCCACCATTAACCAACATGCTGTTATGCGCTGCATAGCCTGTAACTGCTTTTATGCTACACCAGCACAGTTTAGTAGTTGTAAAAGAGGACACAGGGCCGGGCGAGGTGGCTCACACCTGAAATCCCAGCACTTTGGGAGGCCGAGGCAGGTAGATCACGAGGTCAGGAGTTTGAGCCCAACCTGGCCAACATGGTGAAACCCCATCTCTACTAAAAATACAAAAATTAGCCAGGCATGGTGGGGGGCATCTGTAGTCCCAGCTACTCAGGAGGCTGAGGCAGGAGAATCGCTTGAACCCAGGAGGCGGAGGTTGCAGTGAGCCGAGATCATGCCATTGCATTCCAGCCTGGGTGACAGAGTGAGACTCCATCTCAAAAAAAAAAGAGGACACGGGGCCCACAAAGTCTAAAATATTTACTCTCTGGCCCTTCACAGAGTTTGCTGACCTCTGTCCTGGATATGAATGACTCCTCTCCTAAGTCTGCCCCAGCTGGCCTTGTATCCCAAGGTCTTGCATTCTCACTGCTAGGACCCTAGTGGGTGAACAGAGGAAATGACCTACAAAGAACGGTTTATTTTTTCTGTAACTTCTTCTTTAATATAAGGACTATCAAGGGTGGGGCTATCATGAAATGAATCCAGTGATATACTATTGCACTTAATGAAACAAAAAAAGAGAAAGAAAAAATAAAGGAAGGACAGAAAGAAGATGTCACCAGAGTAGAAAAGAGGAAATAGGAATTTTTAAGTGTAACTTCTAAGAAAGATAGTGATAGAATATTCTAAGTTTGGATATTCTAAGAATGCATGCTTCAATTCTGGTAATTTTTAAAAAGAACAGCACAGTTAGCATTACTATTTATAAAGAAGACATAAGGATGTGTATTCATAAATAGATAAAATTAACTAGTGCTATTCTGATGTGAGAATGAATAGTTATCTAAATTTAACATCTTCCACTTTACACAGGAAGATTTGTTCAGTTCTTGTGGAATAAACATCTAAGGTCCTAAACATTAAGTGATTCTTAAGTAAACTGGCATTTAAGACAAATGCATATGTAATCAATGATGTTCTGATACTAGCAAGAATCTGAACTATGTGCTATAACAAAGTCTACCATCCAGCCACCCACCTCAGCAGCTCTCCTTATCTCCCTGCAGATCAATGCTAAGGCTTTCTTCCGTGCAAAGGCTGAAGATCCATTTGGTTGATAGAAAACAGTCCTGCCACTGAAATTGTTTCAATCATCACTAGACCATTTTATATCCTGCCTGTCCACTGGCAAAACATGCTTTCTTGTACTTTATATCTTTTAAAGTAAGGCTTCTTGGAAACACTTTAAATTCACACAGCAGGCCAGGTGCAGTGGCTCATGCCTGTAATTCCAGCACTTGTGGGAGGCCAAGGGAGGATCACTTGAGCTCAAGAGTTCGAGACCAGACTGAGCAACATAGGGAGACCCTGTCTCTACAAAAAAATTAAAAATAAAAAAAATTAGCCTGGTGTGGTGGTGCTAGCCTGTGGTCCCAGCTACTAGGGAGGCTCAGGTGGGAGGATCACTTGAGCCCAGGAATTCGAGGCTGCAGTGAGCTATGATTGTATCACTATACTCCAGCCTGGGCAATAGAGTAAGATTCTGTCTCAAAATAAATAAATAATAATAATTAATTAATTCACATAGTACTTTCACAGTTATTCTATCATATTGCCTTCACAGTAACCCAAGGGGAAAAAGTGAAGCTCAGAGAATTGCCCAACTAATAAGTAGTGAGGCCAAGGCGTGAACTCACATCTTCTGGCCTCAAGTCCAGGGCACCTTTCTGAATAATTATAGCGGTTAACAGCACAGGCTCGACAGACAGACAGAGCGGGCTTTGACTCTGACTGTGAACCTGGGAAAGTTACTTACTTTCTGACCTCGTGTACAAAGTGGAGAACATAATAGAAACGACCACACTGGTTATAGTGAAGTGAAAATGCAATATGTGTGCAAACGTCCCTTCAGTGTTGGCTACAATTTGCAGCAAGAAAAGGATAAAATGATATGGATATCAAGGCAGGGATTGATACAAGAGCATTTCCAAAGGACACTCAGGCCTGACCAATGAACTTATCATTCTAGATGGATGAAGATGAGCTAGAGGAGACGAAGGGCAAGAGCTTGGGAGAACGGTGCAGCCAGTGGGGACCAGATGAGGCAGGACAAGGGGAGATGCCCAAAGTGCAGGGAATGATGGGGGCTAAGGGCCAGAGCTCAGAGGGCAGCCATTTTTCACCACAGAGACTGTGTCATCATGAGAGTGGTAGGCACTGACATGACTCCCTGAGCCAGCAGGGGAGGGGACACTGAGGGAGAAGCGCACAGGGCTGAGGAGTGGACTTTGAGATCATCCCCCACTTGGAGTGCAGCAGGAGGCAGATAGGCATGTAATGACGATGCGGGCTGGGATGAGCAAGGAGCAGAAAGCATGCCCCAGAAACAAGTGGGGGACTTAAAGGAGGGGAGGCTAGCAGCCTTCACTTAGGCTCAGAGGTCAATGAGAATGAAGTCTCTGGGCTTGGCAGAATAAAGGCAATAATACTTCCCAATGAACCATGAAAATTGTTCCATTAACTTCTATCATTACTGCTGTGGCATAAAGTGAGGAGCCTAAAAGAGGCTGCTCACTGTGGAGGAGACAAGGAAACCTCTCTCTAACTAAAGTACAGATTCATGCAATGCCAGAGGCCGAGGCTGAGTTTAATGGGCACAAAGTGTTGCTAGTGATTAATGAACTCACAGTTTGTGCTGGGCCTTGAAGGTTGAACAGGCTTCTGATGATAAGCAAGGAGGAGAAAACACTCCAGCTAAAGGAGAACACATAAGTAGAGGCTGGGAGGTGTGGAGCACCACAAATCCCAGAGACAGAGGAGAGTGGCCAAAATAAGGCATGAGGGGCCAGCAAGGGTAAGTAAAACTAGACAAGCAGATGGAGGCGAGATTCGGAAAGATGACACATATTCATACCATACCAAGGAGTTCTTTGTAGGAAATAGTCATCAACAGTTTTTGAAAATGGATGAGACATGATTAAATCTGTGCTTTAGAAAGAATACCAGATGGAGTGCAGAAGCCTCAGGAGGCAGCAGGGCTGGTCAGGAGACTTCTGTAGCAGCCCAGGCCAGAGACAGCACAGGCCTGAGCAGGGTGGTGATCTGAGGAAGAGCAGGGTGGGGAAGGGCGGTCCCCCAGAGAGACAGGGCTTGGCAAGCAATGCAGGAGGGCACACTGAGAGGCTTGCAGCTGGGTGATTGGGAGCAGGTGGCACCATCCACAGACTTAAAAAGGTGAGGGTCAGGTGTGGTGGCTCATGGCTATAATCTGAGCACTTTCAGAGGCTGAGGCAAAAGGATCCCTTGAGCCCAGGAGTTCAAGACCAGCCTGGGAAACATAGGGAGACCCTATCTCTATTAAAGAAAAAAAAAAAATTGAAAAAAAAGAAAAGAAAAGAAAAGAAAAGAAAGTCAGCTGGGCGCAGTGGCTCATGCCTGTAATCCTAGCACTTTGGGAGGCCAAGGCAGGCGGATCACCTGAGGTCAGGAGTTCAAGACCAGCCTGGCCAACAATGGTGAAACCCTGTCTGTACTAAAAATACAAAAATTAACCAGGTGTGGTAGCACACGCCTGTAATCCCAGCTACTCTGGAGTCTGAGGCAGGAGAATTGCTTGAACCCGGGGGGCAGCAGCTGCAGTGAGCTGAGATTGTGCCACTTCACTCCAGTCTGGGTGAAAGAGCAAAACTCCATCTCAAAAAAAGAAAAAAAAAAACAACAAGTCAGGAGGCAGCCTCAAGTAGGTGCAGATGAGAGTGTTCTAGATACAAGGAGAGAGAGAGGGATCAAAGGTGACAAGTTCCTAGCGTGGGTACCTAGATGGCTGCTGAGGCCATCATCCAAAACAGAAGGAGATACACATTGGCTAAGAGAAGTGTTTGATTTTATTGATTTAGAGGCAGGGTCTTGCTCTGTCGCCCAGGCTGGAATGCAGTGGTGCAATCACTGTTCACTGCAATCTTGACTCCCTGGGCTCAAGCGATCTTCCCGCCTCAGCCTCCCAAGTAGCCAGAACCACAAATGCGTGCCACCATGCCCGGTAAATTTTGTATTTTTTTTTTTTTTTTTTTGCATAGATGGGGTTTCACCATGTTGCCCAGGCTGGTCTTGAACTCCTGAGTTCAAGCGATCCACCTGCCTCAGCCTCCCAAAGTGCTAGTATTGCAGGTGTGAGCCACCGCGCCCAGCCATGTTTGATTTTAGATGCGGTAGGGTAAGGTTCCTGAGTTGAAGTTTCAAAATCAACTTTATCAAGCTATAATTCATATATTGTAAACTGCACTCATTTGAAGTATATAATTTAATTAATTCTGACAAATGTATATACCTGTGCAGGGCCAGGTTCATGGGCTGTTTGACCCCCCAGTGGTCACACAGAGTCCTACTCCTTTTTTTTTTTTTTTTTTTTTTTTTTTTGAGAAGGAGTCTTGCTCTGTCACCTAGGCTGGAGTGCAGTGGTACAATCTCGGCTCACTGCAACCTCTGCCTCCCGGGTTCAAGCAATTCTTCTGCCTCAGCATCCTAGTAGCTGGGATTACAGGTGCCCACCACCATGCCTGGCTAATTTTTGTATTTTTTAGTAGAGATGGGGTTTCACCGTGTTGGTCAGGCTGGTCTTGAACTCCTGACCGCAGGTAATCCACCCGCCTTGGCCTCTCAAAGTGCTGGGATCACAGACATGAGTCACCGCGCCTGGCCGAGTCCTACTCTTAGAAGGGCCATAGGCTCGGGGTTTAGTGCTCTGAGTTTCACAGTGTGAAAATTTCTTAGTAATTTTACCTTTGAATTTTTGTTTTGTCAATGAAATCTGACGGGAAAATGGAGGCTGCTGGGGGAAGGGGGTTGGTGCCTTAGCTGCTGCTGAGTCTCACCTCTTGTCACCCCCCACTACCCCCAATCCCCACCTTCACCCTACCCAACCCCCAACCCCATCTAGGGCAGGGCATGGCAATACCCCCGTACATTCAGAGTGAGACACGCGAGCATCCTGTCCACCACAGTCATGACACCAAGCACATCCTGGCACAGAGGGTGCAATCCCTCGAGGGCCACCCATCTGCTATGGGACGATAGCTAGGAAGGGGAGTGTTCCCGTACCCAAGGAAACACATTAAACAGTAAACAAAAACAGCATAACAGGTTGATAGAGACCACAGAGAAAAGGAAAGCTTTCTAATTTAGTACCTTTAGTGGCACTTTTCCCTGCTTCTTCCTGTTTTCATTTTGCACTAAGCCATGCAAATAATGCAGCCAGCCCTGCACCTGTGTAGCTACTGCCACAATCAGGATAGAGAGTATTTCCATCACTCAGGAATTTTCCTCTTAGCCCACCGCAGAGTCAATCCTCCCCCACCCATGGCACACCTCGACCACTGATCTACTTTCAAGACAGCTGAGTTTTAAAACTTGTAGCAGGAGGCCAGAGCAGTGGCTCACGCCTGTAATCCCAGTGGGAGGCCGAGGCAGGCGGATCACCTGAGGTCAGGAGTTCAAGACCAGCCTGGCCCCTGTCTCTACTAAAAATACAAAAATTAGCCGGGCGTGATAGCGCATGCTTTGTAATCCCAGCTACTTGGGAGGCTGAGGCAGGAGAATTGCTTGAACCCAAGGGGCAGAGGTTGCAGTGAGCAGTGATCGTGCCATTGCACTCCAGCCTGGGCAACAGAGCAAGACTCCATCTCAAAAAAAAAAAAAAAAGAAAAGAAAAGAAAAAGAAAAGAAAAGAAAAGAAAGAAAACAAAACAACCTTGTAGCAGGGCTCTGGATCTCTGATCTGGAGCTCAGGAAAAGCAGGGCTGGAACAGATTTGGGAGTGATCCCATAGGGGTAACCTTGGGAGAGCTGAGATAACCCAGAGAAGTGTAAGCGGCTGGGGTGGGCCAGCCCCATCCAGGGATGAAGACAGGCGCAAGAAGAGAAGAAAGTGCAGGTGGAGGGCAGGAGAATTTGCCATATCCAGGGCATATGGACTCATAAGAAAAACTCACAGACATATTAAAAGTAGCTGGAAGTTGGGTTTGCTCTGTTAATGAAGGATTAGGGAAAGCATATGTAAGAGAACCTAGAACATAAACAGTCCTCTTTGGAAGCCAGTTTGTCTTTCAAGAGAAAGCAAACAAAACACCACATCCTTGCAGAGCCTTCCAGGACCCTACTCCTGCTTCTTGGTCTAGCCTCCTCCCCCTGTCCCTAATTTTGGCATAATTGACTGCTCCTTGTCATCCAGATCTGTTTTAACGTCACCTCCTCAGAGAGGCCTTCCCCAGTCACCAATCTAAAAGAGCACCCAGTGGTCACATCAATTTAATGCAATATGCCATACTGTCCCTATCACTTTTAATGTCTGCCAGGCCCTCCATTTCAGCCACGACCACCTCCCCCAAATCACCCCTTAAAAGAACAAGGACTTTGCCTCATTCAGAGCTCAATTTCCAGGGCCTGGAAGAGTGTCAGGCACGTGGCAGATGCTCAATAACTGTTGAATAAAAAGGAATGATAGGCCGGGCAGTGGCTCACGTCTGTAATCCCAGCACTTTGGGAGGCTGAGGCGGGCAGATCACCTGAGGTCAGAAGTTCGAGACCAGCGTGACCAACATGGCGAAACCCCATCTCTACTAAAAATACAAAAATTAGCCGGGCATAGTGGTACGCATCTGTAATCCCAGCTACTCAAGAGGCTGAGGCAGGAGAATGGTTTAAACTTGGGAGGCGGAGGTTGCAGTGAACCGAGATGGCGCCACTGCACTCCAACCTGGGCGACAGAGAGAGACTCGGTCTCAAAAAAAAAAAAAAGGAATGACCAGTCATAAAAAAGAATGAGTCGTACCACCCGAAGTGTAGACTTCACCTGCAGGGAGGGAGGCTGGAACTGGCAAGGTTGGAGGCAAAACTGTACCTACTGTACCTTTCTCGCCCAATCCTACCTGCACATGAACTCCCTCCCCACCCCTTTAGTCTCTCGGGCCCTTACTCTCTTTATCCGGCTCTTTTGCAAACATTTCCCATGATATTCTCCCTTCACCGTCACAGTCCTTATGCTCGTTTCCCAAAAGAGCTTCTCCGATGATCTCTCCCAGGTTGGCCGAGTGAGCGGGCCTAGCCTGCGCTCTCACCCCAGTGCCACCCCAGTGGGAGCGCCGCCCGCGCCCGCCCCCTCGCCCCGCGCCCGCCCCCTCGCCCCGCGCCCGCCCCCTCGCCCCGCGCCCGCCGCTCCGGCAGCCCAAACCCAGACGCTAAAGCGCCGAACTGGGTTTCCGGGCGCTGGAGGCCGCGGTCGGCCTCGTACTAGGTGACGGCCCATCCCGCGCGCGCAAGCCCGGAACCCCGCTCCGCTCACCCTCCGCGCGCTGCCGCTTTGCCCTGGCAACGGTAACCACGGCGAGGCCCTGCCCCACGCCCGGTGATTGTGCGCGCGGCCCCGCCCCCGAGGCGCACGCCGGCCCAGCGCCCACAGCTGCGGCGGCCTAGGTGCCGCGTGGGGCAAGCAGGTGCCTCGCGTCCAGGCGGCTCCGCGGCTGGCTGCCTCCCGAGCCGGCCGCGCTCCTCCCAGCGAGGCGTGGCGGGGAGGCGTAGTGAGGCTGGGCCCGTGGCGGTTCCCTGAGGAGGGCCGAGAAGGGGCCGGGGGTGCTAGGGGAACGGGCGCTGGGGGCAGCGGCCCCGGTGGATGCTAAGGGCTTCGGGATCGGGAGAGTCCACCACGCCTGCCTGCTCGGCTGAGAATCGCCATGGTAATCCCCGTCTCCCTAAAGTACCCGGGGCCAGGGCGCGCGCCGTGGAGCCCCAGGCTGTCCCGGAGAGGCGCGGGCGCCGAGGTCACCGCCTCTCCCTGGGGTCGACCTCAACGCGTGGCGAAAAGATGGAGGGACAAGGGGTGCCCGGCGGTCCGCGCCTGCTGGGGGCGCAGCAGCCGCGGAGTCAGGCCAGCCGTCTTTCCAGGTTTTAGGTCGTGGTCCTGTTGAGCAGCCCCCACACCCAGACGGTTGATGTGGAAAATAAAGGGAGGGTGGCACCGTGGTGTGGCACGTCAGGGCGCCAGGCCATGCCCACAGTGACGGGTCCGAGCTGTTAGCTGCCGTAGCCACCCTGGGTGCCCGCGCGGGATTCTCCACTGCTCTGCAGACTCAGGAAGCAGAGAGTGAGCCTGGTACCACCACCTTGCTGTCAACAGCATTCCTGTTCTCAGCCCTCATCCAGTCACTTACGACCTCCTTCCAACCCTCGCTGCTCTTTCCAGAAGGGCTGTGACCTTCCAGCCCCTGCCCCAAGTCCTCAGGGAGGCATCATTGTCTGCTAAACTAAGTACTGCACGCTTGAGCTGGGCGCACAGAGCCCTTGCTAAAGGGGCCTCAACCTCGAGCTTTCTCTGCCATATCTTCTCTGCTAAACAACAACAAACAAAACGAACAAAAACCCTGCATCCCACACTAAACCCGCGTTCTTCTGGAAGCCCCTTGCGCCTTCCCTGTCTTGATCCGTTTTCTTTGAGGCTTGGATCAGAAGGACCCTGCCTCCTGCTTCCCCATCGCTCCTTCAGCGCCCACAGCCCTTTGCACCTCACCTCTGGTGCTTTGCCTGTTTTTCCTTGGAAAGCCTTATTCCTCATTAGACTCTAGTGTAGAAATCATTAAGTTTCTGTGTTCTTTCCAGTTTGTTTCGTGTAAAAGGATTAAGTAAAAATTTCTTGGTTTGAGAGTCATTCCATGAGCTATTAAAGGTAAAGAGCTATTACCTTTTTTTTTTTTTTTTTTGACAGGGTCTTACTTTGTCACACAGGCTGGAGTACAGTGGTGTGATCACAGCTGACTGCAGCCTCCATCTCTGAGGCTCAAGTGATCCTCCCGCCTCAGCCTCCCAAGTAGCTCGGACCGTAGGCAGGCATCACCATGCCTGGCTAATCTCTGTATTTTTAGTAGAGACAGGGTTTCGCCATGTTGCCCAGGCTGGTCTCAAACGCCTGGGCTCAAGGGATCCGCCCGCCTTGGCCTCTCAAATTGCTGGGATTACAGGTGTGAGCCACTGTGCCCAGCCAACTGCCATTTCTTTCAGGGCCCAGGGAACTGAGGCAGAATGCTGTACATAGCCATTGAAGCAAATGCCAGTTAATTCATGCTCCTTGAATGAGGGTCAAACACATTAGTGCACAGAGCCTGCAAGCCAGAGCGGAACCTTGCCTACCTTTCCTTCCTTAGCTGCTCTCACTGGCCCCCTTGGCTGCCTGTGGGCTGGCCATGTTGGCCTTTTTTGGGTTTCCGTCTCTTTGTGCACCTTCTCTCCGGCTTCAGAGACTTTGCATAGGCTGTTGGTCTTGGAATTCCCTACTCTCGGCCCACAGGCCACGCTTAGGGAGCCCTTCCTTTGATGGCCCAGATGAGGTCAGCCCTTGCCCATCTTGTGCTATTATAATTCCATGTGTTATAGGCATTATAGGGTCTTTCTTTATTAATTTCTTTGTTTTTGTTTTTTTTTTTTTAGAGATAGGGTTTTGCTTTGTTGCCCAGGCTGGAGTGCGATGGCATCATACATAGCTCACTTTGGCCTTGAATTCCTGGGCTCAAGGGGTCCTCCCACCTCAGCAGCCTGAGTACTGGGGACTACAGGTGTGTGCCACTGAGCCCAGCTAATTTTTTAAATTTTTGTAGAGACCGGATTTTGCCATCTTTCCCAGACTGGTCTCAAACTGGGTGCAAGTGATCCACCTGCCTCGGCCTCCCAGAGTGCCGGGATTACAGGTGTGAACCACCATGCCTGGCCAATAGGGCCCTTTCTTCACAGCATGGGTCGTGAGTAAATGCATTTGTGATTAGGTGACTAGTGTCTTCCTCAGACCTCACTGGACTGTAAGCATCGTGAGATCTCCTTTGCTCCCCATCTAATACAGGGCCTGGGACACAGTAGATTTTTGTTAAATACTTGTTGAATGAATGAAGGAGGCATCTTAAAATTCAGAAAAGCAGAAATCCACATTTGCTTTCTAAATCCTGTTATTGCATTGCATCTCAGTTGTGATGTATTCATTCACTCAGCAGATATTTATGCATCCTTGCAGTGTGGCAGATATTGGTGTAGGCTGGGGAATTCAGTGGTAAATTTATAGACAGAATCTCTGGTGAGGGAAACAAACAATAAACATAAACAACAATTACTATTAACTAGTGAAAAGTGGTGCGGGGAAGGAGATGGACAGTGACTCTACTGGGGTTGCTGGGAGACTGTTAAAGACAGACCACTGTACTTCCCCCTGTCCCTAGCCTGGGACAGTCTCAGTTTATGTTTGTTTATATTTGTTGAAGTATCTTGATTTGGGCAATAAATTATATGGTCACTCCAGTTACAGACAGAATATAGACATGGTGTCAGGGAGGTCTTTCTTTTTCTCTTTTTCTCTTTTTTTTTTTTGAGACAGAGTTTCACTCTTGTCGCCCAGGCTGGAGTGCAATGGCGCGATCTCGGTTCACTGCAACCTCCGCCTCCCCGGTTCAAGCAATTCTCCTGCCTCAGCCTCCTGAGTAGCTGGGATTACAGGCACCCGCCACCGTGCCTGGCTAATTTTTTTTGTATTTTTAGTAGAGATGGGGTTTTACCATGTTGTCCAGGCTGGTCTTGAACTCCTGACCTCAGATGATCCACCGGCCTCGGCCTCCCAAAGTGCTGAGCCACTGTGAGCCACCATGCCCAGCCTGTCAAGGAGGTTTTTCTAAAGAGGTGATATTTGAGCAGAGGCTAGCGTAAAGAGAAGCAACGAATTCTGCCCCTTCAATTAGAAGGTCTGCAGGAAGAGCAAGCATTGCCCAGGGAGAAGCTCGGAGTGTTGGGAACTAGAAGAAAGTCCAGTGTGGCTGGAGTCAAGTGGTTTTCCTTAAGGAGTTTGGAGGGTTTTAAGTTGGGAGCTGCATGTTCTGAGACCAGGAAAAGCCAAGAGCCACAAAGTTGTATTGAACCAATCCAAGGAATGGATGGGCCCAGAAACAAAACCTTTATTATTCCCATGTAATAATTTCTTAACAGATTTATTGAGGTGGAATGTATATACAATAAATTTTACATGTTTAAAATGCATGCTTTAGGCATGGTAGCTCATGCCTGTAAACCCAGAATTTTGGGAGGCTGAGGCGAGAGGATAGCTTGAGCTCAGGAGTTCGAGACCTGCTTGGGCACCATAATGAGACCCTCATCTCTATAAAAAGTAGAAAAAATTAGTTGGACATGGTGGTGCAAATCTGTAGTCCCAGTTACTCAGGAGGCTGAGGTGGGAGGATCGCTTGAGTCTGGGAGATCGAGACTGCAGTGAGCCATGATCGTGCCACTGTACTCCAGCCTGGGCAACAGAGTGAGACCTGTTTCAAAAAATAAATAAAAAATAAAATGCACACTTTGATAGGTTTGGCAAATGTGTGCATTCATTAAGCCATCACCACAATCAAGATTGTAAATACAGCCATCACCCATTTTTTTGTAATCCACCTTTCTCTCTTGCCCCTCTCTGTACCCCTACTCCCTCCCAACCCTCCCAGGCAATGGCTGGTCTGCCCTCTCTCTAGATTAGTTTATCGTTTCTGAGATTTTATATATATGCAGTCATACATTATGTTTTTTTTTTTTTTTACTGACTTTTTTTACTTGAGTAATTATTTGGAAATTCATCCATGTTATATCATTTATCAGTAATTATTCCTTTTTAGTGCTGAGTAGTGTTCCATTGTATGGTTATACCATGGTCTATCCATTCGCCTGCTGATGGGCTTTTAGGTTTTCTTTCTTTCTTTTCTTTTTTTTTTTTTTTGACAGGGTCTCATTTTCTCACCCAGGCTGGAATGCAGCAACTTGATCGTGGCTCACCACAGCCTTAACTTCCCTGGGCTCAGGTGATCCTCCCACCTTAACTGGGACTACAGATGCATACCACCACCACATCTGACTAATTTTTTTTTTTTTTTGAGATGGAGTCTCACTCTGTTGCCCAGGCTGGAGAGCAGTGGCTCAATCTGCGCTCACTGCAAGCTCCGCCTCCTGGGTTCACACCATTCTCCTGCCTCAGCCTCCCTAGTAGCTGGGACTACAGGCGCCCACCACCATGCCCAGCTAATTTTTTGTATTTATAGTAGAGACAGGGTTTCACCATGTTAGCCAGGACGGTCTCGATCTCCTGACTTTGTGATCCGCCCACCTCGGACTCCCAAAGTGCTGGGATTATAGGCGTGAGCCACTGTGCCCAGCCAATTTTTTTTTTTAATATAGATATGGGGTCCCATTTTGTTGCCGGGGCTGATCTTGAACTCCTGGGCTCAAGCGATCTTCCTACCTTGGCCTCCCAAAGTGCTGAGATGACAGGCATGAGCCACTGTACCCAGCCTGTTTCCAGTTTTTAGCTATTACAAATAAAGCTACTATGAACATTCATGTAAAAGTCTTTGAATGAACATATGCTTTCATTTCCACCTTAGGAGTGGAATGGACTGGGTCATATGGTAGACATGTGTTTAACTTTTTAAAGAGGCTGCAAACTGTTTTTCAAAGTGGTTCTGTCATTTTAGATTTCCATCAGAGTTGTATGAGAGTTTCAGTTTCTTTACATCTTCACTAATACTTGGTAGGATCAGTCTTTTTGACTTGAGCCATTCCAAAATATATGTGGTGGTATCTCCTGGTTTTCATTGCATTTCACTAATGACTTAATGTTGAGTATCTTTTCATGTGCTTATTTGCCATCTGTATATCTTTTTTGGGGAAGGGTCTATTCAACCTTTGAACATGTTTTATTGAGTGGTTTTCTTACTGTGGCGTTTTGAGAGTTGTTTGTTCTCCATATAGGCCTTTATGAGATACATGATTTGTAGATATTTCCCCCAGTCTGAGGCTTGTCTTTTCATTCTCTTAATAATATCTTTTGAAGAACAAAAGTTTTAAATGTTGATGGTGAGTTTATCAAGTTGTTTTCATGAGTTGTGCTTTTAATGTCATATCCAAGAAATATTTGCCTAATAATCCAAGGTAACAAAAGTGTCTTCTCTATTTTCTTGTAGAAGTATTGTAGTTTTTGGTTTTATATTTATTTCTATTATCTATTTTGAGTTAATTTTTATATATGGTGAGACTATGGGTTGAGGTTCATTTTTTTGTAAATGGATATTCATTATACCAGCACCATATGTTGAACAAGATTATCTTTGCTTCACCAATACCTTTGTTGAAAATTAGCTGATCAAATGTGGATCTATTTCTGGACTCTATTCTGTCCCATTGTTCTAGTTGCCTATCTTGACACCACTATCACACCATCTTGTTATGGTAGCTTTATAATAATTCTTGAAATAAGGTAGTATTAGTCTACCAATTTTGTTCTTTTCTTTTTCTTTCTTTTTTGAGACAGGATCTTGTTCTCTCACCCAGGCTGGAGTGCAGTGGCGCAATCTCAGCTCACTGCAACCTCTGCCTTCCGGGTTCAAGCGATTCTCCTGCCTCAGCCTCCCGAGTAGCTGGAATTACTGGTGCCCGCCACCACACTCGGCTAATTGTTGTATTTTTTTAATAGAGACCGGGTTTCACTGTAGTGGCCAGGCTGGTCTCAAACTCCTGACCTCAGGTGATCCACCTGCCTCAGTCTCCCAGAGTGTGAGGATTACAGGCGTGAGCCATTGCACACAGCCGGTTCTTTTTTCCTAAGTCCGCTTTTCCATGTGAATTTTGGAATCTTCTACAAAAAGATGAGAACTTTGAAAACAGTGTCAAACCTTTATCTCCCATCCTTTGTGTTTCCATATGAATTTTAGAATCAGTTTGCCAATTTTTTACAATAAGATGAGAACTTCAAATAAAAATGTCAGACTTTTATGTGAATTTTAGGTCCCAAACCATTTTAAAGATTAAAACACATACATTAAGTCAAGTGTGTTTGGCATGCAAAAAAGTACAAAGACATAAAGAAATTGAGACCCAGGCCAGGTGTGGTGGCTCACGCCTATAATCCCAGCACTTTGGGAGGCCGAGGCAGGCAGATCACGAGGTCAGGAGTTGAAGACCAGCCTGGCCAACATGGCGAAACCCCGTCTCTACTAAAAATACAAAAATTAGCCAGGCGTGGTGGCAAGTGCCTATAATGCCAGCTATTCGGGAGGCTGAGGCAGGAGAATCACTTGAACCTGGGAGGCAGAGGTTGCAGTGAGCCAATATCATGCCATTGCACTCCAGCCTGGGCAACAAGAGCAAGACTCCGTTTCAAAAAATAAAAAAGAAAGAAAATCAAGACCCAAAGTCTTTAAGAGCTTCTGGTAAAATGTACATCCCGTACCTCATGGGGCTGTTTTACCAGGAGAATGCAGTTACATAGGATTTTCATGTGGATTCTCTCAGAGAAGCCAGGCCACTGCATTGCAAGATACGTCTCATCTTCATTCCCGGGTTTTGTATCTAGGAATGTACTCTATTTCACCTAGCAAAAATGTATTTCAGCAGTTTTTTTTTTTTAGACGGAGTCTCACTCTGTCACCAGGCTGGAGTGCAGTGGCGTGATCTCGACTCACTGCAACCTCCGTCTTCCGGGTTCAAGAGATTTTCCTGCCTCAGCCTCCTAAGTAGCTGGGATTACAGGTGCACGCCACCACACCTGGCTAATTTTTGTATTTTTAGTAGAGACGGGGTTTCACCATGTTGGCCAGGCTGATCTCGAACTCCTGACCTTGTGATCTGCCCGCCTCAGCCTCCCAAAGTGCTGGGATTACAGGCGTGAGCCAGCGCGCCCGGCCTATTTTAGTAGTTGTAACACATGAACTATGTTCCTCTTTGTCTAGCTTGGGACATTTTTTGACCGCAATGCTGTGAATAGGACATCTATTTTATATAAATGCTTACCCCTTGCAGGTGTCCTTGAACGTTTATACCTTCCTCTCCTCTCCCTTGCCTACAAGAGACATTTTTTAATAATATACTTCCATTGGTTATTTTCTGTATGTGTGGGTCAGAGGACATAGAGAAGTTCAACTCAGTTTTGTGCAGTTCTAGCAAATATAAATGTAAAACCAAAAACTATAACCCTTCTAGAAGAAAATATAGAAGATGCTTGTTACTTGGGTTAGGCAAAGATTTCTTGGGTATGACAAAAGCACAATCCATGAAAAACAGGTTGACAAGCTCAAAATGTAATAGTTTATTTCCAGATTAGGATGGTATCCATTTATTTTCCCAGAGAACACTGACCTTATGGGGTAGTCATGGAAAGAGAATAGACACCGAGCCTGGTGGACACTGGTTTCTGCATGCTGGGTAGCCTAACTGAGCCCCTACATTTCCATTTTGAAGGCAGGAATAATACATAGAAATACAGCTCTGAGTGTTGGTGGTGTTAAAGATGATGGCACAGGCCGGGCACAGTGGCTCAAGCCTGTAATCCCAGCACTTTGGGAGGCCAAGATGGGAAGCTCGTTTGAGACCAGGAGTTTAAGACCAGCCTAGGCAACATAGCGAGACTGTCTCTACCAAAAATAAATTAGCCAGAAATGGTGGCTAATGCCTGTGGTCCCAGCTACTTGGGCGGCTGAGGTGAGAGGATCGCTTGAGCCTGGAAGGTCAGGGTTACAGTAAGCTGAGTTTGTGCCACTGCACTCCAGCCTGGGTGACACAGCAAGACCCTGTCTCCAAAAAAAAGGAAGGTGATGACAGTCATCATTTATTGAGTATTTGTCTCACATCAGACATGGTGCTAAGTGTCTTTTTTTTTTTGCGGGGAGGCGGGGGGAGGCAGAGTCTCGCTCTGTCCCCCAGGCTGGAATGCAGTGGCGTGATCTCGGCTCACTGCAACCTCTGGCTCCTGGGTTCAGGCGATTCTTCTACCTCAGCCTCCTGAGCAGCTGGGATTACAGGCGCTTGCCACCATGCCCAGCTAGTTTTTGTATTTTTAGTAGAGACGGGGTTTCACCTTATTGGCCAGGCTGGTCTCGAACTTCCTGACCTCAGGTGATCCACCCGCCTTGGCCTTCCCAAGTGCTGGGATTACAGGCGTGAGCCACCGCGCCCAGCCTATGCTAAGTATCTTATATTTGTATCTCACTTAAACCTCATGACTGCTTAATGAGGTAGAGATTACTTGTAAAACAAGTGCCAACATACATATTTGCATCCTGATTATCAAACTTGTTTTAAATTTAATGTGTATTATGAAAATTTCCAAACATAAATGAAAATAAAATCATAAACTAAATCCTCATATAGCCATTTCTCAGATTCAGAAATAATTAGGATTTTGCCACATTTGCTTTATCTGTTTTTTCTGGGTCGGGGGCAGCGGGGGAGCTGAGTGTTTTAAAGCAAACCTCAGGCCTTCTTTCATTTCATCCCTACAGATTTCAGTGTGCACTTCAGAAACGTGTGGACTTCTTCTTCTGTGATTTGCTGCCATTGTCAGACCTAATAGAATTACTAATAATTCCTTGACATGATCAGATTTCCCTGATTAACTCAAAGACATCTTTTTGCAGCTTGTTCAAATAAGAATGCAAACAAGGGCCACAGCTTGCATTACGTTGGGTCTCTTTTAATCAGGGTGCTTAATAAACATTTGTCAAATTAGATTGCGTGTGACTTTCAGAAATTATTATAATTCTGGGTCAGAATTAAACTTTGCTCTCAAAAGGCAGTTCTAGTTGCATTAATTGTTTTCGTTTGCCAAAGGGGGTTTGTCATTTAGAGAAGACAGGACGATGCAAACTGTTTGTTGTGGCTGCTATTTTGACTTATTTCCTTTTAGGAATTTTTTTTCCTTGTTCAATACAGAAATACTGAAAATGATACCAAGTTTATAAAAACTAACTCGGCCTGGCAAGATGGCTCACACCTGTAATCCCAGCACTTTGGGAGTCTGAGGTGGGCAGATCACTTGAGGTCAGGAGTTTGTGAGCAGCCTACCCAACATGGTGAAACCCTGTCTCTACTAAAAGTACAAAAATTAGCCGGGAGTGATGGGGCACACCTTGTAATCCCAGCTACTTGGGAGGCCGAGGCAGGAGGATCACTTGAGCACGGGAGGTGGAGGTTGTAGTGAGCCAAGAGCATGTCACTACACTCCAGCCTGGGTGTTGGGAGTGAAACCCTGTCTCAAAAAAAACAAAAACCAAAAAACTAACTTCCCTCCTCCCATATTTATATTTGTCTTTGAAAGCCAGCTAAAGGGAAAAAAGGAAAAGGCCAGGGCAAGTCTCATGGGAAGAAACAGAAGAAACCAGAAGTGGACATTCTCAGCCCCGCGGCCATGCTGAACCTCTACTACATCGCCCACAACGTCGCTGACTGCCTGCATCTGCGAGGCTTCCATTGGCCGGGTGCTCCCAAAGGAAAGAAAGGGAGAAGCAAGTGACAGCATTTCACAACACATCTCTGTTACAGACAACAGGACCTGGGGAAGAGAAGTCAGGATAACACAACTGTTGCCAGCAACATAGACTTTACTCCAGACGACTTGAGATGCAAATTAAGTGTGCTTTTCTGTGATGGTGGAAGATCAGGAAATGCACCTTACTTCCTCTGTTATGCCAGATATGGTTAGCCACTTTGGTTTTTTAGGAGCTATAGGATGGGAAAAGCCTGAGTAATTCCTACACAGTGTGCTGAAATTAATAGAACTTTCAGAAATTATTATAATTCTGGGTCAGGATTAAACTTTGCTCTCAGAAGGCAGTTCTAGTTGCATTAATTGTTTTCTTTTGCCAAAGAGCGTTTGTCATTTAGAGAAGACACGGCAAGAAACACTGGGTTTCCTTAGGAACATTCCTCTCTTGGGCACCATTTCCTTTTTTTTTTTTAATGGAAAATAATAAATACTTTGTTTCTATAATTTTCTTCTCAGCAGTCTGACTCTGTTTGATTTGAATTAGCCACAGGCTCCACGGATGCTAAGATGGTCACGAATGCTCTGACCCTGCCAGTCTTGCAAGCAGATGGTGAGAAGTGGCTGACAGTGTGAAATGGCTGGATGCAGGGCAAAGGGGGCAAATCTGCCCATCCCTTTCTTTTTTCTTTTAAGACGGAGTCTCACTCTGTTGCCCAGGCTGGAGTGCAGTGGCGAAATCTCAGTTCACTGCAACCTCTGCCTCCCGGTTTCAAGCGATTCTCCTGCCTCAGGCTCCCAAGTAGCTGGGATTATAGGCGCACGCCACCAGCCCAGGCTAATTTTTTTATTTTTAGTAGAGATGGGGTTTCACCGTGTTGGCCAGGCTGGTCTTAAACTCCTGACCTCAGGTGATCTGCCCGCCTCGGTCTCCCAAAGTGATGGGATTATAGGCGTGAGCCACTGCACCCGCCTCAGTCTCCCAAAGTGCTGGGATTACAGGCATGAGCCACTGCACCTGCCTCAGCCTCCTAAAGTGTTTTATTACAGGTGAAAGCCATCGCACCTGGCCATCCCTCTTTTTTCCATATTTCACCTGACTCTTCTCCCTCCTTCCCTCCACACTCTATTTCGTCCCACCTTCTGCCTACTTTGTTAAAACTTGGCTGGCCCCGAGTTATAGAATTGGTGCCAGGCACTTACTTGCCCTGGGCATTCGGCTGATATTCTAGATCTCCCTAGCCCTGTAAGGAGACGCCTAAGAGGTGAAACTATAGTTCTTTCTCCTCGGCCCAGAGGCCTAAATTCTCCAGATGTGAAAGCCAGCGTTTTGCAAGTGCGGACGCCGTCTTTGACTCCCTGAGCACTCCATCCTTGCCTCCTGCTCTGTCTTCCTGGCTCTTCCTGCCCCTCCTCAGCCCCTGCACCGTTGTCTCCATTCATGGTTCTGAGCCCAAAGCTGACACACTGTAGGCAGCACCTCCGGGGATGTTCTAGTTTGTTGGAATTATAATTATGCTCCAGGTGGCCTTGTGAGGATCGCAAGGATTCATGAGGTTTGCTAAGGGAAGCTGCAACTCAGGACTCAGGATTTCATACACATCAGAGAAAAAAAGGAAGCTCCATGAATCTCTGTGCTAGAGAAGTGGGGTGCCCATGACCCACGTGAGCCTGTTGGGAACAATACTGTTTACCTGCACCATCTGTGCAGTTTCCATAGAAGCCCTTGGCCAGTTGCCAGAGGAGCCCTCACTTGGGTGAATCTGAAGGGAGGTCTCCTCTGCTGTGTTTTCTGGTTTTGGAGACGGGGAGCACCTTCCCACCCTGTTAAGGACTGCTGAACTCACTAACTCCAGTTCAGCAGTTCTCACACTTGAGTGTGCCTCTCGGTCACCTAGAACACTTGGCCAAGTGCAGATTGCTGGGCCCTACCCTCGCAGGAAGGATGGGGCTCAGGGATTTGCGTTTCTGGTACGCTGGCAGGTTATGCTGGTGCTGCCCAGCCACACAGGTAGAGAGCTGCCGCTCCAGTTAATGCTGCCTACCCAGAAGCTAAAAGGCTTAGTGGAATCCGAACCTGTGGGATGTGTAATGTCCTTTCCTGCCTCACCTGGGTTCAGGAGCGTGTATTTGAGTAGCTGGTTATTGGAAGTTTGGGGAGAAGGCAGCTGCAAAGCTTCCTTTTGATCCCTGACTGCCCGCACCTGCAAGGCTTCCATTGGCCGGGTGCTCCCAAGGGAAAGGGAGAAGCAAGTGACAGCATTTCACAACACGTCTCTGTTACAGAGAACAGGGCTTGGGGAAGAAAAGTCAGGATAACACAGCTATTGCCAGCAGCACAGACTTTACTCCAGACGACTTGAAATGCTGCTCATCTGTAGCACAGATACAGGCATTTACAGGCTAACAAGGTCTGAAAGTGGTCATGCTCTTTTCTTTTGAGATGATGAAATGATGAGCCAGGACTGTGAGTGCTGGGATGGGGGAAGCACTGGTCTGATTGGCCGGGGCACCGTGACTCAAGGCTCACCCCAGTTTAGCAGACTGCCTGAGGCTGTCTCAGTATTGTGCTCACTGGACCCCTGGGGTTCTGAGAGAAGCCATAAGAAATTTTGGGTTCTAATAGCCATGCTCTAGTGTTACCACATATACATAAAGTCATAAACATTACACACACGCTATATAAAGGTTATGATGCATTTTACTTTTTGAGAATTTTTTTTTTATTTTGGTGAAACGCTAAAAACTTTTTTCAACAAAAGCTATTTCAATACATTAATTGAGCATCTACTGTGCTTGGCACAAAGACAGCAAGACAGAATCCCTACTGATAAGATTTGGCTGTGTCCCCGGCCAAATCTCATATTGAATTGTAGCTCCTGTAATTTCCACGTGTTGTGGGAGGGTTTTGTGGGAGATAATTGAATCACGGCGGCAGTTTTCCCCATACTGTTCTCATGGTAGTGAATAAGTCTCACGAGATCTGATGGTTTTATAAGGGGTTTCCCCTTTCACTTGGCTCTCATTCTGTTTTGTCTGCTGCTGTGGCCGTGGGAGATGTGCCTTTCACCTTCCACTGTGATTGTGAGGCCTCCCCAGCCACGTGGAACTGTGAGTCTGTTAAACCTCTTTTTCTTTATAAGTTACCTAGTCTTGGGTGTGTCTTTATCAGCAGCATGAGAACAGACAAATACACTTACCCTCAAGGAGCTTCCAGTCTGGTCAAGAAGGCTACTACCCAGATTAACAGAGGGCAACTAAGTTTCTATTTCAACTTTGATAAAGTACATTCATGATGCAATTTATGAAGGTGATTAAGAGGAGGGTGGGATTAAGACCTCTGGAGGACATCCGGAGGATATCTGATGATAAAATATATACTTGAACCCTGCTGTTTTTACTTCCCCTAAACTCAAATTGGCAAGAATCCTGATTCTTGCTGCTTTTAAAGATTCAAAGAGGAGCTTGTGAAAGGCACAGTGTATTAGGTCATTTTGCATTGCTATAAAGAAATACCTGAGGTTGGCCGGGAGCGGTGGCTCACGCCTGTAATCCCAGCACTTTGGGAGGCCAAGGCGGGCGGGTCACAAGGTCAGGAGGTAGAGACCATCCTGGCTAACATGGTGAAACCCCGTCTCTACTAAAAATACAAAAATTAGCCGGGCGTGGTGGTGGGCGCCTGTAATCCCAGCTACTTGGGAGGCTGAGGCAGGAGAATGGCGTGAACCTGGGAGGCAGAGCATGCAGTGAGCCAAGATGGCGCCACTGCACTCCAGCCTTGGTGACAGAGCGAGAGTCTATCTCAAAAAAAAAAAAAAAAAAAGAAATACCTGAGGCCAAGGCAGGCGGATCACTTGAAGCCAGGAGTTTGAGACCAGCCTGGCCAACTTGGTGAAACCCCATCTCTACCAAAAATACAAAAATTAGCCAGGCATGGTGGTGTGTGTCTGTAGTCCCAGCTACTCAAGAGGCTGAGTCAGGAGAATCGCTTGAACCAGGGAGGGAGAGGTTGCAGTGAGATGAGATCGCACCACTGCACTCCAGCCTGGGCAACAGAGTAAGACTCTGTCTCAAAAACAAAACAAAACAAAAAACAACCTGAGCCTGGGTAATTGATAAAGAAAAGAGGTTTAATTGGCTCACAGTTCTGCAGGCTGTACAAGCATGACACCAGCATCTGCTGGGCTTCTGGGGAGGCCTTCAGGAGCTTTTACTTTTGGCAAAAGGGTGCAGGCACACCACATGCCTAGAGCAGGAGCAAAAGAGAGAGGAGTGTGGGGAGGTGCCACATACTTTTTTTTTTTTTTTTTTTTTTGAGAGGAAGTCTCGCTCTGTCGCCCAGGCTGGAGTGCAGTGGCGCCATCTCGGCTCACTGCAAGCTCTGCCTCCCGGGTTCACGCCATTCTCCTGCCTCAGCCTCCCGAGTAGCTGGGACTACAGGCGCCCGCCACCACGCCCGGCTAATGTTTTTGCATTTTTAGTAGAGACGGGGTTTCACCGTGTTAGCCAGGATGGTCTCGATCTCCTGACCTCGTGATCCGCCCACCTCAGCCTCCCAAAGTGCTGCGATTACAGGCGTGAGCCACCGCGCCCAGCCAGTGCCACATACTTTTAAACAACTAGATCTGGAAAGAACTCACTATCTCGAGAACAGCACCAATCCATGCAGGATCCATCCCCATGACCCAAACACCTCCACCAGGCCGCACCTCCAACACTGGGGATTACAATTCCACATGAGATTTGGGCAGGGACAAATATAAGCAGTGATAGGTACGTCCACATACAGGTCATGAGGGCTACCTGGAGGAGGCAACAGCTGAAGTGAAGGCCTTGCTGTGAAGCTATGGGGGCTTTTTATGAGGAAGGCTCTATGCAAGGGTGAGGATGGATATGGGGCTTGATGGTTAGAAAGTGGGAGAGAAGGGAACGGTGACTGCAGGAATAGAAAAAATGTCCACAGAGGAGGAAGGAGGACATGGCAGTCACATGTGGATGGGGAATTTTCCATTACAAATCTGATGATAGAATCCAAAGAGACAGTGACAAGTGTCAGCGAGGGTGGGAAAAATTGCAACCCTCATGCGTTGCTGGTGGGGATATAAAATGGAGCCGCTGTGGAAGACAGTTTGGCAGCCACTCAGAACTAAGTAGAGTTACCATACAGCTCAGCAATTCTACTCCCAGGTACACGCCCAGAGAACTGAACACACGGTCACACAACATCTTGTACATAAGCCAAGCACAGTGGTGCTCGCCTATAGTCCCAGCTACTCAGGAGGCTGAGGCCAGAGGGTATCTTGAACCCAGGAGTTCGAGGCCAGCCTGAATAACACAGCAAGACCCTGTCTCAAAGATACCAAAAAAACAAAGCAAAACTTACATACAAATGTTTATTACAGCATTCTTCATAATAGCCAAAAAGTGAAAACAACCCAAATGCCCATCAACAACAGATAAAATGGGGTCTCTCCATACAATGGAATATTATTTAAACATAAAAAGGAATGAAATGGTGATATGTGCTACACCGCATAGATGAACCTTGAAAACACCGTGCTAAGTGAAAGACGCCAGATACAGAGGCCACATATTGTGTGATTCCATTTAGATGAAATACTCACACAGACAAAGCCCTAGAGACAGGACGTGGATTAGTGAGTGCCAGGGGGAAATGAGAAGTAGTGGCTGCTAATGGGTCTTTAACCTTTGGGTCCTTTTTTGCGTGGTAAACATGTTCTGGAATTCAATAGTAGTGACGGTTGCATAACCTTGTGACTATACTAAAAACCACTAAGCTGTACATTTAAAAGGGTGAATTTGATGGTATGTGAATCATGTCTCAAGCTGATGACAACTAGAAAAGGTCCAACAAGACTGAGAGAGAAAGAGGAGGCAAGTCCCAGATACCAGAGCAGGTGGCCCCAACAGAGACGAGGCCACGGAAGAGGGAACAGGGCCCGGTCAGACCCCTGCAGCCAGATCCTGGGACAGAGAAACTTGGGAGCTGTGGCAGGAGGGACCACAGACCCAAGGTGTCTGCAGACCTGAGGGAGGACTGACGATGTTCCTGCCAGGGCTGAACTCATCTTAAAAGAAAAAAAAAAAAAAAGGCCGGGCACGGTGGCTCACACCTGTAATCTCAGCACTTTGGGGGACTGAGGTGGGCAAATCACTTGAGGTCAGGAGTTTGAGTCCAGCCTAGCCAACGTGGTGAAACCCCATCTCTACTAAAAATACAAAAATGATCCAAGTGTGGTGGTGGGCGTCTGTAATCCTAGCTGCTCGAGAGGCTGAGACAGGAGAATTGCTTGAACCCGGAAGGTAGAGGTTGTGGTGAGCTGGGATCATGCCACTGCACTCCAGCCTGGGTGACCGAGTGAGACTCCATCTCAAAAAAAAAAAGGACTACAATAAATTCCATCTCTAACAACTTTTTTTTGAGTCAAGGTATCACTCTGTCACCCAGGCTGGAATGCAGTGGTGTGATCATGGCTCACTGTAGCCTTGACCTCCCAGGCTCAAGCAGACTTCCCACTTCAGCCTCTGAGTAGCTGGGACTATAGGCATGTACCACCACGCCTGGCTAATTTTGTTTATTATTATTTTTTTTAGAGAGACGAGCTCTCACTATGATGCCCAGGCTGGTCTTGAACTCCTGGGCTTGAGCGATCCTCCTGCCTCAGGCTCCCAAAATGCTGGGATCATAGGCATGAGCTACCACACCCAGGCCTCCAACAACTTCTTATATTTTGTTTTATTCTTTTAGTTTATCCCTTATTTATTTATTTAATTCATTAGTAATAAAGCCAATCAAACTTTTTAAAATGTGCCATTTTATCCTGGAATACATCAGTATCCTTGATGATGATGATGATGATTATTATTATTATTATTAGTTTTGAGACAGGGTCTCGCTCTGTCACCCAGGCTGCAGTCCAGGGGCGTGATCTCAGCTCACCACAACCTCTGCCTCCCAGGTTCAGGCGATTCTCCTGCCTCAGCCTCCTGAGTAGCTGGGACCACAGGCGCGTGCCACCATGCCCGGCTAATTTTTTGTATTTTTAGCACAGACGGGATTTCACCGTGTTAGCCAGGATGGTCTTGATCTCCTGACCTCATGATCTGCCCCCTTCGGCCTCCCAAAGTGCTAGGATTACAGGTGTGAGCCACTGCACCTGGCCTCTTTGATATTTTAAACAGGTAGCTTTGCACTCTAACTCCAGGCATGTTCCTGCTGTGATTGTTACTCTGTGGCTGTCTGTCAAGGGCCCACCTTGCTGGGAGAGATGTGGTTTCCACTCTTGCTACACCCTTCTCCTCTCCCCCAATACCCTCCAGCGACCTCTGTTTTGACAAGTCTGGGCATGGCCCTGTCTCCCACCTCCATTCTGCTCCCATTCTGTCCTCTCTTTTTGTTCTCGTTTTCCTTGTTTGCCATATTCCCTGAATACAAAATCACCAGGGCTTCACTGGCTTCATGGTAAATCCCTCTGCAGGTCTCAACTCCAAGGTCACTTCCTCGGCAACATCTTCTCATGGTCAGGCCCACTGTCTTAGTCCCTTCCCGCTGCTATGACATAATACCTGGGCCTGGATAACGGATCAAAACAGAAATTTACTTCTCACAGTTCTGGCAGCTGTGAAGCCCAAGGTCAAGGTGCCAGCAGGTTCAGTATCTGGTGAGGGCTGCTCTCTGCTTTCAAGATGTCACCTTATTGCTGCATTCTTTGGAGTGGAGAAATGCTATGTCCTCATATGGAGGAAGGTAGAAGGGCAAGTGGCCAAATGCTACATGAAGCCTCTTTTTTTTTTTTTTTTTTTTTTTTTTGAGACAGAGTCTCACTCTGTGCCCAGGCTGGAGTGCAGTGGTGTGAAATCGGCTCACTGCAAACTCCACCTCCCAGCTTTATGAAATTCTCTGCCTCAGCCTCCCGAATAGCTGGTATTACAGGTGCGTGCCACCACGCCTGCTAATTTTTTGTATTTTTAGTAGAGACGAGGTTTCAGCATCTTGGCCAAGCTGGTCTTGAACTCCTGACCTCGTGATCCACCCGCCTTGTCCTTGCAAAGTGCTGGGATTACAGGTGTGAGCCACCATGCCCCGCCACATGAAGCCTCTTTTATAAGGACCTTAATCCATCCCGTGGGAGGAACCCTCAAGTTCTAATCACCTCTTAAAGGCCCCACATCTTAATACTATCACATTGGCAATGCCAGGTTTTTGGAGGGGACACATTCAAACCATAGCACCTGCCTTCCCCAAACCACCCCAAATCCCTTGGTATCTGTGCTTCTATTCCTTCACTTCACCAAAACTTTTCTCAAGTCACCAGTGACTTCCTGGTTTTCGGTCCAGTGGGCTTTTCTCCATCCTTTTAATTCTTTGCTTTATCCTTCAACTTACGTGTTCTCAGCACCTCCCATCTGGCAGGTGCTGGGCTGAGGGTTAGAAGAGAGAGACGGCTCTGGTCCCTGGCCACTTATCCAGCCTGATGCTTCCCCTCCTCTTCCTCTTCACAGGGAAATTGGAGGCTCTCAGGACTGAATAGGTCCCCTCCACTCTGCCTGCTTCCACCCTCACATGGTCTCCAGGAAGACTCTGTTTTTGAACTGACTTCCACTTGGCTTTGGAATCCTTTCTCCCTCATTTCAGGATGTAGAGCCTACTTCCCTGATTAGCCCTTTAAAAATATACACAGGAGCTGGGGCACAGTGGCTCTCGCCTGTAATCCCAGCACTTTGGGGGGCCAAGGTGGGCAGATCAGCTGAGGTCAGGAGTTCGAGACCAGCCTGACCAACATGGTAAAACACCGTCTCTACTAAAAATACAAAAATTAGCTGGGCGTGGTGGTGCATGCCTGTAATCCCAGCTACTTGGGAGGCTGAGGCAGGAGAATCACTTGAACCCAGGAGGTGGAAGTTGCAATGAGCTGAGACTGCACCACTGCACTCCAGCCTGGGTGACAGACTGAGACCGTGTCTCAAGAAAAAAAAAAATGCCAGGCATGGTGGCTCACACCTGTAATCCCAGCACTTTGGGAGGCCGAGGCAGGCGGATCACGAGGTCAGGAGATCGAGACCAGCCTGGCCAACATGGTGAAACCCCGTCTGTACTAAAAATACAAAAATTAGCCAGGCATGGTGGCACACACCTGCAATCCTAGCTACTCAGGAGGCTGAGGAAGGAGAATTGCTTGAACTCAGGAGGCAGAGGTTGCAGTGAGCTGAGATCACACTACTGCACTCCAGCCTGGGTGACAGAGCAAGAGTCCATCTCAGGAAAAAAAAAAAAAAAAAAGTACACAGGGAACACTTGGGAAAAACAAGAACCACAAATAAGACAATTAGAATCACCCCAAGTCCCGCCCATCTACAGCTAAGTTCTGTCAGCCATTTGTCACATTTGGTGTATACTCAGGCTGTTTTCTACGTGCTGGTATGAGTGTATCTCCATGTACACGAGGGTACACATTTTTATTCTAGGGCAAGTCTGTCTTCTGCATTTTCGAGCTCTTCCTCCCTGCCAGCTCCTTCCTCATAGCCTGGAAAAGAGAGACTCTTTTCCCCACTTTTTAATGCAAGAATCTGGGGCTCATTGAAGTTAGGAGTGAGGGTGGTCCAAAGACCTGTGGACCAGTAAGAATTGCACATTCATTAAATGAGTGTTTATCAAGGGCCTGTGTGTGCCAGGTACTGGGCGACAGACATGAGGCCAAGAGACATATGGTCCTGTTCTCCTGAGGCTGCAGTCTACGCGGAGCTGAAGGTGAGTAGGTATCAGTTGGTGCTGCTTGGTGTACCAGCACTGTCCAGGAGAATCATCTCTGATAATGGAGATGTTCTATGTTGCACGGTCCATCACAGGCTCGAACACGTGGGGCTGCTGAGCATGACATGTGGTCAGTGCGACTGAAGATCTGAATGTCTCATATGGTTTAATTGTAATTCATTCAAATTTAAGTAGCCGCATGTGGCTAGCGGCTATTGTATCAGACAGCGCAGAGCTACCTGCGGAAATGCTCTGACACAGTTGGGGAGGGGGAGAGAGGCAGGAAGATGTTACTGAGGAAGGGATGTTGGAGTTGAGAGCTGGAGAGGGATTTACCACGAAGCCAGCAAAGCCGTGGCCGTTTTGTGTCATGCTGTTGTGTTCTTTTTCTTAAAGAAAGTCCCCAAGCTCTAGGCCCCACAAAACCTGGCTCTGCCCCTGGACTAAGTTAGACAGGGCCAGAGCACGTGCAAAGGCACGAAGAAGGGAGCGTGGCAGAGCGAAGGGACTGAACAGAGCAGTGACTGGGGGAGGGGGCGACGAGAACCTTGTGAAATCCCAGTAGACCCCTTCAGGCCAGCCTGGTGGCTCCAGGATCCCAGCCGGCACCAAGGACAGCAGCAGCAGCGTGGTGACTCCTCGTTCCTGAGCTGCTGTAGTGAGAGGGCAGACTCCGCGAGCAGCGGCTGCCTGGTCCTCTTGGCTCTGCACCGCTTTCTCCCCCTGTGAGTTCTGCCTTCTGTCGGTTTCAGCGTCTCTACCACCACAGCTTGTTGTGATCCTCCGGGATCCCCTGTGACTCCTGCTTTACTTTCTGGTCTCTGTCTTTGCTTGCGTTGAGCTCCAGCTTCCTCTCCTAAATGCCTTATTCTCAGGGTTTGACAGGAGCAAGAGTCTGATTGACCACCCTTGTCTTTCGGGGCCAGGCTGTGTCGTGGCAGCCACTGAATGAGCTGTGGGGGTCCGGGGCTTCCCACCCCCATCAGCTATGCCTGAGGGTGGCAACGGTCAGGACCTGCAAAATACCCACCCAGGAATCTGCCTTGGGGTTGGGGCATGGAGACCACAGATTGCATGAGGGTTTGCTTCTGTCTCTTTGTCTCTCCCTCAGGCTGAAGTCTATCCCTTTAGAGTAAAGATCCTGGGAAGAACTTGCTTACTCTTTGGTCTTTTTCCTTTACTTCCTCACCTTTCTGTCACACATTTTTTTCCTCTCACTTTTTTTTGGTTACCACCTTTGTATTTTATTTATTTATTTTGAGACAGAGTCTTGCTCTGTCACCCAGGCTGGAGTGCAGTGGCACAATCTTGGCTCACTGCAACCTCAGCCTCCTGGGTTCAAGTGATTCTCCCACCTTAGCCTCCTGAGTAGCTGGGGCTACAGGGGCGCGCCACCACACTTGGCTGATTTTTGTATTTTTAGTAAAGACGGGGTTTCACCATGTTGGCCAGGCTGGTCTCAAAGTCCTGACTTCGAGTGGAAGTCAGTGGGTGATCCGCCCACCTTGGCCTCCCAAAGTGCTGGGATTACAGGTGTGAGCCAACGTGCCCGGCCCCAACTTTGTATTTAAAAAAATTAAAAATTGGCCAGGTCCAGTGGCACATGCCTTGTAGTCCCAGCTACTCGGGAGGCTGAGGCAGGAGAATCGCTTGAACCCAGGAGGCAGAGGTTGCAGTGAGCCAAGATCACACCATTGCACTCCAGCCTGGGTGACAGAGAGACTCTGTCTCAAAAAAATTAAATAAAATAAAAAATTAAAAATCCACAGGAAGGTTGAAAGAAAGTACAGTGAACACCCAGACTTTTCACATAGATGAAGGCTCTCAACCCCAGCACCCTGGATGGTTTGGGCTGGATACTTCTTTGTGCTGGGGGAGTCTGGTGAATTATAGGATGTTTAGCAGCTTCCTCAGTGAGGATGCTATAGCCTCCCGCTGCTAGCACCCCCTTGGCTATGACAACCAAACAGACATTGCCAGATGTCCCCTCCAGGCAAAATTGCCCCCGTTGAGAGCCATTGATCTGGCTTTATGAATTAACATTTTGTGACATTTATTTATACACACTCTTCATATACGTATATATTATATGTAGATATCATACAAATGCATATATGTATATATACACAGAAAACATTTACATGAAGAAATTTGCATCCATGCAGTATTATTTAATGTATACTCTGTATTCACTATTCACTTTTTCCTAATTATCCCAATAATGTTTTTAATGGATTTTTTGATCAATGATCCAGATGATCCAGTCAAGGATCATATTGCATTTAGCTGTTATGTCTCTTTAGTATCTGGTAATCTGAAACAGTTCCCTCCTTTTTGTGGGGGGAGGAGTCTTTTATGACATTGACCTTTTTTTTTTTCTTTTTCTTTTTCTTTTTTTTTTGGCTCCCTCTGTTGCCCAGGCTGGAGCAGTGGCGCAATCATGGCTCACTGCAGCCTCAACCTCCTGGGCAGAAGCCATCCTCCCATTTCAGCTGTGACCACAGGCATGTGCCACCACACCCAGCTAATTTTTTTGTATTTTTTGTAGAGATGGGGTTTCACTATGTTGGCCAGGCTGGTCTCAAACTCCTGAGTTCAAGCGATCCTCCCACCTGGGCCTCCCAAAATGCTGGGATTACAAGCATGGGCCTCCATGCCCTGCCAACATTGACTTTTCTGAGAAGTCTTGGCCCGGTTGTTTTGTGGAATGTTCCTCTGCTCCCCCCGCCTTTTTTTTTTTTTTTTTTGAGACAGAGTCTCACTGTGTTGCCAGGCTGGAGTGCAGTGGCACCATCTCAGCTCACTGCAACCTCCGCCTCCCGGGTTCAAGTGACTCTCCTGCCTCAGCCTCCCAAGTAGCTGGGACTACAGGTGCCTGCCACCACGCCCAGCTAATTTTTGTATTTTTAGTTGAGACAAGGTTTCACCAAGTTGGCCAGGTTGGTCTCCATCTCTTGATCTCGTGATCTGCCTGTCTCAGCCTCCCAAAGTGCTGGGATTACAGATGTGAGCCACTGCGCCCGGCTGCTCCTCTGCCTTTTCAACCCATTGCATTTGGACATCTGCCCCCACTGCTCCAGTGGAGCAGCTTCATAGCTGCCTTTGTTCCATCAGTTCTAAGAGTCCATGGCTTTTAAGCCATTCCGTCACTTTATGTACCACTAAGAGAGAAGGAAGAAAAACACCCCAACGGTGTTTTTCACCCCATTTCACCCTTCTCAGCTCCTCCCACAACTTAGCTCCTCCTCTTCCTTCTGCCCCTAAAGGAAGGGAGGTCATTCCTGCGGTTCCTAACTCTGTTTAACAATGAAGTGCCATCTGTGGTGTGAGACATCGAGACATCGTGTTCAAGTGTGAAAGGAGGTCTTCGAATGGATGAAATTTGGTAATTGCCAAGGCGAATCCCCTGTTTTCACTCACTCCCGTCTTGCAACTCTGTCCTCTCTTGGTTGCTTTGACACCTTCTCTCTGGCTCTCCTCCTGTCTCTGACTGTTCCTCTACATCCTTTTGCTTCTTCTCTTCCTGTGGTCTCCACTGATGTGTTGGTCTCCCTGTGGCCCCCCTACCTCGGCTGTGCTCTGTACCTCTTCCCCCAACCCTTCACTGGCCTGTGCAGATGGGACCAGGGTGGGATCATGGGCTATACAACCACAGCTGGATGAACCAGACTTTCTCTCTGGAGCCATGAAGATGGCTGTGGAAAATCAGGGAGATGTCCTGCCTGATTTGGGGAGTGGAGAATTTGGGACTAGGGCTCAGAAGAGAGGTGTTGGCTGGGGGGTAGATTTAGGCACTGTCAACTGTAGGTCATGGTTGGATCCAAGAACTGGGAAGGGTAGTGTAGAGATAAGAAAGGAGTTAGAGGCCAGGCACAGTGGCTCTCGCCTGTAATCCCAGCACTTTGGGAGGCTGAGGCGGGAGGATCGCTTGAGCCCAGGAGTTCAAGACCAGCCTGGCCAACATGGTAAAACCCTGTCTCTACTGAAAATACAAAAATTACCCGGGTGTGGTGGTGGGCACCTGTAATCCTAGCTCCTCAGGAGGCTGAGGCACAAGAATCCCTTGAGCCCTGGAGGTGGAGGCTGCAGTGAGCCAAGATTGCACCACTGCACTTGGGCCTGGGCAACAGAGTGGGACTCCGTCTCAAAATACATACATACATAATTTTTTTAAAAAAAAAAAGGAGTTAGGAACCGCGGGAACAACCTCCCTTCCTTTAGGGGCAGAAGGAAGAGGAGGAGCTGTGAAAGTTGTGGGAGGAGCTGGGAAGGGTGAGGAGCCTGGAGAGGCATTTGTGGAAGAAAAGGAGGGTCTGCGGGGCCACGCACATTGCAGAGACGCCAGGGAGGATGAGGGACGGGGACAAGGACAAGGGTCCTCATCAGGCTCTGCTGAAAAATAGGAGCTGAGAGTAAATGTGGAAAGGAAGAACCAGGACCTTCAGCCGGTGCCAATAATAATAATAATAATAATAATAATAATAATGAGGGCACAGACACCTCCTGGTCTCTGAATGCTGGCCTGAGCTGTGCTGAAGCAGGCATGGCCAGTGCGTGCCCCCTCTCTGGGCCTCGGGAGGATGCAGGGGTGTCCTGAGTGGCCGTCAGAACCTAGAGATGCAGCCAGTTTGAAGCAGCGTCCCTGGAGTGGCTGCTGCTCCTGGAGACTGGGCAGAAGTGCAGGCAGAGCCACTGCTGCTGGGCTAGTGGGAGTGCGGCCTGTCCTGTCAGATGGACAGAGTGGACGTGGTTTTGATTTCTCTTCACCTGATGTTTCTTATCACACACAATCCCCGTTGGCCATTGGTCTTTAAAAGCAACAGTGGGGGTTGGGGAGAGGCACACTGTTCCCCTGCCTCAACACTTCCATGACGCCCATCCCGTTGCTCTTGGGATGAGACATGGGCCCACAAGTCCTGAGTGGCCTGGCCCTGCCCAGCCCCCACCCCGCTAGCCCTTCCTCACCCTCCTCCTCGCAGTCCAGTCACCCAAGCTCCCTTCTGCCTCTGCCCACCACACTGGTCTCCCTTCCCTCTGCCTAACTCCCGTTCATCCTCCAGCTCAGCTTTCTGTCCTCCAAGAGCAGCCCTCCCCGAGCCCTGGCAGGCAGGTCACCTGGCTACCTACACTCTTCAGTGCCCTGCATTTCCTCATACTTTTTTTGGAGATAGGGTTTTTCCCTGTCACCCAGGCTAGAATGCAGCAGCATGGTCACCACTCACTGCAGCCTCGACCTCCTGGGCTCAAGCGATCCTCCCACCTCAGCCTCCCCAGTCGCTGGGACTACAAGTGCATGCCACCACACCTGGCTAATTTTTTTTTTTTTTTTGTAGAGACAGGGGTCTTGCTCTGTTGCCCGGTCTGGTCTCCAACTCCTGGCCTCAAGTGATCCTCCCATCTCATCCTCCCAAAGTGCTGGGATTACAAGCATGAACCACCACGCCCAGCCTCTCCATACTTTACAACAAAATGGTGAATTGTACAATGGGTTGTTTATGGCTCTCTTCCCTGCTAGCGTGTAGCTCTCTGAGAGGAGAGCTTGTCAGCTTATTGATGGCTTTCTTGTTCCCAGCTATATTGCCAGCACCTTGACACATAAGTAAATATTTATGGAAGATTTTTATAACAAGTTATATTACAGTAACAAGTAACCCCCAAACCTCAGCAGCTTAATGCAACCAAGGTTTATTTCTTGTATAGGCTTTGCACCCATTGAGGGTAGATGGGGGAGGCTGCTCTCTGTCACCCTCCTCAGAAGTATAAATTGCACACAGACTCTTCTTATTTTATTTTTCTTTTTTTGCGATGGAGTCTCGCTCTGTCGCCCAGGCTGGAGTGCAGTGGCATGATCTTGGCTCACTGCAACCTCCACCTCCCAGGTTCAAGCGATTCTCCTGCCTTAGCCTCCCGAGTAGCTGGGACTACAGGTGCCCACCACCACGCCCAGCTAATTTTTGTACTTTTAGTAGAGACGGGGTTTCACCATGTTGGCCAGGATGATCTCGATCTCTTGGCCTTGTGGTCTGCCCACCTCGGCCTCCGAAAGTGCTGGGATTACAGGTGTGAGGCACTGCGCCCAGCCCACAGACTCTTACAGTTCTCACCTGGAGGGGAAGTTTAAGTGACAGGTGCCACTTCTCTTGTTTTGTTGGCCAAAGCACATCACATAGCCGCACTTCGCTTTCAGGGAGCAGGGAAAAATGATGACACAACAGGCCCCAGAGGAGAACCAGAAATAGCGGCTGGACAGCACTCACTCCCTCAGACAGGCGCCACTTTTGTAATGAATTTTTTTTCTTTTTTTGAATGGAGTTTTGCTCTTGTTGCCCAGGCTGGAGTGCAATGGCATGATCTTGGCTCACCACAACCTCCCCTCCCCAGTTCAAGTGATTCTCCTGGCTCAGCCTCCTGAGTAGCTGGGGTTATAGGTAACCCTACCATGCCCAGCTAATTTTTTTTGTATTTTTAGTAGAGACGGGGTTTCACCATGTTGGCCAGGCTAGTCTCGAACTCCTGACCTCAAGTGATCCACCTGCCTCGGCCTCCCAAACTGCTGGGATTATAGGCATGAACCACCGCACCCAGCCTGTAATGAATTTTTTAAAATTCAGAAAACAATTTAAAAAAGCACAAGGCTGAGAGACAGCTGGCATCAGGAGCTGGGTGGAAGAAGAGGTGGCATGATTGGTACTTATTCCTCAACTTGCTGTTTCTGTGCACTGTGTTTAATTTCTCCAGCCGCCTGTAGAGGTGTCCAAAGCCTTTGGGATGCCTGAACAAAGCACGGAGCTTCAAGTCTCAAAACTCTTCTTAATCTCTGATCGCATTTGTTTCTGCACCTCCAACTCCTAGAGAAATTGTTGAAATAAGATGTCGGTCGTGAAATATTTTCTTTTGATTAGTGCTTACATTTATCAAAATGCAATTCATAATTCAGCATTTACACTATTATTTGTGTTGAGACAGTGTGCTTCCTGATTTCTTGTGTGAAAAAAAAAAGTGGAGGCCAGGCATGGTGGCTCATGCCTGTAATCTCAGCACTTTGGGAGGCTGAGGTGGGCAGATCACCTGAAGTCAGGGGTTCAAGACCAGCCTGGCCAACACGGCGAAGCCTCGTCTCTACTAAAAATACAAAAATTAGCCGGTTGTGGTGTTGGATGCCTGTAATCCCAGCTATTCGGGAGGCTGAGGCAGGAGAATCGCTTGAGCCCAGGAGGCAGAGGTTGCAGTGAGCTGAGATGGCACCACTGCACTCCAGACTGGGCGACAGAGTGAGATTCCATCTCAAAGAAAAAGAAAAAGAAAGTGGAAGATTTTTTTCAATTGCAAAAATTCTTAGGAGTTCAGCCTTCCCATTTGTTCAAAGCAGAATTAACAACAAGAGAATCTCACGGAGCATGATGTCTTCTGTGATGTCTTCTTCTCCTGCCCTGGCAGAGTCATGGAGCCTTGGAGATTACCCTCCAGCCCTCAGAGCAGTGTGCAGCCAAAGTTGGTCCCTGGAAGCTCGCACACAGGCCCAACCCAGACCCCGGGTCCTGCCTCTATGGCTGCAGGCAGGTCTATCCACCCTGCTGCAAAGTGGCCTTTCATAACCCTGGGGGCAGTTCTTTGTGAAGAGGGATGCCTCAGACACCCAATCCCTTCAGACGCTTTTTACTTGACATGACCCCCTCTTAGGTCGCCCTCTTTTGGATGCAGCCAGTTTGTCATTGTGCCTCTAGCTAAGATGGGACCTCCACAGTTGGTTATGTGATTTCATAGTGCAGTGAGGTTCTGGGCTCCTGAAATCTGGCTGGTAGACCATCCCTCCCTGCCAAGCATGAGGCTTTTAGAATAGATTCATTTTTCCTTTAAAATAGATCAAAGTGGCCAGGCATGGTGGCTCATGCCTGTAATTCCAGCATTTCGCGAGGATGAGGCAGGAGGATCACTTGAGGCCAGGAGTGCAAGACCAGCCTGGCCAACAGAGAGAGACCCTGTCTCTACAAACAAATTAAAAAATTAGCCAGATGTGGTGGGTCATGCCCCTAGTCCCAGCTACTTGAGAGGCTGAGGCGGGAGAATTGCTTGAGCCCAGGAGTTCGAGGCTCCAGTGAGCTGAGATTGCACCACTGCACCCCAGCCTAGGTGACAGAGTGAGACCTTGTATCTCAAAAAAAAAAAAAAAAAAAAAAAGCCAACGTGGTGGCTCAGGCCTGTAATCCCAGCACTTTGGGAGCCTGAGGCAGGCGGATCAACTGAGGTCAGGAGTTCGAGGTCAGACCAACATGGCAAAACCCCGTCTCTACTAAAATCACAAAAAATTAGCTGGGTGTGGTGGTGGGCACCTGTAATCTCAGCTACTTGGCAGGCTGAGGCAGGAGAATAACTTGAATCCAAGAGGTGGAGGTTGCAGTGAGCCGAGATCATGCCACTGCCCTTCAGCCTGGGTAACAGAGTGAGATTCTGTCTCAAAAAAAAAAAAAAAAACATAAAAAATTTAAAAAATAGATCAAGGTTCAGTGCAGCCACTGTGGAAAACAGTTTGGGATATTCCTCAAAAAGTTAAACATAGAACATGACCCAGCAATTCCCCTTCTAGGGGTATACTTAAGAGAAATGAAAGCAGGGAGCCAAACAGATACTTGTCCGCAATTTCCATTGCAACATTATTCACAATGACCAAAAGGTGGAATCAAACCAAGCGTCCATGAGCAGACAAATGGATAAACAGATGTGATGCGTTCACTCAATATTCAGCCCTAAAGAGGAAGGAAATCCTGACACATGCTACAACAGTGATGAACCTTGAAAACATTCTGCTGAGTGAAATAAGCCAGACCCAAAAGGACAAATATTCTATGACTCACCTAGATGAGTAATTTAGAATAGGTGAGTTCATTGACACAATGTAGAATAGTGCTGGTGGTGGTGGTGGTGGTGGTGGTGGTGGTGGTGGTGGTGGTGTGTGGGAGGGGGGTGTTGCTGAGGAGGGGCTGGAATGGAAACTCATTATTGTTTGTTTTTGTTTTTGTTTTTTTTTGAGACAGAGTCTCGCTCTGTCACCCAGGCTGGAATGCAGTGGCACAATCGTGCCTCACTGAAACCTCCACCTCCCAAGGCTCAAGTAATCCTCAGGCCTCAGCCTCCCAAGTAGCTGGGACTGGGACTGCAGGGTGTGTCACCACACCTGGCTGGGAAGTTATTGTTTAGAGCATTTGTTTGGGATGATGAAAAGGTTCTAAATGCATGTCAGTGATTGTTACACAACATTGTGAAGGGTCTTAATGCTGCTAATTTATACACTTAAGCATGGTTAAAATGGTAAATTTTATGTATATTTTACAACAATACAAAATACAAAATAAAATCAAGGCTTCTCCCTTTTTGTTCCAGGTCTCTGAGAGAGGTGGCGGCGGAGGGACAGCAGATGCAGGGCAGAGGCCCCCATGCCCCGAGGCTTTCTCTCTGCGTGGGGGCAGGGTGGGGTGGGTGGCAGATAGAAGGGAGAGGCTTTCTCAGAAGGACCGGCCACCACCCCAGTCCTTTGCTCGAAGCCTTCTCTCCCCTCGCGGCGCAGAGAAGCCAATCCTCCCTCTGCCCCTGCACACCTTGCCCCCCAGTCTCAAGGCCACACCTGGGCTACTAGTCACCTGGCCCACCCCACTCCTTTACCCTCTGAGGCCTCGAACCCACCTCCCACAGAAAACAGTCCACACCTGCCTGCTCGCCCTTCACCGCTCCTGACACACCCAGCTGGAATCTACATTTCCTTATTCGCACCTTGGATCTGTCATGCGGTGAACAGCCGTCTGCAGTTATTTCAATTTTGTGTGTTCTCTCCCTGACTAGGATATAGAAGGTAGGATATAGACTAGGAGGTAGAGAAGCTGTGATGAGACGTCAGGCTGGAGGCAGAGCCTCAGAGTGCAGACTCGGGGAGGCCATGCAAACTGCGGCTGCGAGCTCAGGGGCTCACTCATGTGTCCCCAGTCACTGTCATGCGGACTGTCATCGTATTTGCCAAAAACGCTTCACAAGGGGAGCTATAAACAGCAGTGTCCACCCAATAGGGCCCACGCCTTGACCTTGGAGTTGAATCGTCAGCACCACTTGACCGCTTCTCTCTGTGTCCTTCACCCTTGACCTCTTTGACAGTGTGGTGCCGGGTGTGTGCAGCCTGAGGGAATCTGTTCCGGGACGTGGTTGAGCTCCATCTGCCCTGCTAAATTCAGCCTCCAAGAGCCCATATGGCAACGCCGCAGCTTGAGGCCGCCGTACAGCCAGGCTGTGTGTGCGTGTGTGCACACTCTGTGTGTGTGTCCATGTGCGTGCATCCGTGTGCTTGTGTGCGTGTGTCTGTGTGCATGCATGTGCGTGTGCCCGTGTGCATGCGTACACTCTGTGTATGTCCATATGCATGTGTGCGTGTGTCTGTGTGCGTGCGTGCACACTCTGAGTGCATGTGTACACTGTGTGCGTGTGTGTTGTGTGTGTCCACACCACCACCAAGTGAGCTCAGATGGAGGACAGAAGAGTTTGAAGGTGTGGCTAATGTTGATCTTGAGAGGCGATGAAAGGGCGGCGCAGGGTGTGGGAGGGACGGGCCCCTAGGTTGCTGTGGTGGAGAGAATCCCTTGGCCCAGCTTTGCTTTGATGGATGGGTCAGCTGAGGTTCTCCTGGTTTAGGCCTCTGGTCAAAATGCAGCAGCCTGCTGACAGGTCCTTCCCTTGAATGACAAGTCTGGCTCACCACGGTGCCCAGTCAGAGGCATCTGCCCCTGTACCCCAGATCTTTGCATTTTACCCAGAGCCCTCCATTCATGGGCTCTACTGCAGTCTCTGTCTCCCCAGTGCCGGTAAGTTGACCTCAGCCCTCTGTAGGCTCCACGGACGGACAAGGAAGGTCGAGTGCCTTCTCCAGCTCCACCTTGGGCGGCCACCATGGCTCCTGCAGCCAGTCCACCCAGAATGTCTCCAGCTGCCACCATGTACAGAAGATGGGGGCAAGAACCGCCTGTTAAGAGCTGAATGTTTTTGTTCCTTCCCTCTTCAGTTCATTTGTTGAACCCCTAACTCCAAATGTAATGGTATTTGGAGGCGGGGCCTTTGGGAGGTAATTAGGGTTAGATGAGGTCACGAGGGTTGTGACGGTGAATATTGGGTGACTGCATTGAGGAATGCCTAGATGGCTGGTAAAGTACCCTCCTGGGTGTGTCTGTGAAGATGTCGCCAGAGGAGATTGATATTGGAGTTGAGGACTGGGAGAGGAAGACGCACCCTCATTGTGGGTGGGCACCATCCAGTCGGCTGCCAGGGCAGCTAGAACAAAGCAGGCGGAAGAAGAGGGATAGCTTTGCTGGCTGAGTCTTCTGGCTCTATTTTTCCTTCTAGTGCTGGATGCTTGCTTCCCCACCTCCTGCCCTCGGACAGCAGACTCCAGGTTCTTTGGCCTTTGGACTCTGGGACTTGTACCAGTGACTTCCCAGGGGCTCTCAGGCCTTCAGCTGCAGACTGGAGGGTGCACTGACGGCTTCCCTGGTTTTGAGGCTTTCAGACTCGAACTGAGCCACTACCGGCTTCTCTCTTTCCCTAGCTTTCAGACAGCCTATCGTGGGACTTGGCCATGTAATCGTGTGAGCCAGTTCTCCCTAATAAACTCCCTTTCGTATATACATGTATCTTATTGGTTCTGTCTCCCTGAAGAACCCTAACGCAAGTGTGGAATCCCCATGATGGGATTAGTGTCCCTTTCACTTGCGTAAAGAGACCACCAAACAGGCTTTGTGTGAGCAACAAGGCTGTTTATTTCACCTGGGTGCAGGCGGGCTGAGTCCGAAAAAGGAGAGTCAGTGAAGGGAGATAGGGGTGGGGGCCGTTTTGTAAGATTTGGGTGGGTAGTGGAAAATTACAGTCAAAGGGGGTTGTTCTCTGGCAGGCAGGGGCAGGGGTCACAAGGGCTCAGTGGGGGAGCTTTTGAGCCACGATGAGCCAGGAGAAGGAATTTCACAAGGTAATGTCATCAGTTAAGGCAGGGACTGGCCATTTTCACTTCTTTTGTGGTGGAATGTCATCAGTTAAGGCAGGAACAGGCCTTTCTCCCCCGCCCACCCCCAGACGGAGTCTCGCTCTGTCGCCCAGGCTGGAGTGCAGTGGCGCAACCTTGGCTCACTACAAGCTCCGCATCCCGGGTTCACACCATTCTCCTGCCTCAGCCTTCTGAGTAGCTGGAACTGCAGACACCCGCCACCACGCCCGGCTAGTTTTTTTGTATTTTTAGTAGAGGCAGGGTTTCACTTCACTGTGTTAACCAGGATGGTCTCGATCTCCTGACCTTGTGATCTGCCCGCCTCGGCCTCCCAAAGTGCTAGGAGTACAGGCATGAGCCACCACGCCTGGCCAAGAACAGGCCATTTTCACTTCTTCTATGATTCTTCAGTTACTTCAGGCCATCTGGATGTATACGTGCAGGTCACAGGGGATATGATGGCTTAGCTTGGGCTCAGAGGCCTCACAGTCCCTTTAAGAACAGGCACCAGAGAGCTTGCCCTCTCTCTCCACGTGTACACACGAAGAAGGGGTCACGTGAACACAGCAAAATGGCGGCCACCTACAAGCCAAGAGAAGAGGCCTGGGAATGAAATCTCCCTCCTCTGGCCAGGCGCGGTGGCTCACACTTGTAATCCCAGCACTTCGGGGGGCCAAGGCGGGCGGATCACAGTGTCAGGAGTTCGAGACCAGCCTGGCCAATATGGTGAAACCCTGTCTCTACTAAAAAAAAAAAAAATACAAAAATTAGGCATGATGGCGCGGGCCTGTAGTCCCAGCTACTCAGGAGGCTGAGGCAGAAGAATTGCTTGAATCTGGGAGGCGGAGGGTTGCAGTGAGCCGAGATTGCACCATTGCACTCCAGTCTGGGCAACAGAGCAAGTTCCGTCTCAAAAAAAAAAAAAAAAAAAAAAAAACAAGGAAGAGAGACCTAACTTGACACAGTCTCTTGCCCTTTCACCATGCGATGCCCTTCACAGTGTTACAAAGCAGCAAGAAGGCCCTTGAAACATGCCGGCGCCATGCACTCAGACTCCCAGCCTCCAAAACTGTAAGAAATAGTTTCTTATCTTTATAAATTATCCAGTATATGGATTTTGTTATAGCTACAGAAAACAGATGAAGACAACAGGCTATGTGGTTAGCATAGTGCCTAGCATGTGGTAAATACACAATACATGTTAGTGTTCTCAAGGACTAATTAAGGAATGTGTCACTGACACAGCCTGCTATTCAGACTGTGGGTTTGCTTTCTTCCTACCTTCAAGTTTGTTCCCACATACAAATCCTGTGAAGTTAACTATTTAAAATTCTCAACAGAAACTTAATTCTGTACATCAGAATGGAAAGTTTAAAGTCAAAGCCAGGCATGGTGGCTCACACCTGTAATCCCAGCACTTTGGGAGGCTGAGGCAGGTGGATCACCCGAGGTCAGGAGTTTGAGACCAGCCTGGTCAACATGGTGAAACCCCATCTCTACTAAAAATACAAAAATTAGCCGGTTGTGGGGGCAGATGCCTGAAATTCCAGCTACTTGGGAGGCTGAAGCAGGAGAATTGCTTGAACCCGGGAGGTGAATGTTGCAGTGAGCCGAGATTGTGCCATTGGACTCCAGCCTGGGCAACAAGAGCAAAACAACGTCTCAAAAAAAAAAAAAAAAAAAAAAAAAAGTCGAACAAACTGACAATTAGGACTATGCAGAGAGTGCTGAAGAAGTGTGCGTTAATGTCCTTGAGCTCAAAGACCTTCCATTTTTCAAACATTTAGCTTTGAAAGAAAGAATAGATGCACAGACCTTGAGTCTGAAATAGCAGGGAACATCAGTTCAGCTGGCACTGCCCTGTCACAAGGGGCTGTGGGGCTGGGGTGTGGGGGTAGAGTGAAGCACAGCTCAGGAAATGGTTACAATTTTGTGGTAGGAGTGATAAGTTTGTCCTCAAAGCTGAAGGTAAGAATATGCGTTTACAACAGATCTGCTCACTTCAGAATGGCAATGGTGCAACAGAATCTTAAAAACAACAACGATGCACATTTTCCTCAAAATAAAATTCGAAGAACAAATGAAATGGAACTCCAGTGGCGTTCTAGGTCCCAGGAACTCAGGACTTCTTGCCATTCCATTGTTAAACCCTCTGAACTCTTCTGAGGCGGTCGCCGTGGGCATGGGTTTTGTTTTCCATAAGACATTAAGATAAGTGCCACAAAATTCTCTTTGTTTAAATCTACTTCTGTTCTCATGGTAACGGAGGGTCCATCAGCACCAAAATATATAAAGGCACCAAGGCAGCGTGAAGATGTTACTACGACAACTGGAATTTAGAGGAGACATTTTTAAAGGCGTGTGGGAGGCTTTCACTTCGCTTTCTTCATGAAAGCCTGGGCAGGATGAGTCAGGCATTTTAGAAAACAGGGGTACGGGGGTACCCTGGGGTCTAAGGTCTGGGTGGTTCCACAGTCACAGTGCTGGCTGGGACATGGGATGACAAAGAGTGTTGGCTACAGAATTCTGTGAAATCTCTTCAGCGAAAGGTTGCTCTCTTATCAGGAATTATATAGAGAGATCTTTGTGTTGAGAGGAGGTGGGATTGAGGAGTATTTGCGGAGATGAACTCTAAATTTTAGTCTTCATGGAATTTGTAAATACAAGAAGACTAGGAGAAACAATCTTACATTTAAAAAGGTCCATTCAGGCCAGGTGCGGTGGCTCACGCCTGTAATTCCAGCACTTTGGGAGGCCGAGGCAGTGGATCACCTGAGGTCAGGAGTTCAAGACCAGCCTGGCCAACATAGTGAAACCCCGTCTCTACTAAAAATAAAAAAATTAGCCGGGCATGGTGGCACACGCCTGTAGTCCCAGCTACTCAGGAGGCTGAGGCAGGAGAATCGCTTGAACCCGGGAGGTGGAGGTTGCAGTGAGCAGAGATCACACCACTGCACCCCAGTTTGGGCAACAGAGTGAGACTTTGTCTCAAAAATGTAAATAAAAATATAAAAAAAATTTAAAAGGCCCATTCTCTGCCGGGCACAGTGGCTCATACCTGTAATCCCAGCACTTTGGGACGCCAAGACAGTCGGATCATGAGGTCAGGAGATCAAGACCATCCTGGCCAATATGGCGAAACCCCGTCTCTAAAATATAAAAATTAGTCAGGCGTGGTAGCGGGCGCCTGTAATTCCAGCTACTCGGGAGGCTGAGGCAGGAGAATCGCTTGAACCTGGGAGGTGGAGGTTGCAGTGAGCCAAGGTCAAGCCACTGCACTCCAGCCTGGGCGACAGAGCAAGACTCCATCTCAGGAAAAAAAAAAAAAAAAAAAAAAAGTCCATTTTCAAAGTAAATGAATAGTCTGTTCTCCAGTTTGGAATGTACAGGTACTACCAGGAACTTGAAAAGGATGTGACATTTCCATTTTCCTTTGAGGTTGTGAATTTATTTCTCATCCTGGGCCTAACAGAGCTAAAAATGTTGTCTTTGTTGTTATGTTTACTGTATATGCCTAATTTCAGTATTAGGGCTACAGCAGATCTGTGGACCAGCTGAGGGATGCCAGCCTTCTGCATGTGGCACCGGAAAAACCTCACACTCCGGGGTGAGCTCTGTGTCCTAGGCCCTCAGAGCCCCCTTCCAGTCCTTCGTGATGACTGCCTAGCCCAGCCAGCCCTCCCAGTTAATGGTGTTCATTTTCACCTGTTTGGGGTGATTTGACATTGCCCCCGTATCTGCCTGTTCTTCTCTGAAATGTCTCCTTAAGGCAGTCACTTCTGGCCGGGCACAGTGGCTCACCCCTGAAATCCCAGTACTTTGGGAGGCTGAGGCGGGTGGATCAGTTGAGGCCAGGAGTTCAAGACCAGTCTGGCTAACATGGCGAAACCCCATCTCGACTAAAAATAAAAAAATAAAAATTAAGGGCCAGACATGGTGGCTCTCGCCTGTAATCCCAGCACTTTGGCAGGCCAAGGTGGGCAGATCACTTGAGGCCAGGAGTTCGAGACCAGCCTGGCTAGCATGGCAAAATCCCGTCTCTATTCAAAATACAAAAATTAGCCTGGCATGGTGGTGCATACCTGTAGACCCAGCTACTTGGGAGGCTAAGGCATGAGAATCGCTTAAACTTAGGAGGCAGAGGTTGCAGTGAGCCGAGATGGTGCCATTGCACTCCAACCTGGGTGACAGAGCAAGACCCTGTCTCAAAAAAGCAAAAAAAGAAAAATTAGCTGGGCCTGGTGGCGTGCACCTGTAGCCCCAGCTACTCAGGAGGCTGAAGCTCAAGAATCCTTGAACCAGAGAGGTGGAGGTTGAAGTGAGCTGAGATTGCACCACTGCACTCCAGCCTGGGCAACAGAGCAAGACTCTGTCCCAAAAAAAAAAAAAAAAAAAAAAAAAGTCACTTCTCTTGGCCTCACGATGTAACCACAGTTAATTGAATGTGGCCCAGGCACAGGTCATATGAAGGTCTCTGGTAGAGTCAGGACCTTCCTAGTCAGCTCCAGAGGGATCTCAGGCAGGAGTTATGCAGCTCAGAGCAAGAAGCCTGGGTAGAGAAGCTTCTGTACACAGATTTCTTTAATTCTCCCAATAACCCTAGGGAAGAAGTAACCTGTCCAAGGTCACAGAGGAGTCCAAGGTCACTGATAAGTGAAATTGAAGCCTGGGAGAGGGTGACAGTGTAAGTTTCCACCAGCTGACATTAGAGTTGAGGGAACCTGGAGCATCTTGCTGTGACTTTGCCATTTTGGCTCTTGGGCCCTACATCATTGGGTGGGGCTTACAGAGAAGTTGCAGATCCTGCAGAGATTCACTGATGCTTTGCCATATTCTGGCAGATATTACTCATGTTTTTTATCTTCTGTATTTTGTGATGCTTGACATCTTGGGGGCCTTGTGAACCTGGAGAGAGACTGCTCTTATGCCAGGGCTAGTTAATGCCTAGAAATAGCAGACAACTCACCTAGAAGCCTGACTTTCATATGCAAACCAGCCACCTCTTCACCCTGTCACGCAGGCTCGAGTGGCAGTGCCACGATCATGGCTCACTACAGGCTTGGCTGCTTGGGCTCAAGCCACCTTCCCACCTCAGCCTCCTGAGTAGCTGGGACTGCAGGTGTACACCACCATGCTTGGCTAATTTTTAAAATTTTTAGTAGAGATAAGGTCTTGCTATGTTACCCAGGCTGGTCTCAAACTCCTGGGCTCAAGCAATCCTCCTGCCTTGGCCTCCCAAAGTGTTGGGATTCCAGGTGTGAGCCACTGAGCCCGGCCCAGACCAGCTCCTTCTGAGTCTACACTCTTGATCTGTGTCCTTTGATCAGGACTGGCTCCTGCAGTCCAGCACATTATCCCCTGGTCTGAATCACCCCAAGACCAGGTAGCAGACAACTAGGGACCACCCCTGGAGCCCACCAAAATTATTCAAACTATCTCATCCAGAGCCTGCTCAGCTTGCATACCCCACCTTGTGCATGATTTCCCACAAAACTCCGGCCCGTGTTTCCACCCCATAAACCCTTCAGCCCATAAATGCTCCAGCCCATGTTCCCCTCTTACCGCCTCTGCCTCCTGACCAACCCTGGTGCTGCCCTGTGTGAGCCTGTGTGGTGTGGTGTGCCCCTTCCTCATGGGAACTGTGAGTAACAAACTACTTTTTCAAAGGCAGTTATCCCCTGCGCTGTTGCTCTCTTTGAAAAACAAAGCCCCAGGTTCATTTTAAGCCATAGGAGAGAGGGATGAGGAGGGCCAAAGTGGGCCACTCTCATTGAAGCTGTCCCCTCTCCCATTTACAGGGGGCGTCCTGCGCGTCACCTGTCTGCCTCTTACATTAGGGTGAGTGGCCTTTTCTCCCCCTTTCTCTAGCTCCTGCCTCTTCTTTTTTTTTTTTTTTTTTTTTTGAGACGGAGTCTGGCTCTGTCGCCCAGGCTGGAGTGCAGTGGCATGATCTTGGCTCACTGCAAGCTCCGCCTCCTGGGTTCACGCCATTCTCCTGCCTCAGCCTCCCGAGTAGCTGGGACTACAGGCACCCACCACCATGCCCGGCTAATTTTTTGTATTTTTAGTAGAGATGGGGTTTCACCGTGTTATCCAGGATGCTCTCGATCTCCTGACCTTGTGATCCACCCGCCTTGGCCTCTCAAAGTGCTGGGATTACAGGCATGAGCCACCGCACCCGGCCAAGCTCCTGCCTCTTCTACCCTTTCCCCTAAAGCCCAAAGGCTAAGCCTGGGTTCACGGAGAGGCCAGGCCTGGGACGAGATCAAGGCTGTGACCTATTTAGTTTCCTCCATTTCCCGTCCTCTCACATCAGTGCCTGCTCGAATCCACCAGAGCTCTGGGGAGAATGTATTTGCATCCAGAACTTTTTCCAGCCACAAGGTGTGAAAACTCCATGTGAAGTTGTGTCTCCTCACATTGTGGATCTGGCAGCCTCAGTGGGGTGGCTTGGCTGGGGACAAGGCCCAGGAGCATGGCAGGGGCGTGCCGTTACCCACATCTTCCCAGCTCCCCGGGCCCTCCTGGGATGAGCAGGCCGTCTTTCAGCCCAGGGCCACATGCTGTCACCAGGTCCCTGACCTTTCTCTCACTTATACAATTAATTTATGCAACTTGAATCATCAGCTCTGTTTTCAGCATTTACGGGCTTGCTATTCTTTTCTTTTTGAGATGGAGTTTCGCTCTTGTCACCCAGGCTGGAGTGCAATGGCACAATCTTGGCTGCAACCTCTGCCTCTCAAGTTCAAGCAATTCTCGTGCCTCAGCCTCTGGAGTAGCTGGGATTACAGGCGTCTGCCACCACGCCCAGCTAATTTCTGTATTTTTAGTAGAGACGGGGTTTCACCATGTTGGCCAGGCTGGTCTTGAACTTCTGACGTCAAGTGATCTACCTGCCTCAGCCTCCCAAAGTGTTGGGATTACAGGCATGAGCTACCATGCCTGGCCTGGTCTTGCTCTTCTTAGCAGACTATTTATAGTTTGGAATGGTAGTGAGAGTAACAGTATGATGACCCAGGACAATGACAACACTGATCAAATTGACAGAGCATGTGACATGGGCTGGTTCTTTCATCGCAGAGTAGCCGCACAGGTGAATTTGGTTGCAGCAGGAGAGGCAGCAATGAAGAAGAAAAGCTGGATGGAAGGGAATACTGGAGAAAGGGCTGTGGCCTGGCTGTGATGGCTTGGAGGGCCAGGTGAAGGGCTCAACCCTGATTCTGTGGGATGCAGTCCCTCCCAAAGGTCTGAGAAGGGCGTGGCCAGGTGTGTGTGTGAGAGAGGACCTTCATGATGGAGGCCATATTTATGGGGACAGGAAGAAATGGGGAAATCACTGCCAGAGCCCAAGTGAAGATGAGCACGCCAACGGGCCTGGGGAGCAAACAGCACAGGAGCCCCAGAGACATTGTAGAAGCAATGGAATGGGTCCTTGTCATCCATGAGGAGCACTTTTGCAGACCTTCAGGAATCCCCGGCTTTAAGAGCATCACCCATTGGGCTGAAGGTGCTGCGGGCGGTCGACGCTCCCTTGCTAAACGATTCATTTCCCTGTCAGCAACCTGGATGCCTGAAGCACACGTTCCTGCCAGGCCTCTGCAGTACCCCAAATGCCTGAGGGCAAAGACTTTCAAATTACTCGCAGTCACAAGTTTGGGTTGGGACACAAACAGGAAGGTGGTGTCAAATATGAGTTCTGATTTTGAGCCCAGGTAAGTAGGAAGATGGCGCCCAAGACAGAGAGACAAAGGCGGAGTGTTAATGAACAAAAGTGATGACTTCTCTTTGGACCTGTTGACCTTGAGGGTCCTGAGGAGCACCTAAGTGACAATATTTGCAGGAGCTGCATTAAGCTCCTTGTCTGCACAAGGCTGACAGGTCATTTACGGCCATATGTCACATTCTGCATGGGAGAGTTGGCAGAGCTCCCCCAGATGAAGTTAGAATTACTTTCTGAGATGAAAATTTAGACTCAAAATGTGAGAGAAGACATTGGCTAGATAGAGAAAACAAATAACAAAAGGCATTTGTAGCAAGAGTGACTGAAAGGTTAGGACCACCCCACAAAGCAGTTGGGGTGACTGCACAAGAACTGTGGGGACATGTAGGATGAATCCTGCCTCAGGAGAGAGGAAGCATGAGGCTCTTCCCTCTTAATTTTTAATTTTTTAAAATTTCGAGACAGTCTTGCTCTGTCACCCAGGCTGGAGTGCGGTGGTGCAATCTCGGCTCATTGCAACCTTCACCTCCTGGGTTCAAGCAATTCTCCTGCCTCAGCCTCCCGAGTGGCTGGGACTACCAGGCACGCACCACCACGCCCAGCTGATTTTTTTTGTATTTTTAGTAGGGACGGGGTTTTGCCATGTCGTCCAGGCTCATCTCAAACTCCTGAGCTCAGACCATCCGCCCGCCTCAGCTTCCCAAAGTGCTGGGATTACAGGCATGAGCTACCGTGCCCAGCCCAGGCACCTCCCTTCTCTAGCTGCATCTCTCTGCTCCTTCTGACACCTGCCGGCTGGCTAGGTGTGAAAAGCTTCCTGACCACCTCCCCCAACCTACCCTGACCCTCTGGGGCCCATACTTTCTGCTTTCCAGAAAAGTAGTTTTTTTATCTGACAAATTCCTTCCCAAACTCTTAATTCTCTTCCAACCTCTCTCAGCCTGGACTTTGCGCCCTCTATTTTGTTTTTGCTCTCACAACCCCATGCCAATTATTCATAGTTATTGATTTTTGTTCAGGCTGTTTCTTTTTTCTTTTTTCTTTCTTTTTTTTTTTTTTTTTTTTGAGATGGGGGTCTCACTCTGTCACCCAGGTTGGAGTGCAGTGGCACAGTCTTGGCTCACTGCAGTCTCAACCTGCTGGGTTCAAGCCATCCTCCTATCTCAGCCTCCTGAGTACCTGGGATTACAGGCACACACCATGCCCGGCTAATAGGCTTTTTCATTTAAAAGTATTTTTACTTTTGGCCAGGCACAGTGGCTCACGCCTGTAATCCCAGCACTTTGGGAGGCTGAGGCTGGTGGATCTTGAGGTCAGGAGATCGAGACCATCCTGGCTAACACAGTGAAACCCGGTCTCTACTAAAAATAGAAAAAATTAGCCAGGTGTGGTGATGGGTGCCTGTAGTCCCAGCTACTCAGGAGGCTGAGGCAGGAGAATGGCGTGAACCCATTAGGCGAAGCTTGCGGTGAGCCAAGATCGCGCCGTTGCACTCCAGCCTGGGTGACAGAGTGAGACTCCATCTCAAAAAAAAAAAAAAAAAGTATTTTTACTTTCATTTTCATTTGATCCCACAAAAACTTTGTGAGGTTGGCACATCACTGGGAGTAGTTCCTTTTTACAGGTAAGGAAACTAAGCCCAGAGGTTGAGAAACTTGCCCAAGGTCATACAAAGAACCTAAATCTGATCCTTTTTCAGGGTCCTTAGACCCCAATATCCATGAGTAAAATTAATAGCATTTTGCCTACTTTAAAATATATTTATACTTATTCCTTTGCCACACCTGGAATACCTGCCCACCCACCCAACCCTCTAACCCACCTACTGCTCACTCCAACCTCCCAACTTGGAGTTTCTACTTCTCCTTCAAAGCTCAGCTGAAATATCACCTGCTCAGTAAGGAGTTCCCCCCTTACCCAGGGAAGGGCAATCAGATCCTCACTCAAAGTCCAGGGCAGGAGCATCTTCTCTGCGTGTGCCCAGGACAGGAGTCCACACCCAGCTCCCGGGAGGCTGGGAAGGCAGCGTCTGGACCTTCTAGCTTCTGGGAAGGCAGTCTCTGCCTGTCCTGAGACTCATGAGGCAAGGAATGCCCAGGAGCCAGATATGGGGTGTTCAGGAGCTGAGTAATGAGAAGAATGACAGATGCTCACCAGAGCCCACATCTCCGGCTGCTTGGCAATGAAAAAAATTCTCCCCATTTTCATACTTCAAAAATGAAAATGTTGTCGCTGATACAAAGATATAATCCTTTGTATAATCAGAAGTGGGCTGGGCATGGTGGCTCACACCTGTAATCCCAGCACTTTGGGAGGCTGAGGTAAGCTAATCACCTGAGGTCAGGAGTTCGAGACCAGCCTGGCCAACATGTGAAACCCCATCTCTACTAAAAACACAAAAATTAGCCAGGCATGGTGGCGCATGCCTGTAATTCCAGCTACTTGGGAGGCTGAGGCAGGGGAATCACTTGAACCTGGGAGGCAAAGGTTGCAGTGAGCCGAGATCGCACCATTGCACTCCAGCCTGGGTGACAGAGCGAGACTCCAGCTCAAAAAAAAACCAACAACAACAAAAAAACAAACAAACAGAAAGTGTATGCATTACCTGCAAAGGGAAGTAACCTGGAGTCTCATTAGTGCCACATCCACTTCTGGTCCAGGATTTCTATTCCCACCCCAAAGCCTCTTTGTAAAACAAATATTTTGTAATATCCCCTTTACTACTCTGAATGAAATTCAGAGGTAAAACATCCTAACTACATACATAAATTTTAAGATCTATTTATCCATCTCTCTATCTCTATTCCTAACTGCATAATAAAGGGGAAACGAATAATTTGTTTAAAATAAAGATAAAATGTATTTAAATAAGTAAATTCTCAAGCATGACAATTCTAGATACCATAATAAAGGAGTTAGTCACCCCACCACCGGATAGCTGGTTTCCCTGCTCAACAAATGTGTCAAAACAGTGTACGTAAATGTGAAATTATGTTGCCGCTAAGAACCATAGAGTTCCACTTAGTGTTATGCCTCTTTCTTAGTGGTGGTGCTGCAGAGGACAACTGCCTCTAAGCTATTAAAGGATGCTAGAGTGTATATGCAATGGAACATCATTCAGCCCTAAAAAAAGAAGGAAATCCTGTCATTTGTGACAATATGGATGAATCCTGGAGGACAGCACGCAAAGTGAAATAAACCAGGCACAGAAAGACCACTACTGCATGATTTCACTTATATGTTTCAATTTGACAAGAGGAATAATTTTTGAGATCTGTTGCACAGTAGACTGACTATTGCCAATAATAGTGTATCATATATTTCAAAATACCTAGGAGAGGCCAGGCGTGGTGGCTCATGCCTGTAATCCCAACACTTTGGGAGACCAAGATGGGTGGATCATGAGGCCAGGAGTTCAAGACCAGCCAGCCGAGATGGTGAAACCCTGACTCTACTAAAAATACAAAAATTAGCCAGGCGTGGTGGTGGGTGCCTATAATCCCAGCTACTCAGGAGGCTGAGGTAGGAGAATTGCTTGAACCCAGGAGGTGGAGGTTGCAGTGAGCTGAGATTGCGCCACTGCACTCCAGCCTGGGCAACAGAGCCAGACTCCATCTCAAAAAAAAAAAAAAAAAAATAGATAGGAGAGTACATCTGGACATCCCTTAGCCCAGAGACTCCTGATTCTGCTCCTCTTTACCAGGAGAACTTTGTTCCCTTGGCATCTCTCTCCCCTGTCTTCTCTTGCAATCTAATCAGAAAAGCAAAATGGAGACAAACCATGTTTTCTCCTCACCTGCAATTAGGAAAATTGCAATTAGGAAATTTTCCTTTGCTGGTTAACAATATTGGGCCGTCACGTCCCCCGGTGTGGGGAGCAATGACCTGCAGTTGAAACTGGCCTCAGCTGCCTGTGTTTTACAACCTGCCGTGAACCTTTGGCAGATCAACTTAATTTTTTCCTAATTATACAAATAATAAGGCACATTTAGAAAGTATAGAAAAGTAAAAGCAGAAAAAAAAACCCACCTATAATCCTGCCACCCAGAGGCAATCCCTATTAACATTTTGATATATTTCCTACCTGGATTTTAAATGCATTTTTCTGTAGCTGAGCTCATACTGTACACATTATTTCATGCTCTAATTTTTTTCACCTGTTAGAGTACTTGCCCATATCATTAAAATTGGTTGAAAACATTGTTTTCCATATTCCTTTTTTATTATAAAAGTAATACATACTTACTACTAAAAAAATTCAGAAATATGTAAAGAAAAAAGGAAAATTTTTCACTTTAATTCTTTTTCCCCTCATGCCTCAGGGAGAACCACTTTTAACAGTTCTTTGAACAGTTTAGTTTTTATCCTTGCAGATCTTTTTTTTTTTTTTTTTTTTTTGAGATGAAATATCGCTCCCTCGCTCAGGCTACAGTGCAGTGGCCGGATCTCAGCTCACTACAACCTCCGCCTCCCGGGTTCAAGCAATTCTCCTGCCTCAACCTCCTGAGTAGCTGGTATTACAGGTGTGCACCACAATGTCAGGCTAATTTTTATATTTTTAGTAGAGACAGGGTTTCGTCATGGCGGCCAGGCCGGTCTCAAACTCCTGACCTCAACTGATCCCCCCGCCTAGGCCTCCCAAAGTGTTGGGATTACAGGCATAAGCCACTGTGCCTGGCCGCAGACCTTTCTCTATACTCATACAAAACAGCTTTTAAAAATGGTTCTGGCCAGGCACGGTGACTCACACCTGTAATCCCAGCACTTTGGGAGGCCGAGGTGGGTGGATCACCTGAAGTCAGGAATTTGAGAACAGGCTGGCCAAACTGGCGAAACCCCGTCTCTACTAAAAATACAAAAATTAGCCGGGCGTGATGGCCGGCGCCTGTAATCCCAGCTACTCGGGAGACTGAGGCAGGAGAATCACTTGAACCAGGGAGGCGGAGGTTGCAGTGAGCAGAGATGTCGAGATCACACCACTGCACTCTAGCCTTGGCGACAGAGTAAGGCTCCGTCTCAAAAAAAAATTAAAAAAAAGTTCTACAACTAGCTTTTCCGTATATCTTGGAGCAATTTTCTTATCAGTACATAGGGATCCACTGCACTTTAAGAAACCTGCCAAGGCCGGGTGCGGGGCTCACACCTGTAATCCTAGCACTTTGGGAGGCTAAGGCAGGCGGATCACTTGAGGTCAGGAGTTTGAGACCAGCCTGGGCAACAGGATGAGACCCTGTCTCTATAAAAAAAAAAAAAGAAAAAAAAATTAGCTTGGTGTGGTGGCGCACACCTGTAATCCCAGCTACTCGGGATGTTGAGGTGGGTGGATCGCTTCAGCTGCAGTGAACCAAGATCGGGCCACTGGGCTCCAGCTTGTGTGACAGAGTGAGAAAAAAAAAAAAAAGAGAAAGAGCTGCCAAATATTGCATCTATAGAGTCATTTCTCTTGGATAGTGCCTGTATTAGTTAGGGTTCTCCACAGAAGGAGAACCGATAGGAGCTACAGATATAGATAAAAGAGGAGATGTGTGATGGGAATTGGCTCACTTGATTATGGAGGCCAAGGAGTCCCACCATCTGCTGTCTGCAGCTGGAGACCCAGGAAAGCAGGTGGCATAGCTCAGTCTCAGTGTGGGAGCCTGAAAACCAGGGGAACTAATGGTGAAACTCCCAGTCCAAGGCCAAAGCCCTGAGCAAGAAGTGGAAGAGGCCCCATTGGTGTAAGTCCCAGAGTCTGATGGCCCAAGAACCAGGTGTTCTGATGTCCAAGGGCAAGAGAAGATGGATGTCCCAGCACCAGGAACCAGAATGAATTCACTCTCCCTCCACCTTTTTGTTTCCTCTGGGCCCTCGGTGGATTGGATGATGCCCATCCACATTGGTGACGGTGGATCTTCTTTAGTTAGGCCATTGAATCAAATGCTCATCTCTTGTGGAAACGCCCTCAAAGACACACTCAGAAGTCACGTTTAACCAGCTAGCTGGACATCCCTTAGCCCAGTCAAATTAACACATGAAATTAACCATCACAGTGTCCTAGAAGTGAACTTGTGTGATAATTGGTATGTGCATTTTATTTATTTTTTGAGACAGGGTCTCACTCTGTTGCCCAGGCTGGAGTGCAGTGGCTTAATCTCAGCTTACTGCAGCCTCAACTTCCTAGGCTCAAGTGATCCTCCCACCTCAGACTCCCAAGTAGCTGAGACTACAGGTGTGCACCACCACACTTGACTAATTTTGTTTATTTTTTATAAAGATAGAGATGATGTCTCACTATGTTGTCCAGGGTGGTCATAAACTCCTGGGCTCAAGTGATCCTTCCACCTCAGACTCCAAAAGTGCTGAGCCACCGTGCCTAGCCTTGTATGTGCATTTTTAATTGTGTGCAAATCGCCTTCCTTTTAAAGTTCTAACCATCATAGCTCCACCGATAGTGTTCATGGCTATGAAAACCTCCCGTGGCTGTGTGGTAGTGTGTGGCTTGGTAACCTAGTGGTTAACACTTGGGTGTAGGACCCAAATAATCTTGGGTTCAAATCCCATCTCTGCCACTAGCTAGCTATGAGGTCTTTACTGAGTTACTTAATGTCTCTATGCCCTAGTTTTCATATCAATAAAATGAAAATGATAATGACAATAGTTATATTCTTTGGGGTTATTTTGAACATTAAAAAAATGAAATAATGCATATAAGATACGTAGACTGGCCAGGCGCGGTGGCTCATGCCTGTAATCTGAGCAGTTTGGAAGGCCAAGGCAGGCATATTGCTTGAGCCCAGGAGTTCAAGACCAGCCTGGGCAACATGGTGAAACCCCATCTCTACAAAAAAATACAAAAATTAGCTGGGTGTGGTGACACGTGCCTGTAGTCCCAGCTACTTGGGAGGCTGAGGTGGGAGGATTGCTTGAGTCCAGGAGGTGGTGGCTGCAGTGAGCTGTGATTATGCCACTGCATTCCAGCCTGGGTGACAGAACGAGACCCTGTCTCAAAAAAAAAAAAAAAAAATTAAAAAACAAAACACTGCCGGGCGCCATGGCTCACACCTGTAATCCCAACACTTTGGGAGGCCGAGGCAGGCGGATCACAAGGTCAGGAGATCGGGACCGTCCTGGCTAACATGGTGAAACCCCGTCTCTACTAAAAATAAAAAATAGCAGCTGGGTGTGGTGGCACGTGCCTGTAGTCCCAGCTACTCGGGAGGGCAAGACAGGAGAATTGCTTGAACCCAGGAGGCAGAGGTTGCAGTGAGCCGAGATCGCGCCACTGCACTCCAGCTTGGGCCACAGAGCGAGACTCGGTCTCAAAAAAAAAAAACAAAACAAAACACTTAGCCTAGTAGTTAGCCTGTACCTAGTACAGAGTAAGTGTACAATAAATGATAATGCATTAATAATGTAATCTACTTCGTCATTCTCCTATTGTTGGACTTTTATTTTATTTTATTTTTTTTGAGATGGAGTCTCACTCTGTCACCCAGGCTGGAATGCAGTAGCATGATCTCAGCTTGCTGCAACCTCCACCTCCCCAGCTCAAGTGATCCTCCCACCTCAGCCTCCTGAGTAGTTGGGCCCACAGATGTGCACCCCCACGCCCGGCTAATTTTTGTATTTTTGGTAGAGATGGGGTTTCACTAGGTTGCCCAGGCTGGTCTTGAACTCCTGAGCTCAAGTGATCCACATGCTTCGGCCTCCCAAAATGCTGGGATTATAGGCATGAACCATCACGCCTGGCCGCTATTGTTGGACATTTTAATGGCAGAAATTCTTTTAACAGGCTTTCTTCAAAGGACTTTGTCAGTTTATCCCTTTAAACATTTTAAGCATACATTTTAAATAACTGAACAGTTTTTAAGGTTTGAATATTTAATATTTAAACAACTCAACAGTAAATAACACTCATGACCTCTGTCATCTCAATACAATACTTTTCGTAACTAAGTACAATCCTTCCACTGTACATCCACACACAGACACAGTTTGGAGATTTTTTTGAGACAGGGTCTTGCTATGTTGCCCAGGCTGACCTCGAACTCCTGGACTCAAAGGATCCCCCAGTCTCAGACTCCAGAGTAGCTGGGACTACAGACATTCACCACTGTGCCCAGCTCACACATAAACATAGTTTTTATAGCAATGTATTCCATTTACCCTTGTATACCGGTTGCTTCAGGCACAATTATGTAGGTATTTTTGGGCAAAGATGAATAATTACATCACAAAATTACATCACAGAGCAGGCCCAAATCCACACAGAATTTGAAAAAACAATATTAATCTGAACAGATCACATTTTTTTTTGTTTTTTTTGGTTTTTTGTTTGTTTGTTTGTCTTTTTGAGACAGAGTCTTGCTCTGTCACCCAGGCTAGAGTGCAATGGTGTGATCTCCGCTCCCTGCAACCTCTACCTCCCGGGTTCAAGCAATTCTCCCACCTCAGCCTTCCAAGTAGCTGGGATTACAGGCACACGCCACCACACCCAACTAATTTTTGTATTTTTAGTAGAGACAGGATTTCACCACGTTGCCTAGGCTGGTCTCGAATTGGCCTCAAGTGATTTGCCTGCCTTGGCCTCCCAAAATGCTGGGATTACAGGCATGAGCCACTACGCCTGGCCTGAACAGATTTCATATCGTGTATTTGCATGTCCAGAAAGTGATCCCATAGCCTGGGACCTGATGTTGACATCTGTCCCCTTCAGAGCTCCCTGATGATTTTCCAAATGGACAGTCTCCTGGGCTCCACAAGACTGAGTTCCTGATTCCAGAAGAGCTGAAAAAATGCCAGCAACTCTTGAATTATGTGAAGGAGGGGCACACGCAGGTGGCTTCCCATGTGCAGAGGCTGTTTATGGAGTGTGCAGGATTCAGCCCAGAAGTGTGAAGTTGGAAACAGAAAGTCAGTCTTGGCCTTAGGCTTGCCCGTAACGAGGACTAAATGGGTTGCCAAAGTCATACATATAAACAATAATCGAGTTTACAAGCACCCGGGTAGCACAGCCTCTGCTTTCTGGACACGCCTTGCCTCAGGCATATGGATTATAGGAAACCCGAAACAGATGTTGGTAGCTGAGCAAGGCCTTCGGGAGTTTACGGGACAATAGAGAGAAAATCCAGTAGAGTGGAAACATTCAATAAGGAGCCAGAAAAGGGCCCTACTTAAATACAATCTCAAAAAAAGCAAAGGGCCCTGCCTCTCCTAGAAGTCACTCTGTTAAGACTGACACCTCCTGGCCTGCTGCTGCTCTGTGGCTGGTCCAGGCCTCCCAGGGATACCCACAAATTCTGCAGCGCACAGAGCAGGTTGCTGGGAGCTCCTTAGTGGAACAACCAAGAGTTCCCTTGCATATATATATTTTCGAGATGGAGTCTCGCTTTGTCACCTAGGCTGGAGTGCAGTGGCGGGATCTCAACTCACTGCACTTCTGCCTCCCAGGTTCAAGCAATTCTCCTGCCTCAGCCTCCTGAGTAGCTGAGATTACAGGCGTATGCCACGACCCCCAGCTAATTTTTGTATTTTTAGGTAGAGATGGGGTTTCACCATGTTGGCCAGGCTCGTCTCAAACTCCTGACCTCAAGTGATCCGCCCACCTCAGCCTCCCAAAGTGCTGGGATTACAGGCATGAGCCACCACACCTGTCTGCATAATTATTGATACACATACAACACAATATACAATATATACAACTCTGTATTCCCACAATCCAGCAGGTCACCCAGGATGAATAGATGCTCAAAAATGCCTTTCCAAATCATAAAGATGCTCAAAAATACCTTTCTGGAAACTATTTCATGTCATCACACTCATAAGAAATGTCCATTTTTTAATGACACACTTAAGTAAACTGGAGGGGTTGGGGGAGGGACCTGGGGACGTCTATGTGGAGCTTGATGGAAAAAGTGATTATGTTTTCTTTAGAGTAAAGAATTATAAAAATGAAAATAATGTAATTAGAGAACATATTACATACTGAATTTGTATGAAATTTTCCAAATAAAATATTTTCAAAATTTTAATGAGAAACCTGAGCTTGCTTCTATGAACATAACTTAAAAATTTTTTTATAATGGATTTTATTTAAACTAATATATCCACACTATTATGACTTCAACCTGTCATCAATATAAAATTATGAATGAGCTATTTTACATTCTTGCTTTCTTACTACGTCTTCGAAATCTGGTGTGCGTTTTACATACCCAGCACTTTCCAATTTGGAGTAGCCACATTTCAAATGCTCTGCGGCCACATGTGGCCAGGGGCTGCCTGATAGGAGGCACTGCTCTGCAGCGAGGATGGCAAAGGTAGCACAGACACGGGCTTTTTTAAACATTCTTTTTTCATATGCTTGAAATGGCTATAAATAATCACCAGTGAAGATTTTTGAATGATGATCTATTCAAGTTCTTGATAACTGCCATCAATGAGCAATTTGGACTAAATAGGAAAGAAACATTTAAAAACAATTTTTCCCCGGCCAGGTGTGGTGGCTCAAGCCTGTAATACCAGCACTTTGGGAGGCTGAGGCGGGCGGATCACCTGAGGTCAGGAGTTTGAGACCAGCCTGACCAATATGATGAAACCCCATCTCTACTAAAGATAGAAAAATTAGCCAGGCGTGGTGGCAGGTGCCTGTAATCCCAGCTACTCGGGAGCCTGAGACAGGAGAGTCGCTTGAACCCGAGAGGCGGAGGTTGCAGTGAGCAGAGATTGCGTCTATGCACTCCAGCCTGGGCAACAAGAGCGAAACTCCGTCTCAAAAAAAAACCCAAAAAACTAACAAACAAAAAACAACAACAACAAAAAAGCCACAATTTTTCCCACTCTTCACAATTTTACAGCAGTTGAAATTACCTCTTTATTTTGAGATGGGGGTCTCGCTCTGTCACCCAGGCCCCAGCCTGGTGCTGCTTCTCCAGCCCAGCCTGCTCACGGCCCACTCTCCCCACTTGGGCTCCCTAACACCCCAGTATTTCCTCCAGCCCCTTCATCTCCACCTGTGCCAAACCCATTTGCAGCAGCTACTGACCTAGTGCTGGGGCATGGGGCTTCCAGTGCCAGCTGTCCCCATTTTCCTCACTCCCTCTCATACCACCTCCTCTCCATCCCCACACTGATTGGGCCCCTCTCTGAGGACCAAATGCTCTTACACAGCTGGAAGGGACTGCCTGAAGGGCTTGCCCACCCCAGAGCCCTCACCATCCCCAAGAACTGAGGTTGTCAGTGACTCCGTGCACCAGGGTGTGCAGTGCACTGTCGGGAGGTACTGGGATCACAGACACTACCTGCTGTCCACCCCCTGCCTCCTTCTTACTAACAAAATCCTGGGGCTTTCTAACCGTAACCTTGGGCAGCTCTTGTGATCTTTATGGACTTCAATTTTGTGGGATTTTTGTTTGTTTGTTTCTTTGTTTTTGGGACGCAGTCTCACTCTGTTGCTCAGGCTGGAGTGCAGTGGTGCAATCTCAGCTCACTGCAACCTCTGCCTCCCGGGTTCAAGCGATTCTCCTGCCTCAGCCTCCCGAGTAGCTGGGATTACAGGCACCTGCCACCATGCCCAGCTAATTTTTGTATTTTTAGTAGAGACAGGGTTTCACCATGTTGGCCAGGCTGGTCTCGAACTCCTGACTTCAAGTGATCCACCTGCCTTGGCCTCCCAAAGTGCTGGGATTACAGGCATGAGCCACCGTGCCCGGCCATAATTTTGTGGGATTTCTATTTGTTTGCTGTTTTTCAGAGACAGGGTCTTGCTCTGTCATCTAGGCTGGAGTGCAGTGGTGCAATCATGGCTCACTGCAGCCTTGACCTCCTGGCCTCAAGCGATCTCCCTGCCTCAGCTTCCCAACTAGCTAAGACTACAGGTGCATACCACCATGTCTGGCTAATTTTTAAAATTTTTATACAGACAGGGTCTCACTATGTTGCCAAGGCTGGTCTCAAATTCTTGGACTCAAGAAATCCTCCTGCCTCGACCTCCCGAAGCTCTGGGATTACAAGCATGAGCCACTGTGCCCAGCCAGACTTTAGTGGGTTTTTTCTTTCTGTCTTTTTAAACAAAAAAAGCTTTATTGAGAGAGTATTCACATACCATAAAATTCACTCATATAAAGTATACAGGTCAGTCGTTCTTAGTACAGTATATTCACAAAGTTCTGCAAAGACCCGTTTCCTGTCTATCAAACAGGGATAATTGTATATAACCTCATGCGATTGTTGTGAGAGACAAATGAGCTATGTGTAAAGTGCTGGCACGTTGCCAGGCATGCGGGCAAGTCTTAATAAATGGTATTATTATTTCCACAATAAGGATGACAAGGTCTGATGAAGAGGAACAGCAGGGATTCGTGCCTCAAAAAGGATGCTGAGCTGTGGCCACTGCCTGGGAGTCTGTCCATGTTTTGTGGAATCGAGGCCACCCCGACTCATCCTGTTCCTTCCACGTGACATACAAAGCCCGCAGCCTACCCAGTAGGTACTCACAGCCACCTCTGTGTCAGAGCAGGACGAGACAGCCGCTCAGCAGCTGCACAGGCTACAGCGCAATTTAAGGCAGGAAGTGGAGAGAAATGCCATTTCTTACAGAAAATTCATGGGGAGAGAAATTCAAGTCGGCGGCAAGGACACTCATTTCCTTTCCTTAAATTTGATCATCTGCTACCTGCTCTCATTTGTCTAAGAATTTTTGTTTTAAGAAAAGTTTTACTCTCAGATTATTATAATAAAAATAATGTTTATTGTTCATTTTTGGGGGCATACTCCTCTACTCAAACGTGGTGAGGATTAACTTTAGACTAAATATTTTTAGACTATATGGTATGTATATTTTAAAAGTTTATTTATTTATTTATTTATTTATTGTTGAGACAGAGTCTGACTCTGTCGCCCACGCTGGAGGGCAGCGGCGCGATCTTGGCTCACTGCAACCTCTGCCTCCTGGGTTCAAGCAATTCTCCTGCCTCAGCCTCCCAAATAGCTGGGATTACAGGCATGCACCACCATGCCCGGTTAATTTTTATATTTTTAGTAGAGAAGGGGTTTCACCACGTTGCCCAGGCTGGTCTCGAACTCCTGACCTCAGGTGATCTGTCTGCCTCAGCCTTTCAAAGTTCTGGGATTACAGGCATAAGCCACCTCACCTGGCCAAGTATATATATTTTTAAAATATAAAAGTGGGATAATGAGATGATATTGTTTTGTAAATTGCTTTTGTCACTTAGGAATATATCTTGGCTGGGCAGTGGCTCACATCTGTTATCCCAGTGCTTTGGGAGGCTGAGGCAAGAGGATTGCTTGAGCTTAGGAGTGGGAGATCAGCCTGGGCAACATAGTGAGACCTCATCTCTACAAAAAATTTTTAAAAATTAGTCGGGTGTGGTGGCACACACCTGTAGTCCCAGCTACTTAGGAGGCTGAGATAGGAGAATTGCTTGAATGAGACCCTGTCTGAAAAAAAAGAAAGAGAGAGAGAGAGAGAAAGGGAGGGAGGGACGGAGGAAGGAAGGAGCTTTTTTTTTTTTTTTGAGACGGAGTCTCCCTCTGTCGCCCAGGCTGGAGTGCAATGGTGCGATCTCGGCTCACTGCAAGCTCCGCCTCCCGGGTTCACGCCATTCTCCTGGCTCAGCCTCCCAGGTAGCTGGGACTATAGGCGCCTGCCACCACGCCCGGCTAATTTTGTCTTTGTACTTTTAGTAGAGACGGGGTTTCACCGTGTTAGCCAGGATGGTCTCTATCTCCTGACCTTGTGATCCGCCCGCCTCGGCCTCTCAAAGTGCTGGGATTACAGGCGTAAGCCACCGCGGCCGGCCTATTTATTTATTTTGAGACTGAGTCTTACTGCGTCGCCCAGGCTGGAGTGCAGTGGTGCGATCTTGGCTCACTGCAACATCTACCTCCCAGGTTCAAGTGATTCTCTTGCCTCAGCCTCCCGAATAGCTGGGATTATAGGCTCGTGCCACCACGCCCGGCTAATTTTTGCATTTCTAGTAGAGACAGGTTTCACCGTGTTGGCCAGGCTGGTCCTTAACTCCTGACTTCAAGTGATCCTTCTGCCTCGGCTTCCCAAAGTGCTGGAATTATAGGCGTAAGCCACCGCACCTGGCCGGGATTTCCTACTTTTTAAAAACTATTACGACCATAGTGGGTGCTGTGCTGTGCCAACCACATCCGCCTTCAAGACTGGGGCACTCATTTCCCCGGCTGCCGGGAGTTTTCCTGCTGATGAATTGTCCTCAGCCAAGTGGGCTGCCTGATACCCCATGCCTGACATGGTTAATGTGTGTATGGAGTGGGGTGAACAAAGGCCTGGCTCCCATGCCTCAGTGGTATAACTCCAAAGGGCCACTCCAGCTGCAGAGCTTTCCAAGGAACCTGCAAATGCTCTCATTGCAATGCTCCCCAGCCTCACCCCTCCCTCTGTTCAGTCTTGCTGCCTTCCCTCCTTACAGCGGCTGTTTCCCAATGAACCTCCTGCACACATCTCTGTCTGTCTGTTTTCTGGGACAGCTGCCCTAAGATGATCACGGATATTAAAAAGTTTTTTTTTTTTAATATTTTTTGTTAACAGTTGTTACTAGAATTCTTTTTAGGAAAAGACGTGTCTTTGAAGAAAAGAACCTTGATATGTCTCCTGGGGTAAGATGCGTGACTTGTGGGAATGCAGGTAGCTGGTGGCTGAGGAGAAGCAGCTCGCAGGAAGCAAAAGGAAGAGTCCCTGGTTTTGCTCCTGACCAGGGAGGAGACTGATAAAGAAGAAAGGGGGTGGTAAAAGGGACGAGCCAGAGACACGGAGAAGAGCCAGAGGGGCAGAGAGAGGCTGGGACTGGTGAGAGTGGGCAGAGGACTTTGAAGGGGCTGACATTGTATGGCTGCGATGTAAGCCTCTCCTGTCTCCCCTCTGAAGTCACCAGTAAACTCCACGATGTTGACAGAACTCTGGTGAGTGAAAGTCAAAGAGAGGGCCACGTTTCATCTCTGAGATGCCTTGTGCAACTGAGATGCATCAAAGGACACAGCAGCCAGGAGACAGAGGAGGCATGCAAGTGGAGAGAGGACACTTGCGTCTCATCTGAAGTGCAAGCAGCAGAGACAGCTTGGCCACAGTCAGCTGCCCCTAGCAGACGACTTCTACAAGGAATGTGTCAGTGCAGAGAAGCCTGGGAAAGGACAAATACTACCTTCTGACACCTCTCTTTCTCCCTTTTGGAACCCCGGATATGAAGGACCAGATGCCCAAAGTGGCAGAGAGCATGTTGACAGCTAAAGGGGAACAGTGACCCGTGCAACCAAGGAAGAGTGTTGTTCTGGGCCTTCTTTGACAATTGTATTCAGAGATAACAACTTCCACTCATTGCACTCAAATTAACCCTGTACCTAGATCACATATCACAGTCGTCACTGGCATTTTCTCATGGCCTCAAGTTTTATGTGGTTGCCATCCTGGTCGGTAGCAGTTTTGTGCAATGCCTTTTGCCTTCTAGTCTTCAGAGGCAGGGTGACATAGGTGACATAGCACGTAAGAGCTTGGGTCCTGAAGTTAGATGGGGCTGGGTTTCAAATCTACCCTAGCTAGCCTTCGAAAGCTTCTAAGCCTCAGTCTCCGGACCTGCACAATGGTCTCCTACTAAGACCTCCCTTATGAGGTCCTTGTAAAGACGAGATAGTGTATGTAAAGCATGCATGGACATGGGCAGCACCCAGTAAATCATGGTTATTATGATTATTTATTCTTTTTGTCTGCCTTAATTCCATGGCTTTAATATTCCCTGGTGTTGAACATTTAGGTGGTTTTTAGTTTTTGTGTATTATAAACAATACTTTTTGTAAAAATATAGAATAATTCAGTACTTTGAATTATCTTATTTTTATTTTTTTGAGACAGTCTTGCTATGTTGCCCAGGCTGGAGTACAGTAGCATGATAGTGGCTCACTGCAGCCTCGATCTCCCAGGATCAAGCACTCCTCCTGCCTCAGCCTTCTGAGTAGCTGGGACCACAGGTGCGTGTCACCATGCCTGACTAATTTTGTTTAATTTTTGGTAGAGATGGTGTCTCCCTACATTGCCCAGGCTGGTCTCAAACTCCTGAGCTCAAGCAATCCTCCCTCTTCAGCCTCTCAAAGTGCTGGGATTACAGACATGAGCCACCACACATGGCCAAATGATCTTTTCAAACTCTGTACCCTTTAGCTAATTGACAATAACAAGTACCTCATAGCACGGTTATGAGAATTAAGTGAATTAATACATATAAAGTGCTCAGAACAGTGCCTGCCACCCGGCCCACTGTAGAAACGTGTTTGCCTGCTTTATTATTATAATGATTCCTCACACCTCCACTTGTCCTCCTGCGTCATCCCCCCGCCTCCCCGCCCCCACCCCGGCTCCAGCACTTGCAGCTGGGTTAGATGATCGGCTGCTGCTCTGTCTGCCCTCTGTCAGGTGTCATTTCCCCCAGCTCCTGCTGAGAAAGAATTCAATTTGCATCATCTAAAAATTAAGCTGATTCAGAGCCTGAAATCAAGGGAAGGAAATGTCCTGGGAAGTACTGAAGAAGCCTCAGAGCTGCACGATCACCTGGGCTCGATTTCTGCTGCAACTTCATGGCCCTCATTGACGTGGGCTTCGTGGGTGAGAAACGGGCTGATGGGTCGCCTCTTTCAGGGCAGTTGTTCACTATTCCAGGGAGGAGGGCCAAGCTGGCAGTGGGCAACATGGTGAGACTCTAAAGAAAGATCACAATCCCTGCCCATAGCTGATTCCTTCAGTTTCATTGAGCATTTACCTTATTACCTGGGACATCTCAACAGCGCAGAAAGCCATTAGCTCTGAAGCCAGGCAAACCTGAGTTCACACCTGGCTCAGACACCCACTGACTAGCTGGGTAGCTCGGGCGAGTTAACGTCTCTGAGCCTTTGTTTCCTCTTCTCAAAAATGGGGACAATACCTTCCACACAAGGCTGTGGCTTTGGTTTTAAAGTGTGGTAAAATACATATAACACAAAATATACCTTCTCTTATTTATTTATTTATTTTTATTTTTTTGAGACGGGTTCTCGCTCTGTGGCCCAGGCTGGAATGCTGTGGTGTGATCTCGGCTCACTGCAACCTCCGCCTCCCAGGTTCAAGCAGTTCTCTTGCCTCAGCCTCCCAGGTAGCTGGGATTATAGGCATGCGCCACCATGCTTAGCTAATTTTTGTATTTTTAGTTGAGACGGGGTTCCGCCATGTTGGCCAGGCTGGTCTCAAAATCCTGGCCTCAGGTGATCTGTCCGCCTTGGCCTCCCAAAGTGCTGGGATTACAGGCATGAGCCGCCACACCTGGCCTCTTTTTTATTTTTTAATTTTGAGACAGGGTCTCATTCTGTTGCCCAGACTGGAGTGCAGCGGCGTGATCACAGCTCACTGCAGCCTCGACCTCTCAGGCTCAAGCCATCCTCCTGCCTCAGCCTCCCGAGTACCTGGGATTACAGGTAAGTGCTACCACACCCGGCCAATTTTAAAAATTTTTTGTGGCAACAGGGTCTCACTGTTGCCAGGGTTGGATAATGTACCTTCTTAACTATTTTAAGTGGATAGTTCAATGGCATTAAACACACAGGGTTGTTTTTGAGGATTAAGTGAGATAATGCATATAAAGCCTCTAGCACGCAAACTAGAGTGCAGTGAGTGCTCCGTGAATACAAGGGCCCCTCTGAGGATTCCTCCTGCTAAACGTGGGGCACCGTGCTGTGAAGGAGAGCAGGAAGGCCTCGGTGGCTTTGGGGCTGAAGTTCAAACCCTTGTCCCATCCCTTATCATGGCCTGGCTGCCCCATCTGCAGCCACTGCTTATCGCTGAGTTGGTTCTGTGTGGAAACCTTGTCTTGGGAGAAAGAGGCAGAGGAGCTGGCAGTCTCAGGAGATCTGTTTCCTGAGAGAACCGCCCTCAAATATCCAATGGCCCTCATGGGAAAGAGGGAGCAGCCTTATCAGGGTCTTTCCAAATAGATGAACTAGGCCAATGGGTGAAAATTCGAGGGAGCAGATTTCAACGTAATAGAAGGAGGTCATCTCTGCCACTGCCTGTGGACCTAAGACATGGAAAGTCACTCCTCAGTCTTTAGGGTGGTTTTTGGCTCCGGTTTTTGTTCTTTTTTTTTTTTTTTTTAAGACAGAGTCTTACTCTGTCACCCAGACTGGAGTGTAGTGGTGGCATTTTGGCTCACTGCAAACCCTGCCTCCTGGGTTCAAGCGATTCTCCTGCCTCAGCCTCCCGAGTAGCTGGGATTACACATGCATGCTACCATGCCCAGCTAATTTTTTGTATTTTAAATAGAGACAGGGTTTTGCCATGTTGGTTAGGCTGGTCTCAAACTCCTGACTTCAAGTGATCCACCTGCCTTGGCCTCCCAAAGTGCTGGGATTACAGGTGTAAGCCACTGTGCCTGGCTTTTTTTTTTTTTTTTTTTTTTGAGACAGGGTCTCATTCTGTTGCCCAGCCTGGAGTGCAGTGGCATGATCACGGCTTACTGCAATCTTGACCTCTCAGGCTCAAGCAATCCTCATGGCTCAGCCTCCCAAGTAGCTAGCACCATAGGCACATGCCACCATGCCTGGCTAATTTTTTTGATTTTTTGTAGAGACAAGGTCTCACTATGTTGCCCTGGCTTGTCTCAAACTCCTAGGCTCAAGTGATCCTCCCTTCTTGGCCTCACAATGTGCTGAGATTACAGGCGTGAGCCACCACGCCTGGCCTGTTTTGATTTTTTGTTTAGTCAAAGCAATATAGCATGTAGTTTGAAAATTCAATTACAATAAAAGACTTCCAACAATAAACAAGTCTCCTTCCCCACTCCTTGCCTACCCAGCCAGGCTCCTCTGCAGAGGCAACTCTTCTAGCTATTTCTTCTGGTTCTTATCTCCACATTTCCAAATAATGTGCTCACTCGTATATTTCTTCATTTACCAATTTTAGGTAATATCTGTTGGTTTTCTGTTATTGGTGGGTGAGGATTTGATGTTTTTGCACAACCTCCATCCTCTGATCACATATTTTAGTTAAATAAATATTTGGTGTATAGTTTATTGTGATTACGAATCATTTCAGTCTTTGCCATGTCTTAAAAACCACTCTAGGATCTGGCTTCTGGCTCCCTGTCTCCCTCACCTCCAGCTGTTTCCCTCTCACTCACTCGTCTCCAGCATCACTGGCCTCCCTGGCTCCTCAGACCTGAGAACACTCCTACCCGAGGATCTTTGCACTTGCCCTTCTCTCCATCAGAGTGCTCGCCTTCCTGACATTTCCTGTCTGCTTCCTTATTTCATTCCCGACTCTGCTAAAATGTCACCTGATTAGCGAGAACTTCCTGCTCTCCTATCTAAAATAATATCCTCACTGCCATCCATTTACTCAGCTTTACTTCTCTTCACAGATGTCACACACACACACACACACACATCCTGACATTATATTATATACTTATTGACTTGAATATCAATTATATATTTATTGAGGGCAGGGACTTTGTTTACTGTTAGGTCTCCCAGGGCCTGGGAACCTGCCTGGTGCATAGGCGGCTGTAGGTAAACCTTTTAGAGTAAAGGAATGCTAAGGCTGTCGACTTACTGTGCTTTAATTTCATTGTTTGTACAATTTCCTACCCTCCCTCTCCCCACAGTTAATATTTATCTTGGTTTTTCACTTACTTTGCTTTGTATGCAGCACATCCTCCAACAGCCCTTCAATCCAAGTTGTTCATACAAACGAATCAGATAATCTGCTGTGTTTAAATTCCCCTCTGCATTCAAAAGCAATGCAGGAATCGGATAAATTGAGATAAAATATCCACATTGTTAGATAAAGGGGCATGGAGGACAGAACTTAGTTGGTAGCCAAGCATCTTTGACCACGGCCCACTCCTTGCGTTAGACCTCCTCTTGGAATTGCGGGCGGCCCCTCCAAAGAGGCGGAGCGTGCTCTGGGATCCGACCACAGGCAGGCAAGGCTGTGTTGTGCAGAAAACAAGCCTCTCCAGAGGGAAGAGAGGCACCTCACATGCTGAGGCCTTTCCCAGCATCACCAATCAATACTCACCATCTTCCCTGGGGAAGAGGGAGGGAGTGGGCAAGTGGGCTGAGAGAAAGGTCACAGTTACTCTTTCCAACACTTTTGGAAGGATGGAAGTTGCTATTAATAGCCCAGAGAAGAGAAAGGGAAGAGACAGAGGATCTTCCTCCTCCTCCTCTATTAGTTCCTTTTTTTTTTTTTTTGGTTGAGACAGAGTCTTCCTCTGTCACCCAGGCTGGAGTGCAATGGTGCAATCTTGGCTCACTGCAACCACCCCATCCCAGGTTCAAGCGATTCTCGTGCCTCAGCCTCCCACGTAGCTGGGATTATAGGTGCCTGCCACCATGCCAGGCTAATTTTTGTATTTTTAGTAGAGATGAGGTTTCGCCATGTTGGCTAGGCTGGTCTTGAACTCCTGGTCTCAAGCAATCTGCCCACCTTGGCCTCCCAAAAGTACTGGGATTACAGGCATGAGCCACTGCACCCAGCCCTCTATTAGTTCCTTTTTATTCCCTCTGGTATTCACCTCCTGGAGCTCTGTCTACCTGTACCAGCCTGCAAGGGTACTCTCTAGCCCTATTATCCTGGGATTTTCCCTCATTGTCACCTTGTGAATTTCCTCACCTCCCTCCTGTGCTGCATCCCCTGTTCCCTACGTTGCATTTTAGTGGAGCACAGCCTGCAGTGGCTTACACACACACACACACACACACACACACACACACACACACAAAAGGGTGCACAGCACCAAAGTTCCCAATGCCTGGCAGACTGGAAATATCTTCATCCACCCTCATAATGATTAATAGTTTGGCTGGGTATATAGTCTGTGTCGGAAGTTATCTTTTCTCATAATTTTGAAGGCTTTGCTCCACTGTGTTTTGCTTTCATTACTGCTGTTAGAAGTTTGATGTCATTCTAGTTTCTTGATCTTTTAATGTGATAGGCTTTTTCTCTGTGAAAAATTTTAGGAGCTGCACTAGTTTCTGTTGCTGTTGTAATAGATTACCAAGAATGTAGCAACTTAAAACAACACAAACATTTTTTTTGGAGACAGAGTTTCGCTCTTGTCACCTAGGCTGGAGTGCAGTGGCATGATCTCTGCTCACTGCAACCTCCACCTCCCAGGTTCAAGCAATTCTCCTGCCTCAGCCTCCCGAGTAGCTGGGACTACAGGTGCCTGCCACCACGCCCGGCTAATTTTTTACAGTTTTAGTATAGACGGAGTTTCACCATGTTAGCCTGGATGGTCTCGATCTCCTGACCTCGTGATCCACCCACCTCAGCCTCCCAAAGTGCTGGGATTACAGGCGTGAGCCACCACACCCGGACTTAATTTTTGTATTTTTAGTGGAGATGGGGCTTCATCATGTTGGCTAGGCTGGTCTTAAATCCCTGACCTCAGGCAATCCGCCCTCCTCGGCCTCCCAAAGTGCTGGGATTACAGGTGTAAGCCACCATGCCGGCCAAACTTACTATTTTATAGTAGATCAGAAGTCCAACACGGATCTCACTGGGCCATCTAAGTGTTGGCTGGATGTATTCCTTCCAGAGGCTCTAGGAGAGAATCTATCTTCTTGCCTTTTCAGCTTCTAGAAGCTGCCCACTTTACTTGGCTCATGGTCCCTTCCTTCATCTCAGAGCCAGCAGTCTTGGGCCAAGTCCTTCGCAGGCTGCCATTCATCCAGTTCTACCTTTTGTGCCTCCCTCTTGAACTTTTAAGGACTCTTGTGGTTACACTGGACCCATCCAGATAATCCAGGATAGTCTCCCTGTGTTAAAATCGGATGATTAGCAAGCTCAATTCCCCCTTGCCATAACCTAACAAATTCACAGGGTTCTGGGTATTAGAACATAGACATCCTGGGGCAAGGGGCAGTTATCCTGCCTACCACAGGATCTTTGTTTATTTCCAGTGTTCTAAAATTTCAGGAAAATATGCCTTGATGATCGGTGTTTTTTTTTCTTTTTCATTTGTTCACTGTGCTAATTGGTGAGCCTTTCATTCTAGAAACTCATGTTCTTCAGTCCTGGAGGTTTTCTTGCATTTCTTCATTGAAAGCTTCTTCTATTTTCTTTTTTGCTTCCCTACCCTGCCCCCAGAACTCTTATTAGCCAGAAACTACACCTCCTGGTCTGTGTCACTGATTTTGTTATTTGATTCCATACCACCTATTTTCTTTATTTTTTTATTCTACCTTTAATAGAAGAGTTCCACAATTTTATCTTCTATTGAATTTAAAACTTTTGTTATGAACATTTTATTTCCAAAAGCTCTTTCTAAAATAAATAAGCTGGGCACAGGGATGCTTGCCTGTAGTCCTAGCTACTTGGGAAGCTGAAGCAGGAGGATCCCTTAAGCCCAGGAGTTCGAGTCCAGCCTGGGCAACAGAGTGAGACTCCTGTCTCTAAAATAAATAAATCAATAGGCCAGGTGCAGTGGCTCACACCTGTAATCCTAGCACTTTGGGATGCCAAAGTGGGCAGATCACCTGATGTCAGGAGTTCAAGACCAGCCTGGCCAACATGGCAAAACCCCGTCTCTACTAAAAACACAAAAATTGGCTGGGCATCGGAGTGGTTGCCTGTAATCCCAGCTAGGGAGGCTGAGGCAGGAGAATTGCCTAAACCCAGGAGGCAAGGTTGCAGTGAGCTGAGACTGCATCACTGCACTCCACCCTGGGCGACAACGGCAAAACTCCATCTCAAAAAAAAAATTATTTTTATTAAAGACAAGGTTTCACTCTTTTGCCTAGGCTGGTCTCCAACTCCCAACTTCGAGCAATCCTCCCACCTCAGCCTCCCAAAGTGCTGGGATGACAGGCATGAGCCATCACACCTACCCCTTCTTCTCCTCCTTTCTATTTTTACTGTTACTGCCTTAGGTTAGGTTGTCATCCCTCTGTCTTGGACAACTACAAGAATCTCTTAAATGGTTTCCCTGACTCCAATATCATTACCCTCCAATATCTATGCTGGCAACGGAACTGGTATTAAAGTGCAAAAAACCTGATTATTTTGTCTCCTCTTTAAATCCATCAAGAGCTCCTCTGTTGCTTTCAGATTAATTTCCAAAAGGTCTTTAGCATGTCAGTACAGACGGAGGAGAGAAGAGTTGAATTTGGAGGTTTTAGAACGTGGATGATGTCCAGGAGACAGCGTCCAGTTACATCTTAAGAAAACAGTACCCAACATGGCTTCCTTCAGCCACCCACTGATGTCTTTGCATTGCTCCATTTCATAGTCAACTTCTTAAGAAAGGTGCCTCTGCATCATTTCAGCTCTTGTTCATTTCTTAACTTGGGGTAATTTGGCTTCTGTCCCCAAAACACCAGAGAAACTACTCTTCTAAGATCACCACTGAATACTTCTCTTTCTTTCTTTTTTTTTTTTTTTTTTTTTTTTTTGAGACAGAGTCTTGCTCTGTCACCCAGGCTGGAGTGCAGTGGCGCAATCTCGGCTCACTGCAACCTCTGCCTCCTGGGTTCAAGCAATTCTCCTGCCTCATCCTCCCGAGCAGCTGGGACTACAGGTGCGCACCACCACATCCAGCTAATTTTTTGTATTTTTAGTAGAGATGGGGTTTCACCGTGTTAGCCAGGATGATCTTGATCCCCTGACCTTGTGATCCCCCTGCCTTGGCCTCCCAAAGTGCTGGGATTACAGGCGTGAGCCACCGCACCCGGCTGGATACTTTTCTTTACATTTTAAAATGTTTAATTTAGAAATAATTTCAGATTTACAAAAAAGTTGCAAATATACTAAAAAACAAAACCCAAACCCATATATACTTTACCCAGCTCCCCTAAAGTGCATGATATATAACCACGATACAATTAACAAAACCAGGAAATTAACGCTGATACCATTAACTAATCTGTACACCTTAATTTAAATTTTGTCAGTTGTTCCGCTGATGGGACAGATCCAATCCAGGATCACATATTGTGTTAGATTGTGTATTAGTTCATTCTCACGCTGCTAATAAAGACATCCCCGAGACTGGGTGCTTTATAAAGGAAAGAGGTTTCATTGACTCACAGTTCAGCATGGCTGGGGAGGCCTCAGAAAACTTATAGTCGGCCGAGAGCAGTGGCTCATGCCTGTAATCCCAGCACTTTGGGGGCTGAGGCAGGTAGATCACCTGAGGTCAGGAGTTCAAGACCAGCCTGGCCAGCATGGTGAAACCCCATCTCTACTAAAAATACAAAAATTATCTGGGTGTGGTGGCATGCGCCTGTAATCCCAGCTACTCGGGAGGCTGAGGCAAGAGAATAGCTTGAACCCAGGAGGCAAAGGTTGCAGTGAGCCAAGATCACCCCATAGCACTCCACCCTGGGCAGGGAAACCATTTAGGAGATTCTTGTAATTGTCCAAGACAGAGGGATGACAACCTAACCTAAGAGCAGAGGTTGCAGTGAGCCAAGATCACTCCACAGCACTCCAGCCTGGGCAACAGAGAGAGACTCAGTCTCAAAAAAAAAAAAAAGAAAAAAAAAGAAAAGAAAACTTACAGTTGTGGTGGAAGGGGAAGCAAATGCTTCCTTCTTCACAGGGCAGCAAGAAGGAGAAGAATGAGAACCGAGCAAAGGGGGAAGCCCCTTATAAAACCATCAGATCTTGTGAGAACTTACTATCATGAGAATAGCATGGGGAATCTGCCCCCATGATTCAATTACCTTCCATCCGTTCCCTCCCTCTCTCAACTACAATTCAAGATGAGATTTGGGTGGGGACACAGCCAAACCACATCAAATTATCATGTCACCTTAGTTTTTTTTTTTAATCTGAAATTGTTCCTCGGGCTTTCTTTCTGTTTGTTGTTTTTCTGATTTTAACACATTTGAAGGATACTGGCCAGTTCTATTGTTGAATGTCCCTTAATTTAGGTTTGCCTGAATTACTTGTGATTAAATTCATGTACTGTGGTAGGCAGGATAATGCCGGCACCCCCCCCCCCCCCCCACCATCCCCTACCACAGAGATGTTCACATTTGAATCTCTGAAATAAATTAGGTGAGCATGGTGGTGGGTGTTTGTAATCCCAGCTATTTGGGAGGTTGAGGCTGGAGAATCACTTGAACCTAGGAGGCAGAGGTTGCAGTGAGCTGAGATCATGCCATTGCACTCTAGCCTGGGCAGCAAGAGTGAAAGTCTGTCTCAAAAAAAAAAAAAGTCAGCTTATATATGGCAAGGGGGAATTAAGGTTGCAGAGGGAATTAAGGTAGAAGCTGGAATTAAGATTGCTAGTTGCTGGTATGGGTAGATTAATCCAGATTATCCTAGCAGGCCCAATACAATCACAAGAGTCCTTATATATGGAAGAGGGAAGCAGAAGAGACAGAACTAGAGAGATGGCAGCAGGTTGAGGACTAAACCTGATATTGCCAGCTTTGAAGATGGAGGAATGGGGCCATGAGCCAAGAACTGTGGGAGGGCTCTGGAAGAAAAGGCAAGGAAATGATTTCTCTCATAGAGCTTCAAGCAGGAACACGGTCCTGCGATGCCTTGATTTTAGCCCAGCGAGACTCATTTCAGGCATCTGACTCATGAAAGTACAAGATAATAAATTTGTGTTGATTTAAGCCATTATGTTTGGGATAATTTGTTACAGCAGCAAAGGTGAACTAATACAGATTTTGATACCTAGAAGTGGGGTGCTGCTGTAACAAATGCCTAAAAATGTGGAATTGGGCAGTGAGAAGAGGCTGGAAGAGTTTTGAGGAGCTTGACAGAAAAAACCTGAATTGCCTTGAATGGGCTGGTTAGTAGAAATATCAATGTTAATAATTCTGCCAGTCAAGCCCCATTACCTGGGGCATGGTAATGGTAAGAAATGAGGGGCATGGTAGAGAAAACATATATCACCCCGGAGAATACCAAAATAATCACAAACAAGCTGTTGTTAGAAATATAGATATTAAAGACATTGCTGATGAGGGCTTGTCTTAGTCCATTTTCTGCTGCTATAACAGAATACCACAGACTGAGTAGTGTATAAAGAATAGAATTTGGCCAGGCACGGTGGCTCATGCCTGTAATCCCAGCACTTTGGGAGGCCAAGGTGGGTGGATCACTTGAAGTTAGGAGTTCAAGACCAGCCTGGCCAACATGGTGAAACCCCATCTCCACTAAAAAAAAAAAAAAAATTAGCTGGGCATGGTGGCGGGTGCCTGTAATCTCAGCTACTCAGGAGGCTAGGCAGGAGAATCACATGAACTTGGGAGGCGGAGGTTGCAGTGAGCTGAGGTCGAGCCATTGCCCTCCGGCCTGGGTGACAAGAGCGAAACTCCGTCTCAAAAAAAAAAAAAGTAATAATAATAATAGAAGTCTACTTGGCTCATGGTTCTGGAGGCTGGGAAGTCTAAGACATGGCACTGGCATCTGGTGGGGGTTATCCTGTGGTAGGAGGCATCACATGGCAAGTGAGCATGTAAGACAGAGAGTGGTTTTATCCTTCTACCAGGAGCCCACTCCTACTATGACTGTAACTAAGTACTGTTACTAACCCACTCTCATGATAACAGCATTAATCTATTCATGAGGGTAGAGCTCTGATGACCTAATCAGCTCTTAGAGGTCCCACCTCTAAGACCCTGTGACCCACAGTCACAATGGCAAATACATTTTAACATGAGTTTTGGAGGGAACATTTAAATGACAGCAGGGGTCAATTATTGGAACAGAAGTAAGGGAATCATTGTTATATAGTGGCAGAAAGCTGAGCAGAATTGTGTACTACAGTCATATGGAGAGCAGAATTTATAAATGATGTGATTGGACATTTAGCTGAGGACATTTCCAATCAATGCATTGAAGATGCAACCTTGTTTCTTCTTGCTGTTTATAGCAAAATGCAAGAGGAAATAAATCAAATGAGGGGAAAATTGTTAAACAAAGAGGACTGAGGACTTGGATGATTTGGGAATTTATCAGGCTAGATTGCAAAAGATGTTAAAATTAAGATATTCACTGTCAGGAAAGTATGCTCTATGGGAAAACCCAAAGGTGTCTAGACAACCTTTTGGGAATACCTTAGAAAGATTTAAAAAAACAGAAAAGGGGCTGGGTGTGGTGGCTCACGCCTGTAATCCCAGCACTTTGGGAGGCTGAGGCAGGCAGATCATGAAGTCAGGAGATCAAGACCATCCTGGCTAACACGGTGAAACCCCGTCTCTACTAAAAATACAAAAACATTAGCCGGGCGTGGTGGTGAGCACCTGTAGTCCCAGCCACTCGGGAGGCTGAGGCAAGAGAATGGCGTGAACCTGGGAGGCGGAGCTTGCGGTGAGACGAGATTGCACCCCTGCACTCCAGCCTGGGTGACAGAGCAAGACTCCGTCTCAAAAAAAAAAGTCAGCATCATTAGTCACATGAAAGGCTCTTTAGGCCAGGCACAGTGGCTCATATCTGTTATCTCAACACTTTGGGAAGCTGAGGTAGGAGGATCACTTGAACCCAAGTGTTCAAGACCAGCCTGGGCAACAGAGTGAGGCCTGTCTCTTAAAAAAAAAAAAAAAAAGTGACATGCCTAATAGTGGCACGTGCCTGTAGTCCTAGATACTCAGGAGGCTGAGGTGGAAGGATCGCTTGAGCCCACGAAGTTGAAGCTACAGTGAGCCCTGATAGCACCACTGCACTCCAGCCTGGGTGACAGAGTGAGACCCTGGATCAAAAAAAGAAAAACAAACAAACAAAAAAGAAGGTTGTTTAAAGACTATGGGATTCATAAGTCCCCCCCAGCCATGTCGGCAAAAGCCAAACATAGAGAAAAGGTTATCTTGAAAGGATTTGTGCACAAGCCTCTTATCTAATGGAATGAATCCCCATGACATTCACAGGAAACCCACTAGGCTCTTGAGAATTTTATTCCAGCAGAAATACTGCCAGCTTGGACTGAAAGGGAGAGAGAGAGGATGAAATGTAAGAAGGCTGTGGATCCCCAAAATTCTACTGGCAAGAAACAGGCTGGTAAAACTATTCAGCTGCAAACACCAGCCATGTTTCATGAAAAAGGAATGATGACTCAGAGGGCGAAGGTTTGAGCCCAGAGGGTGGGGTGGAGCCTTGAACCACAGAGGATCATTACCAGGTCTGGAAAACTAATGTTTGCCCAGATAGATTTTTTTTTTTTTTTTTTGAGACAGTCTCACTCTGTCACCCAGGCTGGAATGCAATGGTGTGATCTCGGTTCACTGCAACCTCCACTTCCCAGGCTCAAGGGATCCTCCCACCTCAGCCTCTTGAATAGCTGGGACTGCAGGCACACACCACCATGCCCAGCTAATTTTTTTTTTTTGTATTTTTGGTAGAGACGGGGTTTCACCATGTTGCCCGGGCTGGCCTTGAACTCCTGACCTAAGTGATCTGCCCACCTTGGCCTCCCAAAGTGCTGGAATTACAGGTGTGAACACCACTACTCCTGGCCTGCCTGGATAGATTTTGAAATTGTATGGGACTGATGCTTCCTTTTTTCCTTCTGTTTTCTCCCTTTTTTGAATGGGAATGTCTACAATTGCTATTTTATGGCTGTCTCAGCATTGTATCTTGGGAACAGATAACTTGTTTTCTATTTTCAAACATCCACAGATGGAGAGAAGTTTTGCCCCAAGAGGGACTGTACCAACAACTCACCTATATTCAATTTAAATGATACAGATGATGAGATTTGGGACTTTAGAGCTGATGAGACTTCACTGACATTTTGGACTTGAGTTGTTGCTTCAGTGGGTTGAGACATTATGGGTGAATATATTTTTGCACTTAGGACAGATGTGAATCTTTGGGAACCAGAGGGCAAACTAAGTTTGTGACAACTTGTTACATCAAAAATAGGAATCTCACACATGGACCAACAGATATCAATAGATACTTTTCAACCTACAACATCTCATTCCATATGTTGGCTTTCTTGCCCCCATATATTTCTGTTTTCCTTCCTTCTCTTGAGACTTCTCAGTCTTTTTTTTTTTTTAATTAAAATATTTTTAAATAATAGAGATGGGGTCTTACTATTTTGACCAGGCTGGTCTTGAACTTCTGGCCTCAAGTGATCCTCCCATCCTGGCTTCTCAAAGTGCTGAGATTACAGGTGTGAGCCACCGCGCCTGGCCAGAGAATTCTCAGTCTTTATGCTGACTCCTTCCTCTACCTGTCTCTTAGATGTCAGCACTGTTCAGAATTCTGTCCTAGACCATTCTCTTCTCTGTGAGCACACTCTCTTTGCATAGTCCAACCCACTCCCCAGAATTCCACCTCTACCTATATCCAAATCTGTATCTCCAGTCCAGCCCTCTTTTCTGAGCCCTGGACACAGGTAATCATCTGCTTCCAGCATGTCTCCGTGTGGCCGTTCTAGCAGACATTGCAAACTCATCCTTTCACTGTTCACCTTGCATGCTTCACATGCACCAGCCATTCTCAGTTCTTTGCTGAGCAAAGCACACATTCTCTTGCAGCTGTAACTCTGTTTGGCTGGAATGCTCTTCTCTCCATTTTTCCTCCTGGCTAAAAAATGTCTTTCAAGACTCATTTCAAGAAATGGGACCAGGTGCAGTGGCTCACGTCTGTAATCACAGCACTTTGGGAGGCTGAGGCAGGTGGATCACCTGAAGTCAGGAATTCGAGACCAGCCTGGCCAACATGGCGAAACCCCGTTTCTACTAAAATGCAAAATTTAGTTGGGTGTGGTGGTGTGTGCCTGTAATCCCAGCTACTCGGGAGGCTGCCTATCGCTTGAACCTGGGAGGCAGAGGTTGCAGTGAGCCAAGATTGCGCCACTGTACTCCAGCCTGGGAGACAGAGCAAGACTCCATCTTAAAAAACAAACAAACAAAAAACAAAAGGAAATGACTACTTAACACAGGAACAGAAATCCAAATAAAGAAAGAAAAAAAAAATAAACACAAAATAAAGAAATGACTAGTTTGGGAAACTTCTCTCTTCCTTGGATTTCAACGTGCATCCCTCTTCTGTTTGCCTTTAACAGCCCCGCAGCATCACTGCATTCACCCATTAATGTGTTCATCCAGCAAGTATTGACTGAGCACCTCAGGTCCTCCAGCCACTGCCCGAGGCTCTGGTGTACAAAGATGAACAGGACTTGGTCTCCACCATCACACTGGAGTTTAGAGAAGGAAATAACTAATTTGTCAATTCCAATATGCTGCATTACAAGTCAAGGAAGACTGGGGATAGAAAGAAGTATAGGCAATGGCATTTCAGGCAGCAATCTATGCACACCTGGAGACTGGAGAAAGAAGGATGTTTTCAAGGACCTCAAGATTTCTCTGGGCCAGGTACAATAGCCTATGCCTGTAATCCCAGCTACTCAGGAAGCTGAGGCGGAAGGATCGCCTGAGCCTAGGAGTAGTGTAGCCGCGATTGCGCTACTGCACTCCAGCCTGGTTGACAGAGTGAGACCTTGTCTCAATAAATAAATAAATAAATTAATTAATTAATTAATTAATTAATTCCTGTGGAATTTAGAAGGGGGTGGTGGTGGGCTGTGAGATACAAAACCAGAGAGGTTGACAGGAGCCCTGATCAAGTCCCAACTCCTTTGATCTTGCAGAGCAAAGGCAGCCTTTGGAGGCATTAAAAGGGGACTACTGTGGCAATAGTCTGGAAAATGGATTGGAAGGGAAATAGATAGAAGAGGTTACAGTTACCCAAGTAAGAGATAATGGTGACTAGTGGGGATGGAGAGATGTTGGAGAAGATATAGTTGTTGGATATTAGAAGAGAGGCAGAGTTTGAGGCTGATACTTAAGGGCCTCTCATTTTTGTCTCCCCCACAAGTCGGTCTTATTCACCTTAGCAGCCACAGCAATTAGAAAAATTCCTGGTACCTACAGAGTGCTTGACAAATATTTCCTAAATTCCATTTCTTCAGAATGACTGCATTTTAAAAATTAAAATGCAAGATAATGTAACTAGACACAATTTGAAAATGAGATTGTCCTGGGAAAACCTGGGTGGCTGTGGTAGCTGTACTTAGGGAGAAATTTCCAGGAGAGATGCAGGTCTGCTATTCTCCTGGCCCTCTTGCTTGGTACTGCAGTGGAAATTGCATTTAATCATCCTCCATTTTTCTCAGAGAGTAAGAAAATCCACTTGATTGGTGCGAATAGCTGTAAATTAGCATAAAAAATCTTCTAAAGTAATTCTAAGGAATCTTATCTTTTGCCTGAGATTCTGCCAGCAGAGACCTAGGTGGGTTTCATGGGTCCTTGTCATTATTGTGAGTGAAGCTTTTACAGTGGATTAAGACATGGATTAGAGGGGGTCAGTGCAGTCTAGTGGAATGAATGTCAGCCAGGGATAACTGGTTTCAGAACCCAGATCAACCACTTACTCTGAAATGAATAGGTTATTTAGGCTTTTTCAGTCTAATCTATTCTGCAGAGACAATGATCCCTACCTTGTACCCGGGTAAGACTTCCTACGCTTATTATGGACCTCAGGCACGCATAGGGTCCTTTCTCCAGCAGTAGACATTTGCAAGGTCAGCTGTACATTTATCTTCAGTGTAGCTGGAGAAGATTTAGTGCCCTCCTTGTGGAGCCATTAATTCTTCAAGTAGGGTTCAGCCAGAAGGACCCACTCCTGAACACAGAGCACTTAAAAGGCCAGAGCTGAGGGTGAGAGCCAGTTCCTCCTTTTTTTTTTGAGATGGAGTCTCACTTTGTTGCGCAGGCTGGAGTGCAGTGGCACGATCTCAGCTCACTGCAAACTCTGCCTCACTGCAAACTCTGCCTCCCAAGTTCAAACAATTCTCCTGCCTCAGCCTCCCAAGTAGCTGGGACTACAGGCACGCACCACCAAGCCCGCCTAATTTTTGTGTTTCTAGTAGAGATGGGGTTTCACCATGTTGGCCAGGCTGGTCTCAAACTCCTGACCTCAAGTGATCTGCCTTCCTCGGCCTCGCCAGAGAGCCAGTTTCTGATCTAGAAAATGTTTCACTGTGGCTGGGTCCATGGGGAAGTTGCTATTGTTTCCCGATAATAACACAGGCAACTAGCCAGGTGTGGTGGCTCATGTCTGTAATCCCAGCATTCTGGGAGGCCGAGGTGGGTGGATCACCTGAGGCTGGGAGTTCGAGACTAGCCTGACCAACATGGAGAAACTCCGTCTCTACTAAAAATACAAAATTAGCTGGGCAAGGTGGTGCATGCCTGTAATCCCAGCTACTCAGGAGGCCGAGGCAGGAGAATTGCTTGAACCTGGGAGGCGGAGTTTGTAGTGAGCCAAGATTGTGCCATTGCACTCCAGCCTGGGCATGAGACTTCGTCTCAAAATAATAATTAATAATAATAATAATAATAACACGGGTAACCATGAATATAGCACTTCTTATGTGCCAGGTGTTGTTCTAAGCACCTCGTGTATATTTTATTCTAGAGAAGTGGACTTCTGGTAGGCTGCCCTAACTCCCACCCTGGCAGGGAGTGGTGAGTCCCTAGAGAGGGCCAATCCACCTTGAGCTTACTGCATTTTCTCATATCCATTCTTGTTCATGGTCTCCAACACAGTGATCCTTGGGGAAACTGAGGAAGCTCAACAACAATTTGCAAAATGGAGGCAAGAATAATGGCTATTTCCTCTGCATAGAAGCAGAGCAGCATGGTTTGGAATTAAGCACATCTGGTTGGAACTCGGAGAGTCACATCCTGAATGGGAAAGTTACTGGCTTCTCTCCACACCCAAGACTTCCTGGTAAAGTGAGATCATCGTATTTGACTTCCAAGGTCTAAGTCAGAAGACAGCTGCTAGCCCCACAGAGGACAGCTGCTGGCACAGCGTTTGGTGTATAATAGGCACCTCAACAGACATTGTTCCCCTCCCCAGTGAATTGCCCTGCTTTCTGTCCTCTCTCCTTGCATCTGCCTCCTTAATGTTTTCACCCTTTAAGACCTAGCTGAAGTTTAAGAACTTTCCAGGTCCCCTCCACCATGTTTTCACTCTTCAAGACCTAGCTGAAGTTTAAGAACTTTCCAGGCCCCCTCCACCACTTCCCACTGGAACATCATCCCCTGCCCTGGCATGGATGTGGATGGCACTCAATACTTCTTGTGTTCTTTGCTAAACCGTCAAGGCCTTGAAGGCTGGGACACCATCTTTTAATGGCTCAACAAATATCTGGAACATCAAAGGTGAGCACAGATGTGAAAATTACCTGCTTTGTAATTTGGAATATTATGTTTAAAAAAAAAGGTTTAAAAAAAAATCTTTTGTTTTTAATTCTTGGGGAGTAGTACTGTTTCTAAAAGAGAAATTTTGTTGTTTTTGTAATTTTTAAATTTTGATGTAACTTCAAACACAGAAAAGTTACTGTAGTACAAGCAGTTCCTATAAGCCTTTTACCAAGATTCACCAGTTGTCTACATTTTACCCCATTCATTTTGTCATCCTCTCTCTGAACATGTTTATACAGATGCATCTTTTTCTGAACTGTTTGTAACTGGGAGAAATGGTGCTCCTTTACCCCTAAACGTTCAGTGTGTATTTCCTGATAAAGGTGCTCTCTTACTATTTTTTTTTTTTTTTTTTTTTGAGATGGAGTCTTGCTGTTGTCACCTGAGCTGGAGTGTAATGGTGCGATCTCGGCTCACTGCAACCTCCGCCTTCCAGGTTCCAGCAATTCTCCCACCTCAGCCCCTCAGCCTCCCGAGTAGCTGAGATTACAGGTACCCTCCACCACGCCCAGCTAAATTTTGTATTTTTAGTAGAGACAGGGTTTCACCATGTTGGCCAGGCTGGTCTCCAACTCCTGACTTCAGATGATCCATCTGCCTCAGCCTCCCAAAGTGCTGAGATTACAGGCATGAGCCACCGCACCTGGCCGTTTGTTTTTTTTAAGAAGGTAGAAGAATCGAGGCTGAGGTTCCCAGATTTCCCTGTGAAAGCTTCAGCAAAGGCCCCAGGTGCATGGGTGACGCAATATCTGAAAAGATGGAGCCGAGGGTGGGTACAGAGAAGGTTGTGCCTCAGGAGCCCAAAAAGAAGGGCAGGGTGAAAAAAGGCAGCACACCTGAAGCTCCTTGTGGGGAATGTGAAAAAACACCGTCCCGAGCACCTTGGCAGGAGCTGCCCAGCAAGATGTCTGCAGGCTCCTGATCCCCATGGACCAGTCCAGCTCCAGAAGGATGTTTCCAGCTAACAGGGCTGAGATCCCAAAGGGCTTGGAAAGAAAGTGTTTCTTTCCAGAAACCAAGTCAACCAAAGACATGGCCTCTGGCCTCCGGAGGTGTCAGAGGTCAGCTTGTGGTCCCTGAGAAAAGATAATCACACCAATTGGTCCTTCTGCCCAATAAATAAGAAACATATAAGGCCTTTGGCCTCCTAGGAAAGTACTTGACAGTGCACATTATGAAGGAGTGAAATAGGATCTGCAAGAACTCTCAAAACACTGAATGGATAAACAAATGTGGTATATACACACAATTGAATAGTATTCACTAAAAGGAAGGAAAATTTAAAAGAAAGGAAATTCTGATGCATGCTACAACATGGATGAAACTTGATGACATGATGCTAAGTGAAATAAGCCCAATGCAAAAGGAGAAATACAGTATGATACCGCTTATATGGGGTACCTAGAGCAGTCAAATTCATGGAAACAGCAAGTAGAATGGTGACTGCCAGGGGCTTGAGGAAGGAGAGAATGCAGAGTTAGTGTTTAATGGGTACAGAGTTTCCGTTTTGCAAGACAAAAAGAGTTCTGGTGAGGGATGATGGTGATGGTTGCACAACAGTGTGAATGTACTTGCTGCCACTGAATTGTACACTTCAAAATGGTTAAGATGGTAAATTTTGGCTTGTGCCTGTAATCCCAGCACTTTGAGAGGCTGAGGCAGGCAGATCATGAGGTCAGGAGATCGAGACCATCCTGGCTAACATGGTGAAACCCCATCTCTACTATAAATACAAAAAATTAGCCAGACGTGGTGGCACATGCCTGTAGTCCCAGCTACTCGGGAGGCTGAGGCAGGAGAATCCCTTGAACCCAGGAGGTGGAGGTTGCAGTGAGCCGAGATCGTGCCACTGCACTCCAGCCTGGGTGACAGAGAGAGACTCTGTCTCAAAATAATAATAATAATAATAATAGGATTTTTTAAAAAAGAAATCTCTTATCAATACTAAAATTCTATAATTCTATTTTTTTTCTTTTTTGAGACAGAGTCTTGCTCTGCCACCCAGGCTGGAGTGCAGTGGCACAATCTCAGCTCACTGCAAAGTCCGCCTCCCAGGTTCAAGCAATTCTCCTGCCTCAGGCCCTCTGAGTAGCTGGGACTACAGGTACCCTCCACCACACCTGACTAATTTTTGTATTTTTAGTAGAGATGGGTTTTCACCATGTTGCCCAGGCTGGTCTTGAACTCCTGACCTCAGGTGATCCACCTGCCTCAGCCCCCCAAAGTGCTGGGATTACAGGCATGAGCCAGCACGCCTGGCCTATAATTCTATTTTTTTTTTTTTTTTTTGAGACGGAGTCTCGCTCTTTCGCCCAGGCCGGACTGCAGTGGCGCTCTCTCGGCTCACTGCAAGCTCCGCCTCCGGGGTTCACGCCATTCTCCTGCCTCAGCCTCCTGAGTAGCTGGGATTACAGGCGCCCGCCACAACACCAGGCTAATTTTTTGTATTTTTTAGTAGAGACGGGGTTTCACCGTGTTAGCCAAGATGGTCTCGATCTCCTGACCTCGTGATCCACCCACCTCGGCCTCCCAAAGTGCTGGGATTACAGGCGTGAGCCACCGTGCCCGGCCCTTATAATTCTATTTTTAAAAAGCAGAAGATATCAGAAATGGGGATCCCCCAGTCCTGACTCAACCCCTTCAACTCTCAAGTAAGGAAACTGAAGCTGGGATTCTTCTGTGGCTTGCAGCTGAATCCTGACTGGAATTGGACCTAGAACCCTGGGAGAATGCTGGGAGAACAGAGGACATGGTGTTTGCCAGGGCCTCCAAGGACACAGTCATAGATAGGGGGCTGTGAATATGGCAACACAGCAGCAGTAAAAGTTAGCTTCCAAAGAAGACAGGAAAATCTTTTTACTGCAGAGGTGACATTTGAGCTGGTAACAAAACAACCATAGGTGTTTGCCAGGAGGAGAAAATGTAAGCTAAAAAGGTAAAAATCTAGGGATCAGTACATATGACCACAGATCAGTACATGTAACACAGAGGGGTGTTTCTCAACCACAAAAGATTATATTGAGGAGAGAGGCCATTTCTCTTACTGTCTCCTGTCTCCAAAGAAAAGGAGGAAACTGAAAAATAACAGACTGATTGGGCGCCACTGGCCAGGCCTGTAAGTTAAAGATTAACCCCCATCCTAATCGCTTGTGCTATCTGTAGACCACAGACAATGAGACCACAGACAATGGTACAGAGAAATGCTTGCCTTGCTTACCCCCACCTAGTCAGGTATCCCACGCTTGCTCAATCTATCACAACCCTGTCACATGGACCCCTTAGAGTTGTAAGCCCTTAAAAGGGCCAGGAACTCTTCTTCAGGGAGTTTGGTTCTTGAGACGTAAGTCTGCCGATGCTCCCGGCCAAATAAAGCCACTTCCTTCTTTTTTTTTTTTTTTTTTTTTTTGAGATGGAGTCTTGCTCTGTCGCCCAGGCTGGAGTGCAGTGGCGCGATCTTGGCCCACTGCAAGCTCCGCCTCCTGGGTTCACACCATTCTCCTGCCTCAGCCTCCCGAGTAGCGTGACTACAGGCGTCCGCCACCACACCCAGCTAATTTTTTGTTTTTTAGTAGAGAGGGGGTTTCACCGTGTTAGCCAGGATGGTCTCCATCTGCTGATCTCGTGATCCACCCGCCTTGGCCTCCCAAAGTGCTGGGATTACAGGCGTGAGCCACTGCGCCTGGCCCACTTCCTTCTTTAACCCAGTGTCTGAGGGGTTTTGTCCACGGCTTGTCCTGCTACATTTCTTGGTTCCCTGACAGGGAAGCGAGGTGGTTGAAGGTTGGCCGAGGCAGCCCCTAGGCGGCTTAGGCCTGCCCTGTTGGAGCATCCCTGTTGGGGGAATCCAGCCAGCTTGAGCGAAGCAGATCCTGAGAGCGCTCCTGGGTAGACACTTGCCCCAGTGGAACGCCTAGTCAGAGCGGTGCCTGGCAGGCCCCCGTGGAGGATCAATGCAGTGGCTGAACACCAGGAAGGAATTGGCACTTGGAGTCTGGACATCTGGAATACGGTAGGACCGGTCTTGGGAACTTGCCCACTGCATTTCAGTGGAAGCGTGGCCTGCCTTTATTGGCACTTTGGTTTTGCTTTTGATTTTGACTTGGTTTGATTGCTTGATGAATGAGCATGCCTTTATCGGCACTTTGGTTTTGGTATTGATTCTGATTTGGTGTGAATTGCTTGACGAGTGAGTTACCTTTTACTCTTTGCCCTTTTTCTTTCCCTTCTTGTGGCAAGAGTGTTGTTTTGTCTCGGAGAGGAAAATGGGTAAAACACAGAGTAAGCCCACCCCGTTAGGGACTATGTTAAAAAAAATTTTCCAAAAAGGTTTTAATGGAGATGATGGGGTTACTGTGACCCCAGGAAAACTTAGGACCTTGTGTGAGATAGATTGGCCAGCATTAGAAGTGGGTTGGCCATCAGAAGGAAGCCTAGATAGGTCCCTTGTTTCAAAGGTATGGCACAAGGTAGCTGGTAAGCCAGGATACCCAGACCAGTTTCCGTACATAGACCTTTGGTTACAGCTGGTTTTAAACCCCCCACAGTGGTTAAGAGGACAGGCGGCAGTTGTACTAGTGGCAAAGAGAGGGAGAATTTATGTAAAAAGAATGTTATATGGTAAATTCTTGTCCTGAAATAAATTAACTTCTTGTTTAAAGAAAGGGATGTTTGCAATAAGTCAGAAAGTTGAGGCATGTCGAAGAATTGTCTGTGAAAGTCGTGAAAGAAAAAAAATGTGCTATAAAAAGCAACTTATGCAAGAAATGCTGTATAATTTCAAAGTAATTAGGCCTCCTGAATGTAAAACTATTGAAGAAACAGTTTATATGCAAGGTGTATAAGGAAAGTAAAATATACTTTTAATAAAAGGATTATAAGGAGGCATAAGAATGTGGATTTTTACCTACATTAAAAGGTTAAAAAAATTTTGTTTTGAAGGTTTAAGCAAGTTTTGAAACGTTAATTGTAAAGGAAATTCTGTGTGTAAACATATTGGCTGAAGTTAAAGGGGTATCATCCAGTTTTTCTGTGACTGGACATTAAAATAAAAACACAATGGGTTTTTCTTGAAGCATTAACCTGCTCTTTAACAAAAATTATAAAAGGTTAAAAAGAGTCTATAAAAATCTTACCTTATGGTCAGACATTAAAAATTGAATAAATATATCTACAAAGTTTTATTGAAACTAAGTTTAACATTAATAACACACTAATATAAAGGTGAAATTTAGCTTATCTGGTATAAAAATCATACAGGAAGCATTGTCAAATAAAAAATGGTGTTTGTCTTTCTTTGGTCTAAAAACTAATAAAAATAGGTGTTAAAGGAAATTTCTCAGTAAGAAGGCACCAAGGACTATAAAGTCCACTGCTGATGTCCCCACATTTACAACAAAAGGTCAATTTCTTCGAAATTATATACTTGGTTTATCTTCCACTTTACTTTCCTTCAAAACTAAAAGTCTTTCAGCACACGTACCACCCCTAGAATTTCCAGTAAACCAGCACCAGCCTGAAGATCACGTTCTCATCAAAGGGTGGAAAGAAGGAAAACTCGAGCCAGCCTGGGAAGGACCCTACCTTGTGCTGCTAACCACTGAGATTGCTGTTCGTACAGCCAAAAATGGATAGACTCATCACAACCAAGTCAAGAAAGTACCACCCCCTCCAGAGTTGTGGGCCATAGTCCCAAGGGAAAATCCTACCAAACTGAAGCTAAGAGAAATTTAACTCTTTCATCTATTCTATTACTTCTGTCCTTGCTCTGTTGCTGACCATCTAGTTATTAACAAAACTAAATCAATTTCACCTCAAACTATTACATTTAATGCTTGCCTTGTTATACCCTGTGGGGACTTGCCAAATCAAAGACAGCTCTCTACTTCAGAAAAGTAACTCTGCCCCTCCTGACTCTCCTCAGACTGGGCATTAGTAAATTGGGACCATTTAATCTGGGGAGATTTTGATAAAGACCCCAGAGTCAACCAGGAGTCTTGTCCCCTGATGTAGAGTTTTTATGCCATAGTTGGTCCAACATTCTGTGGGCCACTAAAGAGCAAGGATGGACTGCCCCAACCGGTTTTTGTAATTTCCTAAAACCATACATTCATTTTACTAGAGGATCATAGAAGTTAAAGACAAAACAAACTTTAGCAATTAAGACAGGATAACAAGATGCAAATGCTTGGTTGGAATAGATCAAATATTCCATCTGCATGTTAAACAAAAGCAATTGTTATGCTTGTGCACATGGCAGACCAGAGACCCAGATTGTCCCCTTTCCACTAAAGTGGTCCTCCAGTCGACCAGGCGTGGACTGCATGGTATCTCTTTTCCAGGATTCTACAGCCTGGAGTAATAAGTCGTGCCAAGCTCTCTCTCTGCTATGTCCTGAAGTTCAGCACCCTGTGGGTCAGCCCCTGAGGGCCACCCAGCTTCTGTCTCCCAACACTAAGTTCACTTCATGTCTCTCATGACAGGGAGGAAACTTAGCATTCCTTGGAGACCTGAAGGGATGCAGTGAGCTTAAGAATTTTCAAAAGCTTATCAGTCAGTCAGCCCTTGTTCGTCCCCAAGCGGATATGCGGTGGTATCGTAGTGGACCTTTATTGGACACTCTGCCGAGTAACTGGAGTGGCACTTGTGCTTTAGTCCAATTGGCTATCCCTTTCACCCTGGCATTTCATCAAACAGAGGGAGGAAAAATAAGACATCGTAGAGCGAGAGAAGCCCCTTATAGGTCTTTTGACTCTCACATCTATTTAGATGCAATTGGAGTCCCATGGGGAATATCAGATAAGTTTAAAGCCTGAAATCAAATAGTTGCAGGATTTGAGTCAATATTTTGGTGGGTGACAGTTAATAAAAATGTAGATTGGATAAACTACATCTATTACAACCAACAGCAACGAATTTTTCATGAGTTTAAAAAAAAAAAAAAAAAAACTCATGTCGGCTCCAGCCCTGGGGCTACCTGACCTGACAAAACCTTTTACACTATATGTGTCAGAGAGAGAAAAAATAGCGGTTGGAGTTTTGACCCAGACTGTGGGGCCCTGGCTGAGGCCAGTGGCCTACCTCTCTAAACAACTAGATGGGATTTCTAAGGGTTGGCCCCCATGTTTGAGGGCCTTAGCAGAAACAGCCCTGCTAGCACAAGAAGCAGATAAGCTAACTCTTGGGCAAAACCTAAACATAAAGGCCCCCCATGCTGTGGTACCACTAATGAACGTCTAAGGACATCATTGGCTAACAAATGCTAGACTAACTAGGTACCAAAGCTTGCTCTGTGAGAATCTCCACATAACCATTGAAGTTTGCAACACCCCAAACCCCACCACTTTGCTCCTGGTATCAGAGAGCCCAGTTGAACATAACTGTGTAGAGGTGTTGGACTCAGTTTATTCTAGCAGGCCCGACCTCCGAGACCATCTTTGGACATCAGTAGACTGGGAGCTGTACGTGGACGGGAGCAGCTTCATCAACCCACAAGGAGAGAGGTGTGCGGGATATGCGGTGGTAATCCTGGATGCTGTCATTGAAGCCAAATCATTGCCCCAGGGCACTTCAGCCCAGAAGGCCGAACTCATTGCTTTAATTTGGGCCTTAGAGCTGAGTGAAGGTAAGACTGTAAACATTTACACTGACTCTCGGTATGCCTTCTTAACCCTCTAAGTACATGGTGCATTATTCAAGGAAAAAGGCCTGTTGAACTCTGGGGGAAAAGACATAAAGTATCAACAAGAGATCCTGCAATTATTAGAGGCACTGTGGAAGCCCCAAAAGGTGGCAGTCATGCACTGCAGAGGACACCAGCGAGCTTCCACCTCGATTGCCTTAGGGAACTACAGAGGAGACTTAGAAGCTCGAAAAGCAATATCCACCCCCTGCCGGGCATCAGTCACAGCCCCCCTGCTCCCTCAAGCACCTGACCTTGTACCTACTTCTTCTTTTTTTTTTTTTTTTGAGACAGAGTCTCGCTCTGTCGCCCAGGCTGGAGTGCAGTGGCATGATCTCAACTCACTGCAAGTTCCGCCTCTCAGGTTCACGCCATTCTACTGCCTCAGCCTCCCAAGTAGGTGGGACTACAGGTGCCTGCCACCACACCTGGCTAATTTTTTGTATTTTTAGTAGAGACGGGGTGTCACTGGATGGTCTCGATCTCCTGCCCTTGTGATTCACCTGCCTCGGCCTCCCAAAGTGCTGGGATTACAGGTGTGAGCCACCGCACCTGGCTGTACCTACTTATTCTAAAGAAGAGAAGGACTTTCTCCAGACAGAAGGAGGGCAGGTGATAGAAGAGGGCTGGATCCGGTTATCAGACGGAAGAATAGCCATGCCACTGCTGCTAGGAGCCGCAGTTGTACTGGCTGTGCATGAGACCACCCACCTAGGCCAAGAGTCACTTGAAAATTTGTTAGGCCAGTACTTCTATGTCTCACATCTGTCAGCCCTTGCCAAAACGGTGGCGTAGCAGTGTGTCACCTGCTGACAGCACAATGCTAGGCAAGGTCCAACCGTCCTGTCTGGCATACAAGCTTATGGAGAAGCCCCCTTTGAAGATCTCAATATAGACTTCACCAAGATGCCCAAATGTGGCAGTAACAAGTATTTGCTAGTTCCAGTGTGTACATACTCTGGGTGGGTGGAGGCCTATCCAACACGAACCAAGAAAGCTCGTGTTCTTCTCCGAGATCTCATCGCTAGGTTTGGACTGCCCTTATGGATCGGCTCAGAAAATGGGCCGGCGTTTGTGGCTGACTTGGTACAGAAGACAGCAAAGGTGATGAGTGTGGATCAAAGACTGGAACGTAGCCCCCTTGCAGCCACGGTGGAAAGGACCCCAGACTGTCATCTTGACCACTCCCACAGCTGTGAAGGTAGAGGGAATCCCAGCCTGGGTCCACCACAGCTGCGTAAAACCTGCAGCACCGGAGACCTGGTAGGTGAGACCAAGCCTAGACAACCCCTGCAAAGTGACTCTGAAGAAGTCGACAAGCCCTGCTCCAGTCACACCCGGAAGCCGACTGGTCCACTCATGGCCGAAGCATGAGGAAACTCACTGCAGGACTCATTTTCCTTAAATTTTGGACTTGTACAGTAAGGACTTCAACTGACCTTCCTCAGACTGAGGACTGTTCCCAGTGTATACATTAAGTCACTTAGGTAGGACAAAAGGTTGCTGCAGTCCTATTATTTTATAGTTATTATGAGTGTACTGGGACTCTAAAAGGAACTTGTTTGTATAATGCTACTCTATACAAGGTATGTAGCCCAGTAAGTGACCAGCCTGATGTGTCCTATAACCCATCTGAGCCCCCTATGACTACCGTTTTTGAAATAAGATTGAGGACTGGCAGCCGGGAAAAAGCTGATATGAGCAAAATAATAACTAGAACAGAAGAGAAAGGAGTTCCCAAACAAATTATCTTAAAATTTGACCCTGTGTGGCAATCAACAGTGACTTGTGTGGAAATAGAATAAGATGTGGCTCTCTAGATTGGGAAAGGGGCTATATAGCAGAAAATAAGTATGTTTGTCATGAATTGGGACTGAATGTAGTGATGAATGTAGTTACTGATCCTGTGTCATTTAGGCCACCTGGAAAAAAAGATGAGAAGGGAAGGACCCTGTCTGCCTTCAAAAAGGAAGGAGTAACTCTTCCTGCACTAGTGGTCACTGTAACCCATTAGAATTGCTAATTACCAATCCCCTTGATCCCTGTTGGAAAACAGGAGAGTATGTAACTCTAGGAATTGATGGAAGTGGACTGGATTCCCGAGTAAATATTTCAGTCCAAGGGGAGGTCCACAGGCGCTCTCCCAAACCAGTGTTTCAGACCTTTTATGATGAGCTGAATCTGCCAGCACCCGAGCTTCCAAAAAAGATGAAGAACTTGTTTCTCCTGTTGGCAGAAAATATAGCTCATTCCCTCAATGTTACTTCCTGTTATGTATGTGGGGGGACCACTATAGGATACGGATGGCCTTGGGAAGCCTGAGAGTTGGTGCCTCCTGATCCAGTTCCTGACACAATTCCAGTCCAGAAGGCCCAAACTAGCAACTTCTGGGTCTTAAAAACTTCCATTATTGGACAATATTGCATAGCTAGAGGAGGAAAAACTTCACTGTCCCTGTAGGAAAGCTCAGTTGCCTAGGACAAAAGCTGTATAACAGCACAGCAAAGACAATCATCTGGTGGGGCTTAAACCCATACTGAAAAGAACCCATTCAGTAAGTTTCCTAAGTTGCAAACTTTTTAGGCCCATTCAGAATTTCATCGGGAGTGGATGGCTCCCACTGGACTGTATTGGATATGTGGGCACAGAGCCTACCCTGTCCATTGGTCAGGTAGTTGTGTCATTGGTACCATTAAGCCATCCTTTTTCCTGTTACCTGGAAAGACAGGTGAGCTTCTAGGTTTCCCTTCCTATACCTCCCGAGAAAAAAGAAGCATAGCCATAGGTAATTGGAAAGATGATGAGTGTCCCCCTGAAAGAATCATACAGTACTATGGGTCTGCCACATGGGCACAAGACAGCTCGTGGGGATACCGAACCCCCAACTACATGCTTAACTGGATCATATGGTTACAGGCTATTTTAGAAATAATCACTAACGAAACTGGCAGAGCTTTGACTATTTTAGCCCGGCAGGAAACCCAAACGAGAAATGCGATCTATCAGAATAGATTAGCCTTAGACTATTTGCTGGCAGCTGAGGGAGAAGTCTGTGGAAAATTCAACTTGACCAATTGCTGTCTGCAAATAGACGATTAAGGACAAGTAGTCGAAAATATAGTTAGAGACATAGCAAAGTGGGCACATGTGCCCATGCAGGTTTGGCATGGGTTTGATCCTGGATCCCTATTTGGAAAGTGGTTTCCAGCTCTAGGAGGATTTAAAACTCTTACAATAGGTATAGTAGTAGTGTTAGGAACCTGCCTAGTGCTCCCTTGTTTGCCACCCATAGTTCCCCAACTACTAAGAAGTTTTGTTGCCACCTTGGTTCATCAGAAAACTTCAGCACAAATGTATTACATGAATCACTATTGATCTGTCTCGCAGGAAGACCTGGATAGTGAGGATGAGAGTGAGAACTCCCACTAGTGAGTGAGGTTCTCAAAGGGGGGAATGAGGAGAGAGGCCATTTCTCTTACTGCCTCCTGTCTCCAAAGAAAAGGAGGAAGTAAAAACTGAAAAATAACAGACTGATCGGTGCCACTAGGCAGGCCTGTAGGTTAAAGATTAACCCCCATCCTAATCGCTTGTGCTATCTATAGATCACAGACAATGGAATAGAGAAATACTTGCCTTGCTTACCCCAACTTAGTCACATACCCCATGCTTGCTCAGTCTATCACGACACTGTCACGTGGACCCCTTAGAATTATGAGCCCTTAAAAGGGCCAGGAACTCTTTCTTCAGGGAGCTCAGTTCTTAAGACACAAGTCTGCCAACACTCCCGGCCAAATAAAGCCACTTCCTTCTTTAACCGCATGTATGAGGGGTTTTGTCCACGGCTCTTACTGCTCCCATATGATGTTAATATGTACTGGTTAAGATTTACGCAAAATGCGCTAATAACGGGAAGCTGGCTGTGGATCTGGGAACTCTGTACTATCTTTATAACTTTTCTATAACTCTAAAATTTACAAAAAAAAAATTTATGGATATTTATTTTTAGAAATAAAGTAAAATAAAATATGTATTTTAAAAAGTAAATAAATCCATAAATAAGTAAATTTTAAAAACAAAGCTTTCAGTAAAATGATACTACTCTTACTGGATCAGAGAGTGCTGTTCCCCTGGAGTCTATGGCACAGCACAGGATGGCCTCTCTGTGTGTTCACTGACCCTGTGCTCACCCAGACTGGGGCTATTTGAAACTAACAGTTCCCTCAGTTTCACCAGAAATCCTCCATGGCTTGGGCCATTGGCAGCAGGACCTGAGCCTGGTCCTCCAAATTCTCACTCATAACGTTGACTTAAATGACATTCACCACCAGTGCCTTACTCCCTACCCCAAGACTCTAGCCTCAGGTGTCTTTTTATGTTCGTTTGTTTTTGTCTTTAGAGACAGGGTCTTGCTGTGTTGCCCAGGCTAGATTCTAACTCCTGGGCTCAAGTGATCCTGCCACCTCAGCCTCCTGGGTAGCTAGGATTATAGGAGCAGGGCACTGAGCCCAGTTTATGGTGCAAATCCTATAGATCCATCAAACTTCAGTCTTGAACTGAGAGGCTCAGGGGACTAGGTTGGAAGGAAGGCTTTTCACAGTATGCCCTTTTGTACCTTTTGAATGTTGGACCATGTCAATGTGTCAATGTACTATCTACTAAAATAAGACAAAAAACACAAAAACAGGGCTGGGCACGGTGGCTCATGCCTGTAATCCCAGCCCCTAGGGAGGCCGAGGGGGTGGATCATGAGGTCAGGAGTTCAAGACCAGCCTTGCCAAGATGGTGAAACCCCGTCTCTATTAAAAATACAAAAATTAGCCGGGTGTGGTGGCAGGAGCCTGTAATCCCAGCTACTCAGGAGGCTGAGACAGAGAATTGCTGGAACCTGGGAGGTGGAAGTTGCAGTGAGCCGAGATAGTGCCACTGCACTCCCAGCCTGGTGACAGAATGAGACTCAGTCTCAAACAAACAAACAAAAAAAAAAAAAAAAAAAAAAAACCCCCCACACACACCCCCAGTCCCCTTTTCTCTGTGAATCCTTCTGACTACTCCAGGGAAGAATGAAGCCTTCTTGCCTCTGGCCTCGTGTTTACTACATTTGGCATTAAGAGTTCCTGCCAGTCAGTGCTGCTGATCACCTTTCCCTGTGTAAATGTCTGGCTCCCTTCCCAGGCTAGAAGTCCCTTAAAGGAGGCTGGGCATGGTGGCTCTCGCCTGTAATCCCAGCACTTTGGGAGGGAGGCCTAGGCGGGCAGATCACCTGAGGTCAGGAGTTCAAGACCAGCCTGGCCAACGAACATGGTGAAGCCCCATCGCTACTAAAAATACAAAAATTAGCCAGGTGTGGTGGAGAGTGCCTGTAGCCTCAGCTACTTGCAGGGGCTGAGGCAGGAGAATCCTTGAACCCAGGAGGTGGAGATTGCAGCGAGCTGAGATCACACCACCGCACTCCAACCTAGGTGACAGAGCAAGACTCCATCCCCACCCCCCCCAAAAAAGAGAAATTATACAAATAGTAAGGATGTGAAAGGTGTTTAACCTCTTTAGTTAACAAGGAAATGCACATTGAAACTACCATGAGATACCACACCCACCTACCAGCATGGCTATATTTAGAAAGACTGACAATGTCAAGTGTTGGCAAAAAAATGTGGACCAATGACAACTTTCACACACTGCTCATGGGAGTGGAAACTGGTGCAAACTCCTTAGAAAACTGGAAATATTTACTAAACTGAACATACACATAGCTGATAATCAAGCACTTCCACTGCTGGGTATTCACCCAACAGAACTGCACATTTATGTGCATCCAGAGACATACACAAGAATATACAGGCATTCTTCATGAATAATACCAAACCAGAAACACCTTCAATGTCCAGAATCATAGACTAGATAAATTATGGTATATTGTACAAATGACTAACAGCTACATAGGATATGGTTACTCTCACAAACTATGTTAAACAAAAGGAGCAGGGTACAAAATAATTCATACCGTAAATTTCTGTTTATATAAGCTTCAAAAGCAAGCAAAACTAATATATGGTGTTAGAAGTCAGGTGTTGAGGGGGGAATCTGGGGTGCTGGTGACATACTACTAATAGTTCTCCTGGGTGGAAGTTTACACAGGTGAGTTAACTGAAACTTCATTGACATCTACACTTCTCATTTGTGTACTTGAACCCGGGAGGCGGATGTCATTTAAGAAATTTAAGGCGGATGTTAAATGTCATTTAAGAAATTTATTAGAGGCGGGGAGCAGTGGCTCACGCCTGTAATCCCAGCACTTTCGGAGGCCGAGGCGGGCGGATCATGAGGTCAGGAGATCAAGACCATCCTGGCTAACATGGTCAAACCCCGTCTCTACTAAAAATACAAAAAAATTAGCCAGGCATGCTGGCAGGCGCCTGTAGTCCCAGCTACTTGGGAGGCTGAGGCAGGAGAATGGCGTGAACCCAGGAGGCGGAGCTTGCAGTGAGCCGAGATCGCATCACTGCATTCCAGCCTGGGCGACAGTGTGAGACCCCGTCTCAAAAAAAAAAAAAAAAAAATTTATTAGAAATACATACTTAAAAATCAATGAGGAGACCCTATTTAATAATCCAGTGGCTGCCAAAATTATGCACAGTGGTTTTCTGAATCTTCTTTTAATTTATTTTTATACATATTTTTTGAGATGGAGTCTCGCTCTGTCGCCCAGGCTGGAGTGCAGTGGCGCCATCTCGGCTCACTGCAAGCTGCGCCTCCCAGGTTCAAGCATTTCTCTGCCTGAGGCTCCTGAGTAACTGGGATTACAGGCACCCGCCACCACGCCGGGCTAATCTTTGTGTTTTTAGTAGAGACAGGGTTTCACCATTCTGGCCAGGCTGTTCTTGAACTCCTGACCTCATGATCCACCCGCCTTGGCCTCCCAAAGTGCTGGGATTACAGGCATGAGTCACCGCGCCCGGCCAGTCTTTTCTTATTGTGAAAATGTCAAATGTAAACAAGAGGACAGCAGAATATTAGAGTAGCTTTCCTTTTTTTTTTTTTTTTCCTTGTAGAGAGGGTCTTGCTTTGTCATCCAGGCTGGAGTGCAGTGACGCCATCTCAGCTCACTGCAACCTTCACCTCCTGCGTTCAAGAGATTCTCATGCTTCAGCCTCCCAAGTAGCTGGGATTATGGGCATGCACCACCATGTCCAGCTAAATGTTTGTATGTTTTAGTAGAGACGGGTTTTGCTGTATTGGCCAGGCTGGTCTTTACTGTCCTCAAGTGATCCGCCCGCTTCGGCCTCCCAAAGTGCTGGGATTACAGGTGCGAGCCACTGTGCCTGGCCTAGAGTAACTTTCCTTTGATGAAATCTGCTATCATTTGTTTCTACAAATCATTCTTCTAAAATACTGTATTCCTTATGAAAATAATATAATCATACAAACAAAATTTCGGAAACTAGAAACAAATAAAACCCCTAACCTCTCCCATCCATTTAAACATAAATTGCTTTATAATTTTGATACATTTCCTTCTAATCTTTCTTCCTCCACATTAATGTATTTTAAAGTAAAATACATTATTTTTCTCATTCAGAGTTTTAGTCACTTTCTCTATAATTTGAAAATAGTTTATTATTTACCCAGCATTTATGGTCATCTCTAAAATACTTAGCACTGTGAATATATGTCAGATAAAAATACAAAGTAAATTTCACTTAGCTGTTCAAAAAATAGCATAATAATATAGATTAAATTCCAAGCACCTTGAAGCAGTTTACACTCTTGATAGTCTTATTTACATAAAGGGGACACTTTTATTTTCTCTACTCTTTAGGTAAGAAAAACATGGCACATGGTTGATAATGAGACTATACCCAGAATGCAAGTTTTCCTATCCAACTTTTGCATTACAGCGGGCCTGGTACCAAAATATCAAATATGCAACTTAAAGTACTCTAACTCATTTAGCTAAGAAATCCTTTCCATTCCCTGCTGTCCAAATTCATCAATGCCTGGTTACTCAGATAATATGAATACACTAGAGTCTGGCTAAAATCTTATTTTTAGGTTCATGCTTGAAAACACCTTATAGATGTGATTATTTTTTCCCTATCTATCTTTCTCTATTATAAAGGTAATAAATCTTAATGAACATATCTTGTTAGACTGGGTTGGATTCCCCCAGAAGCAATCCTGTGGGCAATAATTTTCATGCAATATTTTATTTGGGAAGTGATCTTGGGAACCTCTGTTGGGAATAGGAAAGCGAGACGGGGAAGGGAAGTTAAGCCAACAGAGGGTGTGCAATAGGGCAAGGTTCTGTTGTGGGTGTCGAGGCTGGATCCTGCTGAAGAACTTGGGGAGACAGTGGAGAACTCACTTCACATCGTCCCAACTACGGAGGAAAGAAGCTGGGGTCGTTATCCTTCAACGCCCATCTGACAGTTGACTGAGGACTATTTCTGGAGGTGTAACTCCCCAGCACTTCTGGCCTATCTTTAGCTGGAGAAGAGCCAAAAGAAAGGTACTGTTGATACATTTATCTTGGGAAATTCTCAGTCATTATTGCTTCAAATATTTCTTCTGTTCCTTTCTTCTTTTTCTGGTATTCCCATTATGTGTATTTATACCTTGTGTAATTGTCCCTAAGTTCTTGGATATTCTGTTATTCTTTTCAGTCTCTTTTTCTTTTTTTCTTTTTTTTTTTTTGAGACAAGGTCTGGCTCCGTTACCCAGGCTGGAGTGCAGTGGAGTGCAATGGTGCGATCTCAGCTCACTGCAACCTCTGCCTCCCAAGCTCAAGCCATCCTTCCATCTCACCCGCCCAAGTAGCTGAGACTATAGGTGTGCACCACCATGCCTGGCTAATTTTTGTTTGTTTGTTTTTGTAAAGACGGGGTATTGCCATATTGCCCAGGCTGGTCTCGACCTCCCAAAGTTGTGGGGTCACAGGCATGAGCCACTGCCCGGCCCAGTCTTTTTTCTCCACATTTCAGTTTTGGGGGTTTCTATTGACATATCTTCAAGCTCACTGATTTTTTTCCTCAGCTGTATCCAGTGTATAATAAGCCCATTAAAGACATTCTTCATTTTTGTTACAATGTTTTTTATTTCTAGCATTTTTTTATTCATTCTTGGAATGTCCATCTCTCTGCTTACATTACCCATCTGTTTTTGCATGTTGCCTACCTTTTTCATTAGCACCCTTAGCATATTAGTCATAGTTGTTAAATTCCTGGTCTGATCATTCCAGCATCCCTGCCATATCTGAGTCTGGTTCAGATGCCTGAGTTGTAGGAAAGGGGAAGCATTCTAAAGTCCTACGAGTAGGTCTCAGTCTTTTTTTTTTTTTTTTTTTTTTTTTTTGAGACGGTGTGAAATTTCACTCTTGTTGCCTAGGCTGGAGTGCAATGGTGCGATCTCGGCTCATGGCAACCTCTGCCTCCTGGGTTCAAGCAATTCTTCTGCCTCAGCCTCCCAAGTAGCTGGGATGACAGGCATGCACCACCACGCCCGGCTAATTTTGTATTTTTAGTAGAGATGGGCTTTCTCCATGTTGGTCAGGCTGGTCTTGAACTCCCGACCTCAGGTGATCCGCTTGCCTTAGCCTCCCAAAGTGCTGGGATTACAGGCATGAGCCACCATGCCCCGCAGGTCTCAGTCTTTCAGTGAGCCTGTGCCCTTGAGCTGTGATCTTCATAAGTGCCTCTCAGTCTCCACTACCCCCTTTAGATGAGACAAGAAGGCTAGAAGAGGTCAGAGTTGGATATTTTCCTTTCCCCAGCCCAGTTAGGCTGTGGTAAAACCTGTCAGTTAGGCTATGATGAAATAGTTTCCCTTGAGGGCTGCTCTTGTTAGGAAGAAGAGAATGCTCTAGGTGTATTTCTAAATGGCTACTTTCCCCCTTTCCCCTGACAGAAGCATGAGAGGATTTTTGTCGTATTTTCACTGTGAGAACGGGGTAGAGGTAAAACTCACAAAAGTGTGGGTGCTCCATTGAGACTGGGCTCCTTCAGAGTTTTAAACTCACAAACAACTTGTCCATGCTGAGCCTCTAGCAATCCTGCAATTACAGTTGAGGTTCTCCTATCCCAGGCTGCAGAGGTTTCTGCTCCGGTAAATTCTGATTCTTGGCCGGGCGTGGTGGCTCAGGCCTGTAATCTCAGCACTTTGAGAGGCCAAGGCAGGTGGATCACCTGAGGTCAGGAGTTCTAAACCAGCCTGACCAACATGGTGAAACCCTGTCTCTATTAAAAATACAAAAATTAGCCGGGCGTGGTGGCACATGCCTGTAATCCCAGCTACTAGGGAGGCTGAGGCAGGAAAATCACTTGAACCCGGGAGGTGGAGGTTGTAGTGAGCCGAGATCACACCATTGCACTCCAGCCTGGGCAACAAGAGCAAAATTCCACCTCAAAAAAAAAAAAAAAAAAGAATTCTGATTCTCTGACTGGGCGTGGTGGCTCATGTCTGTAATACTAGCACTTTGGGAGGCTGAGGCAGGCAGATCACCTGAGGTCAGGAGTTTGAGACCAGCCTGGCCAACATGGTGAAACCTCATCTCTACTTAAAATACAAAAATTAGCCAGGTGTGGTGGCAGTTCACCTGTACTTGGGAGGTTGAGGCAGAAGAATCGCTTGAACCTGGGAGGCGGAGGCTGCAGTGAGCTGAGATTGAGTCACTGCACTCCAGACTGGGTGACACAGCAAGACTCCATCACACACACATGCACACATACACACACACACACACACACACACACCCCTCTGTTTCTCTGTATTTTCCAGTCTGCCCCTCCAGTGTTGGGGGCAGTAGTTTGCCCTGTGACCTCAGTTCTCTGATGGGTCTAAGAAGAGTTATTAATTTTCAGTTCGTTCAGCTTTTTTCTTGTATGAATGGGACAGATGACTTCTAAGATACATGCCAGACTGAAAAACAAAAGTCTTGATACATTATTACTAACTATAGTCCACATTTCAGGGCCGGGTGCAGTGGTTCATGCCTGTAATCCCAGCACTTTGGGAGACCAAGGTGGGTGGATTGCTTGAGCTCAGAAGTTTCAAGACAAGCCTGGGCAACATAGCAAAACCCCGTTATCTACAAAAAATACAAAAATTTGTCAGGCATGGTGGCACATGCCTGTAGTCCCAGCTACTTGGGAGGCTGAGGTAGGAGGATCACCTGAGCCTGAGGAGGTCAAACTGTAGTGAGCCGTGATCGTGCCACTGCACTCCAGCCTGGGCAACAGAGTGAGACCCTGTCTCAATAAATAAATAAATAAATAAATAAATAAATAAATAAATAAATAAATAAATCCCACACCTTATTCAAAAGTCCAGCCTGGGCAACAGAGTGAGACCCTGTCTCAATAAATAAATAAATAAATAAATAAATAAATAAAGCCCACACCATATTCAAAAGTCCTTAGTTTTTACCTAACGTCCTTCTTTTTTGTCTCAAGATCCCGTCCAGGACACCATATGACATTTATCCAACACATCTACTTGGGTTCCTCTTGGCTGCAACAGTTCCTTGGACTTTCCTTATTTTTGATGACCTTGACAGTTTTGAGGGGTACCGATAAGGTATTCTGTGGAATGTCCCCCAATTGGAATTTGTCTCATGAGAAAATTATGATTAGACTGGGTGATGGGTTTTTTAGAACCATAGAAGTCAAGTACCATTCACATAACATCATATCAAGGGTACCTACTTTCAATATGAATGATCACTGCTGATGTTAACCTCAGTCGCCTGGCTCGGACAGTCTGTAAAATTACTCTTTCCTCAGTCCCTTTACAAATTGTATTTTTTGGAAGAAAGTCACTATGCTCAGCCCACACTTAAGGACAGGGGAGTTATACTCCATCTCCTTGAAGGCAGAGTATCTACATACATTATTTAGAATTCTGCATAGGAGCTTTGTCTTTCCTCATTCATTCATTTGTTTATATCACTATGAACTCATGGATATCTATTTTATACTTTGAATTACAATCCAATACCACTTCATCTATTTTTTTCTTTTTTGAGACAGAGTTTCACTCTCTATCACCCACGCTGGGGTGCAGTGGTGGGATCATAGCTCACTGTAGCTTCAACTTCCCAGGCTCAAGTGATCCTCCTGTCTCAGCCTCCCAAGTAGCTGGGACCACAGACATGGGCCACCATGCCTGGCCAATTTTTAAATTAATTTTAATTTTAATTTATTATTATTTTTCTTATCTCCTAGAGCCTTCAGATGAGATAATTTTTAATTTTTTTAAGAGATGGGTTCTCCCTATGTTGCCCAGGCTGGTCTTGAACTCCTGGGCTAAAGAGATTCTCCCTCCTTAGCCTCCCAAAATGCTAGGATTATAGGTGTGAGCCACTGTGCCTGGCCACGTCATCTATTTTTATTGCCCCACATTGTTCCAGCTTTGGCCACTGGGAGGTCTTTGAGTTGGCTCCCATGTCCCTTTGTAATAACCACATCGGGTGTGTGTGTGGGGTGTGTGTGTGTGTGTGTGTGTGTGTGTGTGTGTGTGTTCTTCCTGAGTACTTCCTTCTTTCTGGCACTGTAAGACACTGCAAGCTCAGCATACAAAACTGCAGCTAGATAAGAGAATTAAGTTCTAGTGCACTTAGAATGCCCTACAGTTAATACTGTAGGATGACTACAGTTAACAGTAATATACAGTTTCAATATACATATTGAGTACAATACAGTTAACAATAATATATAGTTTCAAATAGGTAGAAGGAGAATATTGAAGGTTCCTAACACAAAGAAATGATAAATGTTTGAGATGATGGATATGCTAATTACCCAGATCTCATCATTATACATTATATGTTGAAACATCATCGTGTACCCCATAAAATATGTACAATTATTATGTAAACTAAAACCTACAATTTAAAAAGGTGCATCCAGGGCAGGCGTAGTGGCTCATGCCTGTAATCCCAGCACTTTGGGAGGCCAAGGCGGGCAGATAACCTGAGGTCAGGAGTTCGAGACCAGCCTGGCCAACATGGAGAAACCCCATCTCTACTAAAAATACACAAATTAGCCAGGTGTTGTGGTGCATGCCTGTAGTCCTAGCTACTCCGGAGGCTGAGGCAGAAGAATCACTTGAACCTGGGAGGTGGAGGATGCAGTGAGCCGAGATCACACCACTGCACTCCAGCCTGGGTAACAGAGTGAGACTCTGTCTCAAAAAAATAAAAATAAAGTGGCTATAAACAATCACATGTAGGTTTCTGAGAGGACTTAAATGTTAAAATTAGTTTGGTAAATACCTAGCAGTGCGTTTGCTGGATCATATGTTAAGACTAAGTTTAGATTTGTAAGAAACTGCCAGTTTTCTAAAGTGGCTGTACCATTTTACATTCGCATCAGTAATGAATAAGAGCTCCTGTTGCTTGTTGTCCTTACCAGCAATTAGTATTGTTAGTTTTTTGGATTTTAATCATTCTTTTTTTTTTTTTTGAGACAGAGTCTTGCTCTGTCTCCCAGGCTGAAGTGCAGTGGCAGGATCTCAGCTCTCTGCAACCTCCAACTCCTGGGTTCAAGCAATTCTCCTGCCTCAGCCTCCTGAGTAGCTGGGACTACAGGCACATGCCACCACGCCTGGCTAATTTTTGTATTTGTAGTAGAGATGGGGTTTCACCATGTTGGCCCAGGCTGGTCTGGATCTCCCGACCTCGTGATCCACCCACCTCAGCCTCCCAAAGTGCTGGGATTATAGGCATGAGCCATCGTGCCCGGCTGGAGTTTAGTCATTCTAATAGGTATGTAGTGGTATCCCACTGTGGTTTAAATTTGCAATTCTCTGATGACAAATAATGAGCATCTTTTCATATGCTACCCTCATTTTAAAATTAGTCAAATATAATCGCTGTTAGAGAAAATAGGCTAATGTACTGTGGCATTTATAACATATGTAGAAAAGAACCTATGACAAAAATAGCAGAAGGGACAGGTTGGCAGAAATTGATTTATATTACAGTTAAGTTCTTATATTAAATGTGAAGTGATATCAAATGAAAGGAGATTGTGATAAAAGTGTACATTTGTAAAATCTAGAGCAACCACTAAAAAAATAAATAAATAAATACACAAAGAGGTTTAGCTAATAAGCCAATAGTAGAGATAACGAGGAATTGTAAAAGAAAAATAAACCCTCAGTCCCAAAGAAAACAAGCAAATGGAGAAAAGGAACAAGAAACACATGGAACAAAAAGAAAACAACTTGTAAGATGATAAATTTAGGCTGGGCACAGTGGCTCACGCCTGTAATCTCAGCACTGGGAGGCCAAGGCAGGCGGATCACCTGAGGTCAGGAGTTCGAGACCAGTCTGGCCAACACGGCAAAACCCTATCTCTACTAAAAATACAAAAAATTAGGCTTGGCGTGGTGGCTCACGCCTATAAGCCCAGCACTTGGGAGGCTAAGATGGGTGGATCACCTGAGGTCAGGAGTTTGAGACCAGACTGACCAACATGGTGAAACACCGCCTCTACTAAAAATACAAAAATTAGCCGGGCATGGTAGTGCGTGCCTGTAATCCTAACTAATTGGGAGGCTGAGGCAGGAGAAGCGCTTGAATCCGGGAGCTAGAGGTTGCAGTGAGTCGAGATTGCGCCATTGCACTGCAGCCTGGCCAACAAGAGCAAAACTCTGTCTCAAAAAAAGAAAAGATGATAAATTTAAAGCCAACCATATCAATCATCAATTAAATGGAAACAGTGTACATATCCCAATTAAAAGGTAGAGATGGAATGGACATGGTGGCTCAAACCTGTAATCCCAGTACTCTGGGAGGCTGAGGCGGGGCAGGAGGATTGTTTGAGATCAGCCTGGGCAACATGAGAAGACCCTGTATCTTAAAAAAAAAAAAAAAAAAAAAAAGGAAAGAAAGAAAGGAGGGGAGGGGAAGGTAGGAGGGAGGGAGGGAAGGAGGGAGGGAGGAAGGAAGGAAGGAAGAAAGAGAAAAATTAGCTGGCATGTGCTTGTAGTCCCAGCTACTCAGGAGTCTGAGGTGGGAGGAGGATTGCTTGAGGCCAAGAGTTCAAGGCTGCAGTGAACTGTGATTGCACCACTGCACTCCAGCCTGGGTAGAGTGAGACCTTGTCTCTCAAAAAATACTAAACAACCAATAAAGTAATTATCCCTCCTAAAATAACACAGGAAAGTAAAAAGAAAGAAAAAAAGAAGAAAATCCAAAATAATTCAAAAATTACACTAAAAAAATTCCATGACTTTCCACAGTAGTATGCAGACACTTAAGTGGGCAATACACATTTTTTAACACAACAGGAATAATGAGCTTAAGTGTATCTCAAGTTAGTATTATAACAAAGAGAAAAAGATTATTTCAAGTGTCTTTAGACCACAGTTTTTTCTTTTTTGTTTTTTTTCTTGACACAGGGTCTTGCTCTGTTACCCAGGCTGGAGTGTAGTGGTACGATTACGGCTCACTGCAGCCCCAAACTCCTGAGCTCAAGCAATCCTCCTGACTCAGCCTCCTGAGTAGCTGCGACTACAGGTGCATCCCGCCATGCCTGGCTACTTAAAAAAATTTTTTTGTTGTTGGCTAGGGGCTGTAGCTCATACCTGTAATCCCAGCACTTTGGGAGGCTGAGACAGGTGGATCACTTGAGGTCAGGCGTTCGAGATCAGCCTGGCCAACATGGTGGAACCCTGTCTCTACTAAAAGAACAAAAATTAGCCAAGTATGTAGTCTCAACTACTCAGGAGGTTAAGGCATGAGAATCGCTTGAGCCCAGGAGGTGGAGGTTGCAGTGATCCGAGATTGCACGACTACACTCCAGCCTGGGCGACAGAGCAAGACTGTCTCAAAAAAACAAAACAAACTTTTTTTTTTTTTTGTAGAGACAGTCTCCCTATGTTGCCCAGGCTTGTCTCAAACTCCTAGGCTCAAGCTCTTGCCTCAGCCTCCCAAAGCACTGGGATTACAGGCGTTAGCCACCATGCCCTGCCAAGACCATAGTATTTTGACTATACATCCTTAGTGGAAAATTTTTTTAAAGCACACAAAGATGCAAAGAAATCTCACAATTTCCTCAATAGTCTTGCTGTAAATAGTAATATTGAGATTATTACTTTGAAGCTATTTTACATACATTATAAAGCAAATAGGTAATTGTCTTAATGTTATTAGAACTAATATTTTCAGTGTAAGAGAAAAGTGATATAGGTAAAAAATCAGTAAGGTTAATTAAACAATTGGATGGTTAAATTTGAATCAGAAATATCGATATAAACTATTTTCGTTGTTTTCAAAAATACTTATTTCATAGCACTGTCCATTGAAATGACAACCCAGTAGTCATGATCTCTCCCAGTGTCTAAATTGCAGTCTATAAATATTCCTCACTAACTGGAACCTGGGCTTTTTATAGGAATGCTGATTGTTAGTATGTGGCCAGAATGAGCCTGAGACATCTTATTTTTGCCTGGGATATCATCATGTTACAGAAAGCAAGTAAGCAGTAAGACACACAAACCATCATGAATACATAAAAAACAAAGGCAAAGACAAAACCCCCAAAAAACGCTGACCTATACACTTCGAAATTGTTAACATGGTACATTTATGTCATGCGTATGTTATGAGCTGAATTGCGTCCCACTTCCTGCCAATTTGAATCCTGACACCCTAATCCTGAGTACCTCGGAATGTGACTATTTGGAGACAGGGCCTTTAAAGAGGTAATTAAGTAAAAATGGAGTTAGTGAGAACCCTAATTCAGTATGACTGGCATCCTTATAAGAAGAGGAAATTAGGCCAGGTGCGGTGGCTCATGCTTGTAATCCCAGCACTTTGGGAGGCCAAAGTGGGCGGATCACAAGGTCAAGTTCGAGACCAGCCTGACCAACATGGTGAAACCCTGTCTCTACTAAAAATACAAAAATTAGCCAGGTCTGGTGGTGCGCACCTGTAATCCCAGCTACTTGGGAGGCTGAGGCAGAAGAATCGCTTGAACCCAGGAGGCGGAGGTTGCAGTGAGCTGAGATCATGCCACTGCACTTCAGCCTGGGCGACAGAGCAAGACTCCATCTCAAAACACACAAACAAACAAACAAAAACTGGGACACAAAGGGAGAGAGAGGGAGAGGGAAGGAGATACCAGACATGCACGTGCACAGTTAGAAGGTTGTGTCTGCAAGCCAAGGAGAGGGGCCTTAGGAGAAACCAACCCTGTTGACACCTGATGTCAGACTTCCAGCCTCCTGAACTGTGAGAGAATACATTTCTGTTGTGTAAGCCACCCAGTTTGTGGGATTTTAAGGCAGCCCTAGAAAACTAATACAATATATTTTACCATAATTAGAAAAACCAACCAACCAACCAACCAGCAAGAAAACCCTAAGTTGACACTTAACAGAACAGAAAGCTCAAAACAAGCAAACAAAAGTATGCGTTAGCCACCTGAATGTCTGTGGTCTGCTGTTGAAGTTTCCAGAAAGCATGAGCCATGTCAACTGGTGTCAACATATCTGAGTGGGTCCTAGTTTCAGCTGGGTCCTCAACGCTGGCGGTCAGCTCCCTTGCCTGCCCTTGTTTGGCACCTTCTCCCTCCACAAGGCCTGTTCCACACCTTCGCCATTGCTGCCCGCTCCCTGTTGACTGGCGGTGGGGGGCCCTTCCAGCAGATGACTTTGTTTCTTGCCTCATAGAAAAGCAGGGACCAACCAGCCTGACATCTCTCTCCCTCCCAGGGCCCCTGCAAACACTCAAGTCCACACCCTCTCCTGTCCTTCCTTCTTCCCCTCCAGTCTCTCAAACGTGGAGGTGCCCCACATCCTTTCAGTCCCCCGCCATTTTTGTGCTTTCTCACCTTAGAACGCTTCCTCCATCAATTTCTTCCCCTTGTTTTTTGTTTTCTAACCCCCTGCATTCATAATTCTCTTTTTTTAAAAAACAAAACAAAAAACATCACTTCAACCTCTTTTTCTACTGATTCCTTTCCAGAAGCCTCTAACTAGGTTCAATCTCCCTCATGCCCAATACATACATGCTGCCTTGATCCCAAGCTTTCGCTAGCTATCACAACCTCTCCATCACTCCCTTTCCATCCACCACTCTTAAAGGACACTACTCTAGTTACCAATACATTCCCACTTTCCCTTCATCCTGCTGCCTCTTGAATTCTGGCTTTTGCTCGCACCACTCCACAGTAACTATTCCGACAAAGCTGTTTCAAACTTCCTATTGGATTGCTTGCCCTCCTCCGTTGCTTATGGGCTTCTTCTCTTTTATGTATGTACAACTGGCATCTCAGACTCTGTATATCCCAAGCCAAACACATCATTATTTTTCTCAAGTGCACTTCCCTTCCTGAGTTCTTTATTTTTGTTAATGGAGCTACTGTCACTCAGCTCCATACTTCAGTATCGTATTTGGGCTTTGGGGTTATTTATTTATTTATGTCTTTTTTTTTTTTTTTTCGAGATGGAGTCTGGCTCTATCACCCAGGATGGAGTGCAATGGCGTGATCTCAGCTCATTGCCACCTCCACCTCCAACCTCCACCTCCCGGGTTCAAGCAATTCTCCCGCCTCAGCCTCCTGGTAGCTGGGATTACAGGCATGCAGCACCACAGCCAGCTAATTTCATGTTTTTAGTACAGACGGGGTTTCACCATCTGGGCCAGGCTGGTCTCGAACTCCTGACCTCAGATGATCCACCCTCCTTGACCTCCCAATGTGCTGGGATTACATATTTATTTATTTATTTATTAATTATTTTATTTATTTATTTATTTATTTTTATTGTTTGTTTGAGACGGAGTCTCGCTCTGTCGTCCAGGCTGGAGTGCAGTGGAGTGATCTTGGCTCACTGCAAGCTCTGCCTCCTGGGTTCACGCCATTCTCCTGCCTCAGCCTCCCCAGTAGCTGGGAGGCGCCCGCCACCACACCTGGCTAATTTTTTTCTATTTTTCGTAGGACGGGGTTTCACCATGTTAGCCAGGATGGTCTCGATCTCCTGACCTTGTGAACCGCCCGCCTCGGCCTCCCAAAGTGCTGGGATCACAGGCGTAAGCCACCGTGCCTGGCCTATTTATTTATTCTTGAGATGAAGTCTCGCCCTTGTCACCCAGGCTGGAGTGCAATGGCGTGATCTCAGTTCACTGCAACCTCCACCTCCCAGGTTCAGGCGATTCTCCTGCCTCAACCTCCTGAGTAGCTGGGATTACAGACGCCTGCCACCAGACCTGGCTGATTTTTGTATTTTTAGTAGAGACGGGGTTTCACCATGTTGGCCATGCTGGTCTCGAACTCCTGACCTCAGATGATCCGCCCGCCTCAGCCTCCCAAAGTGCTGGGATTACAGGCATGAGCCCCCGCACCCGGCTCATACTTATTTATTTTTAAAAGCAATTTAAACTAATTTTCTTCATTAGCTAATTCATCCAAAAGGTTCAAGATTTAAAATATTCAAATTATAAACACTAAAAAGACTCTCTTTCACTACTGACCCCCAGCCACCCCACTTCTCTTAAACAGGCCACTTAATGTCATCAATTTTGTACGTATTTCTCTAGGGATATATAAACATATGTAAGCAAAGATGTTTGTTTACATATTTCCTTTTTATGGCCAGGTGCAGTGGCTCATGCCTTTATGGCACTTTGGGAAGCCAAGTTGGGCAGATCTCTTGAGCCCAAGAGTTTAAGACTAACATGGACAACACAGTGAAACACCGTCTCTACTAAAAAAATACAAAAAAAAAAAAAAAAGGGCCAGGCACGGTGGCTTGTGCCTGTAACCCCAGCACTTTGGGGGGCTGAGGCGGGTGGATCACCTGAGGTCAGGAGTTCAAGATCAGTCTGGCCAACATGGCGAAACCCCATCTCTACTATAAATACAGAAAGTAGCTGGGTGTGGTGGCAGGTGCCTGTAGTCCCAGTTACTTGGGAGGCTGAGGTAGGAGAATCACTTGAACCTGGGAGGCGGAGGTTGCAGTGAGCCGAGATCACACCATTGCACTCCAGCCCTGGGTGACAGAGCGAGACACCATCTCAAGAAAAAAAAAATTATCTGGGTGTAGTGGCGCACACCTGTAATCCTAGCTACTCCAGAGGCTGAGGTGGAAGAATCACCTGAGCCTGGGGAGGTTGAGACTGTGGTGAGCCATGATGGTGCCACTGCACTCCAGCCTGGGCGACTGAGTGAGTCTCTGTCTCAAAAAACAAAACAAAACATATTTCCCTTTTACAAATGCAAATAAGGCTACGTGAGCTATGTTCATGCCACTGCACTCCAGCCTGGGCAACACAGTGAGACTCTGTTTAAAAAAATAAATAAATAGTGCTCACTTTGGCAGCACATATAAAATCGCACATCTACAACCATCTGATCTTTGACAAACCAAAACAAGCAATGGGGAAAGGATTTCCTGTTTAATAAATGGTGATGGGAGAACTGGCTAGCCATATGCAGAAAACTGAAACTCGATCCTTTCCTTACACCTTTATACAAAAATTAACTCAAGATGGATTAAAGCCTTAAATGTAAAACCCCAAACTACAAAAACCCTAGAAGAAAATCTAGACAATACCATTCAGGACATAGGAATGGGCAAAGATTTTATGATAAAATTGCCAAAAACAATCGCAACAAAAGCAAAATTCAACAAATGGGATCTAATTAAACTAAAGAGCTTATGCATAGCAAAAGAAACTACCATCAGCTGGGCGTGGAAGCTTACGCCTGTAATCCCTGCACTTTGGGAGGCGGAGGTGGGCAGATCTCTTGAGGTCAGGAGTTCAAGATCAGCCTGGCCAACATAGTGAAACCCCGTCTCTAGTAAAAATACAAAAATTAGCTGGGCGTGGTGGCATACACCTGTAATCCTAGCTACTTGGGAGGCTGAGGCAGAAGAATCACTTGAACCCAGGAGGCAGAGGTTGTAGTGAGCCAAGATCACACCATTGCACTCCAGCCTTGGCAACAAGTTTTTGAAACTGTCTCAAAAAAAAAAAAAAAAAAAAAGAGAAATGCAAATCAAAACCACAATGAGATACCATCTTACACCAGTCAGAATGGCGATTATTAAAAAGTCAAGAAATGACAGATGCTGGTGAGATTGCAGAGAAATAGGAATGCTTTTACACTGTTCGTGGGAATGTAAATTAGTTCAACCATTGTGGAAGACAGTGTGGCGATTCCTCAAAGATTTAGAACTGGAAATACCATTTGACCCAGCAATCCCATTACAGGGTGTATACCCAAAGGAATATAAATCACTCTGTTATAAAGATACATGTACACGTATGTTCATTGCAGCACTATTCACAATAGCAAAGACATGGAATCAACCCAAATGCCCATCAATGATAGACTGAATAAAGAAAATGTGGTACATATACACCATGGAATACTACGCAGCCATAAAAAAACAAGATCATGTCCTTTACAGGGACATAAATGGAGCTGGAAGCCATTATCCTTAGCAAACTAATGCAGGAATAGAAAACCAAACATTACATGTTCTCACTTATAAGTGGGAGCTGAACAATGAGAACACAGGGAGGGGAACAACACTTACCGGGGCCTGTCAGGGGAGGATGGTGGGGGAAGAGCACTAGGGAAAAGAGCTAATGCATGCGGGGCTTAAACCTAGGTGATGGGTTGATAGGTGCAGCAAACCACCATAGCACACGTTTACCTATATAATAAACCTGTACGTCCTGCACATGTACCCAGGAACTTAAAAAAAAAGTCAAGTGGTTGAGGATTTTATAATTGATTTTTTAGTCTTAAAAAAAGGAAAAAACAAGAAATAAATAAATACCATTTAAAAAATAAAAAATGCAAGTGATAGCTTGCCATATACACAGTTCTATCCCTTGTGTTTTTCATGTACATATCTTGGATGTGATCTTACTGAATGCTCTCTCATTCTTTGTTATAGCTGCATAGTGTTTAGCAGTGTTTCTGATTTCTCTCTTGTCTCCAACATCTACTCAATTGCCAAGTTATATTAATGATGTATTATTTTTCCTATGGCATCTCTATTCCCAGTGCTGATTAGTTTAGACTTTCACGCCTGGATTGCCACAATAGCCTCCTGTTTGTCCTCTCCTTAGCCTTTCCTTTATTTCATGCTATTCCGTTAGATTCATCTTAAGTACCGCTCTGATTATGTTATTTCCCAGCTTAGCAATTTTCTCCTTGCCTGCAGAATCTGATGCTACGTTCTCTCCATTTTTCTTACTGCCCCCTCCTCCTTCATGCTCTGAACTCTTAAGTCACACCGAAGAGCCTGATGATCCTAGAACAGACCTTGTGAATTTTCACGGGAGCGTTTTCCATATTGTTACTTTACCTTGAGGTAGATGACATTGCCACCAAGTCCAAAACCACCCCATCCTTCAGTTCAGCTCAGACACTAACTTTCCTCTGAAGGCCTACTGATCCCCACAATTAGTCCAGCAAGCTAAAAGTGAGTCTGGCAAGGTGCCTAAGATACATTTAAGGGGTTGCTCATTCTCAGGGTCATGCAAGTGCCAACGCTGCATTCACACACCCTGAGAGTGGGTGGCTTCTTAAATTTTGCCTCCTCAGTGACTTGCTTACCTCTTCCTAGTCCCAGCCTTTCCTTAGCAGTCCTAGGCCTCCTCTAAACTCCCAAAGAGCTTGATTTGCACATCTCTAAGGGTGTTCTCTTCCTAGCCTGCACTGTAGTTATTGAAGTACAGACTTCATTTTCTCCCCACTAAGTTCCTTGAGGGCGGCACCACGCCTGACCCACACTGGATCCCTGGTGCCTCTCCCCGAATCTCACACACAGCCCACGTGTATTTGTTACAGCTCTTTAGGTTAGGACTGTCTGCTCACCTGAAACCATGCTCAAAGGACTTTCGTAAAAAAGACAAAGGCAATCAGGAGCTATTCAGGAACTTAAGAAACCCAAAGGCAGGAATCCTGTGGGTCTTAGGAAGAGAATCAGAAACTAGAGCACTGTGGGGACTCCAGGAACTCCCGCCCCACTCCCGCCCGCTTCCCCTCTATCTGCTTCTCTGTGTGCATCTGCCTTGCTCCTCTCTCACTAATGATGGACTTTCTGTTTCTCACTTCATTTAGTGGAAAATTGCCTCTGTCTACAGCTTCCAAAGTTGGGTAACTTGTAGCTCAAGTACACATACACCAAAGGGCATAGAGAGAAAGAGAGATCTCAACTTTGATTTCAAAATCTCCGTGAAAGGCTCTAATTGGCCCAGGTTGAGTCAGGAACCTGCTTCTGGACCAACTATCTGTGGCCAGAAGGCACTGCAGGAATATGGCAATCTTGGGGACCTCGGTGGTGTTCATGCATCTTATCTCTATAGCTCCATCATTAGCGTGATCAGCTCCATCATCAGCTCCAGCTTCCAGTTTCTGTGTCTCTTAGCCAAACAAACATTCTAAATTCCCAAGACAGAGAATAAACTTGGCACTGCCTGGGTCAGGTGACCACCCTTGAATCACGCAGCAATGGGGGATAAAGAGAGACAGGGTCTCAAATATAGGCATGACTGGTGGAGGTCATCTCTGTGAATGAGGCAGTTTCTACAGAAGGGGGACTCTGTTGACTAGTGAGTCATACCCAAAGATGAATGCAATGATTGAATGATCTCATTTTAAAAAGAGCAACTGTCCAAAGCTATTAGCTAAGTATTAGACAGTTATTAGAAAACTCAAACTGGAATCAGTCTCTGAGCCTTGATTAAACTTCTGGTGGCTGGGCATGGTGACTCACACCTGTAATCCCGGCACTTTGGGAGGCCGAGGCAGGTGGATCACCTGAGGTCAGGAGTTTGAGACCAGCCTGGCTAAGATGGTGAAACCCTGTCTCTACTAAAAATACAAAAATTAGCTGAATGTGGTGGCACTTGCCTGTAATTCCAGCTACTTAGGGGGCTGAGGCATGATAATTGCTTGAACCCGGGAGGTGGAGTTTGCTGTAAGCCAAGATTATGCCACTGCACTCCAGCCTGGATGACAGGGCAAGACTCTGTCTCAAAAACCAAAACCTTTCTTCCCAATGTCTCTCAAATCTCTCCCTTCCCTCTATTCCACCAACACCACCATAGTTTGCACTCAGGTCTGATGCTCTGCTGGGCCTTCTTCACTTCCATTCCAGCTGCTGACTGTACCGAGTAATCTGCTCCAAACACGTGGCTTTCCTGTTGTCACCAGTCACTCGGTCTGTCTGAAACCAAACACATCCTCTTTCTATTGAAATTCACTTCCCATTAGAAGACCGTCAACGACACTAACATCTCTTCAGCATTTAGTTCTTGAACACCTGGAATTACTTCTGACTTTTGCCCTCCTACTCCTTCACTATCTCATCAGTTATCAAGCAGTGTTGAATTTTTCTTTATCGCCTTTGTTGGCGTTCTTCTTTTCATTTCTTCCAGCCATCTCCAACCTGTTAGGGAGTTTAGGAAATTGTTCAAAGACTGATTAATAAGATGGTATGGAGAGGATGTTTGGTTGGGGATGTGGGAATGTCTGAATCCTGTCTTGGCCAGCCATCTCTACTCATCAGGAGTGTGGGGAGTACATGTGCAATGACACACCAGGGAAAGGAACACTTTATTATTAGCTGGGTATGAACCACAATGCAGAAGTCAGGAAAGATAGGCTGGATTCTGGTCATCTCTGTCTATCCTCCCCACATCAATGCCCAAATTTGAGTCTTGGAACTTTTCTTCCGAGTGGGATAGAGGCACACTAACCAGAAAAAGTAGAGAGAAAGACAAATCCACAGCCTCTTTGCCCCAAGCCCGGGGCCTTGCTAAGACTTTTTCTGTGGGCCATAGCCTTAGGGCCTGGCTACCTTGTGGGAGAGGGAAAGAGAACAAGCTGGCTGGGCTGCCTCTGAGAAAGGCAAGGGCAGCCCTTGTTACCACTCAGAGTATGTTGAAGAACGGGAAAGACGCAGCACTTTCTGTTGAACGTGTTATCTTTTAAGGGCTCCATCCCAAGAAAATGTTATTCCATATTCTCCAATTTTAGTAAGATTTTCTTCCTTTGTGTGTGTTTGGTGGTGGGGAGATGAAATTTCTTCACCATCCTACCTCCACCTTGGGGGAAGGAAGAGGGTGGGGAGGGAGAAGCCTTGAGCGCCCTCTAGAGACCAGAAGCCCAACTCACTCCCTGGTGAATCTACACTCCTATGACCTTAGTGCTTAGCTCAAAATTGTCAACTGTCTATTGCCTACTAAGAACCAGTTCCTTGGCAGGCATGGTGGCTCAGGCCTGTAATCCCAGCACTTTGGGAGGCCGAGGTGGGTGGGTCACCTGAGGTCAGGGGTTCGAGACCAGCCTGGGCAACATGGTGAAACCCCGTCTCTACTAAAAACACAAAATTAGCCGGGCGTGGTGGCGCATGCCTGTAGTCCCAGCTATTTGAGAGGCTGAGGCAGGAGAATCGCTTGAACCCGGGAGGCGGAGGTTGCAGTGAGCCAAGATCGCACCATTGCACTCCAACCTGGGCAACAAGAGCGAAACCTCATCTCAAAAAAAAAACAAAAAAACACAATTTCTAAGGAGGCCATTAGAACCCTCTACAGTCTGGCTCAAGGCACCTTTTTTGGTCATTAGAATGACTTTAGGATAGTAGCAGATAGGGAAAGCACAGAAAAATGAATGCCAAATTTAATCATCCAGCGAACAGACTGGCTGGATCTAATCAAGAGGGGAAGGAACCTGGGTGAGGTTACCAGAATTTCACCTACTTCATAACCAAATCAACAGATCCAACAAGAATTAAATAAGGCATCACGGGAATCTAATCTGTAGGGAAGGGTGTGGGGAGACCCTTGTGGAAACAGCATCTATGTGAAAGGGACTTGATGTGTTCACAGTGGTAGCAGAAGAATCTCTGTGTCTTGACTCTTAGCCAAAAATCTCCAGCCAAAACACAGCCTCCCCTGTTCTCCTGCAAAGGTAAGCCCAGTCCGTTTGGGGCAGTAACCTCAGTTTGCTCAGAATGGTAAATGTCATTTAATCCTAAGAAGGTTCTGCATTAAAGATGAGGATAGTAAAATAAATCAGATCTGCAGTATTCATACTTTTGTGTTAACCTTGGTAATATTTTGTTTAATTTTGTATTTTCAATGTTTGTAAGATTTAGTATTTATCATATTAGAGAATCTGACAAGTTTCACGAAACAAGAGCCTTACTAAGTTTGATGTTCTCTGCCATTTTCTATTTCTTTAATGAAATGTTGGTAATGACCCACTAAGTTACTTATGTGTTTCATCAGTGGGTACTGGCCTGAGACCCTGATAATGGTTAAAAGTACAACTCTGAGGTCAGGCTGATGACTTTCAGATCTAGCTTATTGTCTGGGTTTGGGCAAGTAACCCCTATATGTCCTTGTTTCTTCATCTGTAAAATGGGATAATATTAGTAACTACCCAGGCCGGGCACAGTTGCACACCTGTAATCCCTGCACTTTAGGAGGCTAAGGTAGAACGGCTTGAGCCCAGGAGTTGGAGACCAGCCTGGGCAACAGGCATCTGCCTGTGGTCCCAGCTACTCAGGAGGCTGAGATGGGAGGATTGCTTGAGCCCAGGATGAGACTGCAGTGAGCTGTGTTTGCGCCACTGTATTCCAGTCTGGGAGATACAGTGAGACCCTGTCTCAAAAGTTAAAAAAAAGGTAGTACCTACCTTGTGGGCTCTACTTGATAATTAAATGAGAAAGAAGATAATGTGCATAAAGGCTTCCACTAGGGCCTGACGCATCGTGAGCGCTCAATAAACGTGGGGAGTACTGGGTGTGATGACAAAGGGTCTAATGCACCCAATCTTGGGAGATGAAAAAATGCTGCCTGGAGGCGATGGTATTAATGTTGGGATCTGAAAGAATGGTAAGAATTATTCAGGTGAGGATTCAAGTAAGTGCATAGATGGTGTAGAGAGAAATGAAGTTATGGGCAAAGGGAACAGCCCTTGCAACAGTTGTGAGGTGGCACAATTTCCAGGCTTAAATGACCTGAGAGCTTCCCAGTTTTGAGTGTAGCCTGAGAAATATCTGTGGCAGATGAGGTCAGAGATGGCAACAGGGATGAGATCACCAATGGCCCTGTAGCCACCTCAAAGAATTTTAGACTTTATCCTACGTGTTAATCAGATCTTTTTAAGAGTCTTAAACAGGGAAAAAACATGATTTTCTTTCTTGAAAGACCATTCAAGCTGTAGTGGATTTGGAGAGGGCAATTTCGGTGGCAGGGAGACCAAGAGGAGTCTACCGCAGTGTCTCTAGGAGAGATGACAGTAGCCTGAACCAGAGTAAGAACTGACAGGGAACAACAGTTTTAAAAATCTAATTGGGGCTGGGTGCAGTGGCTCACGGCTGTAATCCCAGCACTTTGGGAGGTTAAGGCAGGCAGATCACTTGAGCCTAGGAGTTCGAGACCAGCCCGGGCCAACAAGATGAAACCTCATCTCTACTAAAAATACAAAAATTAGCCGGGCGTGGTGGTGGGGACCTGTAGTCCCAGCTACTGGGGAGGCTGAGGTGGGAGGATCCTTGAGCCCAGAGAGGTCGAGGCTGCAGTGAACAATGATTGCACCACTGCCCTCCAGCCTAGGTAATAGAGTGAGAATCTGTCTCACAAACAAACACATCTAATTTAACATGGGGACTCCAGAGACAGAGGAAAGAGTAATGGATCATTTCCAGGTTTCTGGCTTGAGCACTTGGGTGGCTAGTGTTGGCACTCTCCTAGAAAACACTGGAGAAAAAGACATTCAATTTTTGGATATGTTGAATTTTGAGGTTAATAGAATCTTGAAAATTAAAGCTTCCTGATTTTGTTAATCCGTTTTCTGACACCCTTTAGCAATTCTTCAATGCAATGCTTTTCACATTATTATATGCATAAGAATCACCAGGGGTGTGGAGATGGGGATGTGAAAATGCAGGTTCCTAGGCAAACAAGCCAAGATTCTGGATACCAACTGGGTCCCAGGACTCAAAACAATCAGCCTGAGTAATTCTGATGGAGGGAGTCTCCTGACGACACTAAAAAAACAACAAAAACGACCCCTCTGCCGGGCATGGTGTCCTGTAATACCAGCACTTTGGGAGGCTGAGTCGGGAGGATCGCTTGGGCCCAGGAGTTCGAGACCAGCCTAGGCAACATAGGGTGACCACCCACCCCCGTTTCTAAAAGTAAAAAAAGACCCCTCGTGTGTCTCCACCGTTAGGTTGTTTTCCCACTGTCCACCCCTCCCTACTTCTCAGGCACCTGCTTGGGGGCCCCTATTGCTTCGAATAAGCTCCGTGGGAGCCAGGACTTTGTCTTGCTAACAGGTGCATCTTCAGCGCACTCAGAACAATATCTGGCACAGCACGAGACACCTAGAAATGTTCGCCGAACGATCGAATGGCTGAATACATTCATATGTTGCTTTGTACAAAAACTTGCTTTCAAATATCTGGGAAGAGTTAGAGATAGGAAAGCAGAGGTCATTTCAAAGAGAGAGAGTGAGGATACCACCGGGAAGGCAGCGCCGAAAAAACCAGAGGGGAACCACTTGCCGATCCCCCAGGCACAGTCTGGAGGTCCCAATTCCCGCGGTAGGGGGGCGAGAGATGCCACTCGTCTGATCAGCAACCATTTTGGGCCCGCTTGCGCCGCTTCTCCGGGGCGTCCGCGTTGTGCTCATCCAGTTGCTTTTGAGGTTCCGGCCCCCTCCAAACCTCTGAAGCGCTCCGTGCACGCGACGCGGCGGCGGGGTAAGCTGGAGCCCTCGCCGCGAGCCCTCTCCGCTGCCTGCCCGCAGCACAGCCGCGCCGACCTCCTCATCATGGCGGCGGCCGGGCGGGGAAGCCGGGCCGTGCGTCGCGTGCGTGCCCTCTCCCTCCCCTCCCCCTCCTCGGCGGCGGCGGCGGCGGCAGAAGCGGCAGCGCTCGCCATTGCCGCTGGTGGCAGGAGGCTGCGAGGAGCCGGCGCGGTCGCAGTCTCCACGGCGCAGGCCCACGGTAGCGCAGCCGCTCTGAGGTGAGTGCCCTACCGCGCAATCTCCAGCTATTTCAGCCCCGGCGCAGCCGCAACACGCCGCCCGCCCGCCGGCCGGCCGGCCCGCCCCGCAGCCGGCACCCTGCCGCCCCCGGCTCTGGGCCTGGGCCCCCGCCGGATTCGGCCCGCCTCGGGCGGGGGGCCCCGGCCCGGCCCAGCCAAACCGCCACCCCGAGGATGCGCAGGCCGCACTAGGCCCCAGGCGTCCTGGCGGGCTCGGGAGGGAGGCGCTGCCCTCCCGAGAGCCCCAGGGTTCCGGCCTCCTCCGCCGCCTGGGGCTCTCGGGGCCGCGGCCTTCTCCCCGCCGTGGAACCCGGGGCCCGGCCTTCCCGCAGCTCGGGAGCGGGAGGCGCGGGAGAGTGCGCCGGGCCCGGGAGCGGGAGGTGGGCGGGCTGCGCGGGACCGGAGCCGCGGCTCTCGGCTCGCCCCCTCGGCCCTTCCCGGCTCTCGTACGCGGGCGGGCGGGCGGGCGGCGCGGTGGGGCCGGGCTGGGGCGCGGGAGCCGCTGTCTCCTGCGGGAGAGGAGGCTGGCTCTTTGGGCGACCTCCGAAGCTTCCCTCCTGCCGGGGTGGCGTGGGCTTGTTACCCAGGTAGACTGGGGGACGCTGGAATATGGCGCGTTGCCCACCTTCTTGCAAGTTAGGAGGTGGCCGGGGCGGCAGTTCGAGGAGGAGGGCGCAAAGTCCTTTTGTACGCAGAAATAAGGAGCGACATTGTGTTTTCTTCCCCAGCTGAGATGTGCCCGCGGAGGGGCCGCGGTTCTTCCTGTGCCTGGGGTGGTGGTCCCCTGGGTGAGGGAGAGGGGGAGTGGCACGCCCCTCCGAAGGAACAGAACCTTTTGCCACTGGAAAGACAGGGGCTCTGAGATGGCCGTGTGCATGGTATTTTCCCATATCCCCAGACCTTTTCGGGTTTGTCATTGAATGTTGTGCACTCCATCGTGCAATGATGTCTGCTGCCTCTCTCACCTGTTGTGTCGTGGCTGCTGGTCCCAAAGTTTCTGCAGTGTATTTGGCTGTGCCCACCAGAACTTGAAGTTGTTTAAAAATCTTAATACTTGGGGGGCTTCCAGTGATATCTGCTCCAACCAGTTGGAGGAGCTGTTGCCTGCTCTCCATTCTTCTTAAGCATTAGATTAGAATATATTAATTGCTTATTTTAGAGCTGGTGTCAATCGTGCTGATTTCTTTATGTGGTCAGAGCAAAATTCACATTTTTTTAAGTGTTCAGAGACTGCGTATTGAGAGACGCATAAGGAGAAAGGTAGTGTGAGTGAGCCTGTCAGCTTGGGCAGTGTTGGGCAGAGCTTTTGTCCCGGGACATCATCTGTGCTCACAGTGATCCTTTTTCCCATTCCATCTCAGCCTAGCCTTTTAAAAAATTATTTTTCCTTTGGGCTTGACCAGTAAGTAATTGGGAAAGGGGGGTGCTGGAGTCTTGGAGATGCTGTTTGTGTGTGTGTGTGTGTTTGATTCATTAGTATCCCGACTCCCTAAAATTGTATTTGACAGTTCTTGACAGGTTACCCCGTAAGACAGTGAAAATATGACTAGTTCTCTCCGTGCATCTGAGTGTAATTTCCTTATTTTATGAGTCCGAAAGCAGACATAATTATCACATGCAATGTAGAATATTTATTCTTAACTTGGATCCTAAATTGTGGGCAGAATTTTTTTGTGTCAAGGGGTTTTTTTTTCTTTTGATAGGACTTAGTGGCTTTCAACAGGGCCCATGACCAAAAAAAACAATAATCAGATTAAGAAAACTCTTTACGGCCGGGTGCGGTGGCTCACACCTGTAATCCCAGCACTTTGGGAGGCCGAGGCGGGGTGGATCACCTGAGGTCAGGAGTTCGAGACCAGCCTGGCCAACATGGTGAAAGCCCATCTCTGTTAAAAATACAAAAATTAGCTGGGCGTGGTGGCAGGCGCCAGTAATCCCAGCTGCTGGGAGGGGCGGGGGCGGGGGCTGCCGAGGCAAGAGAATCGCTTGAACCTGGGAGGCAGAAGTTGCAGTGAGCCGAGATGGAGATCGCGCCATTGCACTCCAGCCCGGGGGACAAGAGCGAGACTTCATCTAAAAAAACAAAAACAAAAACTCTACTTAATCTTTTGGCCCATCCTTATTTGAAGTCCTTTAATTTCCTCACACAGCCTCAAACTCGACATATAGGAGGGAAAATGACTTTTTGCTTAGTAGTCAGTGGTCATAGTCTCCTGTAACAAAGAAAAGTTCTTATCCCCAAGTCGGCAATTTTTGTGGAAATAGTTCTCTTTTTCTTTTTCTTTTCTTAGACGGAGTCTCACTCTGTCACCCAGGCTGGAGTGCAGTGGTGCGATCTCGGCTCACTGCAACATCTGCCTCCTGGGTTCAAGCGATTCTTCGGCCTCAGCCTCCCGAGTAGCTGGGATTACAGGCGTGGGCCACCATGCCCGGCTAATTTTTGTATTTTTAGTAGAGACGGGGTTTTGGCGTGTTGGCCAGGCTGGTCTCGAACTTCTGACCTAAGGTGATCTGCTGGGCTTGGCCTCCGAAAGTGCTGGGATTACAGGCATGAGCCAATGCGCCTGGCCCAATAATTTTCTTATAAAAATATGTATTTGTGTGTGTGTGTGTGTGTGTGTACATACATATATATAATTTTTTTTTTTAAGTTAGAGATGGGGATCTTGCTATGTTGCCTAAGCTGGCCTTGAACTCCTGGGCTCAAGGAATGCACCCACCTCAGCCTCCCCAGTAGCTGAGACTATAGGCAAGTGCCACCGTGCTGGCAGTGGCTTCATAACATGTTTCAAGGAAATTTAGCTCCTGTGTTAAGAGAAGGAGCTATAGAAGTAGAAGATAATGAGGGCCCTTGTCCAGATATAGAAGGTTTAAAGGAGAAAGGATTTCAGGTTTCCTTCTGAATTCCTGTGTATGTCGTTAGGACCCCAAATTGTAGGTTTTTTGTTTTATTAAACGATAATTATGCACTTGTCTAATTTTGTTAGGGAACCGAAGGCCAACTTCCCATGATTTAAATACCTGAATTTGCATTGCCTGCACACTGTAGGTTCAACCAAATCTCTGGGTTGTCTTTAGAAGCATTTTATGTAAATAATCACGAATGAGTGACTTGTTTTAAGGGAAATTTAAGCTCCTGTGGTCTGGGATTAAATTTTTATGCCTTTTCTTGTATGGAATAAGGCATTCAGTAAAGTTGAAGAATAATAACAATGAACAGTAATTACTGAAATTAAAATTTTTCCCTGAGTATTTGAAAAGGCATGCTGATTTTTTGGTTTCTGGAGGAACTATGAACTGTCAGTCTTTAGAAACAGTCTACAGTCCTACCTCAACAGGAAGTTAATGTATACATTCAGCTTCTGTCAGATGTCTTTAGACAAGCCTGTTGCTTCATGCTGAAGCAGGCTTATTCATTCACACAGTGCCACTGTGAAAAATTGAAGGGTGAGGGGAAACTCCCTGGGCTGTTGAATTTCACAAATGTCTACTTTAACCTCAAGAGTTTAGATGCGCCCTTTCTGGGCCAGTAATCATCTAGGAAATGGGATATCTGAATTTAGATGTTTGTGTGTGACTGTGTGATGCTTATTAATATGTATATATAGAGTATTTGGAAAATCAATCTTAAAATGCAAATCTTTGATTTTGTAAAAAACATTTCAGGAAATGTTCTATACTAAAATACATTTTCTTTATGTTCTTTCATGTTTTCCTTGATAGCTAAAGCTAGTGTTTTCAGCCTGAGCTTACCCAAATATAATTTTCCATGAATGCTTAGTAAAACAGCAATGAAAAAGGAATCCACTTGTTATTTTAGAAACATTTTATTTAGACCAAGTCCAATGTTTTTTGAGTCTCAAGATACATGTTAATTTTTGTGCCTTGTGTATCATATTTCCTTCCTTATTAACTAGAGGGTGGATTACCCACTTTCTTGGGTTTTCAGTTAGTACTTTTATCCATCAGTTTTCTACTAAGGTAAACAGACTGGAAGATAAATAGTAAAAGGAGGTGAAACAAATGAATTTCAGGTGTTTCCAGGAGATTAAAACCATATTGAGCTATTGGAAACTTTTAATCCTCAAGCAACAACAATGCTTTGTTTGAAGTTATTTTAGTGCAATATGGACAAAACTTGGGAAAGGAATTTTTGACTGCTCAAGAAAAATAAGTGGATTGCTTATACCTTAGAATATATATATATACACACACACATATATATATTTTTTATTTTTTCAAAAGTGCACTTCAGAATTGGGCTAATGTATTTTCAGCCCAACTTAATGCAGTGTAGTTAGCAAAACATCCAAAAGGCTTCATCATGTTGTGGTCTTTAGGCCTAAAATGTTTTAAAATGTGAACATTTATGTGATACCAAGTAAACTTTCTATGACCCAAAGAAGGGCTAGAAATAAAACTTTACAGAGATGTTCTAGTATATTAGAAAACAATGGCTGGTTATGGTGGTTCATGCCTATAATCCCAGCACTTTGGGAGGCCAAGGCAGGAAGATTGCTTGAGGCTAGGAATTCTAGACCAGCCTGGGCAATGTAGTGACATCCTGTCTTTACAGAATATTTAAAAAAACAAAAAAACGAAAAACTAGCTGGGTATGGTGGCATATGCCTATAGTTTGAGCTATTCAGGAGGCTGAGGCAGGAGGATCACTTGAACTTAGGAGTTTGAGGTTGCAGTGAGCATAATCATGCCATTGTGTTCCTGCCTGGGCGACAGTGCGACCGTGTTTCTTAAAAAAAACTAGTTGCTGTTAAGGTAGGCCTACCACATTTGTAATCTCTTGAGGCAAATCTGTGTTGTTTCTCTAAGAGCAGTCACTTAGAAGATAATCTGACAGTAAGGAATGGTCTACTGAATCCCAGATCTGGTAGTCTGCCTTGCCCAATCACAACATAGTTTGTGTAAAACTCCAACTGCTACTGAACCATCAGATAATTTCTTGAGGAAGCCGTTTCTCTTAAGGAGAAGTGTGTGTGTGTTGGAGGGAGTGTTGGTGGGGAGAAGAGGGGTAAAGAGAAGATGATACTAGTAAAATAATCTAGTTTTGTAGGTTGGGATGATCACTGGAATTTTTTAGGGGAAATATTCTCAAAAAAAGTTGTAAGAGCTACTTTTGTATGGGTTATCAGTTTGGTGATTTAGACTATAGTAATTGCATTGTTTAATATGCATTGTATTTCGATTAATTCATGCATGCTGATTTCTGTGGTAACAAATGTGAAAAGTTTGGCTGATGGCTTAAGTGGACATTTTCTTAAGAACTCTTTAAGTGGTGCCTGTTGGGATAAACTATGCCAAGCCATTTTCTGAATCTTCATGAAGAATGAGCTTTGTATGCATATATATTAAGACAGTTTTTTTTAAAAAGAGCATGTATTTTACTGTTGGTAATTGTAAAGTTTTTGCTTTTTAGAACTTTAAGAGTCCGTTTTGTTGCTGCTACTGAATGCTAATGTGGTTAGGCTGGCAGCTAAACCTACAAAGAACAAGGGGAAATGAGGAAATGTCCCAATGAAACATTGCTTAAAACTGTTTGCGCAGTGGACTAGAAATGGGGAGTTGGGGACTAGGGGACCTGATTCTTGTTTTATGTTCAAAGGAGAGTGAAGCATTCTCTCCATTAAGAAATAACCTCCTTAAGTGTATTCTCACTTTGGAGTTTTGCCACTCATTCATTCACCTGACGATGATTAAAGATATACCACATTCTGGGCATGTACTAGGTGCTAGAGTAACAAATCTTGGGCCTTGTCGTGTAGAGCAGAAAGGTATGGGCTCAACTAGCTATGTTACAACTTCTAGAGAACCAAAATAGAGCAAACAAAGAGTGGTGTGGGATTATAGGAGGAGGGAGAAATTCCTTCTAGGGAGAGGAGAATGATACACAGAGAAAAGTGAGGTTAGGGAAGACTTTTCACATAGGGGAAGTTTGAGTAGGACTTGGAAGGGGGAGTAGCTGCATTACTGATGGAGAAGAGGGGCTGAGAGGAAGGGCATCAGTAGTCTGATTTGAGAACTAGCAAGTGGATTTTGCTCGACTTGGAGAATAGTGGAAAGTGAAACTGATAAGGTTGTGGCCATATTGGGAAGAGTTTGTAATTCCATGCTCATGAGTGTGAACTTTATTCTATAGGCATTTAGGGACCATAAGAGGTTTGAGTAGGACATCCACTATGGTTTTTAAAAAGATGACATGTAAAGATTTGACTAGAGACTTGTGAGAGTATTGAATTGTGATGTAAAAGGACATCGATTCTGGGGATAATTTTTACTTCACAGTTGTCAGATTTGAGTGACAATTGAGTAAAGAGTTAAAGATTATAGTGTGGTTATTGGGTGATGATGATGCCTTTAAGATAGGGAATGTATAGGAAGAACAGAATTTGAGGAGGAAGGTAATAGAGTATGACTCCAGATGTGTTAAGATATCTGGGAATCAAGAAAGGTCAAGTAAGTACCTGGGTATTTGGGCTGGAGCTCAAGGGGACATTGGGATAAATTAGGGGATTTGCATTCATCAGTATAATGCCATATAGAAACTGCAGAAAGCCAGGCATGGTGCCTCACACCTGTAATCCTAACACTTTAGGAGGCCAAGGCAGAGGATCACTTAAGGCCAGGAGTTCAAAACCAGTCTGGGCAACGTTGTGAGACCCTGTTTCTACAAAAATTTAAAAAATTTGTCAGGTATAGTGGTAGCCACCTGTGGTCTCAGCTACTCGGGAGGCTGAGGCTGGAGTATGACTTGAGCCCAGGAGTTTGAGGCTGTAGCAAGCTATGATAGGGCCACTGCACTCCAGCTTGGGTGTCAGTGTAAGACCCTGTCTATAAAAAAGAAAGAGAAAATAGTACAGATTGAGTATCCTTTATCCAAAATGCTTAGGACCAGAAATGTTTTGGAGTTTTTTTTGACTTTGTAATGTTGGTATGCATATAATGAGATACCCTGGAGATAGGGCCCAAGTCTAAACTTGAAATTCATTTGTGTTTCATATACATCTTACAACCTGGATGCAGTTTTATACAATATTTTAAATAATTTTGTGCAGGAAACAAAGTTTTGATTCCATTCTGACTGCAACATGTCACCTGAGGTCAGGTGTGGAATTTTCCACTTGTGGCATCATGTCAACACTCAGAAAGTTTCAGATTTTGGAGCATTTCAGATTTTAAACTTTTGGATTAGGAATGCTTAACCATATCAGGAGTGAAGAAAAAAAACTAAGGGCAACCTTGAAGAGCATCTACATCTGAGGGTCAAGTAGAAGAATAGAAACCTATGAAGTAAGTTGAGAAAGAATGGCTAAACAGATAAGGTTATAGGGTTGAAGAAGCTGAAGAGAGGGATTAAGTGAATACTGACAGGGAAGTTAGCCGTGTGAAATACCACAGAGTTCATTGGTTTGGAGGGCAATGCCGGAGGATCGCTTGAACCCAGCACTTCAAGACCAGCCTGAGCAACATAGCAAGACCTCGTATCTATTAAAAAAAAAAAAATCATTGGGATAAAAACTGGACTTGGCATACGTGTATATATATATATATATATATATATATATATATATATACACACACACACACATATATATACACGTGTGTGTGTGTGTGTGTGTGTGTGTGTGTGTATATATATATATATATATATATGTATTGTTTTGCTGGGAACCATGATAGTTTAGACAGAATAGATTTCTAGAGCATTACTAAATTCAGGGGTAGGTCCTACAGAATCTAACTTAGTAGAAGACCCATGCTTAGAAATAGGTCCTGTTCTTCCATGTCTCTCTGCAATGGGAGTTGCAGCTTAAATGCTTTGGGAGATGACCCCCAATGACAAGGCTGCCTAAAAATCTCCATATTGTTTGGGTTGTTTTTTTTTTTTTTTGCCTCTTTTACATTGTCTTAAATTCTGAGAATTGGAGATTTCATTTGAGTTGACAGTGTCTTAAAATACAAATAACCTCTTGCAGAGTTTTGAGGTTTTATGATATTAATATGTTAAGTATGGGGGTTTTTAACCTGGGGTTTTCTGGTTCTGGGGTTTATATATTTTGGCTGTGTGACCCTGAATCCCTTAAAATTGTTTGAAAAGTTATGTGTGAGTGCATGTGTGATTTTTCTGGGGAGAGGGTCCACAACATTTATGAGATTTTTCAAGGGGGCTGTTGACACACAGAAAAGTCAAGGGCCTTTACTAAATGTTAATGATTAAATCAAGTGTTGGTTGTGTTCGTTGGCTGAAATCAGTTATCTCAACAAGTGAGACAGATCAAGGGAAAGAAATCTTGAGTAGGTGTCTCAGGTGAAGAACTTTGGAAAGATACGAGGAACTTCTTAGAAATGGGAGTAGGAGCACCAGAAGGAAGGTAGGAGGAATGCCAAAGCAAAGCTTAACCGATTTCAGAATTTTGTCAAGTCTCTGGATTGCTTGGTTTTTTTATACTCTAGGACTGACACTTAGTATATGTTTATTCATGCACTGTAGATACAGTAGGCTTTATGGGGTAGGGGAATCAAATCACTTTTTTTTTTTTTTTTTTGAGATAGAGTCTCGCTTTGTCACCCAGACTGGAGTGCAGTGGTATGATCTTGGCTGACTGCAACCTCCGCCTCCCGGGTTCAAGCGATTCTTCTGCCTCAGCCTCCCAAGCAGCTGGGATTACAGGCGCCTGCCACCATGCCCAGCTAATTTTTTATTTTTAGTAGAGATGGGATTTCACCATATTGGACAGGCTGGTCTTGAATTCCTGACCTTGTGATCCGCCCGCCTTGGCCTCCCAAAGTGCTGGGATTACAGGCATGAGCCACCGCACTGGGCCCAAATTACTATTGTTTTAAAGGGAAAGTGTTTTGAAAGAAAACAAATTGATAGATTGTGCTTGTTGGAAAAAAATTTTTCTACCAAGCTGGCTCATCTGTCAGAAAAAATTCATTTTTAAGTTAGGTGTTGCTTATGCTTTGGAAAAAATTTTAAATGCACAAATATTTCAGTCTAGTGATATGGGGCAAGACATTTATTTTCTCCTTGCAAATTTTTTCTGACCATGAAATGAAAATACCGTTGATGGTTTTTGTAGTGTCTTTCTGAAATATGACGATTATGGAATACTTTGAGATCCAGGATGATTTAATGCTAAGAAATTGCTGGCATTCACATTTCTAAAGTCGTGAATAAAATTAAGAAATTCAAGCACATTATGTGTTCACTAGATCTTACTTGATTTCCAAAATATTTCTTTTTGAAATTTTAGATAATTGGTAATTTTTACTTCCTTCTGCTAATCTTTGCATCTTTGAAATTAGATTAGGAGGCAGTTTTGTCAGCTAGGCCCTAGTTTCTGGGGCAGTGATATCCATACTTTTGCTTGCCACCCTCAAAATAAATTAATGCCACTTGGGATTAATTTGTGATTTTTCTGGGGAGAGGGTCTACAACTTTTATTTATTTTACCAGTAGTCTTGGTAAATACAAGAATGATATGAATAAATATGTTGGGTAATCTTAAACTTGTGTTATGTGATTTGTAATTAGCTTGTGTTTGTGGATGATCTTTACATTCAGTAAATCTCCAAAGAGGGCCCAGATAGAATGGAGTATTTTGTCTTTTCCTTTGGGAACTTTTTTTGGTTCTTTCTTTCATTAAACAATTATGAAATAAAATTTTTGGTAACAGATCTTCCATGTAAAAATAGCCCACAAATCAAAGAACTAGCCAAGATTTGCTAAGTAAGAACACATCATGGAATACCATCATAGAACTAGTCTCTTACCCCAAAACTAGCTGTAGGTGCTAAGTCTAAAGAAGAAGTAATTCTGATATGTTACCAGAATTATGTGGTAATGCGACTGAGTGTTAAAATTGTTGTCTTCTTTAATTTTTGGCTCTATTATTTTAAAAGTTTTTCTCCATAGAATTTTTTTTTTTTTTTTTTTGAGATACTATCTCGCTCTGTCGCCCGGGCTGGAGTGCAGTGGCATGATCTTGGCTCACTGTAACTTCCGCCTCTCGGGTTCAAGCGATTATCCTGCCTCAGCCTCCTGAGTAGCTGGGATTACAGGCACCCGCCACCATGCCGGGCTAATTTTTGTGTTTTTAGTAGAGACAGGGTTTCACCATGTTGGTCAGGCTGGTCTAGAACTCACGACCTTGTAATCTGCCCGCCTCGGCCTCCCAAAGTGCTGGGATTACAGGTGTGAGCCACCGTGACCGGCCGAAATGTATTTATAGTGAAAAATTTAGAAGAAAAGCACCCCCCATTAGTGGTTGTCTTTGGTCTATAAGCTTATTAGGTGATTTTCATGTTCTTTCTTATACCTTCCATTGTTTTTCAAGTTATCCTTAATGAAAATGCATTAGCGTTTACGAGCAGAAAAAATAAACATAAATACAGATAACACAATTATGGCCCTAATGACTTCACTGTCAGATTTTGGATAGGCAAGTTACTTATCTTTACTGGGCTTTTTCCCCATTTGAAAAATGAGGAGGACAGAAATGATATTTAAATTTTCTTCTAAATTAAAATTTCTTCCAAAATCGATTCTAAGTCTGTGTTACATGTTAAACAATAAATATATTTTTCTCTTAATGGAAAAAGCTATGTCATGTTCATTGTAGAAAAACAGAAGAAAATTAAAGATAATTCTACAATGCAAAGATACTTTAATATGCATGGTTTAGATATTTTTCTTTCTTTTCTTTTCTTTTTTTTTTTTTTTTGAGACAATGTCTCGCTCTGTTGCCCAGACTGGAGTGCAGTGGCACAATCTTGGCTCACTGCAACCTCTGGCTCCCAGGTTCAAGCGATTCTGCCACCTCAGCCTCCTGAGTAGCTGGGATTACAGGTGCCCGCCACTGTGCCCAGCAGATTTTTGCATTTTTAGTTGAGACAGGATTTCACCACGTTAGCTAGGCTAGTTTTGAACTCCTGACCTCAGGTGATCCGCCCACCTTGGCCTCCCAAAGTGTTGGGATTACCAGCTTGAGCCACTGCGACCAGCTGGTTTAGATATTTTTCTAAGCACACATGGATATACACAATACATATTCACACTATCAATTTATTTTTACCTTGAAACATTCTTAATGAGACAGTTACAGATCCATTTGTTTTAATGAAATGTAAAAGATATTTTTAAATTTTCTCTCCTAATACATATTTGTTGAGGAAATGCTTACCATTTCATACTCTTTATGGTCTTGCTGAGGTAAGGGTAACTTGGAGTAAGGGTGTAAGGGCTTGCCAATGAAAGCTAACTTAGTGCAGAATGAAAGCTAAATCCTGGGTTAACCTCGATTTCCTTCACATATTAACTTGCTTTTTCTTGACTCTGCCATGATACTTCCTGAGCTAAGATTTCTATTTGCAGGTTAGTTTCTGAAGTGAAGAACCTTGTCTCAAGATAGCATTGGTCTTTTATTTTACCCTGGGAGCTTCTGAGTTACTCTAGTTGTCAGCACGTGAAGTATTAGTAGTAGCAATAGTATAATACAGTAGTGTTAAAAATACCTGTTTTTTTTTTTTTGCATTATCTCTAGGGAATTCAAAAGATTTTGTATAGATAAAATATAAATATTCAAAATGCTGTGTAATCCAACTCATACACTCAGTGAAATATGTGATATATATAATTCTAATTCTGTGTAAAGAATAACTGGAACTTTCTCAAAGGTATCTTTCTTAAAAAATTTATATGGTAGAATCCTATTTAGAGCTAGTAGTGTAACCCAATTTTCCTGCCTACTCATTTAATTCTGTTTTTAATCCCTCTGGTAACTGATTTGTTTTTGTTTTTATTTTTTATACAAAATGGAAAGCAAATCTAGGGTAAATCATTTCTTAGTGACTGCATTTAGTATCTAAACTAATGTCATTTTTTTCTCTTAAGTATAGTAAAGCCTGTAGAGGTGACGATGACAAAGTCCGACTTGTTTATTCTCTTCCCTTCTACTTTGAAAGATTAAGATCTTTTCCAAAAGAAGAACTTTTAGAATGTATGCTTCACAAGATTCTTAAATCAGTATCTTCCAGACATGGCGGGAGGTAGAGAATCTGAGAATAAAAAGTGCAAACTTTTTCTCTCTTAAACTTCTGTATCTGAAAGGTATGAAAGCAAGAGCTAATTCTCACTTGAGAATCCACCACAATGATTGCTTTCATTCTGAAGAAATCCATTTTGTAGCCAGATGGTATGGTATTTTCCATCCGAGAATACAGAACCTGTGGATATGGAGGCCCAGCTGAAAGGGACATGAGCATCTGTGGATTTTGATTCACCCCCAGATACCAAAGGATGACTAAATCCATCAGGTCTCTGCTCAAACATCATTTCCTTAGGGAAGTTTTACCTGGTCTCCCTCTTTTTTGCGTTTTTCCTTCATCATAGGTGGTCATATATATATAATTTTACATTTGTTTGCATATTGCTTGATATATGTCTGTTCCACCAGATTGTAAGCTTCGTGAGAGTAGATACTGTGTTGGTGTTCATTACCAAGCACAGTGCCTGAGACATAGCAAGCAGTATTTATTTGAATGATTGTAGAAACCTGGCGAAACTCATTTGTAATATTTTACTTTACTTAGGCTTTTGTGGTACTATCTAACATTTTATAATTTTAGGAACTCAGGATGGGAAGAGATTCTAAATCATCTAAGAAAGCTCTGCTCTCCAAAGTTAAAAGTCTTCAGTCTCTTCTTGAACACATCCAGTGATAGGAAACGTAACCACCTACCAAAAGTCTGGTTGGTCTTTAAGATATTTGGATGGTTGGAAAGTTTTCCCAACTGAAATTTCTCCCTGAGCCTTTTTATTATTATTATTATTTTTTGGAGACAACGTCTCTGTGTTGCCCAGGCTGCTCTCAGACTCCTGTGCTGAAGGGATCCTCCTGCCTCAGTCTCCCAAGTGGTATCCCTAAAATTTTTACCTACTGATTTTACTCTGTTCTCTAGGGCTTGCAAAAGCAAGTATAGTTTTCATTTTCCTTATTGTCCGAGTCGTCCCTATTTTAGTTTACATATCCCTAGATCCTTCAACCTTGGGAAGGCAATAGGGAATGCTGGAGAGAGAGAGTTTGTGGACTGCATTCGTTTCCTGGGGCTGCCATAAAACCACAAACTTAGTGGTTTCAAGAAACAGAAATGTATTCTCTCACAGTTCTGGAGGCTAGGAGTCTGGAATCAAGGTGTTCACAGGGTGGCGCTCCCTCAGGAGACTCTGGGGGAGAATCTGTTCTTTGTCTCTTCCAGCCTTTGGTGGCATTCCTTGACTTGTGGCTACATCACTCCAGTTTCTGCCTCCATGGTCTCATTGTCTCCTCTCCGTGTAATCTCTATCTGCTTCACCCTTAAAAGGACACTTGTCACTGGATTTAGAACCCACCTAGATATTTCAGGATGATCTCAAGATCCTTAGTTACATCTCTAAGGACGCTTTCTTCAAGTGAGGTAGTATTCACAGGTGCCAATGGTAAGCATGTGAACATATCTTTTTGGGAGCCACAGTCCAACCCACTATAGGAGCTCTGGGCTTAAATTCTGTTAATGTCACTTACTAAGTTTGCAACCTTGAGCATGTTATTTAACTTTTCTGAGTCTGAATCATCTTAATTTTATTTATTTATTTATTTTTAAATTTATTAGTTTTTTAGAAACAGTCTCTTTCTGTCTCCCCAACTGGAGTGCAGTGGCTCAGTCATGGCTCACTGTTGCCTTAAACTCCTGGGCTCGGGCAGTCTTCCTGTGTTAGCCTCCTGAGTAGCTGGGACTGCAGGCATGTGCCACCATGCCCGGCTAATGTTTTAATTTTTTTTTTTTTTTTTTTTTTTTGAGACGGAGTCTCGCTCTGTTGCCCAGGCTGGAGTGCAGTGGTGCGATCTCAGCTCACTGCAAGCTCTGCCTCCCGGGTTCACGCCATTCTCCTGCCTCAGCCTCCCGAGTAGCTGGGACGTCGGGTGCCTGCCACCACACCTGGCTAATTTTTTGGTATTTTTAGTAGAGATGGGGTTTCACCATGTTAGCCAGGATGGTCTTGATTTTCCGACCTTGTGATCCACCCGCCTTGGCCTCCCAAAGTGCTGGGATTACAAGCATGAGCCACCACACCCAGCCCCATGTTTTAATTTTTGTTTTAGAGACAGGGTCTTACTGTGTTGGCCAGGCTGGTCTCAAACACCTGGCTTCAAGTGATCCTCCCACCTTGGCCTGCCACAGTGCTGGGATTACAGGCATGAGCCACCATCCCTGGCTGAATTGCCTTAATTTTAAGACAGGGACAATAATGCCTTTATTATTGATTTGTGAAGATATAAGGAAAATTCATATTAAATACTTGGCACATGGTAGCTAACTCATTCAATGTTGCCTTCGACATACAGTAGTTGCACTACTGTCAGAGTCCCTGAGTATCCTGTGTGGCCTAGAACCCAGCATGAGAGTTGTAGGGCTGGTCCGATAAGTACAGGCTGCAGTGGCTCCGATTTTTTTTGCGTTCTGGACATCATTTAGCCAACTGTGAGGCAGTCTAAGTTTGAATTAGGTTTATCTGTAGCCACATCATAAGATTGGCTCATTAAACTTAGAATTGGTTAAAACCTCCAAATCTTTGTCATTGGTGATTGAACTTATATTGGATAAAGTATTTGGATGCAAGGGCACCCTCTAACATATTACATTGTGTGTTACAAGTGTTACATTAAGTCATACTGCGTAGTGCATAGTAGGAGCTGAATGAATGCTGAATTTAATGTTACTGGGTGACTTAAAGGAGCATTTAAACTTACCTACTTTGGTGCTATCAGATTTCTTAAATGCTGTGATGAATACAAAAAGGGGAAGAAGTAGCAACTACACCAATTATGTTGGGCAGATGGATGCATCTTTATTCTCCTTCTGTGATCAGGAAATCAGGTACTCCTTCAGGTAATCAATGGCTGATCACCTTCAGGTTGATGGACAGCTTGCTTTTGATGCTTCTGTCAAGTGTGAGATGTGTATCCATTGCTAAAGTAACAAATGTACATCTAATGATTTTCATATCTACTAGTAGTTTTGGAATTTGCATTTGATATAAAAGACTAGAGACATAGGTGAAGTGGTATTTTTAAAATATTCAAACTAACTAGGTTAGTGTGGTTTCTAATAAGTATTACATGCACATGGTTAAAAGGAATACAGTAAAAAGTGGGTTTCCCAGTTTCCCTTTCTGGAAACCACCACTGCTAGCAGTTTCTTGCGTATTCTTCCACGTAGGCTAAGCAGAAATTGTGTGTTTGTGTCCTTCCCTTTTTAAAACACAAATGATAGCATATATGCATATGGTTCTCCAGAAAGTGCTTTTGTTAATTAATTAATTTTTTGAGACAGGATCTCCCTCTGTTGCTCAGGCTGGAGTGTAGTTAGCACAGTCTCGGCTCACTGCAGCCTCAGTCTCCCCTGCTCAAGCAGTCCTCCCACCTTAGTTTCCCCAGTAGCTGGGACTACAGGTGCCTGTCATCATGCTTGGCCATTTTTTTTTCTTTTTATTTTTTTCGTAGATACAAGGTCTCACCATCTTGCCCAGGCTGGTCTCAAACTCCTGGGCTCAAGCAATCCTCCAAAGTGTTGGGATTACAGGCATGAACCACCTTGCCCAGCAAAAGTGCTTTTTTAAAAAAGAGTAACATTTTGTATCCTGATCCTCAAGACCTTTGTAGGACTCCAAGTTTTTTGTCCTGTTGTTGATAGGGCACCAAATTCCATAGCTTTCCATTACAATTTGATTGTGTGGGGTGCATTTCCAAGAGAATTGACTATTATATATAGTCTTTTGTGAAAGAATTGTCCTTATAGGCTGACTCAGTTTCTACCAGGGAAATAAAACTAATTTTAATTCAGGTCACTTATTTAGAAAGCAAGTAAAGAAAAACCCATCAATTGAAATTGATTTAACACATTATCTTGGTATTGCTTGTACCCTTTTCATGGTTGCTAAATGAATGACTCATTTTGATTATATTGACAGCAGAGCTAAATAAATTATTTCAAGAGCCTGGTAAGTAGCATAGGTCTAGTTTAGGAAGAGCAGGAATGCCCAGGAATAGAAGGACTCTGGCAATCATCACATTCTACCTTGGATTATTATTTGTGTTTTTTTCTCTCTTACTGTACTATAAGCCAATGGTTCTTTTTTTTTTTTTTTTTTTTTTTTTTTGAGACGGAGTCTTGCTCTGTCGCCCAGGCAGGAGTGCAGTGGCATGATCTTGGCTCACTGCAAGCTCTGCCTCCTGGGTTCACTCCATTCTCCTACCTCAGCCTCCCAAGTAGCTGGGACTACAGGTGCCCGCCACCACGCCCGGCTAATTTTTTTGTTTTTTTAGTAGAGATGGGGTTTCACCGTGTTAGCCAGGATGGTCTCAATCTCCTGACCTCGTGATCTGCCCGTCTCGGTGGTTCTTAATCTTTGCTCTCCTGACCCTTTTACTCTCATAAAAATTATTGAGGACTCCAAATATAATAGCTTTTATTTATGTATGTTATAACTTTTGATACTATATTAGAAATTAAAACTGAGAAAATTTAAAAGTGCTTAATTTAAAAAATAACCCTGTACATGTTAAAAAGTTAATATTTTAATTATGTTACTATTTTATGAAAAACAACTTTTTCAAAACAGAACACTTTAGTGAGAAACATTATATTTTACAGTTTTTGCAAATCTCTTTAATGTCTGGCTTAAGAGAAGACAGCTGAAGTCTCATCTGCTTTTGCACTCAGTCTGCTGTAGTATGTTGCTTTGGTTAAAGTATAAAAAGAAGATCTGGTCTCATACCAAATATGTGGTTGGAAGAGTATTTTAAGAGCCTTTTCAGATAATTGTGGATATTCTTTGATATATTAAAACTCAGCAGTGGTAGTTTCTTAAAGATGAGTTGCAATGTGAAATCTGAAATGGTAACTACTCTTACATTAAAACCTATTGGTTTATCATGCTCTATGAATGGATATTTTAACTGATGCATGATTTTGTAACATCATCTATTGGTAATTTGGAAAATATTAATTCATCAAGTTTATGGAGATCTTTCAAATATTGACACAAAAATCACATTCTTTAACATCACCACCAGTCTCATCAGAAAAGGCTTTTAAGTAATGGAAAACTATTAGACTCACTGTAGCAGATACAAGTTTTCCGAAATTCTAATTATCACTTCAAATATCAAATTTCCATCATTGGCAAAAAATATTGTCAGTTGTTTTCCTTGAAGTGACAGACCCACTTTTAATTTTTGAGAAAATGTCTGTCAAATACCGAGGTCTGAAGAACAATATAGTTTGTCTGTCAGCCACTCTTTGGAGTAAAAATTGTATTCCTTGTGAAAAAAAGCAGCTAATTCAGCTTACAACATAAAACATAGCACACACGCTTTTTTTTTTTTTTTCCTGAGATGGAGTCTTGCTCTTGTCACCCAGGCTGGAGTACAGTGGCGCAGTCTCAGCTCACTGCAACCTCCGCCTCCCGGGTTCAAGCGATTCTCTGCCTCAGCCTCCTGAGTAGCTGGGGTTACAGCTGCCACCACACGCCTGGCTGAATTTTGTACTTTTAGTGAGACGGGGTTTTGCCATGTTGGCCAGGCTGTTCTCAAACTCCTGACCTCAGGTGATCTGTCAGCCTCAGCCTCCCAAAGTGCTGGGATTACAGGTGTGAGCCACTGCACCCGGCCCGCACACACGCTTTTTGAGACAGCCATTTCTGAATGCAGCAGAAAGCTGAATGCAACACTTCTGAATGCAACAGAAGCGCTTTATGCATACTTTCCATTTGTTACGCAGAATAGTAGAAAGACATAACTCTGGGGAGAAGAGTTAATAAAATTAATAATATTTACTCTCATCAAGCACATTCTTAAATAAAATGGACTTTTTTCTCCTTTTTATCGTGAGCACATGAAGGTGAAAGATATAATGGCTACTAGTATAGTTTTGTGCTGTTACCTTAAATTGTGCTAAGTGTCAGTAGTTTTACCCCACCATTGCTTTTGCATCATAAGTGTAAATATAAATGCATTGAGAAAAGGCAAATAGCATCTTATTTATTATGAAAATAATTTTGACCTCATTGATGACTTGAAGAATCTCAAGGACCCCCAGGGTCCCATGGTTTACTTTGAGAACTGCTGTTAAGCTATTTGAGGGTCGAACTAATCATCCTAATATCCCCTTTCAGTTCCTGGTCCAGAACTTTACACAGAAAAGGTGCTCAAAGGATATTTGTTTAATGAATGTGGTATGCTGACATTTAAACAGGACAAAACTTGGTGAGTAAAATTAATGTAGGCAGTCTCCCATCCATTCAGGCAGCTTTTCCATAGACGTTTGTGAGAATAGAGTGAACAAATGGAATGTGGATGATATACACTTGGTAAATGCAAATGATGAAATAAAAGAACAAAATATAAGGTGATAGTACTTACAGAGCTAACAGTCTGAGCCTTGCCTGGGTCCTATTAATGAGTCTTCTACTTTCTGTGTCTTTAAATTTGTAATGGTCTCTTAGAGAGAGGGTCCTCAACTAGGATGGATCTGATCTGAAAAGCAAACATTCAATTTAAATTTCAATAGTTCTCTGCTTGTGCTTGATCTAGTAATGTCTTTTCAAAAGGGATTATAGAAGGTGAATGTTAAAACAAATCATTTTGATTTTCCATAGTGAGTTAAGAAATACATTTTGTTGTTCCTCTTCTGCTTTCTAAGTAATATGTTGGGCTTCTTTCTTGTTTTGTCGTTGTGAGGCATAGTCCGAGGAAACCTTTGTTTTCTATAAATCCTGATATTCTTTGGATTGGAAGAGGCAGTTTCCTGAATAAGAAAGAGTCTGACTACACTGGGTAAATTGTCAGATTATTTTGTCCTCACAGAAGTTAAAGTGTAAAATTGGGTGAGGGCATTGCTTTGAAAGAGTATTTTTATTTATTCTTTTAAAGAAAGTAGATTAATAAAAAGATTGATCAGTTCAAATACCTGGAATATTTAAACCAGTTTTATGTTAACCTAAAAAAATTATTTTGTAGGCATTTCGAAGTTTGACCTCCTTTTTGTCCTAAATTGATTTTAAATCAGTATCAAATGCTGAGGACCAGTAAATGAAACACTCATATGTTGTTTTGAGCAAAATTTTTTATATTATGAAAATATTATAACTTTGAAGTTGATACTTAAAATACTTGAGCCAAAGTTTCTGCCTTTATGTGGGACATTTTCATGAGCTTTCTTATATCAGTTTGCTTACTTACTTTTCATAGAGTTGAGCGAGACTATAGCAAGAGACCCAGGGACATCTTAACATCCTTGAATATTTCTGAATCTTTCTAAGGAATTTGATTTAATTTTTTTTTTTTTTTGAGACAGGGTCTTGATTTGTTACCCTGATGTGATCACTGCTCACTGTAGCCTTGATCTCCCTGACTCAAGCAGTCCTTCCACCTGAGCCTCCTGAATAGCTGGGATCACAAGCGTGCGCCACCATGCCTTCCTTCTTTTTAATTTTTTTGTAGAGATGGGGTCTCCCTATGTTGCCAAGGCTGGTTTTAAATTTTTTCTAGAAACGAGGTCTCGCTATATTGCCCAGGCTGGTCTTAAATTCCTAGCTCAATCAGTTCTCCCACCTTGGCCTCCTAAAGTGTTGGGATTATAGGTGTGAGCCATGGAGGCTGGCCAGGAACTTGATTTTCAGGGAGAAGCCTATTCAGTGTTTCCTTGGACTTCCTCAGCCTGGTTTTATCATAGCATATTATAAGATGATAAACTGAAACCATCTGATTTGAAATCACCAACCTGGGAAATACCAGTCAGAAATTAATTCTATTTTTATGACATTCTTAAAAGACTGTTTAAAACTGACCAAAGTAAAAAATCTTCTTTTAGAGTTATAAGTGTGTAAAAAAAGGCATATTCAAAATAATGTATATATTTAAGTTTACTGGACAGATTTAAATTTGTGTTCTTTGTGTAAGGCATAGATTGGAATGTTTGCTACAGGTATTTTTTGGAACACGGATTTCAGATTGCTGTTTGCTTATAAATATGCATGACTGCTGACCTTCAGAACTGCTTTAAATTTCTCAAAAAATTTTCTCATTATATGCCAGGCTTAGTGGCTTGTGTCTGTAATCCCAGCTACTTGGGAGGCTAAGTCAGGAGGACTGCTTGAGGCCAGTAGTTCGAGACCAGACTGGGCAACATAATAAGACTGCATCTCTAAAAAAATTTTAAAAATTAGCTGAGCGTGGGTAATGTGCACGTAGTCCCAGCTGCTTGGGAGGTTGAGGCTGAAGGATTGCTTGAGCCTAGGAGTTTGAGGCTACAGTGAGGTGTGATCATGCCACTGCACTCCAGCCTGGATGACAAAGGGAGACCCTGTCTCTTAAAAGAATTTTCTTATTATAATAGATACATTTATCTCTGATTTACTCAGTACTATAACCCCATTTAAGTAGTTTGAAGAGATTAGGGTTAAGTCCTACTGTTTTTAGTATGACTACAGTAGTTGCCACTTTAAACAATTTTTGAAATACTTTAGGCATAAAAAAGGATATAGAACAATATAATAAATTCCATATACCTACTACCTAAAGTAATAAAAATCACAGTTATTGTTGAAGCTTATTGGGCACCCCTTCCCCATCCTAGTCCTCTCCCTTCCCAGCTGTGACCATTATTCTCAATTTGATATTTATTCTCTCCCTGCATTTTTACAAACTTTTTCTGTATATATATATGTATCCACTGAAAAAAAAAACAATGTTTGGATTGCAGGGAAAACTAAAAAGTGTAATATTGTTTTATATGTTTTTAAGCTTTGTATAAGAGGTTAAACTTTATTGGTACATGTAGTTATAGTTTACTCACTTTAAATGCTGTAGATATTTGATATAATGGAGTGTGAAAGTAATACATGTTTTTTGTAGGGAATTTTAAAAATAAAGGGAAGTATGAAGATGATAAAAATTTGTAGCCCAGCTATCCAGAGATACTACAGTCAATATTTTGGTTTTTTCCTTTGCTTCTTGTCTTCCCACTTATGTATGTATTTTTTGGTACCCTTTAATATAAAAGGGACCCAGTTTTAAGGATTACATAAAATTGCAAAACAGCTACATAAAGCCTGTAATCCCATTTTAATTGATTCTTAGTTGAAAAGGGGGAAAGAAAATGAATGAGCATTATATATCAGACATACTTGGTAAATTTACTACCTATACCAGATATTGATAGTCTATTTCTTAATATGCAAACACCATAGAAGTGGCATCTGGAAAGAGGCTGTATTACTGAACATGCTTTTAAATTTATATGAGATTTTTCTAGTAAACAAATTTTCCAGATAGGTGATGCTTATCTTTTTAAACGTTAAATACTGTTTTGGTTTTAACCATTTTTTATGGGAAAAAGGAAAATAAAAAGCCTACAAGTATTTCTGTGCTCATTAAGCCAGAATACTGTGGTGTGCTTATAATTTTATCTTTTCTTGGCAACTTGATGTCACTGTGGAAAGCACTGATTACTGAACTGTGTTGTGACTTCTTTTGTTCTAGGTGCCTTTGAACCCTTGTGCACTTTTTAGTTAGATCTTTATTAACATGCTATGCCACTGCAGGGAGGGAGCAGGAAAAGCATGATACACAATTTAAGACAAGTGCCACCATAGGCTACTGTTGGCAAACAAGAGCTCCACCAAACTTTTTAAAGTGAAGAAGCAACAGTCTGAGCCATTTTTCTCACCAGTGGCAGGAGGGGGAGACTTCCACCAGCAACATGGAATCTTCAGTGGATGCAGCTGACCAACCCTCCTGACTTCTCAGTCTTTTCCCACCACTGCTCACCCTTTATGTTCAGATGTATTCAGCACTAGATAACCATACTTATTAACTATAAGTGATGTGTGTGTGTGTGTATGTGTATATATATATAAAACTGTACTTTAAGAATAAATATATATAAACTATATGTGTAACAAATTTATAATATATAAACTATAAATCTGTGAAAGTATTCAGCATTATATAACGGCAGGCTGTGGTGATTTAGATTGGTGGAGCTCCTGACCATGCCTGAAAATCCCTGTACCCCACTTTGACCGTGATTTTTTAAGGGAATATTGTTTTTTTACATCTGTATTTAAAAAAAAAAAAAGATATATATATATATATATACACACACACACACACACACACACTTTATTTTTTAGAGCAGTTTTAGCTTTACAGAAAAATTGAGTGGAGAGTATGGAGAGTTACCATATTCTCTCCTACCCATTTCCTTTATTAATATCTTGCTGTTGTGTGGTAGATTTGTTACAGTTGATGAACCAATATTAACAGAAGTCCATAGTTTACATTCAAGTTCATTCTGTGTGTTTGTGCAGTCTGTGGATTTTGACAAATATATAATCATTCAGAATGGTTTCACTAATCCAGAAGTCTCCTGGTGCTCCTGTCTTCCCTCCTTTCTCTAACCCCTGACAACTATTTTTTTTTACTGTCTCCATAGTTTTGCCTTTTCCAAAAATGTCCTATGGTTGGAATCATACAAATGTAGCCTTTTCAGATTGGCTTCTGTCACTAAGCAATATGTATTTAATGGCTTGATAACTTTTCATGGCTTGATAACTCATTTCTTTTTAATGCTGAATAATATTTCACTGTATGGATGTACCACAAGTTGTTTATCATTCACATACTGAGTAACATCTTGGTTGTGTTCAAGTTTTAGCAATTGTGAATAAAACTGCTGTGAATATTTATTTGTGTGCTGGTTTTTGTGTGGACATAAGTTTCAGCATATTTGAGTAAATACCAAGGAGTGCAGTTGTTGGATCCTATGGTAAGACTATGTTTAGTTTTGTAAGAAATTGCCAAACAGGCTTCCAAAGTGGCTGATGTATATATTTTCAGGTTGCTCGTGTGTTTTTCAAAAACACCTTACTCAGGTATATTGATGGACTGCTTGCCCTGTGATAGGATTACAAGTAATTGAGGTCTGTGGGGCTGGTTGTCCCTACATAAATAATACCAGCTGGTTGTACTTCGCTTGTTCTTGTTTGCTTTCTCTTTTCTTTATCTATTTTTTTCCTTTTCCATGTGTTTTTACTCTCTTTATCTTGCTTTACCAGTTCTGCTTTGTCCTCAGAAATCAGAGGACTGCATTTGTTGGAATAGTGTATAAATTTAAAAGGCAAAATAAAACAAGTCCAAGTCCTTTCTCAGGGTCTCTAGGCGGTTGGGGATGGTTGAGATTGTAGCATTAAGTAAGGTATTGTTGGAGCATTAATTTGACTATATAGAATATAATCTTCAGAGATGGGAAAAGGGAAACAATACGTTAATAAAACTTGCTTTCCTTTGTAATTTGTTAATTATAGGGCAACTGTATAAAATGTTTTAAGACTATGATAGCAGAAGAGTTTTGGTTTTTTTCCTACCTTTCTCTGGGAGAGCTTTTCAGCTTCTACTGTTACAGTTTTTGTTTGTTTGTTTGTTTTTTAAGCACACCACCTTTGGGAGTGTTACAGTTCTTTAAAGAGGACCGAGCCTTTGCTTAAGGCTAGCTTCATACTGTTTGTATAATTCTGTTTGTATGTGCATTTGTACATACCCCCAGCTGCAGCAGAATATCAATAGATTCTGTTCTCCCAGGAGAAGGGCAAGGACTGTATCCAATCTTATCTGGGGTATGTATCCAAATGACCTAAGACAGTCTTCCTAATAAACACTTTTGGACCGCAGGGTTCAGACTCTCCTGGGGTGGAATCTTTTTTTGTTACCTTTCTTTCTGCCTGCTCGTTTAAGTCAGGATGCATGCAAGGCCCACGTCTCCAGTGCCCCCAAGTGGTTGTCTAGGTTTTGCAAGAGGACATCTAGTGATGGGAGAACTCACTGCTTCCAGCCACTCTGTCTATACACCCCGTTAGAAAAATGATCTGTTGACCAGAATTTTGCCATAATTTCCTACCTTTTTTTTTTATTAGGGTCACAGACTTAATCTAATTCCTCTTCCTCATAATGGTCTTTTAATATTTTATGAGAGAGATTCCTAAAGTCCTTCTTTAGATTTAAACACCTCTTATTTTTCTAACTATTCATTAATTAAGCATTTTCATAGTCCCAGTGAAATGTAACGGGCTTTTTCTCGTATCTTTAAAAGTGGAGTGCCCAGGGCTAAGTACAGGAGTGGTCTTTGTTCACATTGTGCATATGTTGCTTGTCATGTGATACTTTTTTTTCCAGACTAAATTTACTGTGAGCCAGTGTTTCTGAATCTTTTTACTTTCTCTGTGATGATGACACAAGTCTCCATCATCCTGTTTTTGTTCAATGGATTGTGGGTTTTTTTCCTTTTTTTTCAAAACAGAGTCTCACTGTGTTGCCCAGGCTGGAGTACAGTGGTGTGATCTCGGCTCACTGCAACCTCCATCTCCTGGGTTCAAGCGATTCTTGTGTCTCAGCCTCTCAAATAGCTGGGATTACAGGTGTGTGCCCCACACCCGACTAATTTTTGTATTTTTAGTAGAGATGGGGTCTCACCATGTTGGCCAGGCTGGTCTCAAACTCCTGACCTCAAACTGCTGACCTCAGGTGATCTGCCTACCTTGGCCTCCCAAAGTGCTGGGATTACAGGCGTCAGCCACTGCACCTGGCTTTTCAATGGGTTTTTTTAGAACAAAGTTTAGAATGATATGTTTATGCCTGTGAACATTTATCTTGTTAGATTATGCTCACTAAGCCATTGGGGTGTTTGGGGAATTTGATCAATGTATCTTTTCTGTCTCTTTTCAGTTTCGAAAACTATCCCTCTGCTGCTGCTTTTCTTCCACTTGTCTTTTCTCAATAGCTGATTCTAGTTTGTGTTGCTTCGATAGATACGTATGGCTAAACATAAACCTTAGACAATAGAAAAACGTATTCATTTGCAAAGCTGCCAGGGTGTTTGGAGTGCTTGAATCATATTGAACTTCAAGAACCATTATGTTTCTTTGTCTTTTTGACAGTTATTGGAGCCAATTTGTGTGTTTTCAGTTTCTCTTAAACTTTCAGTATGTATTTGAAAAGCTTGCAGGCCCCAGTTACTGTGTCTATAATGCCTAGTAAGTAAAATGACCCACAGACCAGTCAATAAGACAGGGCTTAACAGGAGAGTAATCCTTGGTCCTCAGTTTCCCAACTGTACAGTGAAATACTTGGATTAATCACCATGTTTCCACTTGTGCTCTGGAGTTCTGAGTGGTGAGGAGGATGAATGGCTTTAACTCTCTGCATTCCCATACCCTTCAATAGAAGAAATTCCACTGTTACCTTACATTTTGAGGTTCTGTACAGGATTCTGCTTAAAGAAAAGGCTCTGCTGAAAAAAAAAAAAAAGAAGAAGAAGATTCATTGGAAACCCCTGCAAAAAAGCAAGGAAGAAAATGGCTCCCAGAGGACACTGGGCAGCTTGGAAAGTCTGTATGTGTCCCTGATTTCATGAGTTTGGAGGCCTCTGGTATTTCATTTGGTAAAAAGAAGAAGAGCTTATGCTGTTTGTCTTTTCTTTCTCAAACCTGGACATAACAATGGTTATAAAAGTAATCACAGTCTTATTATTTTGAAGGGAGAAATAAATCTATAAAGCAGAAATAAAGTTTTTATAATCCATAATTCTATTTTGCATAGATAAAAAGTATTCTTAATAGTTTTAGTATATCTTTTGAAATTATTTTGTTTGTCCACAACCATATTTATTTACACTTAAAAAAATGAGACCACACTCATTCTAGCAGATTTTATAACCTGTTGTTTTCAATTTCCATCATTTTATGGATTTTTTTGTGTGTCAATACACATAAATCTATTTCATCCTTTAAGACAAGCTTATCCAACCCGCAGCCCACAAGCTGCATGCGGCCCAGGATGCCTTTGAATGTAGCCCAACACAAATTCATAAACTTTCTTAAAACATTATGAGATTTTTTTGTGATTTTATTTTTTGTTTTTTTTTTTCTAAGCTCATCAGCTATCGTTAGTGTTAGTGTATTTTATGTGTGGCCCAAGACAATTCTTCCAACGTGGCCTGGGGAAGCCAGAAGATTGGACACCTCTGCTTTAAGGCTTCTGTGATATTTCTCTGTACCAAGAGTTAATATTCCTTGTTGCACAGCACATGGAGTCTATTCTAAAGTAGACTCTAGTTTTTTTTGTACATTGCTACTGGCACAGTTTTTTTTTTTTCAATAGTTCACTCTTTTTGGGGGTTGTGATATGTGGTGTTTTTTTCTGGTTGCTTCCTTTTCCTCTGGTTTGACTACAGATCAAGACCTGTGTTATCCCAGTCAAGCTACAGATACAGATTGCCCTTTTCTTTCAGACAATAGCTCTAATTTAATGTCCCCTTTCATAGTTACAAGTCTGTTCTTCAGAACAAAATCTTGGCAGCCAGAATTATACTTGACACTTTATTCCAGCATATTACTGCTGGCGAGAAAGACGGTTGACTTGTTTTGACCCAAGTGAGCTTAGTTCTAAGAGACTAGGAAGGTGGATGATGAGCAGCTTTTGGTGGTTTGACAGCCAGCTGCAGGACATCCATTGTGGCCAGGACCGAGTAGCTGCTGATAAATGTGGGTATGGTAAATTACATTTGATGGCCTCTTTTCCCCTTCTGTTTTTGAGAATTTTATCAAAGATTACACTGAGAAAGTGGTATTGAGAAAAATATTTTTTATTCTTATGGGATAATTATTCTCTTCTCTAGCCTATACTTCTTGTAAATGGCAACATTGGTAGTAGTCATGGAAAAATTTTGGTGATTGGTTTTTTTAAACAGGAAATATAGTGTAAATGTTATTTAGGTAGTTTTGATTTCTTTAGGAACTTAGGTAGCATTTCTCCCCTCCTTCTGTGAGTTTAGTGATATCTTTTATAGACTTAAATTCTAAAATGGAGATGTTATGCCTAGTTTTAGGTAAAGGCATTTTAATTTTATGTTCAATTACTTTCTAAATTTTGCTTTAGTCTTGAAATATAATATGCTTTTTTACTTTAACATCCTTGTGTAGGATTCTAATTTGATTTTTTTTCCTTCTTACTACTGTGCCTCTAATTTTGATTATATGGCATCTTTAATTTTCTAAGTAATTCAAGATACAGTTTATCTCAATGAATTAACTCACAAAGTAAATATGGGAATTTTTTTTGGGACAGGTTCTCACTCTGTCCCCCAGGCTGCAGTGCAGTGACACAGTCTCTGCTTACTGCAGCCTCGACCTCCATGGCTTTACTGATCCTCCCTTCTCAGCCTCCCGAGTAGCTGGGATTATAGGCGTGCGCCACCATGCCTGGCTAATTATTGTGTTTTTAGTAGAGATGGGGTTTCACTATTTTGGCCAGGCTGCTCTCAAACTCCTGACAATTTATGGGGATTTTGGTTATTTGATCTTGACTCTTCCATATATACTTGATTTCCAGTAATTGGCGTGGTTCCAGTTTTACATTTTGTTGTTTCCTTGTTCCTAAATTTATATAAATAATAATTTGTACAGATTTTCATACCTTTTAAAATTCAACTTAAAATAATTTTTATAAATTGGTTTAATACAAACATAGAAATGGTGTGCCCAACTCTCCATTTTCCTTAAAAAGTCAGCCCCTTGTCCCCACAACCCTTTTTTTTTTTTTTTTGCGAGATGGAGTCTTGCTCTGTCGCCCAGGCTGCAGTGCAGTGGCATGATCTCAGGGCTCACTGCAACCTCCACCTCCTGGGTTCAAGCCATTCTCCTGCCTCAGCCTCCCGAGTAGCTGGGATTATAGGTGCATGCCACCACACCCAGCTAATTTTTGTGTCTTTAGTAGAAACAGGGTTTCACCATGCTGGCCAGGCTGGTCTCGAACTCCTGGCCTCAGGTGATCCGCCTGCCTCAGCCTCCCAAAGTGCTGGGATTACAGGCGTGAGCCACTGCGCTCTTCCGCCCCCCCTTTTTTAAAAAAAGTAATATTTTTCTCTTTCCATCTACTGAAAATGGGAATGGATAGTTAGCTAAACAATTTAATATAGGTGAAGAAGAACATAAAGTCAGTTGAACACTCTGGCGCTCACAGAATACTGTAGCTTCACAAGACTGCTTTGGCAACTTTATAAACTGCATTTATTCCTGTGGCTGAGAATCATGCTGTCAGACCTCTCAGTTTGTGGGAATCAACTCTCAAAGTAGCTATTGTATATTATCTAAGGCAGTGATGGTGGGGTTGAGGGTTGAGGGAGCAGGAGATGTATTAGAGGGACCAGGATGGGTGGCTGCAGGTACAATTTGAAAAATCAATTCAACACACATACCGTTTTATAATACAAATTCACGGCTGGGTGCTGTGGTTCATGCCTGTAATCCAAGTACTTTAGGAGGCCAAGGTAGGAGGATCGCATGAGCCCAGGAGTTTAAGACCAGCCTGGCAACATAGTGAGACCTGGTCCCTACAAAAAAATTTTTTTAATTAGCTGGGCGTGGTGGCTCCCGTCTGTAGTCCCAGCTACTCTGGAGGCTGAGGCAGGAGGGTCCCAGGAGGTCAAGGCTGCAGTGAGCCATGATTGCACCACTGCACTCCAGCCTAGGTGATTGAGTGAGACCCTGTCTCTTAAAAGACAAAACCCAAATTTACCGTACCCCCAGTAAAACCCAAATTTTGGCTTGAAGATTAATTAATTAATAGCTTAATTATTAAGCTATTAATACATAATAGCTTGCATTAGCAGTTAAGGAGCCCAAGCAAATAATGAGTGGAGACTGTGCTCGGGTACAAAGGGTGGGACTCTGATGGAGCAGCTGGAACACTTGATTGAGAAGCAGGAGATAGGGGTTCAAGTTTTGGATTTGCCACCAATTAGAGATGTGACTTTGGGTAACTCACTGGGTCTTTCTTGGTCACAATTTGGAAAATGAGAACATCAAACTAGTCTCCAAAGTCTTAAGCATTTTAGGTTTGCCTCTGGTTAAAGGAATGCTCTGTGGACAGTTGGATTTGACCAGTTATCAAGGTAAGATTATATCTTTGGGAACCAAAGTAAACAGTTCCAGATTTTTCAGCCAGTCTTCATCAGGGTGTTATTTGTACATCCTAACAAATCACAGAGCCGTGGAGACCTTATGATGAATAACCATAAGCCTCCTGGCTCTTCCCTTTTCTTGCCATCCCAGTCCTACTATCCAGAGACAGCCTTTAAAAACTTTTTCACTATTTCTGTTTTTAGCTTCACTTGTGGTTACTTCCATAAGCCTTAATAATGTGTTTAGACTTCTGTTCCTTGATTTATCAACTTTAGATGATACCTGTGAAGTTTTTGATGTGAAAAATGAGAATTTAACTCACTTTTTTACCCCTGTCATTATTTGATATTTATATTACTTTGAAAGTCATTTATTAATTATCTTTATAATTTTAAATGATAAACTTTAATTTTTTGATCCATCAACTTCCTGTAGGGCCTCTTAACTTGCCATTTTGGAAAATGGGATTGTAAATACCCCCTTCACGTCCCTCTTTTTATATTCTACCTTCTGATACCTGTACTCAACTTGCATATTGTCTAGGTTATAAAAGGTTAATATTTTTATTCTGTCTTCCATTCACCACCAAGTATTGTGTGCTTTCCTTTATATTTAGATTGCTGTTTTTATTGCATTCGCTTTCTCTGCCTGCTGTGAACATATGCAGAATCATAAGTGTACGATTACTCAAAATGTTTATGTCTTTTAAAAGCTAAGGAAATAATTTGGTATGTGCTTAAAGACTCAGCTTATTTTATTTTTATTTATTTATTTTTTTGAAATGGAATCTCGCTTTGTCACCCAGGCTGGAGTGCAGTGGTGTGATCTCGGCTCTCTGCAACTTCCACATCCCGGGTTCAAGCGATTCTACTGCCTCAGCCTCCCGAGTAGTTGGGACTACAGGTGCGTGCCACCACGCCCAGCTAATTTTTTGTATTTTTAGTAGAGATGGAGTTTCACCATGTTAGCCAGGATGGTCTCGATCTCCTGACCTTGTGATCCACCCGCCTCAGCCTCCCAAAGTGCTGAGATTACAGGTGTGAGCCACCGCACCCAGCCTAGCTTATTTTATTTTTTGAGACAGAGCCTCATTCTGTTGCCTAGGCTGGAGTGCAGTGGCACAACCTCGGCTCACTGCAACCTCCGCCTCCCAGGTTCCAGCAATTCTCCTGCCTCAGCCTCCCTAGTAGCTGGGATTACAGGCACTCGCCACCATGCCCAGCTAATTTTTTGTATTTTTTTTTAGTAGAGACAGGGTTTCACCCAGTTGGCCAGGCTGGTCTTGAACTCCTGACCTCAAGTTATATGCCCGCCTCAGCCTCCCAAAGTGCTGTGATTACAGACGTGAGCCACCGCGCCCAGCCAAGACTCAGCTTATTAAACCATTTATTTACTCATTATTCAAGAGATATTTATTGAATACTAGTTATCATTAACAGTGCTATTTATAATAGTGAGAAATTGGAAATAACCTAAATGACTTCAGAGGATTGGTAAACTAAACTACTGTATGTTCTTACAGGGAATGCTCTGTAGACATTTAAAAAAGATACAAAAATGTTAATAACATGGAATATTTTAATCTATATTAAGTGAAAAAATATTTGTAATACAGTATATACAATATAGGCTCATTTTTGTTTAAAAACAATGAAACAAAACCAACTGTATAAGAAACTAGCAGGGGAAATGCTGGAAGCATATACATAAAATAGTTAACTTGGTAATGTAGCTATCTCAGGTTACAGTGATTTGTGTTTATTTTTAATTCCCCTATATTTTCTCAGTTACCCCCAAAGAACACAAGTCACTTCTAAAAGAATACATTCTTTAAAAAATTTTTTTTTTTTTTTTTTTAAATGAGATAGGGTCCCATTGTTTTCCAGGCTGGAGTACAGTGGTGCAATCTCAAGTCACTGCAACTTCTGCCTCCTGGGCTCACTCCATCCTCCCACCTTAGCCTCCCAAGTAGCTGGGACTACAGGCATGCACTACCACACGCAGCTGGTTTTTGTATTTTTAGTAGAGATGGGGTTTCACCATTTCACCCAGGCTGAGAATACACTTTTTAAACTTAGAGATACAAAATTAGAATTGCCAGTCATAGGTTTTCTTGGAATACACATGCTACAATAATGTAGGAGTACCTGATAAGAATTCAGTAAATATTTGTTGAATGAAGGAGAGAATGATTGAATAGCAGAGATTCCTAGGTCTGTGGTATTGGCACTTAAATACTTTCATAATTTTATCCAGAAACAAATCCTTAGTTCAGTTATTTCAGAAGAAAAATCATGAATTGAGCTGTCCTGCAGAAGCTAGGAAATAGCTTTAACTGGCTGTTGGTTGTGTAGTGACAGATCCAGCAGAATTGAGCCCGCCACTGAAGCAGCCAGGCAACAATGCTGTTTCACAGTATGCAGGATCTGAATAAAAGTGTCCTTTGTGCTTATTTGAGACTGGGGGGCGGGACTTGTGGCAATTTACGTTATTTTTCCATAATGGAAATTGAGGCAGCCTCTAATCCTGCTATCACACATGGCAACTACTTATTTGATTTTTGGTAATTTGGGAGCAGCTGTGGACAAACAATTATTCTGCAAAAAGAGCCATGCCAGCTGCATTCTGACCCAGTTGCAAATGCTTGGGTAGACCAAACTTCCTATTCACCATCTTTCTAAACCAGGGATAGCTTTAACAACTCACCTGCTTTTTATTGATATGTGTAGCTTCTGGTAAGCGTCTACATATTTGAGAATGCACTCTCTAATGCTTTTTTATTGTTGTCACCAACCTTCACTAGGCACCTACTTCATTCAGGCAGTGTGCCAGACACAGGGTTGTAAGCTACAAGATGTTATACAGTGTGGATAGACTGCTTTCATTTTGACAGGTGGGTCAGCATTAGCTTTATTTTTAGTAGACTAAATGGCAGTGTAAAGAAAGAATCTGGTGTGGAGGCAGTTGGGAGCTGTGTTCCTTTGGTCCCCAGACTCCCCCTGAATCTGCTGTCTGCGCGTTCATTGATGTCCCCTTGCTATGCCATGTGCTTTCACAAGCCGTTGCTGCTGCCTGCAGTGCCCTTTTTTTCATTCTGGAGCCTGACGAGCTTCTGACTGTAGACTCTGTCATTTCCTTCAGGATGCCTGCCCCATGTCCTTGCAGTTTTGTCTTCTCTGTGCTCCCTTAACCCTTAGCAAATATCACTAGAATAGGATTTGTTTTTTAAATGGCGAAAGCCTACTTACTTAACTGTATTAATTCAGTCTTTCAGTATACACTTATTTATTTTTTAAGCTCTTATAACCCAGGGGCTTAGAGAGATGTTTCAGTAAAGAAACATAGGAAATTAGGTAGGTAGGGTCATCTATAATGAGTAAAAAGACAGCGTACTTTTGACTGTGAACGTCTGTAGGGCAAGGACAAAACGCTGACAATCTTTATTTCTGTCTCTATAGTGCTGAATTATCACAAGGGACAAATGGCCTGAATAATTGTATGAACCCACTCTATTAGAAATTACCTTCACACTGATAGATAATGGCCTGTGATAAGAAGCAAGTCAAAACTTTTTAGAATGTAGAACTGCACTGTTCAATATAGTAGCCACAAGCCACATATGGCCATTTAATATTAATTAAAATTAAACATTTAATTCCTTATGATCTCATGTGGTCAGTAGTCCACATGTCCAGCTACAGTTTTGGACAGCACACATTTAGAATATTTCCATCATTGCAGAAAGTTCTACCAGACAGTGCTAATCCAGAACCTATAAGAGAGTTGACATATTTTAAGCATTTGATGAAGTACATTGACTTAACTCTTCTCTATGGAAAGATGTTCCGGCAAGCCAAAATTCCCCATGCTGTCTTTACATTTTTTCCTTTGCTTGTGGCACCCTCTAGTGTTCTAGTAATACATAGTCTATTTATAATTTGAATAGAAGAAGATTGGAATATTTTGGAGAATTCTGTATGTGTAGCATTTTTCTAGGGAGGAGCTCTGTAGCTTTCACCCATCCCCAAGAAAGTTTATGATTCAAAAACGATTAAGAACTCTATGATAGAGGTATTTGTATGGTCAAAATTCCTAATGTGATCTGTAAACATTATTTCACCCAGTGTAAAAAAAAAAAAAAAAATCATGTAACTGTCCCTTCAACATTTCTTTGCTGTCCTCATCTTTGTACATGGAATAAGAATAAGTTACACTTATATAGCACTCACTATATACCATGTCCCCTTAAGCCCTTTTTCAAATAGTAATTCATTTTGTCCCCAGTAATTCTATGAAGTAGATTCTGTTATTTTCCTTCATTTGACAGATGTTACAACTAAGACAGAAAAAGTCAAATGAAACTTCTCCAAGTTGCTAGTAAGTGGCAGAGCAAGAAATGGAATACAGTATTCTGGTTCCAGAGTTTGTACCACCCCGCCGGAGAAGTGAGGATGTGTTTAAGTAGGCATGAGGTAGAATGGAGAGGAGACTCTCCAGACACTTGTACATGCTGAGCCCAGTTGTATAATAAGAAAAAAGAATGGTAACTCTAAATCGCTCTTTCCCATGCTGGAAATGATAGCCATTACCCACCACTGATTTTCAGTAGGTCTACGCAGTCCGCTAGGGAGTTAGGATGGTAGATAAAGGTCAAAGGTACCATTGCTACCACATTTTCTTTGGTTTCCAAAAACCTGATCTATTCATCGAGTAATATGACAAATTATTTTCTGTTTGTCAGTGTTATTTCTATGAAGAGACAGTATAGTACTATGATGTTGATTTTGAGGTTTGCAGGAATGTTAGACTTAAAGAGTAGGTCAGATAGACTCACAAACATAAGTTTGTGTTGATATCACCTACTTTCCTGTCTATGCTCCCTTCTCACTTCTAAGTGTCCCATTTCTGTCTGTGTGAAGCATTTTATTTTTATGTATTTATGTATTCTGAGATACAGTTTCACTTTGTTGCCCAGGCTGGAGTGCAGTGGCATCATCTCAACTCACTGCAGCCTCCGCCTCCCGGGTTCAAGCGATTCTCCTGCCTCAGCCTCCCGAGCAGCTGGGACTACAGGCGTGTACCACCACACCCGGCTGATTTTTGTATTTTTAGTAGAGACAGGGTTTCATCATGTTGGCCAGGCTGGTCTTGAACTTCTGACCTCAGCTGATCCACCTGCCTCCCAAGGTGTTAGGATTACAGGCGTGAGCCACCGCGCCAGGCCTGTGAGACATTTTATACTCTATAGCTTAGCATCTTTTTAATGATTCATTAAATTTGAGATTCATCAGTGTCTGAAAACAGAAACTCTAATTGTAGTCTTGTAAAAATGGGCTTCATTTTTTACATCACTTCTTTATTGAGGGTATGAGAATCCCGGATTGCTGCTTACCAGCACTGTATGAGTAATTTTGAATGCAAGTATGTATTTTCTTCTTTAAGTATTAATCGGGGCCTAGAAAACCATGTGTGGCATTTCAGATAATTTAATTCTGGGAACTGGGTACACAGGTGTTACAAGATGAAAGAGCACAAAAGACACTGGGGTAATCCAGATAGGAAGCACTACCACCCCTAGGTTTGGGGGAACAGAAGAGAAGAACCTGGAAGCTCAGAGAGGTCCTCCTGCAGCTGGTAATCTGATCTCCTAGTGGAATGCCATTCAGCTGGTACTCAACCACCAGGAGAGAAGAGGCACAGCTGGAGTTGGGAGGTGCAACACTCCTCTTGCTGGAGCAATGCTGATATTATAACAATGAAAACAGCAAAGAAATCCCTTCTTCTCTCCCCTTCCAGTCTCCCTAGGCAAAACCTAACAGGATACTGGCAGTAAAGTCTGGAAAACATGGTTGGCAGGCTCAGCCCCAGAGCGAGGAATAGTGCAACTCTGACAAGAATAGAAGACAGGGCTTGGAAGTGAGACGGAGAGAGAGAGATAAACAGCAAGCATAACCTTGTAGGAGAGTTACAGAAACTGTAACTGCCTGGGTGTAGCTTTAGTTATTAAAATGTGCAGCTGATTACCCACAATCATTTATCAAAGAGCACATTATGATAGATCTATTCATAGAGACTTTATGGACCCGAGCCCTGACTTCAGTGAGCTTACAGTATTTTCTTTTCTTTTTTTCTTCGAGATGGAGTCGCACCCTGTCGCCCAGGCTGGAGAATGCAGTGGCGCGATCTTGGCTCACTGCAACCTCCGCCTCCCGGGTTCAAGCAATTCTCCTGCCTCAGTCTCCAGAGTAGCTGGGATTACAGTCATGTGCCACCATGTCCGGCTAATTTTTTGTATCTTTAGTAGAGACGGGGTTTTACCATGTTGGCCCGGCTGACTCCAGACCTCGCGATCTGCCCGCCTCTGGCCTCTCGGGATTACGGGCATGAGCCACCATGCCTGGCGCTTACAGTATTTTCATAAAATCATCCACTCATCCCTAAGTCATTATGAAGTTGTGTGGTAAAGCTTTTTTTTCTTTTCTTGCTTTTTTTTTTTTTTTTGAGACAGAGTCTCGCTGTGTTGCCCAGGCTGGAGTGCAGTGGTGCGATCTTTGCTCACTGCAACCTCCGACTCCCAGGTTTAAGTGATTCTCCTGTCTCAGCCTCCAGAATAGCTGGAATTAAAGCCACCACCCCTGGCTAATTTTTGTATTTTTAGTAGAGATAGGGTTTCACCATGTTGGTCAGGCTAGTCTCAAACTTCTGACCTCGCGATCCCCCAGCCTTGGCCTCCCAAAGTGCTGGGATTACAGGCGTGAGCCACCACGCCCAGCCCAAAGCTTATTTTTCTTAAGCATTATATAAAAGCATCATTGTTAACTGGATTATCGTGTTATTAGTATTAAGGAATATTTACAAAGTTAACCTATTGGTATGAAAAATATTTGATTAGTCATACAATTTTGTTAGTTTTAGATGCCGCAAATTAGGAGTTTGTCTTCCTCAAGGCAAGGCCACTTCTAAACTTGAACTGTGCTGTTCTCAGTTCTTAACGTAAGAAGGGAGCTTTATTTATCTAGTGACAGTTTGCTCTAACATGTCATTTAATTTTAATTTTCAAAAGGATCAGTTTGGAAGACTATATCATAGCTATTTGTTTTTAAAGCTCATTTTGTTAAAAGTCAAAGTAATACATTCATATAATAAAAGATGAAATAGAAGGACTTACAATAAAAATCAATAGTCTTTTGCCACTCTTTCCCCATCCCGAGTCCCACTTTTCAGAGACAATTAGCTGTTTTTTGTTTATAGTTTAACTGTTTTGTTTATAGTATCATCAAACAGTAATGCCTCCATAACTCTAAATAATATGTCTATACCACTATTTCTTGATTTATCAAATGGGCATTATTGACTTTTTTTTTTTTTTTTTTTTTTTGAGAAGGAGTCTCGCTCTGTCGCCCAGGCTGGAGTGCAGTGGCACAATCTCGGCTCACTGCAAGCTCCGCCTCCCGGGTTCACGCCATTCTCCTGCCTCTGCCTCCCGAGTAGCTGGGACTACAGGTGCCCGCCACCACGCCCGGCTAACTTTTTGTATTTTTAGTAGAGACGGGGTTTCACCGTGTTAGCCAGGATGGTCTCTACCTCCTGACCTCGTGATCCGCCCTTCTCAGCCTCCCAAAGTGCTGAGATTACAGGCGTGAGCCACCACACCCAGCTTGACTTTCTTTTATGGAATATAAGGTACTTATTTTTTTAGTACTTTTCCTTTCCCTTGTACTTTTGATAGTTACATTGTAATACTGTTTCCATCTCCTGCTAATAATGTCTCCTGACTCCCTCACCATGTAAGGATAGGATATTAATACTCTATACTCCTAGCCATTCTTCCACCTTTCTGTCCCTCTCCCGCCTCCAAATTTCTGTCAGCCTTATCTTTGCTTTTTCATTGTCATGGTTCATAACTTTTACCTGCTGTTTTGTATTATATTTCATTTTCTGTATTTTGGTCTGTAGTCGGGGTCTGGAGATGGAACTACATGTACAACTATAGCTTCATTTTTTTTTTTTTTCAACTGTAGAGCCCAGTGGTGTGGGAGGGTATTTTTTTTCTTTCCATGTCTGATATCATCACTCATACACTCTTTGAAAGAGAATTATCCTAGGTCAAATGGATTTTTCTTTTCTTATGTTCCATTTTTACTCACAATTAAGCCACATTTTACTTTGATTCTATTTTCACTCTGACTTGAGCTGTGGAATTGTTTTTAATTTTTACTGCTGTGGTGAGATTTCCATCCATTACCCTAGTGTCCCCCTGAGGAGCAAACCCTATAGTTGACTTTAGGCTTCTTTAGGCTTCTTGAGAAAGGGTAAAATTTCTATCCTAGTTATGCAGTTTATATTCTGGATATGTTCAAGAATGTAAGTTGAGCCAGCCTAGGTTCCCCCCACCCCACCCCGGGTTTGGACTGTAGACTGAGGCTAGGTGTCAGATTTTCCCTTAGGCAGTTCTTGTGGTTTTTCTTTTGATATGATAATGCTATTGATTAGACTAATGCTTTCTTTTACATTTAGTTACACTTTGATTAGATTTCCTGGCCTGCTTTTCTTTCTGCTTTGATTTTTAAAATACTCTACACTTAATCTCATCCATTATGTGTGGATTAGACTAAATTTAACTCCCTTGGACATTTCCTTCAAATTCCAGTAGCTCCTTAGGTATTATTGACTACAAGTACCAGGGTGCTCTGGGCCAAGACAATCTTTTTCTGTGTTTTCTTCCACTAACCCACCCATACTGGCCTAGAGGGACAAAAGTAGCAGCTCTTCTGTACCAGAGAGTACCCCTACCCCAACCTCTTGTAGTTTATATTATAAAGAAGGACTTTTTAATTTAATTTTTTTTTTAAGAGAGAGGGTCTCACTCTGTCACTCACACAGGAGTGCAGTGGTGCGATCTTGGCTCACTGAAGCCTTGTCCTCCCAGGCTCAAGCAATCCTCTTGCCTTAGCCTCCTGAGTAGCTGGGGCTATAGGCATGTGCCATCATGCCCAGCTAATTTTTCATTTTTTGTAGAGAGGGGGTCTCCCTATGTTGCCCAGGCTTGTCTCGAACTCCTGGACATAAGCAATCCTCCCACCTTGGCCTCCCAAAGTGCTGGGATTACGAGTGTGAGCCACTGTGTCCGGCCAAGAAGGACCTTTAGATGAAGGATATATTGCACCCCAGGTGATGATCCAGGGTAAGAAAGATTTTAGTAAAATTGTTACCATGTTAAGTTATTGCTTGGGGGAATTTTTTTTCTTTTTCCTTTTTTTTTTTTTTAAATGAAGTATTGACTAATCTGCTGAACACCACTGGCTCTGGGTGATAGGTATGCTGTTTTATTTGAATGTGGTGTTGAGTCACAGGTCATTATGTATTGCCGGCGCTTTCGTCTTACTTTTTATATCAGTTCAGAGGAATCACTCTCAAGTCCATCTGCTGCCTCTTCATTTTGTGCACTGTTGTGAAATTATGCTAGGGGCCTTGGTTTCCTATAGTTTCTTTATTTTATGTCTAGGAGAACAATATTTCAGTTGCTGGAGTTAATATAGGGCTTTTTAGATGCCTGATTCAGTCTCTTACACAGTTAAGAAAACCATCCTCAGAGATGACTGTCTGATTTAGAAATGAAGAAATTGAGGCCCAGTGCTTGTGAGACTAGTCAAGTAATGAGTCAAGAAGGGTAGAATCGGGAAGACATAGAGATTCTGGCATCATCATAATTAATGTCAGGCACTTATTGCTGGGCACTGTGTTCCTCACTTTATCTGGGTTATCTCATTTAATCCTCATATCATCCTTTTGCGAATAGGTAGTCATTTTTTTTTTCACTTAAAAAAAATGATAGAATTGTAGCTTAGAGGTTGAGTAACTTGTCCAGGGGTTCTGGATATCTTGGTGATAGACTGTGCTGTTTTATAAAATAGAGAATATTTAATATATTTTTACCTATTGACAGTTCACATCACTTTAGCTATCCAGGGAATCTAACTCCTCATGGAGGAAAGCTAAAATGCTTCACTAAATTGACTTGGGAGAGTGGGGTCTGATGATGTCCAGCAATATGTCATATGTCATATCAGTCATATCTGGCATTAACCAACCTGCTTCTTTTATGATTTTATGGAAACATTGTAAGTATCATTCATAAGTATCCCACTCTAGTTAAAAGAAGTCAGAAATACCTTTGCCTTTGCTTTTCACAGGGTGTGCTGAATAAAAATGGTTAGAGAGGCCGGGTGCGGTGGCTCAAGCCTGTAATCCCAGCACTTTGAGAGACCGAGGCAGATGGATCACCTGAGGTCAGGAGTTTGAGACCAGCCTGGCTGATATGGTAAAACCCCGTCTCTGCTAAAAATACAAAAATCAGCTGGGCTTGGTGGTGCACTTGTAATCCTAGCTACTTGGGAGGCTGAGGCACGAGAATTGCTTGAACCCAGGAGGCAGAGGTTGCTGTGAGCCAAGATCACACCACTGCCCTCCAGCCTGGGCAACAGAGTGAGACTCTGTCTCAAAAAAAAAAAAAAAATGGTTAGAGAGGCCAAAGAATGGGAGAGGGAGAGAGGTGGAAAGAGATGAGGCTCTGGGCAGAAATGGCAAGCCTGTGAAGCAGACAGCCCTATTGATTCATGCTGTGAACTGCATTCTGGAGCAAAGAATTGAAATCCATTATGCCAAGCGCATAGCCTACAAATCCCTTTGAAAAGCAGTTAGGTGCCATCTAATCCCAAATCATTTAAAAATAATTCTGAAGTACCCAGAATTCTAAAATGCCCTAAGCAGTTTGTCTCGAAGAACAGTGAAATGGATGGAAAAATAGCATTTTAATGGTATCTTTCTCTCATATATTATATTCAATTGTGTGACTTAGTGTGTTAAATTGTTTTAGAGTAGTACAAATCTGGGGGCTAGGATATATTCCCTTGGATATTCTGAAACTCACATAAAACAGGATATGGAAGGGTAGCTTATCAGGTAGCTTAAAAATTCTTTTCTAATTTTGCCATAATTTCAGACTTTGGGAAAAGTTGCAAGAATAGTACAAAGAATTCTCATGTACCCTTTACCCAGATTTTCCAAATGTTCACATTTTACTGTGTTTTCAAAGACCTCAGAAAATTGAAAATTTGATTATCTACATAGAAACAAATCACCTAAAGAATAAAGACATAGCAGGATTAGTTTAAGAGAGCAGTTACTCAGAGGAACAAAGGATTTTAGAATCAAAAGATCTCAAGATGGAGAAAGACTTCTATAGTAGAGTGGGACAAAATAAGAGAAAAATTTTACATAAATAAATAATTATGTTCTTTTACATGCAGCCATAGAGGTCATATTTCTATATCTATGTGGTTGACATTTTTTGGTAAACTCCAGATGTGTAGTGCTGTATACTGTTACATGATAGTCAAATTTTAAATGTGTGTATATGTTCATGTGGGTTTGTATTAATACAAGTAGAGATAGTGTTAGTGTACAACTGAAGCACTCAGCTTTTCAATATACATCAAAATTTAAAATACATATGCCTTTTGACCCAGCAATTTACCTTCAAGAGTTTGTTATTCTTAAAAGAATTTATTTTTTAAAATAATCAAATAATATACAAGATTTTTAATAAAGATAATACAGGCTGGTTATATTATTCTCCTGTAAGATTAGTCACTTCTTCCTTTTTTAAAATTTATTTTTATTTATTTATTTATTTGAGACGGAGTCTCGCTCTGTCGCCCAGGCTGGAGTGCAGTGGCGCATCTCACTGCAAGCTCCGCCTTCCGGGTTCACGCCATTCTCCTACCTCAGCCTCCCGAGTAGCTGGGACTGCAGGCGCCCGCCACCACTCCCGGCTAATTTTTTGTATTTTTTTAGTAGAGACAGGGTTTCACCATGTTAGCCAGGATGGTCTCGATCTCCTGACCTCGTGATCTGCCTGCCTTGGCCTCCCAAAGTGCTGGGATTACAGGCGTGAGCCACCGCGCCCGGCCAGATTAGTCACTTCTTTGCACAGAAATTACACTGGTATATAGGGTAATTTTAAAAAGTTAGTTGTAAAATATACATAACAATAAATTTACCATCATAATCATTTTTAGGCATATAGTTCAGTAATGTTAAGTACATTCACACTGTTGTGCAGCCAATCTCCAGAACTCTTTATCTTGCAGAACTGAAACTCTGTACTCCCAGCCCCTGGCGACTAATAGTCTACTTTCTGTCTCTATGAATTTGACTACTCTAGGTGCCTCACATAAGTAGAATCATACAGTATTTGTTCTTTTTTGTGGCTGGCTTATTTCACTGAGCAGAATATCCTCAAGGTTGATCCATGTTGTAGCATGAGTCAGAATTTCCTTTTTTTAAAAATTGGTTTTAAATAAAACTGTATTTTTTATAGCAGTTTTAAGTTCACAGCAAAATTGAGTGGAAGATACAGATAATTCCCATATACTTCTCTTCCTTACACTTGCACAGCCTCCCCCACTATCAACATCCTGCACCAGAGTGGTACATTTGGTTCCAATTGATGAGCCCACATTGACACGTCATTATTACCCAAAGTCCATAGTTTACATTAGGGTTCCCTCATGGTATTGTACATTACATAGTTTACATTAGGGTTCCCTCATGGTATTGTACATTCTATGGATTTGAACAAATGTATAACCCATATCCACCATTATTGTATCATACAGAGTAGTTTCACTGCCCTGAAAATGCTCCGCCTGTTCATCCCTCCCTTCCCCCAATCCTTGGCAACCTCTAATCTTTTTACCGTCCCCATAGTTTTGCTTTTCCAGAAGGCCATGTAATTGGAATCATAAGTGTGTAGCCTTTTCAGATTGGCTTTTTTCACTTAGCAATATGCATTTAAGCTTCTTCTACATTTTCTCATAGCTTGAAAGCTCATTTCTTTTTAGTGCTGAATGATATTCTATTGTCTGGATGTACCACAGTTTATCCATTCACCTACGGAAGGACATTTTGGTGCTTCCAAGTTTGGGCAATTATGAATAAAATTATAAACATCCATGTGCAGGTTTTTATGTGGATGTAAGTTTTCAACTCCTTTGGGTCAATACAAAGGCGTGTAATTGCTGGATTGTATGGTAAGAGTATGTTTAATTTTATAACAGACTGCCACACTGTCTTCCAAAGTGGCTGTACTATGTTGCATTCCCACCAGCAGTGAAATAGAGTTCCTGTTGCTCCACATCCTCAACAGCGTTTGGTGTTGGCAGTGTTTTGAGGTTTAGATATTTAAATAGATGCGTAGTGATATCTCACTGTTTTAATTTGTAATTCTCCCTTGACATATGATGTTGAGCATCTTTTCATATGCTTATTTACCATCTATATATCTTCCTTGGTGAGATCTCTTCAGGTGTTTTGCCCTTTTTTAAATTGGGTTCATTTTCTTATTGTTGAGTTTTTAAGAATTCCTTATTTTGGATAACAATCCTTCTGATTCATCTTTTACAACTATTTCCTCCCTGTCTATGTCCTGTCTTCTCATTCTTTTGGCAGTGTCTTTCACAGGGCAGAAGTTTCTTGTTTTAATGAAGTCCAGCTTATCGATTTTTTGCTTTTATGGATTGCGCCTTTGGCATTGTATCTTAAAAGTCATTGCCATACCCAAGGTCAACTAGATTTTCTCCTATGTTATCTTATAGGAGTTTTATGGTTTTGCATTTTACATTTAGGTTTATGATCCATTTTGTATCAGTTTTTGTGAAGGTCTATGTCTAGATTTCATTTTTTTGATGTGTGACTGTTCACTTGTTCCAGCACCATTCATTGAAAAGACTAACTTTGCCAAACTAATGTATTGCCTTTGCTCCTTTCTCAGAGATCAGCTGGCTCTATTTATGTGGGTCTATTTCTGGACCTTCTCTTCTGTTACATTGGTCTATTTCTCTGGTGTTTCACCAATACCATACTATCTTGATTACTGTAGGTTTATGGTAAGTCTTAAAGTTGTGTGGTATCAGTCTTCTGATTTTGTTCTTTCAGTATTTTTTTGGCTGTTCTGGGTCTTTTGCCTCTCCATGTAAACTTTAGTGTCAGTTGGTTGGTATCCACAAAATAACTTGCTGGGATTTTGATTGGGACAATGTTGAATCTAGAGATCAGGTTGGAAGAACTGACATCTTGACAGTATTGTGTCTTCCTATGCATGAACATGGAATATCTCTCTCTATTTAGTTTTTATTTGATTATTTTCATCAGAGTTTTGTGTTTTTTTTCATATAGATCTTGTACATATTTTGTTAGATTTATACCTTACTCAGTATTTCACTTTTTGGTGGTGCAAATGTAAATGGTATTGTGTTTTTGATTTCAGATTCCACTTATTCATTTCTAGTATTTAGGAAAACAACCTTGTCCCTGCAACCTTGCTGTAATTACTTACTAGTTCCAGGAGTTTTTTTTATTGATTATTTTGGATTTTCTACATCAACAATCATGTCATCTATGAAGAAAGACAGTTCTATTTCTTCCTTCCCAATCAGGGTACCCTTTATTTCTTTTTAAAAATCTTATTGCATTAGTTAAGACTTCCAGTACAATGTTAAAAAGAAGTGGTGAGAGGAGATTTCCTTGTCTTCTTCCTGATCTTTTTTTTTTTGAGACAGAGTCCCGCCGTTGCTGTGTCACCCAGGCTGGAGCGTAGTGGCATGATCTCAGCTCACTGCAACCTCCACCTTCTGGGTTCAAGCGATTCTTCTGCCTCAGCCTCCTGAGTAGCTGGGATTACAGATGTGTACCACCACACCTGGCTAATTTTTATATTTTTAGTAGAGACAGGGTTTTTCCATGTTGGCCAGGCTGGTCCCGAACTCCCTACCTCAGGTGATACACCTGCCTCGGCCTCCCAAAGTGCTGGGATTACAGGCGTGAGCCACCTCGGCCAGCCTTCTTCCTAATCTTAATGGGAAAGCTTCTAGTTTTTCACATTATGATGTTAATAGTAGGTTTTTTGTAGCTGTTCTTTATCAGGTTGAGGAAATTCCCCTCTTTCTAATTAGCATTTTCTTCCTTTTTAAAACTGAATAATAAGTGGTATGTGTATACCACATTTTTTTTACCCATGCATTCATCGATGGTCACTTGGGTTGCTTCCACATTTTGGCTGTTGCGAATAAAGCTGCTATGAACATGGGTGTACAGATGTCTATTCAAGAATAGCTGGATCATGTGGTACTTCTATTTTTGTTTTTTTTTTGAGGAACTAATATGTAAAGTTTTATATACAAGGACATATTTTATACTGCATTGATGTTTAGTTTATAATAGCAAAAACTTGGCAGCATATTTGATCAGCAAGTGACTGGTTATATAAATTATGACACATGCATATAATAAAGTATTATGCAGCTGTTTAAAAAAGATATGGTAGATCTGTTATGTTTTGACATGTAACAATGTCCAGATATATTGTAATATGAAAAAGACAGACAATATGTATAATATGAACCTGTTTTTATTTTAAATCTATATATATGTATGCTCCAAATTTATTTTTCAAAAATAATGAACTTCTGGGGTGGGGGGGAGTGGAGATTATAAGTGTAATAGAAGAGCCAACTTTTAACCTTACTGCTTTATACATTACTGTATCATTTTGGGGTTTACAAGAAGCACAGTTTTTTGGGTTTTTTTTTGGAGGGGGTGTTTGTTTGTTTTTGAGACAGAGTCTTGCTCTGTCTCCCAGGCTGGAGTACAATGGCACAACCTTGGCTCACTGCAACCTCTGCCTCCCGAGTTCAAGCACTTCTCCTGCCTCAGCCTCCCAAGTAGCTGGGATTACAGGCGCCCACCACCACGCCTGGCTAATTTTTTTGTATTTTTAATAGAGACAGGGTTTTGCCATGTTGGCCAGGCTGGTCTCGAACTCCTGACCTCAGATGATCCACCTGCCTGGGCCTCCCAAAGTGCTGGGACTACAGGCACTTGCCGCCATGCCCTCAAGAAGCAGTTTTATAAGCAGAAAGACCAATTTGAATTTTTGGGAAAAAAGTTATTTGACTCTCACTCGTCTTTGACATACAAAGAAAATGTTAAGTATTTCACTTATTTACTAAGTGTTCTTATGTTCACAAGGCCAAATGCTAGTCACTGAGCTATCTTAAGTATGTTTTTATTGTTATATTTGAATGTCTTTTTATTATTAAGGGTATCTGTTGTTTTGTGATCTGAGGTATAAAATTAGTACAGCGAATTTCCATCAAAATGGTTTCACGTAAGAACACCACTCTGTCATTTTTATGTCACATTTGCATGGTGCTTCCCATTTCCTGTGACTTGGTGTGGCACGGTAAGTAGTGAAATTGGAATTTTGTCAAGGTTCCTCTGCTCTTGAATAAAATATCTCTTAGTTTAAACATTGTGTTATATTACACACTGAATCCTGTTCTTTTTCTTTTTTGTCTGACAGTAGAACTTCATGGAGGAACACGGAGTGACCCAAACCGAACATATGGCTACCATAGAAGCACATGCAGTGGCCCAGCAAGTGCAGCAGGTCCATGTGGCTACTTACACCGAGCATAGTATGCTGAGTGCTGATGAAGACTCGCCTTCTTCTCCCGAGGACACCTCTTACGATGACTCAGATATACTCAACTCCACAGCAGCTGATGAGGTGACAGCTCATCTGGCAGCTGCAGGTAGTGTTGTTTGGATTAGAAGCTCTTCTTTAATTTTTTTTTTTTTTTTTTTGGAGACAGCGTCTCACTCTGTTGCTCAGGCTGGGGTGCAGCAGCACAATCATGATTCACTGCAGCCTTGATCTTCCGGGTTCAAGTGATTCTCCCATCTCAGCCTCTGGAGTAGCTGGGACTGCTGATGTGTACCACCACATCTGGCTAATTTTTGTATATTTTGTAGAGACAGAAATGTCACTGTGTTACCCAGGTTGGCCTCAAAGTCCTGGGCTCAAGCGATCCTTCTGCCTCGGCCTCCTAAATTATTGGCATTACGGGTGTGAGTTACTATGCCTGGCCTTTATCACAACTTTTTTAAGCCTTGCAGTTATAACTTGAGCCTGTATTATACTGAGACTTGAGGTCTGTAATCACTTACTATCAGTGTTATGGCTTTGGTTTTATTTTTTCATCTATTCTGCCTATGTTTTGGCTTTAAACTGAAGCATTTATTCCAATTACGTTAAACAGAATCACTGACATGTATTTAGATTTAAATTTACCTTCTTTTCTATATGCTTTCTCTTTGCCCTACCTGTTCTGTTTACTTTTCTCTTTCTTGGCGTTTTCTTTTGTAGTGATTGAAAATTTTGTATTTTTTCATTTTTTTCTTGTTAGTTTGAAAGTTATAAGCTTTTACTATTATCAATACCTGTAGAAATTGTAACATACATCCTTTATTTATCAATGCCTTATGTTGACTAGGCTCAGTGGCTCACACCTGTAATCCCAGCACTTTGGGAGGCCAAGGTGGGAGGATCACTTGAGCCCAGGAGTTTGAGACCAGCCTGGGCAATGTAGTGCAATCCCATCTCTACCAAAAAAAAATTAGCTGGGTGTGGTGACGTGCTCCCTAGTCCCAGCTACTTGGGAGGCTGTGGTGGGATGACTGATCACTTGAGCCCAGGTGTTTGAGGGTGCAGTGAGCTATGATTACACCACTGCACTACAGCGTGAGTGACAGAGTGAGAGCCTGTGTCCAGTTGAAAAAAAAAAAAAAAAGGAAAAGCAAAACGTTGTATGTACTTGGAACTTTTAACCTCTACAGGGATAATACAAATTTCTTAGAACACTTGCATTTCATGCGCCCATCCTATATGCTATTGTTGTCCTTTGTATTCATTTTTGGTATACAGTTGGCTCTCTTTATCTGTGGGCTCCACATCTGCACATTCAACCAATTTTGATCAAAAGTATTAGGAAAAAATTAAAAGTAACAATATAACAATTAAAAATAATACAAATAAAAGGCCAATACAACAACTATTTGTATAGCATTTACACTGTATTAGGTATTATAATATTAGTATTAGTAACCTAGAAATGATACAGAAGGACGTGAATAGGTCATGTGAAACTACTACACCATTTTATATCAGGGACTTGAGCATCTACACATCAAGATGCTAGAAACAATCTCAAGAGGATTTGAAGGGACAACTGTATTTTAAACACCACAGGACTTTTTTTTTTTTTTTTTTTTTTTGAGATGGAGTCTCACTCTGTCGCCCAGGCTGGAGTGCAGTGGCACAATCTTGGCTCACTGCAGCTTCTGCCTCCTGGGTTGGAGCAACTCTCCTGTCTCAGCCTCCCGAGTAGCTGGGATTACAGGTGTGCGTCACCATGCCCAGCTAATTTTTGTGTTTTTAGTAGAGATGGGGTTTCACCCTGTTGGCCAGGCCGGTCTTGAATTCCTGACCTCGGGTGATCCACCCATCTCGGCCTCCCAGAGTGCTGGGATTATAGGCGTGAGCCACCGCATCCAGCGAACAATATTTTTATTTAAAAAATAATGTTAATTTTTTTTCCTGCATCTCCAACTGGTCTCCTGAGATGGTTTTACTTCTGCCTAAAGACACCATTTAATATTTGCTTTAACATGGATCTGCTAGTAACAAGTTCTATTTTTGCTTGTCTGTGAATGTTTTTACTTAAACTTCAACCTTGAAGGATGTTTTCACTGAGTATGGAATTCTAGCTTGGTGGTTATTCTTTCCTCATGTTGAAGGTACTGTTCCACTGTCTTCTGGATTCCATTGCTGCTATTGAGAATTCAGCTATTTCATTCTAACCGCTACTCTTTCAAAGATTATCTCCCACATGGCCTGCCCCCCTCTCCCGGAAATTTTAGCCATGAGATTTTGCTTCTGCTGCATTCCATCTCTTTTCATTCCATGGCTCCAGTTACTTATGTTAGTCTTCCTCACTTGTATGTCTCTTAACCATCTGTTCTGTATGTATCATCTTTCTGTGTAGTTTCTTCTGTCTTTCAGCTTGTGAAAGACAGAAGATTTTCTTCTTTAGCTGTTGTATTAGTCCATTTTCATGCTGCTGATAAGAGATACCCAAGACTGGGAAGAAAGAGGTTTTAATGGACTTACAGTTCCACCTGGCTAGGGAGGCCTCACAATCATGGTGGAAGGCAAGGAAGAGCAGGTCGCATCTTACATGGATGACAGCAGGCAAAAAGAGAGAGAGCTTGTGCAGGGAAACTCCTCCTTTTAAAACCATCAGATCTTGTGAGACTTATTCACTATCACAAGAACAGCATGGGAAAGATCTGCCCCCATGATTCAATTACCTCCCACCGGGTCCTTCCCACAACATGTGGGAATTATGAGAGTACAATTCAAGATGAGATTTGAGTGGGGACATAGAGCCAAACCATATTATTCCACCCCTGGCCCCTCCCAAATTTCATGTCCTCACATTTCAAAACCAATCATGCCTTTCTAACAGTCCCCCAAAGTCTTAACTCATTTCAGCATTAACTTAAAAGTCCACAGTCCAAATTCTCATCTGAGACAAGGCAAGTCCCTCTGCCTATGAGCCTGTAAAATCAAAAGCAAGTTAGTTACTTCCTAGATACAGTGGGGGTACAGGGATTGGGTAAATACAGGCATTCCAAGTGGGAGAAATTGGCCAAATAAAAGGGCTACAGGCCCCATGCAAGTCCGAAATCCAGCAGGGCCGTCAAATCTTAAAGCTCCAAAATGATCTCCTTTGATTCCATGTCTCACATCCAGGTCATGCTGATACAAGAGGTGGGGTCCCATGGTCTTGGACAGCTCTGCCCCCTGTGGCTTTGCAGGGTACAGCCTCCCTCCCAGCTGCTTTCATGGGCTGTTGTTGAGTGTCTGTGGCTTTTCCAGGCAAAAGATGCAAGCTGTCGGTGGATCTACTATTCTGGGGGCTGGAGGACAGTGGCCCTCTTCTCACAGCTCTACTAGGCAGTGCCCCCGAAGGGACTCTGTGTGAGGTCTCCGACCCAACCCCACATTTCCCTTACACACTGTACTTGCAGAGGTTCTCTATGAGGGTCCCGCCCCTGCAGCAAACTTCTGCCTGGATATCCAGGAGTTTTCATACATCCTCTGAAATCCAGGCATAGGTTCCCAAACTCCAATCCTTGACTTCTGTACACTTGCAGGCTCAACACCTTTGTGGAAGCTGCTAAGGCTTGGGGCTTGCAGCCCCTGAAGCCATGGCCCGAGCTCTGTGTTGGCCCCTTTCAGCCACAGCTGGAGCAGCTGGGATACAGGGCACCAAGCCCCTAGGCTGTGCCCAGCACAGGGACCCTGGGCCCAGCCCTTGAAACCTCCTAGGTCTCCAGGCCTATGATGGGAGGGGCTACTGTGAAGACCTCTGACATGCCCTGGAGACATTTTTTCCATTGTCTTGGGGATTAACATTCGTCTCCTTGTTGCTTATGCAAATTTCTGCAGCCAGCTTGAAGTTTTCCTCAGAAAATGGGATTTTCTTTTCTGTTGCATTATCAGGCTGCAAATTTTCCAAACTTTCATGTTTTCCTTCCCTTATAAAACAATGCCTTTAACAGCACCCAAGTCACCTCTTGAATGCTTTGCTGCTTAGAAATTTCTTCTGCCAGATACCCTAAATCATCTCTCTCAAGTTCAAAGTTCCACAAATCTCTAGGGCAGGGGCAAAATGCCACCAGTCTCTTTGCCGAAGCATAACAAGAGTCACCTTTGCTCCAGTTCCCAACAAGTTTCTTATTTCCACCTGAGACCACATCAACCTGGACTTTATTGTCCATATCACTATCAGCATTTTGGGCAAAGCCATTCATCAAGTCTCTTGGAAGTTCCAAACTTTCCTACATTTTCCCGTCTTCTTTTGAGCCCTCCAAACTGTTCCAACCCCAGCCTATTACCCAGTTCCAAAGTCACTTCCACATTTTTAGGTATCTTTTCAGCAGCACCCCACTCCTGGTACCAATTTACTATATTAGTCCATTTTCATGCTGCTGATAAGGACATACTCAAGACTGGGAAGAAAAGAGGTTTCGGTGGACTTACAGATCTATGTGGCTGGGGAGGCCTCACAACCATGGCAGAAGGCAAGGAGGAGCAAGTCATGTCTTACATGGATAACAGCAGTCAAAGAGTGAGAGAGCTTGTGCAGTGGAATTCCTCTTTTTTTAAACCCCCAGACCTAATGAGACTTATTCACTATCACAAGAACAGCACCGGAAAGACCTGCCCGCATGATTCAGTTACCTCCCACTAGGTTCCTCCCACAACATGTGGGAGTTATGAGAGTACAATTCAAGATGAGATTTGGGTGGGGACACAGCCAAACCATATCAGCTGTGTTTAAGGTGCCTTTTTTATGTTCTCTTTTCTTTGTTTTTTCTTTATTTATTAAGGTGCTTCTAAATCTGTTCATTGACTTATTAATTTTGGTAATTGTTAATAGTTTAACCAAAACTACTAACCAAGTGTTTTTTTTCCTCCAGTTTTAGAATTTCTAGTGTGTGTGTGTGTGTGTGTGTGTGTGTGTGTGTGTGTGTTTCCTCCGAGATTTGCACTGAACGGTTTCCAATAGTGGAAAAAAATTTCTTTTAAACAAATAATTTTATAATTTACCTGGTAATTCTCTCTCAAGTTTCTGTTACATGTTGTTAATGTCATTTCTTGTTCACGTTGGCTCTTTTCTTGGTGTACTATTATATTTCAATGAATACTGGATGCTGTGTTTGGAAAATTATTTCTAGAAATAATTTGGGGTCTAGTATAATGTTATCTTCCTCTAGAGAGGATTTTTGTTTGCTTCTGCGAGATGCCCGAGGGCACTAGCAATCCTGGATCATCTTAATCCAATTTAAGGTTTATTTATTTATTTATTTATTTATTTTAGTATTTATTGATCATTCTTGGGTGTTTCTCAGAGAGGGGGATGTGGCAGGGTCATAGGATAATAGTGGAGAGAAGGTCAGCAGATAAACACGAGAACAAAGGTCTCTGGTTTTCCTAGGCAGAGGTCCCTGCGGCCTTCGGCCCTGTTTGTGTCCCTGGGTACTTGAGATTAGGGAGTGGTGATGACTCTTAACGAGCATGCTGTCTTCAAGCATCTGTTTAACAAAGCACATCTTGCACCGCCCTTAATCCATTTAACCCTGAGTGGACACAGCACATGTTTCAGAGAGCATGGGGTTGGGGGTAAGTTAAAGATTAACAGCATCCCAAGGCAGAAGAATTTTTCTTAGTACAGAACAAAATGGAGTCTCCTATGTCTACTTCTTTCTACACAGACACAGTACAAATCTGACCTCTCTTCCTTTTCCCCACATTTCCCCCTTTTCTTTTCGACAAAACCGCCATCGTCATCATGGCCCGCTCTCGATGGTCGCTGTCTCTTCGGAGCTGTTGGGTACACTTCCCAGACGGGGCGGCCGAGCAGAGGCGCTCCCCACTTCCCAGACGGGGTGGCCGGGCAGAGGCGCACCTCACTTCCCAGACGGGGTGGTGGCCGGACAGAGGCGCTCCTCACCTCCCAGACGGGGTGGCGGCCGGGCAGAGGCGCTCCTCACATCCCAGACAATGGGCGGCCGAGCAGAGGTGCTCCTCACCTCCCAGACGGGGCGGCCGGGCAGAGGCGCTCCCCACCTCCCAGACGGGGTGGCCGGGCAGAGGGCTGCTCACATCCCAGACGATGGGCGGCCAGGCAGAGACGCTCCTCACTTCCTAGACGGGGTGGCGGCTGGGCAGAGGCGCTCCTCACTTCCCAGACGGGGCGGGCGGGCAGAGGGGCTCCTCACATCCCAGACGATGGGCGGCCAGGCAGAGACGCTGCTCACTTCCTAGACGGGGTGGCGGGCGGGCAGAGGCTGTAATCTTAGCACTTTGGGAGGCCAAGGCAGGCAGCTGGGAGGTGGAGGTTGTAGCGAGCCAAGATCACGCCACTGTACTCCAGCCTGGGCAACATTGAGCATTGAGTGAGCGAGACTCCGTCTGCAATCCCAGCACCTCGGGAGGCCGAGGTGGGCAGATCACCCGAGGCCAGGAGCTGGAGACCAGTCCGGTCAACACGGCGAAACCCCGTCTCCACCAAAAATACGAAAACCAGTCAGGAGTGGCGGCGTGTGCCTGGAATCCCAGGCACTCGCCAGGCCGAGGCAGGAGAATCACCGGAGCCCAGGGCAGGGAGGTTGCAGGGAGCGGAGATCTTGGCAGTACAGTCCAGGCTCCCCAAGAGAGGGAGACAGTGGAGACGGGAAAGGGGGAGGGGGAGGGGGAAAGGGAGGGAGAGGGTAGGGGAGAGGGAGAGGGAGAGGGATCCAATTTAAGGTTTTAAAATTTTCTGGGCTACTAAATGACTTAAAGCTGGGCTACATTTTATATCTTTCACTTTCCTGTTTACATTGAACATTTAGCACCATGGTGAAAAGACTTCATATAAACCATGCCTGAATGGGTATGGTATTAGATATTGATCTTAGAAGGTATTTAGAAAAGCTAGACAAGAAATTAATGATGAGGAGTGGCCAAAATACTACATGTTTTGAATATATGCTGTATTTAAGAAGAGGAAGACAGATTCAATGAACAACAACTTTATTACTGTCAGTTACTGTCCACTGTGTATTTCCGGAGTGGTGAATTTAAAAATAAGTCTTAGGGGCAAAACACTTGAAATGTTTGTAAAATATATTTTGTGAAATGCTTATGTGTCCCAGCAGAGGGCATCTTGACATAATGAATCCAGGTCCACTGCTTTTCTATGAAGGAAGATGGTTTTAAGACATGGCTTTGCTGTATTACTGTACTGCTTTGTGATAGTGTTAAGACCAGGCAAAGACTTTAATTTGACCCCTTTGTGTGGCACATGTGGAAAGTGAGACACAGCTGGTAGAAATGACTTCCATTTGATCATTTAATATTCAATTATTGAGGAATTATAATGTATAGTACATATATGTAACCTATGTAGATACTATGCACAAGGCAGGCAAGAGTTTGCTTCTTAGGAGTGCGAAAGGCTTATTGGGGGGAGAAAAGAGTTTGTTTCTGAAGGAGCTTTCATCCAGTGGTGGGGGAGAGCTACCAATAATAAAGTAAAATAATTTGAGAAAGCATTGGATGCTCTGAATAAAATAATGCGGGAAGGTAATGGAGAGAGAAGGACAGCAGATTGCTGCTAGTTTGGGTGGTCTGGGAAGGCTTCTCTGAGGAGGAAGGTTGTGACTGACAGGCAGTTAGGTGTCAGCAAAGGGAAGTGCATTTCAGACTGAGAAACACTGAAAGCAAGGACTTGCAGATGGGAAATGGGAAGGAGGCCAGTGTGGTTGGAGCCTTGTGAGGCAGGCATGAGTCAGACCACCCAGGGCCTAGGGGCTGTGTGTGGTAAGGAATTTCGAGAGGCAGCAGAGCACAGGGCTTACCTGCCCAGGCTCTGGAATCAGGCTTCCTGGGTTGGAATCCCAACTCCACTTAACCAGCGTGGGGATTTTTCTGAGGAGCTGGTCTGTAGCATTCATCATATCTGAAAGGTGACCCAGAAAAGGTAAATGACCATTCACTATATTGTGTTGCCTGTCAGAAACACTTCTAATTCTCTGCAGCACAGACAGCCCCTGATTATTGTTGATTTTCAAGAAAAAAAAGTTTATTTGTAGTGCAACTAAACGAAATCTTCAAGTAATAAAAACAATATCTCAAGTTGGTTGACCTCTTTTAGTATCAATCACCAGTATGTTGTTTGTTGTTGTTGTTGTTGTTGGTTTTTTTTGAGACAGGGTTTCACTCTGTTGTCCAGACTGGAGTGCAGTGGTACAATCATGGCTTACTGCAGCCTCAACCTCCTTGGGCTCAGATGATCCTCCCACCTCATCCTCGTGGACAGGTGCACGCCACCATGCCCAGCTAATTTTTTAAATTTTTGCAGACATGCCGTTTTGCCATGTTGCCCAGGGCTGGTCTTGAACTCCGGGGCTCAAGTGATCCTCCTGCCTTGGCCTCCCAGAGTGTTGGGATTACAGGCGTGAGCCACTGGGCCTAGCCCTAGAGGACTTCTTTTTAAACAAAATTGGATTTATTATTTCATTTTCTTTGAAATGATAAAGGATAGGTTAATAAAGAAGTGGAGAAAGATTCACGTGGTCTATAGACGTAATTAATATCTTGAGAGTGATAGTTTTGGTAAATTGTGCAGCAAGTAGAAAATACTTGAATATTTGAATCATATGGAGAAGTATCAAGATTGACATAACAAATGCATGTGCACCCACTGCCCAGCTTTGTCAGTTATTACTGCTTTCACATGTTTGCATCAAATGTTTTTTAAGAAATAAAAAGTACAGATATGGTTGAAATTCTCAGTGGAACTCTTTCTAATCCTGCTCCCTTCCCTCCCTCCCTCCACTGGGGTAACCAGTATTCTAGATTTGGTCTTTGTCATTCTCTTGCATTTGTCTATATTTGCTATTATGTGTCTGTATGATTAAACAATATTTAGCATTGTTTTGCATGTGTTAAATTTTATATTAATGGTATCACTCTGATACTATGTTTCTGTAATATGTTTATCTCGTTCAACATTTTTCTGAGATTCACCCATGTTGATAATGTGGCTGTTTTTAACTGTTATATGGTATTCCATTCATTATCTGAGTATTTCTTTTTCTGTTGTTGTTTTTTGAGATGGAGTTTCACTCTGTTGCCCTGGCTGGAGTGCAGTGGCACGATCTCTGCTCACTGCAACCTCTGCCTCCTGGGTTCAAGCAATTCTCCTGCCTCAGCCTCCTGAGTAGCTGGGACTAGAGGCACACACCACCATACCTGGCTAATTTTTGTATTTTTAGTAGAGATGGGGTTTACCATGTTGGCCAGGCTGGTCTCGAACTCCTGACCTCAAGTGATCTGCCTACCCCAGCCTCCCAAAGTGTTGGGATTACAGGCGAGAGCCACCGCATCCAGCCTGAATATTTCACATATTGGTAGATAATCAGGTTGTTTGTAATTTTTTCTGTTTTGACAATGTAGCACAGTAATACATTTTACATTGTGACCCAGAATAAATGAGTACACATATAGCCAAAACTACAATTTTTAATGAAATAATACTTAACCCCTACTGCAAATTGTATACTCTGTGATATGTTCTAGTCTGTTCTATTTTATTAGAAAAAAATACACTCATGAGTCACTGAAAGGTCATACTAGCTGTAGCTTGAAAAGTACTACTGGAAGATATACCCAGGAGGGGAATTGGAGGGCCAAAGATGTCCATTTTCAACTTTACTAGATATTGCTAAATGTCTTTCCAAATCCTGTTCATTTACATCCCCACAAGCAGTATGCTGTAGCGCCTGTTACTTCTCATTCTCACCATCGGTGTTACCAGTCTTTTTCATTTTTGCAGATCTGGTAGGTATAAAATGGCATCTCAGTGTTGGTTTAATTTGTGTTTTTGAGCTAGAGGTTCCAGCGAGTGCAGTAAGACAAAGTAGAGCACCATTTTGGATCTTTATTGACGTCTCAATTTTCTTTCTTTGCCTATTTCCTGTTTATACCTTTGCCCATTTCCCAACTCAGTTTTTTGGTCTTTTTTATGTCAATTTATAAAAATTATTGATCTATATTTTGTATTCCTTTCCCAATAATATGTATTGTAATTATTTTCTCCCAGTTTGTTGCCCACCCCCATTTATTTATTTTTTTGTTCATGAAGGTTTTTATTTATATTATTGTGAAATTTATTAATCTTTTACCTTATAGTTTATCCTTTCGGGATCTTGTTTAAGGAATTCTTCTTAACTCTGACTTTATAAAATATTCTATAGTAGTTTATTGTAGAAGTTATAATTTTTTTAATTTTCAATTTTAAAGGTATTTATTTATTTATTTATTTATTTATTTATTTATTTATTTATTAGAGATAGGATCTTACTCTGTCACCCAGGCTGGAGTGCAGTGATGCAATCATAGTTCTCTGCAGCCTCAAACTCTTAGTCTCAAGTGATCCTCCTGCCTCAGCCTCCCAAGTAGCTGGGACCTCAGGTGTGCAGCACCATGCCTGGTTTTAAATTTTTTTGTAGATACGGAGTCTTGCTATGGTGCCCAGGCTAGTCTTGAACTCCTGGCCTCAAGCAGTCCTCCTGCCTTGTCCTTCCAAAGTGCTGGATTACAAGCTTTCTTTTGTTTTTCATTGTTTTATTGAGGTTATTGTTTTACATTTAGGCCTTTAATCCACCTGTAATTTATTTTTGTATGTAAGGATCTAATTTCATTATTTTTCCATATGGATAACCAGCATCATATATTTAATAGCCCATACTTTTTTTTATCTTTCTGACACAGGAGGATGTTTATGAAATCTGCAATTCAGTTGCTTTGATTTGTCTATCCCTGAGTCAGTTCCACACTAGTTTAATGACTATAGTTATGCTCTTATTTATTTATCTCATCTCATCCTTCTAATCAGTGGAGATATAACCTTAATGAGTATAGCCTTGTAATTACTAATATGTGGTAGGATGAATGCCTTCAAATTCTTAAAATCTTATGAATTGTTTTGGCTATTTTTGGCCATTTGCACTTCTATTTAAATACTGGGATCAGTTTATCAAATTCCACAAAATCCCATGTTGAGAGTTTTATTTGAACTGTATTAAATTTATAAATCAATCAAATCAAGCAGCTTTATGCACAGTAGCCTAAAACTGGAAATAGTCCAAGTATCCATCAGATAGAAGAATAGGTAAACAAACTGGTTTATCCAAACAATGGAATATTACTTGGCAACAAAAAGGAAAAAACAACTGGTTCATGTGGCAGCATGGATGAATCTAGAAACATTATTCTAAGTGAAGTTTTAAGTGAAAGAGTATTACTATATGATTTACTACTTACTATATGATTCCATTTATTTAAAGCTCTAGAATAGGCAAAACTCTAATGTATGGTGAAAAAAAGAAGAATTCTAGGTATTGCTGAGAAGTAAGGATGGGAATTGACTGAGAAGGGACATGAAAGGACTTTCTGGAGTGATGTTATAGGTCTTGAGTTTCCTCTCCTTTCCCCTCCCCTCCCCTCCTGTCTCCTCTCCTTTTTTGAGACGGAGTCTTGCTCCTTCACCCAGGCCAGAGTGCAGTGGAGTGATCTCGGTTCACTGCAACCTCCACCTCCCAGATTCAAGCGATTTTCCTGCCTCAGTCTCCTGAGTAGCTGGGACTACAGAGGTGCACCACCATGCCCAGCTAATTTTGTATTTTTAGTAGAGATGGGGTTTCACCATATTGGCCAGGCTGGTCTCAAACTCCTGACCTTAGGTGATCCTCCCACCTCAGCCTCCCAAAGTGCTGAGATTACAGGTGTGAGCCACTGCGCCTGGCCAGATCTTGAGTTTTATGAGTATATACATTTTTAAAATGTATTGAATGTATACTTGGATTTGTATACTTCACTATATGCAAATTTTACCTCAAAAGAAAAAAATTATAAAATATTGAACTCTAGCTAATGCTATGCCTGCTGAAGTATTTAGGGGGATCATATTGATATTTGCAGTTTGCTTTGAAACACATTTTAAAAACCCCAGTGTGAGTTGATGAATGGATAGAACGATGGATAGATATGTATAATAAGATGTTAAAATTCAACTTTGCACATATGTTTTTAAGTTTTCATAATAAAATATTGGACTCCTACAACTCAGCTGCAAGAAACCAAATAACTCAATATAAAAAATGGGCAAGGGACTCGAATAAACATCTCTGTAAGGAAGACTTAGAAATCACCAACAGGTTAGATGCTCAACTATTATCAAAAATATAAACTAGTGGCGGTGAGGTCGTAGAGCAACTGGAACCCTTATATACTATAGGTGGGAATGTACAGTGGTCCAGCCGCTCTGGAAAACAGTATGGAGATTCCTCCAAAAAATTAAAAATAGAACTACCATATATGATCCTGGTGTCTCACTTCTGGGTATTTATCCAACAGAATTGAAATCAGGACCCCAAAGAGATATCCACACTCCCTTGTTCATTGTTGTATTATTCACAATAGCAAGATGTGAAAATAGCCTAAATGCCCACCAGCGGATGAATGGCTAAAGCAAATGTGATCTGTATGTACAATGGAACATTATTCACCCTTAAAAACACAAGGAAATGCTGTCATATGTGACAACATGGTTCAACCTTGGGGACATTATGATAAGTGAAACAAACCAGTCATAGAAAGACAAATACTGCATGATTCTACTTATAGAAGGTATCTAAAATAGTCATAGAAACAGAGGAGAATGGTGGTTGCCAGGGTCTGGGGGTGAGGGACAGATGGGGAGTTGCTCTTCAGTGATGCAAGGGGAATAAGTTCTGGATAGCCGTACAACATTGGGCTTATAGTTAGCAATGATGTGTTGTCCACTTTACATTTTAAGAGAGTAGATAACAAACATGTTAAGTGTTCTTACCACAATTTTGAAAAATAAGTAAAATGTTGGTAAATGCAGCCATAAAATTTTTTCTGTAACAGCTATTTATGATGGAAAGAAAGGTAAAAAGCAGTTGCTTATTTTTTATTTGCTTTGAGGTTCTTTAGAGGGGTTTAAGTCAGGCTGATTATATTACTAACAACATGTAGAAAAGTTCATTTAGGTTTACAGGGAGGTTTATTTTATTTGAGCCACTTAGAATATATATGCCAATATACAGATGAGCAATTTAATTTTTATTTAAGCCTTTTACAAGATTCATAAATAAGGATAAAGGTAAAATGTCTTTTTAAAAAGATTGTCTTTGATATGTTGAGGTCCCAGGAATCAGAGACTTCAATAGTTCCTTTGAGTCTACCCTCCATCTACCCTTCAAAAGACAAAACAAGACATTATACATTAGTTTCAAGGCAAGCCAGACTAACTTTTATTAACATTTTCTCAGAGTGGGAAAGTTATCTCTTTTCTGCCAGAATGCCTTCATCAACTTGACCTTGTGTTGAACATCTCCATTTTTGGCACAATTCCCAGATGTAGAAGAAAATTTTTTCAATTAAGATGTTATTCATTCAGATACTCCTTTAGGTGTTGTTGGAGTTCCAAATGTGAGTGATTATCTCCAACTTCCTTAACTTGGCATTGTCTTGGAGTAATGGAAACAGGGGTACAGGGATAGAAGTAAATACTGAAATCTGTAAATTTTTTCAATTTTGGCAAACTTCTCCTCTCAGTGCTACAATTTTTCCTAGCACCTCTAAGAATATTGCCTTTACAGTATGGGCATGCTGGCAAAACAAAGCCAAAGAAAAACAACATTATACAAAATTCAAACTAGTGTGTGATGGGGAGGTGTAAGTCATTTGCTTTTTTAAAAGATTCATTGTATGTTTTATTGGTAAATCATAATATGAATCATGTTAAACAATAGTGAAGTATATTGATAATATCAGGATCATTCTTTATTTACCGACAACAATATTAGGAAAGCAGTGCTACCTTTTTTGTACCTTTAATTGTTTCTGTCTTGAACAGTTTACAGGCAGCTGCCTAATCTCAGCACATACGTTATTATTTCAGGTCCTGTGGGAATGGCCGCTGCTGCTGCTGTGGCAACAGGAAAGAAACGGAAACGGCCTCATGTATTTGAGTCTAATCCATCTATCCGGAAGAGGCAACAAACACGTTTGCTTCGGTGAGGGCTCCCTTATCCATATTGTTACTATTCCTCAAATACTTCCTGTGGATGACAGACTTAGAACATATGTGATTAGGTTTGTCAAGGATGCTTGGTTCGATTCCTTGATGACAGATGTAGACTTAAAAGTATTCTTACAAAATTAAATGCATGAAAACAAAGAAATACGATTTAACAGATACGTAATATCACATTAATTCATTCAGAAAAGTTGTATGCCTGCTATGTGCAAGCCATTGTTGTAGACATTGGGCATGGAAGAGTGAACAAAACAAATTGCCTTAAAGAGCTTGTATCCTGCTAGAGGGGGAAAGAAAAAAACAATATGCAATATGTCAGCTGATGATAAGTGCAATGGGAAAAAAATACAGTGGAGTAAGGAAAATAGAAAAGTCAGGAGGTAGGGGGATATAGTCAGTTTTCTCTATTACGGGGATGGTCTGGGAAATCCTTTTTGTTAAGGCAGCCTTTGAACAGAGACTTGAAGGTGCTGAAAGAGCACACATGTTGATGCTGGGGGGAAGAACATCTCAGGCAGGGTGAGTATCAAGAGCAAAGGCCCCGAGGTGTGAATGTGGTAGTTGTGTTTGAGGAACAGCCAGGGAGATATGAGAGGATGTTCAGAGCAGTAGAGAAGAGCCACGCCAGGAGATCTTTTTTTTTTTTTTTTTTTTGATAGATGTGGTCTTGCTATGTTGTCCAGGCTGGTCTGGGACTCCTGGCCTCAAGCGATCCTCGTGCCTCAGCCCCCAAAATGCTGGGATTACAGGTGTGGGTCACTTCACCCAGCCTAGGAGATCTTATAGTCCAATATCAGGGGCTTGACTCTTACTCTGAGTGAGATGAGATGTCATTGTAGGCTTTTGACCAGAGCAGTAGTATCATCTGACTTATATTTTTAAAGAATCACTCAGGCTACTGTGTTGAGAATAGACTGTGGGGATACAAGAATGGAATCAGGGAGACCAATTAGGTGGTGATTATAGTAATCTAGGCCAGAAATGATAGTGTCTTAAAACCAACATGGCAGCATCATGGATAGTAAGAAGTGATCAGGTTCTAGATGTATTTCGAAAGTCAACTCATCATGATTCATTGACATGGAGTTTGAGAGAAAGGAGTGCTGGGTGATTTTTGGTCTGATTACTAGAAGGATTGCGATGACATTTACTGGAGGAGGAGCGAGCATGGCAGTGAGGGTGAGGCAGAATCAGGAATTTGGTTTTGGACATGGTAAGTTTGTGATGCCTCTAACCATTAAGTGGAGATACAAAATAAGCAGTTGGATATATGAGTCTGGAATTGAAATGAGAGGCCTTAGCTGAAGATATTATAAGCATATAGGTAGTATTTAGAACTAGGAGACTGGATGAGGTCACTTAGGGAGTGAGTATGGACTGAGGCCTGAAGCACTCCACCTTTTAGAGGTTAGAGAGATTAAAGGAACCAGCAAAAGAATCTAAGAAGCAACCAGTGAGTCAGGAAACAAACCAAGAGAGTGGTATCCTGGAAACCAGGTACAAAAAGTGTGTCAGGAAGGAGAGCATGTGATCAGCTATCAAATGCTGCTGATGGGTTGAAAAAGATGCCAACTGACTATTAGATTTAGTAACATGGAGTTCATGATTGAACTTGACAAGAGTATATTCAAAGGAGTGGTAAGGGTGAAAAGATTGGAATAGCTTTAAGAGAGAATAGGGAGAGAGGAATTGGAGACAGTGAATATAAACCATTGTTTCAAGGAATTCCATCAGATTTCTTGTTTGATAAGTGGTCCTTTGCCCACCACATTTCAGAATTCTGAAATGTAGAACTTTGAAATCATCTCCCATGATTTCAGAGGGAAGAGGCAGTGTTTCTGTTTCATCCATTGTTACTATATTTTAAAAAGCTGTTTTCGGGGTCGGGCGCGGTGGCTCACGCCTGTAATCCCAGCACTTTGGGAGGCCGAGGCGGGCGGATCACGAGGTCAGGAGATCGAGACCATGGTGAAACCTCGTCTCTACTAAAAATACAAAAAATTAGCCGGGCGCAGTGGCGGGCGCCTGTAGTCCCAGCTACTCGGGAGGCTGAGGCAGGAGAATGGCGTGAACCCGGGAGGCGGAGCTTGCAGTGAGCGGAGATCGCGCCACAGCACTCCCGCCTGGGCGACAGAGCGAGACTCCGTCTCAAAAAAAAAAAAAAAAAAAGCTGTTTTCGGTTTGATGGGTGCAGCAGACCACCATGTCACATGTATACCTTTGTAACAAACCTGCACATGTATCCCAGAACTTAAAGTAAAATTAAAAAAAAATTTTTTTAAGCTGTTTTTGGCTGGGCATGGTGGCTCATGCCTATAATCCCAGCACTTTGGGAGGCCGAGGTGGGCGGATCACCTGAGGTCGGGAGTTTGAGACCAGCTTGGCCACCATGGTGAAACCCCATCTCTACTAAAAATAGAAAATATAAGCCAGGCATGGTGGCAGGCACCTACAATCCCAGCTAGTCGGGAGGCTGAGGCAGGAGAATAGCTTTAACCCAGGAGGCGGAGGCTGCAGTGAGCCGAGATCGCACCACTGTACTTTAGCCTAGGCGACAGAGTGAAACTCCATCTAAAAAAAAAAAAAAGCTGTTTTCATTTCATCCTCACTTGTGAAATACTGTAGGACTAAGAATAATTATTTATATCACAATGAAAATCTGAAGCTACAACATTTTAAAAGCATAGGTATACCTCAGAGATATTGCAGGTTTGGTTCCAGACCACTACAATAAAGCAAGTATCACAATAAGTCACAGAAATTTTTTGGTTTCTCAGTACATAAAAAAGTTGTGTTAACACTATACTCTGTTAAGTGTTGCAGTGGTATTATATCTAAAAAAAAAAAGCAATGTACATACCGTAATTTTAAAATACTTTTTTTTTGGAGACAGAGTCTAGCTCTGCTGTCCAAGCTAGAGTGCAGTGGTGTGATCATGGCTCACTGCAGCCTCAATCTCCTGGGCTCAAGTGATCCTCTCACTTAGCCTCCCAAGTAGTTGGGACAATAGGTGCATGTCACCATACCTGGCGAATTTTTTCTTCTTTCTGTAAAGACGGGGTCTCACTATGTTGCCCAGGCTGGGCTTGAACTCCTGGGCTCAAGCAATCCTCCCACCTCAACCTCCCAAAGTGCTGGGATTACAGGTGTGAGCCACTGGGCCTGACCACTAAAACACTTAATTGCTAAAAGATGTTAGGGCTCATCTGAGCCTGCAGTGACTCATAATCTTATTGCTGGTTGACGGTCTTGCCTCGATGTTGATGACTGCTGACTGATCAGGGTGGTTGTTGCTGAAGGTTGGGGTGGCTGCGGCAATTTCTTAAAAATAATACAACAAATTTTGCCCTATCGATTGACTCTTCCTTTCCTGAACGATTTCTCTGTAACGTGGTGCTGTTTGATAGCATTTTACCCACAGTAAGACTTTCAAAATTGGAGTTAATCCCCTCCAACTCTGCTGCTGCTTCATAAATTCAGTTTGTGTAATATTCTAAATCTTTTATTGTCATTTCAACAATATACATAACATCTTCATCAGGAGTGGATTTCATCTCAGGAAACCGCTTTCTTTGCTCATCAATAAGAAGCACCTCTCATCCATTGGAATTTTATCATGATATTGTAGCAATTCAGTCCCATTTTCAGGGTCCACTTTTAATTCTGGTTCTTTCACTGTTTCTACTGCATCCGCAGTTACTTCCTCCACTGAAGTGTTGAACTCCTTAAAATCATCCGTAAGGCTTGGAATCAAGTTCTTCCAAACTTCCATTAATGTTGATAGTTTGACCTCCTCCCATGTACTTGCACATGAATTACAAGTACTCTTAATGGCATCTTGAATGGTGAATCCGTTCTAGAAGGTTTTCAATTTATTTTACCCAGATCCATCAGAGGAATCACTATAGCAGCTATATCCTTTCAAAATGTATTTCTTACATAAAAAGACCTGAATGTTGAAATGACTCCTTGATCCATGGGCTGCAGAATGGATGTTATCTTAGCAGGCATGAAAACAGCATTAATCTCCTTGTACGTCTCCGTTAGAGCTCTTGGGTGACTAGGTGCATTGTCAATGTGCAACAATAGTTTGAAAGGAATTTTTTTTTCTGAGCAGTGGGTCTCAACAGTGGTCTTAAAATATTCCATAAACCATGCTGTAAACAGATGTACTGCCATCCAGGTTTTATTGTTCTATTTATAGAGGACAGGCAGAGTAGATTTAGCATGATTTTTAAAGGACCCTAAAGTCACTAGCTGCATTAGCCCCTAACAAGAGAGTCAACCTGTCCTTTGAAGCTTTGAAACCTGGCATTGACTTCTCCTCTCTAGCTAGGAAAGTCCTAGATTGTATCTTCTTCCAGTAGAAGGCTGTTTTATCTACATTGAAAATCTGTTGTTTAGTGTAGCCACTTATCTAGATCTTCTGGATAACTTGCTCCAGCTTCTACATCAGCACTTGCAGCTTCACTTTGTACTTTTATGTAATGGAGATGGCTTCTTTCCTTGAACCTCATGAACCAACCTCTGAAAGAGTCAGGGCTTTGCTCTGCATTAGGCTTTGGCCTATGAGAATGTTGTGGCTGGTTTGATCTTTTATCCGGACCACTAAAACTTTCTCCATATCAGCAATAAAACTGTTTTGCTTTCTTATCATTTGTGTGTTCATTGGAGTAGCATTTGTAATTTCCCTCAAGGACTTTTCTTTGCATTAACAACGTGGCCAACTGTTTGGCATAAGCGGCCTTGCTGTCAGCCTATCTTGGCTTTCAACATGCCTTCCTCACTAAGCTTAGTCATGTCTAGCTTTTGATTAAAAGTGGGAGATGTGCGACTCTTCCTTAAAGTTGAACACTTAGAGGCCATTGTAGGGTTATCAGTTGGCCTAATTTCAATACTGTGTCTCAGGGAACAGGAAGGCCTGAGGAGTGGGAGAGAGGCAGGAAACAGTTGGTCAGTGGGGCATTCAGAACACACACAACATTTATCAGTCAAGTTTGCCATCTTTTGTGGGCACTGTCGTGCCCCAAAACAATTAAAATAGTAACATCGAAGATCACTGATCACAGATCACTATAACAGATTATAATAATGAAGAAGTTTGAAATATTGCTAGAGTTACCAAAATGTGACACAGAGACACGAAGTGAGCACATGCTGTTGGAAAAAAATGGCACTGATCAACTTGCTTGACATAGGGTTGCCACAAACCTTTAATTTGTTTTAAAGAAAGATCCCAGATAGTATCTGTGAAACACAAAATAACAAAGCACAATAAAACTAGGTATGCTTGTAGTATTTTTGGACAAAATTATCTCAATGAAATATAAACAATGAGATATAAACAATCAATAAAAGATAGTAAAAGCAAATCATTTGAACCCCTTTTATTAAGCATGGAGATGATATAATAAATTCTGTAAGAGCACATCTTGGTTGCATTTTTTTTTTTTTTTTTTTTTGAGAAAAAGTCTTGCTCTGTTGCTCAGGCTGGAGTGCAGTGGCACCATCTTGGTTCACTGCAACCTCCACCTCCTGGATTCAAGCAATTCTCGTGCCTCAGCCTCCCAAGAATCTAGGATTACAGGCGTGTGCCACCATGTCTGGGTAATGTTTTTGTATTTTTAGTAGAGACGGGTTTTACACCATGTTGGCCAGGCTGGTCTCGAACTCGTGGCCTCAAGTGATCCGCCTGCCTTGGCCTCCCAAAGTGCTGGGATTACAGCAGGCATGAGCCACCATGCCTGGCCAGTTGTAATCTTTATAATTGTAAGTAGCAGTAAGTGATGTTGCTCAGATCAAGAAGAATGATACCATGTTCAAAATTGTGTCATGGCTATGTCCCAAAGCAAAACCTTCAGTTGAGCCTTCTATCAGTAGTCTTTAAGAAAAAGGTATGTACATATTTCTGCTGAATAGGATAGCAAACCTCACATTCCCCTTTTCACATTTTACGTAAAAGAGCATATCTGATCAGAATAAACTGTCTTACCTCATTTGTGTCTATGTCACTGTAATTTCCGTCTTTTTAAAACTTTTTATTCTTGTTTCCTTTTCTGATTCAGGAAACTTCGAGCCACGTTAGATGAATATACTACTCGTGTGGGACAGCAAGCTATTGTCCTCTGTATCTCACCCTCCAAACCTAACCCTGTCTTTAAAGTGTTTGGTGCAGCACCTTTGGAGAATGTGGTAAGTCAGAACCAAGCTGTTCTCATTTGCCCTTTGCTTTCTGTCGGCTGCTTCCATTCTTCTGATCCTCTGTCAAGTATAACAGTTGGCATTTCTGTTACCCCCTAATCCAGGCATGGGAGTGGGGACTAGTTTTCAGACTGCTTTATGCATATCAAAACAAAATGATCATTACTCTTTTTACTTCCTACGTCAAGGTATTTTACCTCCCCAGATGCAATGGGTGGCCGGGGGAAGGGGGGAGGGGGCGGGGAAACAAGGTGTTTTGTTTGTTAGGAAACCAATGCAGGATTTTCTAAGAAAATTACTGATTTATATCAGAAACAAAATAATAGATAATTCCAAGGTGTCAACTTCCTGAGGGAAACCTGGGGGCATTTTATTGATCAGTTTATTTGAGTTACATATTTGAAATATCTTACATTTATCAAAGAATTGATTTAATACTGTGCTCCAAATATAGAACTATATTTGAACATTTTGATTGTATAACTATCCAGAGCTAATTTTATAAAAATAGTCTTTTGCCCCTGCATACTTATACAATAGGAACTATTCTTTCTTGCGCCAAATTAACTTTGAATCATTAGTAGATTAATGATCTGTAAAGATTTAAATTGCATTTTGTTTTTATTAGGGTAAAATTTATTAGCTTAAAATGACATTTATTAGATGTCTCCCATATTGAATATAGGCATTTTTTGAGTTCAGAATTAGTAATCAATTGATCGAAATTCTGTTTGTTGTATTTTTTTCACACCATCTTCCTGTCCCTGAAATGTTGTGGGTATTTCTTAACATTTTTGAGTTCTGTTTTGAGTTTTTCCAAAAATTCCTGAAGCCCTACAATTAGGATGTGTTAGGACCTTTCCTTAGAAGAATATAGTAGAAGGCTCCTAGTTCAAAATGGTGCCTGAGAAATAGCCTTTACTGTCACACTGTTGACAAACATGAAATCTGGGCATTTCTTCTCTTCTTTAGTACTGAAAATCTAAAACAATACTACTACTGGTAGTAGTAAAGATGATGCAATCTATGAAAAAGATTCATCTAGAAGACTCAGAAAAATACTTCAGAAAATTACTCACTGCAAAAAAAACTTTTTAAGTTTTGGGAAACTGTTGGAGTCCTCCATAGAATACAAGAAGATATAGACTCTGTTAAACAGGATGCACTAGACTGAGATAAAAAGCATTTTACCTTTGACTGACATTGATAAATACAGGTTAGGGACTTGCAAGTACCAGTAAAATTAGAAGCAGAATATATCTTCCAGAGCACCGAAGAAAAAAAACAAAACCAAGTCTCTGTATAAAAGATAGAAAACAAGGAAGAAATGTTTAAAAACTGAATAAAACACATAGTCTAGAACACAATAATACAAGTGAGGCCAGTTAATTCTGTTATAAACCATACATATAAATGGGTTAAAGTGCCTTGTTAAAGGCATAGATGTTCTTTCAGGTTGGAACAACAATCCAAATCAAACCTTCCTCTATTCAATGTATGTGTCATACTCACAGCCACTCACAAATGTTAAAAGCAGCTGCAAGTAATAGAATCAAGAAAGTGAAAAGACAACATGCAGAGTGGGAGAAATATTTGCAAATCATGTCTGATAAAAAAACTTTTATCATATGTAGAGAATATATAAAGAATTCTGATATGTCTGATAAAAAAACTGATATATATTGAGAATATATAAAGAATTCTTACAACTCAACAATAAAAAGCAGGCAGATCATGAGGTCAGGAGTTCGAGACCAGCCTGGCCAATATGGTGAAACCCCATCTCTACTAAAAATACAAAAAAACTTAGCCGGGCCTGGTGGCACATGCCTGTAGTCCCAGCTACTCGGGAGGCTGAGGCAGAAGAATCTCTTGAACCCAGGAGGCAGAGGTTGCAGTGAGCCAAGATCGTGCCACTGCACTCCAGCCTGGGCAACAGATCAAGACTCCATCTCAAAAAAAAGAAAGAAAGAAAAGAAAGACAACCCAATTTAAAAATAGGCAAAAGGGCCACACACAGTGGCTCACGCCTGTAATCCTAGCACTTTGGGAGGCCAAGGTGGGTAGATCACTTGAAGTCAGGAGTTCAAGACCAGCCTGGCCAATATGGTGAAACCCCATCTCTACTAAAAATACAAAAATTAGCCAGACGTGGTGGCGGGCGCCTGTAATCCCAGCTACTCTGGAGGCTGAGGCAGGAAAATCTCTTGAACCCAGGAGGCAGAGGTTGCAGTGAGCCCAGATCACATGCCACTGCACTCCAGCCTGGGCAACACAGCCAGACTCTGTCTCAAAAAAATAATAATAATAAAAATAAAAATAGGCAAAAGGTCTGAATAGATATTTCTTCAAAGAAGATGTAGAAATGTCCAACAAGCACATGAGAACTAATGATAAATAATTATTTATCATTAATCATTATTATAGTCATTTATCATTAATAATCACATTTCGATTTTCATTTCCCTAATGCTGATGATTAATAATCATAGTCATTAGGGAAATGAAAATAAAAACCACAGTAAGATACCTCTTCATACCCACAGGGATGGTGAAGTTGGTGAAGATTTGGAGAAAGAAAAAGCAAAATGGTACAGCTGCTTTGGAAAACAATTTGTCAGTCTCTCAAAATGGTAAAAGTAAAGTTGCCATGTGTCCTAGCAGTTCTATTCCTAAGTTATACCCAAGAGAACTGAAAGCATATGTTCATACACAAACTTGTATACAGTGTTTATAGCAGCATTATTTATAATTGCCAAAAAGTGGAAACAACTCAAATGTTCATCGGCTGATGAATGGATAAATAAAATGTGGCATATCCATAGGATGGAATATTATTCAGCAAGAAAAAGGGAAGAAGTACTGATATTATACTACAGCATGGATGAACCTTTAAAACATTGTGCTAAGCAAAAGAACCCAGTCACAAAAGATCACATGTTGTATGATTCCATTTATATGCAATGTCCAGGATAGATAAATCTTATTTATAGAGAGAGAGTGGATTAGTGGTTGCCAGAGACTGGGGAAGGGGAAGAGAGTGACGCCAGTGGGCATGGGGTTTCTTTTAGGTGGAATGAAATGCTCTAAAATTAGATTTTGGTGGTAATTTTAGGACCCTATGAGTATAAAGTCTTACCCTTTAAATGGGTGAATTGTATGGTATGACAAACTAAATAATGACCCCCAGAGATGTGCAGGTCCCATCCCTGGAACCTGTGACTATTACCTTATACAGCAAAAGTGCAGTTGTAATTAAAAGGGTCTTGAATGGGGAGATTATTCTCGATTATCCAGGTAGGCCCTAAATGTAATCACAAGTGTCTTTATAAGAGGGAAGCAAAGGGAGATTGGCATAGAAGTAGATGTGTTGGTGGAAGCAAGAGGTTGGATGCAAGGAGGGGGTCCGGAGCCAGTGATACAGGCTAGACAGAAGCTAGACAAGGCAAAGAAACAATTCTGTCTTAGAGATGCTCCCTTAGAGACTGCAGAAGGACCTGGCCCTGCCAACACCTTGACTTTAGCCAAGTGAAACCAAGAAAATAAATTTGTATGGGTTTAAACCACCCAGTTTGTGGTGATTTGTGGGAGCCATAGGAAACAAATACATATGGTGTGTGAACTATGTATCAGTAAATCTGTTACAAATGTTGAATGTAAAATAACAGGCAAAAGTTTGTCAGAAAAATGCCTACAAAAATAAATCATGGATCACGGCATTAATATCAGACAAAGCCTAATTGTCAAGGCAAAAAAGTATTAACTGGCAACCAGGGGTCATTTAATATTGATAAGAAGTATTTATTTATTAATTTATTTATTTAGAGACAAGGTCGCACTCAGTTGCCCACCTTAGAGTGTAGTGGCACAATCTCAGCTCACTGCAATCTCCTCCTCTTGGGTTCAAGCGATCCTCCCGCCTCAGCCTCCTGAGTAGCTGGAACTATAGGCAGGTGCCGCCACACCCAGCTAAGATAAGAAGTACATATTTATCATGAACCTTTATATTCTTCAAGTAACTTTAAAGCAAAACATGGGGTCAGGTACAGTGGCTCATGCCTGTAATCCCAGCACTTGGAAGGCTGAGGTGGGAGGATTGCTTGAGGCCAAGAGTTCAAGACAAGCCTGGGCAACATAGTGGGACCTCATCTCTACAAAAAAAAAAAAAGCCAGGCATACTGGCCCACATCTGTACTCCCAGCTACTTGGGAGGCTGAGGCAGGAGGATTGCTTGAGCCCAGGAGATCAAGGCTACAGTGAGCCATAATGATGCCACTGCACTCCAGCCTGGGTGACAGAGTGAGACCCTGTCTCAATCAGTTAGTCAGTCAACCAGACATATATACATACCCAAGCATGTAGATCAAAAAGTTAGAAATGTAAGGAAAAAAGATAGTTAAAACCCACCATGGGGGGGCATGGTGGCACATATGTATAATCCCAGCACTTTGGGAGCTGAGGTGGGAGGATTGGTTGAGGCCAGGAGTTTGAGACCAGCCCAGGCAACATAATGAGACTTCATCTCTACAAAAAATTTAAAAATTAGCCAGATGTGGTAGCACATGCTTATAATCTTAGCTTCTTGGGAGGCTGAGATGTGAAGATTGCTTGAGCCCAGAGGTCAAGTCTGCAGTGAGCTGTGATTGCACCACTGCACTCTAGCCTGGATGACAGAGCAAGACCCTGTCCCAAAGGAAAAAAAAAACAAAACAAAAAAACCCCGCAATGATAGTAAGAGGATTTACTATCCTTGCCAGATCAACAAAGCAAAATATAAACAAGAATATAGAGATCTGAATAACAGATTTAATAAGGTTGACAGTCTAGGCAACATAGTGAGACCCTGTCTCTGCAAAAAAATGTAAAAAAAAAAAAAAAAAAAAAAGGATCTGGGTGTGGTGGTGTGCACTTGTAATCCCAGCTATTTGAGATGCTGAGGCAGGAGGATTACTTGAGCCTAGGAGTTCAAGGATGCAGTGAACTATGATTATTCCACTGTGCTCCAGCCTGGGTGACAGAGTGAGACAATGGCCCAAAAAACAAACAAAAGAAGCTGATACAATAGATACAGGAGCATTGACACCTTACAAGGGGATAAATATATCATATTTGAAAAATTACATAAATGGATTATAAGAATTGACCATTTATTACTACCAGGCCTCAAATAATTTTTTTTTTGAAACAAGATCTTGTTCTGTTGCCCAGGCTGGAGTGCAGTGGTGCAGTCTCAGCTCACTGCAACCTCTGCCTCACCAGTTCAAACAGTTCTCCTGCCTCAGCCTCCTGAGTAGCTGGCTAATTTTTATATTTTTAGTACAGACAGGGTTTCACCATGTTGGCCGGGCTGGTCTTGAACTCCTGACCTCAAGTGATTTGCCTGCCTTGGCCTCCCAAAGCGTTGGGATTATAGGTGTGAGCCACCAGCCCTGGCCCCAGAGAATATTTTCTGATCATAGTACAGAAAATTCAGAATTTTAGAATTTCAAAAGACAAGAAAAAAATTTCAATCATGTGGAGAGTGTGTGTGTGTGTGTGTGTGTGTGTGTGTGTGAGAGAGAGAGAGAGAGAGAGAGAGAAAGAGAGAGACTTGCTCTATTGCCCAGGCTAGAGTGCAATGGTGCGATCTCAGCTAACTGCAACCTCTGCTTCCTGTGTTCAAGTGATTCTCCCTGCTTCAGCCTCCTGAGTAGCTGGGATTACAGGTGCGTGCCACCATGCCCGGCTATTTTTTATGTTTTTACTAGAGACGGGGTTTCACCATGTTGGCCAGGCTGGTCTCAAACTCCAGACCTCAGGTAATCCACCTGCCTCGGCTTCCCAAAGTGCTGCGATTACAGGCATGAGCCACCACAACTGGCCGGAATTTTTTTTTTTTTTTTTTTGAGATGGAGTCTCACTCTATCACCCAGGCTAGAGTGCAGTGGTGCGATCTCGGCTCACTGCAGCCTTTGCCTCCCAGGTTCAAGCAATTCTCTGCCTCAGCCTCCGAGTAGTTGGGATTACAGGCTCCTGCCACCATGCCCGGCTAATTTTTGTATTTTTACTAGAGAGGAGGCTTCACCATGTTGGCCAGGCTGGTCTTGAACTCCTAACCTCAGGTGATCCTCCTGCCTCAGCCTCCCAAAGTGCTGGGATTACAGGCGTGAGCCACCCCTCCTGGCTGGAAATTTTTAAAAGAAAATCTTAATTTACAGGTTATTTAGAAACAAAAATGATAACCAAAAATAAAAACTTAGAAGGTATTATCTAAACTGGTATTCAAAGGAATATTCATTGTCTTATTTTCAAAAAAATTTATATGAGAAAGTTGGAAAAGAAAGAAACTCCATCTAGCTAAAGAAGGTAGAAAGAGAATAATAAAATAAGTCTAAGAAAAAATAGAATAAATAAACGTGAAAGAAATGAATGAGTTAGCGAACAGGGAAAAGTAGACTTGTTAAATTCAAGAATTGGTTCTATAAAAAGTCTGATAAAACAGAAAAACTGCTACATGCTAATGAGGAAAAGGGAGAAGAAAACTAATACGTAGCTTTAGAAACAAGATAGCTGTAATTGCAGACAAGAAGAGATTGAAAATTGTAAGAAAAGGCTATGTATTAGTTCTGTTCTTGCAAGTTAAAATCTCAGCCAAGTGGATTAACTTAGTAAGAAAATAAAATAACCAAAACACATCCAAACCTCAGAATAAATATTAACCGAAAACCTCAATAGAGTAATAAACATATACAAAATTGGAAAAGTGATTAAAGAACTACATCCCTCAAAGAGACCCTAGGCCCCAATTATTTTGGTTGACTTCTGTTAAACATTTAAGGTACAAATAATTCCCTAATCTTATACCCTAGTCTTATTATAGTCATTTATCATTAATAATCAAATTTTGATTTTCATTTCCCTAATGATTAATGATAAATAATCATTGTCTTTAGGGCAATGAAGAACCGTGGGAGTTGCATGCAATGTGGAAGATATGTGGAAAGTAGTATAGTGAAAGCCCCGTTGCTCATGTATTTACTTCGTCAACATATAACTATTTAACACTATTGGATACAAGGTATGAGATAAGGATTCCATCTGAGTCCTTTGGGGTTTCAGGGTTCAAAACTGGGAATCCCAAAGGACTAAGGGGAAATGAGAGCCCTGAACTGAGGCAGGAGAACAAAGGAGGCAGACACTGGGGCTGGAGAGACAATAGGATGAAGTCAACATAACTTCAGGGGCCACAGCCTGCAGCCTGGCTGGAAGCCAGATGTGCTTCACAGTCACAGGTCTGAGGGCAGCAGCTCTTTGTTACATACCTCAGATGATAATGTGTTTTTAGTCTCATAGGAGCTTGTAGAAAATTTAAAAAAAAATTTTTTTTATGAGACCTTCCCAAAGACTCTTCCTTTATCCAGTTAAGCTTCAGGAATACAAAAAAATTATGGTATCTTGTCTGGGACTATTTTTGCAACCCAACTGAAGGCCCAGTGACCTTATAGCAAACATTTTGAAAATTAGCCAAGTGTGGTGGCACACACCTGTGATCCCAGCTACTTGGGAGGCTGAGGTGGGAGGATCACTGGAGCTCAGGAATTCGAGGCTGCAGTGAACAAACCTGCGTGACAGAGCAAGACCTTGTTTCAAAGAACAAAACAAAATAAAACTCTAATGGCTCCTGCAAATACCCTAAACACCCTCCATCTCTGGTAATTATAAAATGTTTGTTAATGTGTTACCTGTATATGTATATTTAAAATATTTTATATTTCAGCCTGGGCAACATGTAAGACCCTGTCTCATTCAAGTGTGTGTGTGTGTGTGTGTGTGTGTGTGTGTGTGTGTGTGTGTGTGTATGAAAAATAAGCAAAAGACCTGGTCCCTATGCTCAGCAATGTCATGCACTGGTTGTGTATAGTGTATTCTGGAAATAACAGTATAAGTGACACATGTTTATTTGTGTCAGTAGGAATTTAAAGGAGGAAGAGAATTATGGCAAGGATACTTGGGAAGTTTTTTCAGAGCAAGTGGGAATTGAATTGGGCCTAGAAAAATGGAAAATATTTGGATAAGAAGCAGATTTATGTGGTGGCTCATGTCTGTAATCCCAGCACTTTGGGAGGTCTAGGTGGGCAGATCACTTGAGGTCAGGAGTTTGAGACCAGCCTGGTTGAAACCCTGTCTGTACTAAAAATGCAAAAAAATAGCCGGGCATGGTGGCAGGCACCTGTAATCCTGGCTACTCAGGAGGCTGAGGCAGGAGAATCTCTTGAACCCAGGAGATGGAGGTGGCAGTGAGCCGAGATCACACCACTGCACTCCAGCCTAGGCAACAGAGTAGGACTGTATCTCAAAAAAAAAAAAAAAAAAAAGGTCTTTAGAAGTTTCAAAGAAGAGAACTTGCTAGATGCCAAGGTGAGCGACGAGGTTGGGCAGCTAAAGAAGGAAGAAGGTGAGCAAAGTTGCTCAGTATAGGACTCCATGGAGGTTGTATGCTGGGAGCTCAAGAGGTGTCATTCACATAGTCTCCAGGGTTAGGCAGGCACAACTTTATCTGGAGGCTCTGGCAAAGGAGTATTGGAAAAATAAATAATTGGAAAGATTGAAATGCTGGCCAGAGAAACTTGGACTTTGTCCTATAAGAAGTGAGGAACTATAGCAGTTTCTTGAGAAAAAAAGATAAATGATAGTGATGTGGCTAAATATACCAGCTTTAGAGCTACATAAAAATTTGTTTGATTTTTGGCTACACTTCTTACTAGTTAATATGATTTGGAGAAAGTTACTTAAGTTTATTAAGCCTCAGTTTTCTTATTTGCAAAATGAACATAATATTTTCCTTATAGAATTATGGTAAGGATTATTTGAGACAACACATGTAGTGCTTGGCACAAAGTAAGTGCTCAATAAACGGTGTTTGATGACAATAAGTGTTTCCAAAATTTCAAATGGCAGTGGTATACAAGATGAATTGAGGCAAGAGAATGGTAACTGATTTTGATTTAAGTGGTTGTTTACCTTAGTTGTGCAACCAATTGACATGTTGGTATGAAGTGACAAAGGCGTAAGCTATGGTTTTTGGAATAGGAGGCATAAGTTGGAACACAAACCTGTATTTTATCTCATCTGTGACACCATTGATTATAAGATGTGCTGTTATTTGTGTACTATGAAGAAAGAAAAAACATTGATAAATGTTGACACAATGCTATCACTTAGAATTTTTATTTTCTACTTATTGAAAGAGCTCTTTCAAGGCTTAGACATAGCTTTTAATCATATATCATTTTTGTATACATATATAAAAAGGAAAATGTAAGTGAAATAAGGTATTCCTAAAACTTCTTCACATTCAGAGTCCAACCCTTTTGAATTACTTCTTGTTTCAGTCATCATTGTCTGTGTTTTTTCATGTAATATTGTCCTCTGTGCCATCATGAAAACAGGCAATGCTATATTTCTTTAAAAAGTGCTCTGTTATTGTCTGAATTTTTGCCCCCAAGCAGCAACAGGTTTGATGCAAGTCCTTTTTTTTTTTTTTTTGAGGCGGAGTCTCACCCTGTTGCCCAGGCTGGAGTACAATGGTGCAAATCTCAGCTCACTGCAACCTCCACCTCCCGGGTTCAAGCAATTCTCCTACCTCAGCCTCCCAAGTAGCTGGGATTACAGGCGCCCACCACCACGCCCAGCTAATTTTTGTATTTTTAGTATAGACAGGGTTTCACCATGTTGGTCAGGCTGGTCTCGAACTTCTGACCTCAGGTGATCTGCCCGCCTCGGCCTCCCAAAGTGCTGGGATTACAGGCGTGAGCCACCGTGCCTGGCGATGCTTCTTGATCTTAACAGAAATTGTCATTGGGAAGGTAGTAGACAACAGCCAAGACTCACATTCTCTTCTGAAATGGTGCTAAATGATTTGTTGAGTAAAAAGGCCAGGGATAGCAAACATGTTCACATGGCTGCAGGCAATGACAGCTATGCCCTGTTGTTGCCTTGTCCATAGCAATTTTAAGATGTATCCCAATTTCAGAAGACTGATAAATATGAAAGAAAAATGCATCTCAGAATTGATAGATCAGATAGAATTAAAACATGAGGTCAGTAATTCTGAGAAGGTTACTTAACTTTAGTAAGCAAGCTTAGATAGAAATGCTTTGGTAATACCTGAAGTTGTTTTGTTGCAAATTACTTAGGGATGCTCTACTAGCACTAAAAAACAAACAAACAAAAGATGTTTTAAAAGAATTATATAGCACTGATAAGCTGACTCATAAAAATGGCTGAAATTGTTTGAAACTGGCTAATAAAGAAGTAGTAACCTAATGATTTTCCATTTTTGAATGCCAGGTGTTTCTAAAAGCCAGATGAAGTTTGTTTTTATTTTAAAATTATTTATTTTTGAGACAAGGTCTGGCTCTGTCACCCTGGCTGGAGTGGCACTATCTTGGCTCACTGCAACCTCCACCTCCTGGGCTTAAGCCATCCTCCTACCTCAGCCTCCCGAGTAGCTGGGACCACAGGTGCGCACTACCATGCCTGGCTAATTTTTGTATTTTTAGTAGACACAGGGTCTCACCATGTTGCCTAGGCTGGTCTCAAACTCCTGGGCTCAAGGGATCTGCCTGCCTCAACTTCCCAATGTGCTGGGATTACAGGTGTGAGCCACTGCACACAGCCTGTTTTTCTAATATGATCATTCTTCCTATTGGCTTATACCTAATAGAAGGATTTAACCTTATAAACCTTAAAGTTCTAAGACCAGAAGCTAGGTGTATTAGTCCGTTTTCACACTGCTATAAAGAACTAACTGTGACTGGGTAATTTATAAATAAAAGAGGTTTAATTGACTTACAGTTCCACATGGCTAGGGAGGCTTCAGGAAACTTAACAATCATGGCAGAAGGGGAAGCAAGGCACGTCTTACATAGTGGCAGGAGAGAGACAGAGAGAGAGACAAAGAGAGACAGGTGCGGAGAGGGAATGCCGGTGGAACTGCCAAACACTTTTAAACCATCAGCTCTTATGAGAACTCACTATCACGAGAACAACATGGGAGAAACTGCCCCCATGATCCAGTCACCTCCCACCAGGTCCCTCCCTCAGAATGTAGGAATTACAATCAAGATGAAATTTGGGTGGGGACATAGAGCCAAACCATATCACTAGGCTTATAAGATTCATTTGTGTGTGTGTGTGTGTGAGTAGGCAGCATAAATACTATCTAGACTACAGGAACATAGCAGAAAATACAATCCTGTAAAGTTGCTGTGGCAACATCAGCTGCTTATGTTGCAATAAATATAATGGCAATAATTTTTGAAACTTTATTTTTTATTAGAGACCAGGATACAACTGAATCTCTGGAAAGATAATGAGTCTACCAGTTTGTGCTATTTTTCTCTTATCCCCTTAGTTATTGACCTATTTGGAGGATTCTTCAACTGCAGAAGTTGCACCATGTAGCCAGTAATAATATTTATTTTTCCAGATGCTTGGGGTAGAGTATGGGAATTTTTCTTTTTTAATCCACATAATGAGGTATTTATAAGGAAGTGTATAGAGTCCAGCCCACTCAGCAGACAACCCAGGATTCAAACATTGCTGGAACTTCTAGTCAAACCTCATTTTCTCTTCCATTTGTTTCCCTAAAATAGTGCCTTGAGCCCAGAAAGCAAGTTAATTTCCTAGCCCACTTGTCACATTTCCATAATTCCATGGCTTCTTTGTTATTCCCAGAGGTATCCTCATACCCCTTGTGTATTCTCCTAAGTGAATGAACCCATTTTTTCCTCTCCCAAGTTCCAGGCATTCAGATGAACCCATTATATTGGTGGTTGGAAGACCCAGCGTCTGTCCACCCTTTCTGTTCATGATCGAATGTGTGCATGTCCAGTGTGTTACTGTTAAGTTGAGACATGTAACTGGCAGTAGTGGGAATGCAGACAACGAACAACAATATCTGGTTCCAACCTGGGCTAGAGCTAAAGGCGTCATGGGTTGGAGGTTCACTTCTGTCACCAAGCCCTACCAGAAGCAAGGGAGATTTGACCTATGGGGCTCCCTTTGGCCCGGGCCTTACCAGTAGTGGCACTCAGCTACAACATACACCTATCAGTTTTTTTTCTCTGATTCTTTTCAGTCCAGTCTCTTGTATGCTTGAATCTCCTGTCTGTTTGGTAGTCTGGCTTTGCAGGAATGTAGCAGCAGTTTTGAATGAATTGGTTACTTTAAGTTTTAGAAATGTAAGTCCTTGAAGATCTTGAAAATGATTTTGGTGATGAGCTGCCACAGCTGGTTGTTCAAGCAATGGCCTGGGAAATGCAGAACCATGAATACCATGCCTGTTAGACCTGGAACAGGCAATGGCACCCTCATTGAGAAAATGTGATTTTGACTAAGAAGCAGTATTTCTGGAAAATTTTTTCACTGGCTCTCTTCTATTGTTGTTACCTGCAATTTCATCATCTTTTCATTTAATTATGTTCAGTATGATGTCTTTGGGACCAGTGGGTATTTTTATTTGCTTGTAGAAGTGTTTGTTTTTAAGGCTATGCAATGGCTCAGGAAGGCCAGCCCCACCCACTCTCTTGTTGCTTGGCACCAATCCTCCCTGGTTGTTGGGCATCTTGTTTACTTCTGCCCTTAATTCCCTGCAGGTGCGTAAGTACAAGAGCATGATCCTGGAAGACCTGGAGTCTGCTCTGGCAGAACACGCCCCTGCGCCACAGGAGGTTAACTCAGAACTGCCGCCTCTCACCATCGACGGAATTCCAGTCTCTGTGGACAAAATGACCCAGGTGAGGGGTGGGAGGTGAGGAGGAGACTCAAAGACAAGTGGCACAGGTGTGGGCGGGCCTCTGATCACTTTTCTGCATTTTGTCCTCAGTGATCTGACCAGGGAGTGAGATGCTGACTGGAGTCTTGTAGTGAAACAGTAGCAGCCTTGGAAAAGACATTATAGTGCCAGAAAAGTGCTCCCAACCAAGGGCATGGCTGTGGTCTCCTCTTTCTTCTGGCAGTTTTTTTTTCCCTTTCACTTGGGCCTTTGGGTTGGATTTAAAAAAAAACAAAAAAACTTTTAGCTTGGGGTTGGTCTGAACAAAAGAACATTAGGAGTTTAATGAATCACAGTCAAGGTAGCCAAGTAAACTTTTAGCCCTCGGGCTGCTCTGCTCCTCTTTCAATGTAAATTCTAAATACTTCCATAATTATTACTAAGTACAGCTTCCTTCCGCAAGAATGTAAAAGTCAGAGTGACAGTCTTCTGAGTCGTTGATTTCCTCTTCCTTTTTAAAATTTTTATTTAAATTTTACGATTTCTAAAGATGAGGGTCTCACTGTGTTGCCCAGGCTGATCTCAAACTCCTAGGCTCAAGCGATCCTCCTGCCTCAGCCTCCCAAAGTGCTGGGATTACAGGCATGAGCCACTGTGCCAGCCTGATTTCCTCTTCCTTTAAGAAGGGAAGTCAAAAATGTACTTAGCATGATAAATCAGCATACCTTAGTAATTTTTATGAAATTATCCCCTTTATATATTTTTAGTTTAGCTTCATCAAAATCAAACACCTTTTTAACATATTTTCCCACCCTATTTATTTATTTATTATTATTATTATTTTTTTTTTTTTTTGAGACAGAGTCTCGAGCTGTGGCCCAGGCTGGAGGGCAGTGGTGTGATCTTGGCTCACTGCAACCTCCGCCTCCTGGGTTCAAGCGCTACTCGTGCCTCCGAATAGCTGTGATTATAGGTGCGGGCTACCACACCTGGCTAATTTTTGTTTTTTTAGTAGAGATGGGGTTTTGCTGTGTTAGCCAGGATCGTCTCAAACTCCTGACCTCATGTGATCCGCCTGCCTCGGCCTCCCAAAGTGCTGGGATTACAGGCGTGAGCCACCACACCCAGCCCACCCTATTTCTTTATTAATTTACTTCTATCTTGCTAAATCCACTTGTCAGGTTTTTTTCCTTATCTTATTCAGTCTTCAGCAGCATTTGACATAGTTGATTACTCCTTAAAGCATCTTCTCTCTGTCTCTTGACCACACCCTCTTCTGAAGATCCTCATCCTTCACTAGGTGCTCCCCTCATCCCTTCTGGGGCCCCTCTTCCTCTTCTTACCTGATCATCGATATGCTGTTTTCACCCAGTTTACCCTCACTGTTAGATGTCTGGTCCTCACACGCCCCAAACAGAACCTTTGGTTGTTCCTACTCTCCACTCCACATCTGTTCCTCTCCAGGCGTTCCCCATATCAGTTAATCGAACTACTGTCCATCTGGTTGCTCAAGTCCCAGTATAGAAGTAATCCTGATTTCCTTGTTTTGCCCTCTCCCTCCACATTCCCCTGCCACCCTCCCGGTGGCAGGTCATGTCAGTTCACCTCTGAAATGTACCCTGACTCTGGCCATTCTTCTCACTTCCCATCAGCACCCAAGTCCAAGCCTTTAGCATCTCTCATATAGCCTATCCACTGTGGTCTGCTGCAGTCCATTCTCCATGTAGCCATCATAGTAGTTTTTTAAAAAACTTAAATCATGCCGGACGTTGTAGCTCATGCCTGTAATCAAGAGGAGGATCCCTTGAGTCCAGGAGTTCGATATCAGCCTGGGCAGCAGGCTGGTATTTTTTTTGTCTCTACAAAAAATACAAAAATTAGCTGGGGCCATGGTGGTGTATGCATGTAGTCTCAAATACTTGGAAGGCTGAGGTGGGAGGATCGTTTGAGCCCCAGAGGTTGAGGCTGCAGTGAGCCGAGATTGTGCCACTGCACTCCAGCCTAGGTGACAGAGCGAGATCCTGCCTCAAATAAATGAGTGAATAATGAATGAATGAATGAATAAATTTATTTATTTATTTAATTCAGGCCATATCACTTCCTTGTTTAAGCCCTGTAATGGTTTTCCACTATTCCTAGAATCAAATTCAGACTCTGCCATGGCTTTGAAGGCCCTATGTAATCTGACCTCTTCCTGCCTCATCATCTTCCCCTCAGTCACTGGGCTGCGGCCACTGTAGCCCTCTTTTCCTCAAACACCCTGCATCCGTTATTTTGCTTTTGCTGTTCCCTTTGCCTGAGTATTGTTCTCCCAGATGATTGCATGATGGACTTTATCTTATTCAAAGTCTAGCTCAAATATCACCTCTGAGACAAGCCTTTCTTGATTATCCCACCTAAATGAAGCTTTCTTCTCCCTACCAAGCCACTAATACATCCTCTGTGTTCTTGTCTGTATAACACTTGTTACTACCTGGAATTGTCTCATTTATTAACTTGTATACTTATTTGTGGTCTCCCCAGCTAGAATTTCAGGAATTTAGTTTCTGTCCTTTACTTCTGTTCAGTATAGCTGCTCAGCTTCTGAAATAACATGTTATCTAAATAATAGTATCTGTTCAGTAAATGACTTCAGAGTTAGAGCAAAAATGAGTTAAGCGCAGTGGTGGGGAACAGGATCGCAAGTCCCCTGGGCAGTTGTTTACTCAGTGTGGACGCTGACGCTGCTGCTCAGGGGTGGCACTTTTATTTTTTATTCCATCTGAACCAGCAACTTGGTCTGAAGTAATACTATATTTTATAAATATAAACCTAAATAGTGATCTTTTGATTGTTGGATTCATAGCCCTTTCTGTGGACACTGGAAGGATCTCTAAATAGTGGTTCAGAAAGGAAAGCATATCTAAACCAAGCTTGTCCAACCCACGTCCCGCAAGACGCATGTGACCCAGAATGGCTTTGAATGTGGCCCAACACAAATTCGTAAACTTTCTTAAAACATTATGAGATTTTTTGGCGTTTTTTTTTTCTTCAGCTCATTGGCTGTTATTAATGTTAGTGTATTTTATGTGTGGCCCAAGATAATTCTTCCTCTAATGTGGCCTAGGGAAGCCAAAAGATTGGACACCCCGATCTAAACTTTTCTTTACTGTCTTTTTACAGTTTCTATTATTCTGTTTCTAGAGGCATTCTGACTGGTTCAAGTAAAGAAAACATAAAGTGAATTATTTTTATCTAGTTGATGTGAAGAATCTACTCTGTCTCAGATGTAAAGTACATCTACTGCCTAAGCCTTTGGTTTCTAATACTGTGTTAGGTAAACTCCTCTCCTGTGATGGGTATTTTTTGTTCTTTGTCACATTTGGTGTGTTAGGGTAAAGCAGTCTGAGGTTTTGATTATATTATATCATCGTGGATTGGCCACAAAAGTCAGCAAACAGTTTAGTTATTATCATTTTGGAGGTAAGACATTTGAAAGTGTTGTTTTCCATATTTGTCAAAACCACACTCAGTAGAGCTTGGTGTGCTGGTGAATGAGGAGCTGGATCTCAGTTGTCAAACTCATAGATACTTTGTTGGAGGTGCACATTTTCTCTATCATATGCTCCCTCTTTCCCCTTCTTACCAAAGATGATGACTAAAAAGTCAACCATAACAAATAAAATAAAACAAACAAATGAGGAGGAAGAGGGAGCAGGATGATGAAAAACCCAGCTCCCAATTGAATGGGAATTTCCAAGTATTTGGATCCTGGCATTTTCCCCCCTCAACGTTTTATTGTTGTTTGTTTTCATTGAATACTTTTTTCTTAACTTGAGCTAAATAGCTCCTCTTTGTCTCTGTCTCTCTTTTTTTTTGGGGATGGAGTCTCACTCTGTTGCCCAGGCTGGAGTGCAATGGCACGATCTCGGCTCACTGCAACCTCCGCCTTCCAGATTGAGGCAATTCTCCCACCTCAGCCTCCTGAGTAGCTGGGACTACAGGCATGCGCCACCATGCCTGGCTAATTTTTTTTGGATTTTTAGTAGAGACAGGGTTTCACCACGTTGACCAGACTGCTCTTGAACTCCTGACCTTGAGTGATTCTCCCATCTTGGCCTCCCAAAGTGCTGGGATTGCAGGCACGAGCCACTGCGCCCAGCCAATAGCTCTCTTTTATAATTGATCCTAAAGACTTTCACTATTAATGGGAGTAAAAGGAGGGTTTTATTTCCACCCAAACCTAGATAGACAAGGGTATGGGACTGCAAGCAGTTTAATACACTGTTAGTGAGAATGCAGATTGGTACACTTTCTCTAGATGGCAGGTTGGCAATGCATATCAAAGTCTAAAAGGTGTGTATCATGCCCTCCAGTTAAACACAGATGTACATTGTTTATTACAGCATGCTTACAATAGGAAAATTGGGAACAATGTGATTGGTTAAATTATGATGGTGTTTAGAATTTATATAGGAAGACGAGCAGCATAGCCCAAAAGAGATGATTCCGTGAACTGTTAGACACTAAAAATGATGATTTGCTCTTTATTGCAGTGAATTATATTTGTGGTATGTTAAATTAAAAAACTGATTGTAAAGTAGCATTTTTTATATACTGTAATTTGAGGAGTTTAGGGCTTTATTTTTCTGTTTCTTTTGGGAGATTTAAAAAAAATTCTGGGAACACAGAATTGAGCTGATTTATCTCATTTTCTATAACATTAACATAAAACATGCCCACCTCTGTGTGTATAGAACTTTGGAGGGATGCACATTAAAATCTTAACACTGCCGGGCATGGTGGCTCACTCCTGTAATCACAGCACTTTGAGAGGCTGAGGTGGGTGGATCACCTGAGGTCAGGAGTTCGAGAGCAGCCTGGCCAACATGGCAAAACCCTGTCTCTACTAAAAATACAAAAATCAGCCAGGTGTGGTGGCACGCCCCTGTAATCCAGCTACTCGGGAGGCTGAGGCAGAAGAATCGCTTCACCCTGGGAGGCGGAGGTTACATTGAGCCGAGATCATGCCACTGCACTCCAGCCTGGGTGACAGAGCAAGACTCGATCTCAAAAAAAAAAAAACAAAAAAAACTGATTGTAAAGTAGCATTTCTTATATACTGTAGTTTGAGGGGTTTAGGGCTTTATTTTTCTCTTTCTTTTGGGAGATTTTTTTTTTTTTAATCTGGGAACACAGAATTGATCTGATTTATCTCATTTTCTAAAACATTAACATAAAATATGCCCACCTCTGTGTGTTTAGAACTTGGAGGGATGTACATTAAAATATTAACACTAATTATCTACACATGGTGGCATTATAGGTGATTTTCATTTTCTTTATCTAAATAAGCATGAATTGCTTTTATAATAGAAATACAAAAAACTATTTTCCTATTTTATATTAAACTTGAATATTTTAAAGTGCAAAGTTAGGCCGGGCGCAGTGGCTCACACCTGTAATCCCAGCACTTTGGGAGGCCGAGGCAGGTGGATCACCTGAGGTCAGGAGTTCGAGACCAGCCTGACCAACATGGATAAACCCCGTCTCTACTAAAAAAAAAAAAAAAAAAAAAAAAAACAACCAAATTAGCCGGGCTTAGTGGTACATGCCTGTAATCCCAGCTACTCAGGAGGCTGAGGCAGGAGAATCGCTTGAACCCAGGAGGCGGAGGTTGCAGTGAGCCGAGATCATGCCATCGCACTCCAGCCTGGGGCAACAAGAGCGAAACTCCGTCTCAAAGAAAATAAAAATAAATAAATAAAGTGCAAAGTTTGATAATGTTTCTGCTTTGTTTTACGCAAAGATTACTTTATGTTAACATGAAGATGTCAACAACTCTCTTTTTCCCCCCTTATTTTCCTCTTAAATAGATACTGTGTGTTGGAAGGCACATTACTAAGTTCTTTACAGGGGCATCTCATTTAATCCACCTTTCTGTGTGTGTGTATGTGTGTTGTAAAAAATTCTTATTTTATAGTCAAGGAAGCAGAGCTCAGATATAGCTTATAGCCATAAAGAACAAGTACATTTTACTGGACATTAATTCTAGATTTCAGAACATGTGGGTAATTTATGGCTTCCTTGAAGTGATAAAATTCTAGAACTATCAAATTGGACTGTAATAGAGATAGACTTGGGTTAACCAGACAACTCTATTAATCATCTTATCTGCACTTAATGGTATAGAGATAACTTGATATTGATGACCCTAACTTAGAAATCTATATAGGATCCTAAGATACATTCTGAATCATCTAAAGAGAGTAAATTATATTCAATATTGTTCTAATATTATGTGTTGCACTATTTTGTATCTTTATAAATGAGAAGGTTAGCATGATTTATTGGAAAGAATACTAACTCAGAGTGAGAAGATCTATTCTCTAGTCTCAATTCTACTACATATAACCATGGTTCTCACTTTCATCTTCTGATGAAATATATGCCCTCCTACCTTAAGGAGTTAGAGGAAGAAAAATAAAATTTGGTGTAGGAAAATGTTTTGAAAACTAAAGCATCACACCAAGGTATTATTACTAATTATTAATGTTAATTATATGTATTGCCTATATTCATTTTTGAATAACCTGAACATACCATCTCTCAGCCATGCTTTATTAGAGAAAGTTCATGAACCAAGAATTTTAATTTTTCTCAACAATTAAGTGAGACAACACAGGTGGCTTTTTTTTTCTTTTCCCTGGTGTCTACGAAAACAAAATATTTTTCAGATTGAAAATTGAGGCATAAATAGCCGGGCGCGGTGGCTCACGCATGTAATCCCAGCACTTTGGGAGGCTGAGGTGGGCAGATCATGAGGTCAGGAGATCGAGACCATCCTGGCTAACATGGTGAAACCCCGTCTCCACTAAAAATTTAAAAAAAAAAATCAGCCCGGTGTGCTGGCACATGCCTGTAGTCCCAGCTACTTGGGAGGGCGAGACAGGAGAATCGCTTGAACCCGGGAGGCGGAGGTTGCAGTGAGCCGAGATCACACCACTGCACTCCAGCTTGGGCGACAGAGTGAGACGCAGTCTCAAAAAAAAAAAAAATTGAGGCATAAATAGAAAATGAAATTTATGAAGCAAGCTAGTGACAGATAGAACTTAGGGCTGCATTCATATTGCCAGTGCTTTTTAAAAAATCTTTTTTGTATAAAACTGTATTGTGTTCATTATTCAGATTGACTCTTTCAGCTAGTCTGCACTAAACATTTACTTTTTTTGTTTTTGTTTTTGTTTTTGAGACAGAGTCTCACTCTGTTGCCCAGGCTGGAGTGAAATGGTGCGATCTCAGCTCACTGCAACCTCCACCTCCTGGGTTCAAGCGATTCTCCTGCCTCAGCCTCCCCAGTAGCTTGGATTACAGGCGGACGCCACCACGCTAGGTTAATTTTTTGTATTTTTAGTAGAGAAGGGGTTTCACCATGTCAGGCTGGTCTCGAACTGCTGAGCTCAGGCAATCTGCCGGTCTTGGCCTTCCAAAGTTTTAGGATTACAGGTGTGAGCCACTGCACCCAGCCAACATTTACTTTTTAAAAGAATTTTTTACTTGCCCCAAAACTCTCAAACTTGTCTCCTACACATATAAAAATTGTACATAGCAATGTCTGCAGTTCTGTGAGAACTAAATGCTCTGTTCTTTTAGGAAGCAGCTCTCTTGGTTTTTGTCTTTTGTCTTTTTTGTTTTGTTGAAAGCATGATTCTTTATTAGTAAATAGGATGTTTTACCTGGAAAGTTTCTGTTTTTATTATTATAACTATATTAAAGTTTTTAGTCTCTTCTTTTGGTGCCATGACTTGGATTATAGTCCTCATTTTGGCAGGGGGGTGGGGGGTGGGTCTGCACGTTAGAAAACTACATAGCTCTATGATATTTTTAGTTATTAAAATGAAAATTTGGATTTCTAGGCACCTTTAAGAATAGTGGCTGGAACTTATTCTATACTTACTCCATATCTATTTTAGAATTGGAGGAGGTTGAGATAAAGCTTAGCAAAAGGGATCCTTAGTTTGGGGTAGGTTCTGTAACCCCAGAATTCATTTACAATGAAGTCTCCTTTTTCAGATTTTGAAAGTCAGGTTAGTAAATTTCTTTTAGGATACTACAGACCAGGGCCTAGTGGATGGGCTAAGTCAGTTCCTCTCAAACTTCAGAGTGTGCAGCAGTCACCTGAGAAGTGGTGTTCAAATGCAGATTAGGAATCAGTAGGTCTGGAATGGGCCTGAGGTTCTGCCTTGCTGGTGAGCCCCCAGGTGATGCCAATGCTGCTGTTTCTCAGACTATGCTTTGAATTCAAGGAATTGCATAGCTTCTTGCAGAGTCTTTAAGCAATAATTATGATTTTGCTAGTGGAAAATCAGTTCTGCTCTTTACCAGACTTGGGTCCTGTAGGCATCTCTTGTTCTTGGGAGGTGGTAAATCTCTTTGGAATCTGTATTAGAAGACATCCAGGCAAAGATATAATTATAGAAGAATCATCACTGGAAAGACCTGGGCGGTATTATTGATTAAAATCCACTCTTCTTTCCCTTCTCCCTTCCCTCACCTTCCTTGAACTTACTGCCCTCCTCTTACTGTCATTGGGGCAATCTTTGTTGCTTTAATATTCCCGTGGCATGATGATGCAACAGGATAGTAATTTACAGCAGTTTCAGGTAAACCTTCTGAAATGTTCAGCAGAGTGGTTGCTTCATTAGGAAGGAGTTATTCACACGGCTTTTGAGATGTTTTACTTACAAAACAGTCAGTCAGTTATCTGCTTAGGTTTTTTGAGAGTTTTGTTCTGTTTTGAAAAAACATTGGTCTCACCTCTTCTACCCAAAGAGTAGAAAACATTATGCTAAGTGAAATAAGCCAGACACAGAAGGAAAATATTGGGTTTCTAGAGTTGGCAAAATGATAAAGATAGAAAATAGAAGTGGCTGGGCATGATGGCTCATGCCTGTAATACCAACACTTTAGAAGGCCAAGGCAAGCGGATCACTTGAGGTCTGGAGTTTGAGACCAGCCTCATCAACATGGTGAAACCCCGTCTCTACTAAAAATTTTTTTGTATTATTTACAAAAAAATTAGCCAGGTATGATGGCAGGTGCCTGCAATCCTAGCTACTGGGGACGCTGAGGCAGGAGAATAGCTTGAACCCAGGAGGTAAAGGTTGTAGTGAGCCGAGATCGCGCCACTGCACTCCAGCCTGGGTGACAGAGAGAGACTCCATCTCAAAAAAAAAGAAAAAAAAAGAAAGAAAATATAAGTTACCAGGGACCATGGGGAGGTAGAAGTCAGGAGTTATCGTTTTAATGGGCACAGAATTTGTTTGAGATGATAATTTTAAAGTTCTAGAAATAGGCCGGGCGCAGTGGCTCATGCCTGTAATCCCAGCACTTTGGGAGGCCAAGGCGGGCAGATCACGAGGTCAGGAGTTTGAGACCAGCCTGACCAACATAGTGAAACCCCGTCTCCACTAAAAAAAAAAAAAAATTTAGCCGGGCATGGTGGCAGGTGTCTGTAATCCCAGCTACTCGGGAGGCTGGGGCAGGAGAATCGCTTGAACCTAGGAGGTGGAGGTTGCAGTGAGCTGAGATGGCACCATTGCACTCCAGCCTGAGAGACAGTGTGAGACTCCATCTCAAAAAAAAAAAAGTCCTAGAAATAATTATGATGGTTATACAACATTGTGAACATATTTAGTGCCACTAAATGGTACATGTTAAAATGATAATGTTATGTTATGTGTATTTTGCCATTATTTTACAAAATTTTTTTGAAAAGGGCTGGATAAAAAGTATTTTAGTTTGGTGGTTCTCAAAATTGGCTGCATAGTAGAGTCACCTAGGGAACTTAAAATCCTAGTGCCCCGGCCACACTCCAGACCAATTAAGTCATAGTCTTCAGGGATGGATCTAGGCATCTGCAATGTTTAAACTCTCCAAGTGATTCCAGCATGCAGGCAACTTTGAGAACCACTATGATGGATCACAATTCCAAACTGCTTCTCCATACTGTAGTGTCAGAATTTACTGGCAAAGCAGGCTCTTCTTACTGTCTGAAATTATCAAAAAATGTTTACATATATGATGTCTTTCCATGTTTAGTAGGCATAATGAAATTAAGAGAATATATATGGGCCAGATGTGGTGGCCCATGCCTGTAATCCCAGCACTTTGGGAGGTCGAGGTAGGCGGATGGTTTGAGGCCAGGAGTTTTGAGACAACCTGGGCAACACAGCAAGACCTCATCTCTACTAAAAATTTAAAAATTAGCCAGGCATGGTGGTGCATCCATAGTCCCACCTACTCAGGAGGCTGAGGTGGTAGGATCACTTGAGCCCAGGAGTTCAAGGCTGCAGTGAGCCATGATCATGCCACTGTACTTCAGCCTGAGCAAAAGAGCGAGACCCTGTCTCAAAAAAGAAAGGAAAAGAAAGAGAGAATATATACGTAACAAATAAAAACACTGGATGTGTTCTTAAATAGAACATGGCATATTGTGAGTAAAGAATAAGGGTATATTCAGAAATACTAAAGAGAAGAAAATAGCCATATAAATTACTTACATAGGATACAACTTGACTAAGGAAATATTTACATTTATATGACAATTAATATCCAGAGCAGATTAATATTTTCTTCATATTCATAAGAAAAAGATAATTAGAAAAATAAGCAAACATTATAAGCAGTTCACAGAAAGGAAAAATAACCAGTAAATATATAAAAAGATTGTCAACTCACTAGTAATGGAAATTAAAATAAGAAAACATTTCCCCCATATCAGATGAGCCAAAATAAGAAAACTTGATAATAAGGCTGGGTGCAGTGGCTCATGCCTGTATCCCAGCACTTTGGGAGGCTGAGGTGGGTGGATCACTTGAGGTCAGGAGTTCAAGACCAGCCTGGCCAACATGGTGAAACCCCGTCTCTACTAAAAATACAAAACAATTAGCCGGCCATGGTAACGCATGCCTGTAGTCCCAACTACAGGTTGAGGCAGGAGAATCACTTGAACCCGGGAGGTGGAGGTTGCAGTGAGCCGAGACCACACCACTGCACTCCAGCCTGGGTGATGAGTGAGGCTGTCTCAAAAAAAAAAAAGAAAAAGAAAAAAAAAAGAGAGAAAACTTGGTAATAAAATGTGGAAGAGGATGAATGGGTATTGTCTGGTACTCTTAGTGACAGTGGGATTGGCAAAGTCTTTCTGGAGGACAATTTGGCAGTGTGTTAAAATGTTAAATCCATATACCCTTTAATCAGCAATTCCACTTTTCTGAATTTCTGCTAAACTGATTTCATAAACTGTAAGCAATCTAAATGTTTATCAGTAGGGGAATGGCTAAATAAAATGGAAATTCTATACCATGGATACTAGGCAACTGTTTTTAAAAATTAGATTATTCTAGTTGCACTACCATGAGAAGATCTCTATGACAAAATGTTGAGTGGAAAAAACAAGTTATAAAATAGTGTACAATATGGTACCATTTGTGTTTTTCTTTAATCACATAAAACTGCCTTTCTAGCATGTATTTATGTAAATGTATAGAATTTGGCCTAGAAGGAAGGCTGTTCATCAAGCCCATGCCTCTGGATAGGAGACTGGATTGAGGGAGGATACATGGCAAAGAGGACTTTGACTTTATCTATATTATTTACATTTTTGTACAGAAGAGTACAACAAGCATAAGGTAACAGAAACTAACCAAACTGTCTCCTTCAAAGAGAAGGTAGGACTTTAAGAGCATTTTGATTAAAAAGAGAGAGAAAGTTTGATAGGTTGGGGGTGCCGAGATACAGAAGCAGAAGTCTTGCCTTGAGAGAGGAGTCTAAATGAGTGTCTCCATTGACTGGCCTTCAAATTCACTAATTCTGAAGTTACGTTGATCTTTTCTCCAAACTTGCTCTTGTGGTTTCTATGGGAATGTGTTTTTAGGGAAAATGAGATTAAGAGAAGCCAGTGTTTTGCTTGGCACTACTAGGGAGTGGTGTTTCTGATAATAACCACCATAGTCATCTCTCTGAACAGAGATCAGTACTACAAATAATTCCCAATATAGGGCAAATGAATCACTTTGCTTTAGCTCTTTAATGCCCTTTAAATATCCATTCAAATAAAATTGGGTCTGTCAGCCTGGACGGTAATAATTTTAAGTTAAAGTAATGTTGCCACAGTCTGAAAAATCTCCATTTTTCCTTCCCTGCTACATTCCTGTTTTCTGTAGGCTATACAAACATAACCTTTCAACATGGTTTGCTTTCAACTGCCTTCTCTTTAAATTTATTATGTATTCTCTGACCTCTTCAGTAGAGGTGGAGTTGGCAGATATGTTGGTCTGAAAGACCTTTTCTTGGTAATTGAGCCTAAATGGACATCAGGAGCCTCAAAATCCCTAGACTCAGATAAATGCAGAGCAAAGATAGAGGGAACAAGAGGAGAGGGTATTTGGAGGATGTGTAAGGATAATGCATTGTTGGATAGCAAAGAACTAACTGAATTTACAAAGGAAATTTCTAGCATAGCAAGAATTTTTTTTTAATTGGATAAGACGTTTTAGAGTTTTAGAGAACCTTTTATTTTAAACCTATCTGTGGTTTCCACATAATCTTTACTTTTCACTGACACAGGCATGAATTTGATATCCTTATCTTTGCTGATTGTCCCGGGAAGTGGTAGTATTTTCTATTCTTTGCTGATTTGGTGTGGCTGTACTGACCAAGCTAGAGTACCTTAGGCCCACCTAGAGCCCTAAATCAGAATGAGAGTCCAGGAAAGCTTGTTCCAGCTCAATTAAAGGACGGTCTGAGAGGTTAGGCTTTAGCTTTGCTGATCCTGTTGATTGTCTCCCTGTGTATTAAAGACAAACCTTCCTTAACAAGCACTTCAAGAAGCTCTGGTTTCCAGAACTCTCCAGGACCAGTAATTAATTCAACTGGTAATGAGAGCACAGTTCCGAATTCTGGAAAGGAATCATTTGACTCTTCCTGTACTGGACTGCTAGTTTCCCTTTATTAATAGTCTCTTTAGCCTTAGCACTGTTTATTTGGGACAGTATAAAAAGAACCTGTAGGAAGATTGCCTTTTTCAATGAAGTCAAATTATCTCTTAAGCATTTAAAAGTAAAAAATACCCTTCATTCCCAAAATGTACACACCTGAAAAACAAACTCTTATAGTAGAAAATACCTTTTACTTCTTTTGGTATAGGGGCAAATTTTATATGCTTGATAATTAGCATTTTTAAAAGCTATGATCTGCTCCTGAATTAGAACTTGTATGCCAGCAGCTGATTTCAGTCTGGTTCCATTTTTTGACTTGATGAGGTTTCTGCCTGTGGAAGTAACCTTCTTTTTGTACTGTTTCTGTTTCTCCTGCCTCACATATTAGCCTCTAGGATCATCTTCCTAGGAATTTGAAACATTTCTCATCCAGAGATTTCTAGCAAATAAATCATCTTTGAAAAGTTTCCCAGTTCTGTCTTTCCTCTAATTATGGTTACCCTTTTTTCTGACAATTTCCATTAGTAATCTGCTTGTACATCCCCCCACCCCCCGTTTTTTTTTAATTGAAGGGAGAGAAACAGTGCATGTGCGAGAGGGAGCTGCTTGTATTAATACGTATTTTTAATGCTCAAGGACCGAGCAGAACAAGGCACCTAAACTTTCTGTACATTGTGGGTGGGTTGGTAATAGCTTGCCATTGATCATTGGTCCAAATGATCAATTTGTTCCTTCTTGGTTCTAGCACCCTTTATTTCTCATCCTCAACCTTGTTTCAGATACATATAAACTCATTCTTCTGCCGCCTTCTGCTTTTTTCCACTTTACCCATCCTTGAAAAACTAATGATGAATGTCTTAATGTACATTACAGTGTGTTCAGTATTAGTAAACCATTTCAGAAAGCTAGCTATTTGTTTGCATTGGGAGAATAAATTCCCTATTTTCCCTGATTTAAAAGTAAAATCTCATTTACCTTTGAAATATTTATTTTTGGCAAATGGTCACATTTAGACTTTGATAGAAACTTAATATAGATTGAGTACCCCCTGCCTGAAATGTTTGGGACCAGAAGTACGTTGGATTTCATATATTTTTGGATTTTTTTAACATTTGCATATACCTAGTGAGATATCTTGGGGATAGGACCACAATCTAAACACAGAATTTATTTGTGTTTTATATACACCTTATGCACTATAGCCTGGTGGTAATTTCTTAGGGTATTTTTAATAATTTTGTGCATGAAATAAAGTTTTGACAGCGACTTGAGGTCATGGGTGGAATTTTCCACATGTGACACTTGAAACATTCCAGATTTCAGATCTTCAAATTAGGGATGCTCAATCTCTCCAGATTAAGGATTAAAACTGTGCTGGATTAAAGCCATGATGTTTCTGAGTCCTTATTTGTTTTACATTTAGAGTAGTTTTATTTAATAGATTTGAAGAGTGGATGCTTAAAGCATCTACTTTTTTAAAAAAAAAGAAACAGCTTTTTCTTATTATAAAATCAGAATTACCAATCAGTTGCCAAAGAGCTATGGTGCACCTAAATTTTATAACAAATTAAGCTCTAAATTTTAGAACAAAAGTTATGAATACTGGAGAAGTTGCTGAAAAAAGATGGCTTGATGACTGAGGTAATAATAATAAAACTTCTATTAATTAATATACCTGCTATCTCAGCCTCTTCATTGACCTTGTATATTTGCTATTATTACTGTTTTGCAGATGAGAACATTAATATTCAGAGCCAACTCTGAGTCTTGTGGGTTTTTTTTGTTTCTTGGTTTGTTTTTTGTTTTTGAGATGGAGTCTTGCTCTGTTGCCCAGGCTGGAGTGTAGTTGAGCGATCGTAGCTCACTGCAACCTCCGCCTCCCGGGATTAAGCGATTCTCCTGCCTCAGCCTCCTGAGTAGCTGGCATTACAGGTATGTGCCACCATGCCTGGCTAATTTTTGTATTTTTAGTAAAGACGGTGTTTCACCATGTTGGCCAGGTGGGTCTCAAATTCCTGACCTCAGGCAGTCTGCTCTCCTTGACCTTCCAGAGTGCTGGGATTACAGGCGTGAGCCACCAAGCCCGGCCCTTGTGTTCTTTTTGGTAGAAAGAGCTAACTTAAGAGAAGTGAGTCTGAGTGCACTGACTCACACCTGAAATCCCAGCACTTTGGGTGGTTGAGGCAGGAGGATTGCTTCAGTCCAGGAGTTGGAGATTGGCCTGGGCAATGTAGGGAGACCCCTTCTCTACAAAAAGAAAAAAAAGAAAAGAAGGAAAAGTAAAGAAAAAAAATAGCTGGGCATGGTGGCATGCGCCTTTAGTCCCAACTACTGAAGGCTGAAACAGGAGGATCCCTTGAGCCCTGGAGGTTGAGGCTGCATTGAACTGTGATCATGCCACTGCACTCCAGCCTGGGCCACAGAGCAAGATCCGAGAGTGAGAGAGAGAGAGAGAGAGAATGAATGAATAGTTAGTATATGTTCCACAAAGAATGTAGGACTTTTCTGGGCACTAAAGAATGAGTGGCGGCATTAGAATAGTAGCATGGAAAATAGTCCAGCCAGGGGACAGAACAAAGGCAAAGAAGCGGGAATGGGCTTAGCAGCTCTTAAGACAGTGCAGAGATTTGTCTGATGGAGGACCAAGGCTGAGTGGTGGGAATTAATGGGAACTGACTGTAGTGTGAGGCCAGATTGTGGTGGGTCTGAAAAGCTGGGCAGAAGGATCTAGTTTAGTTGCCATAGTTAAAAGACATTTGGAGGTGTTTTGAGCATTGGAGCTATGTAGGTAACATTTAGGAAAACCTCTCAGGCAAGGATATGTGGGAAGAGGGAATGAAGGGAGAACTTGGAGTTTCCCAAGAAAGCCAACTAGAAGGATACACTAGCCTTGGGCCAAAAAATTAGAATAAAGGTGGGGCCGGAGAAGAAGGGATAGACACCAGAGACGTTTCAAAGAAAACAAAAGAACTGGACTTGCAATGTGTGACTAGGTAAGTGTTGAAGGAGAAAAGTAAAGATAACTTTGACATTTTTAGTTTGAGTGGCCGGGGAAAGGGTGGTTTTCTACTTGCTAAGATAAAAAAGTTGAGAAGACAAGTAGATTGGAGAGAGGGTAGGGTAGGAGTTTAAGTGAAGAGGCTGATGCTGAGCCCACCTTTCAAGTAACATTGAGTTATTGGAACTCAGTTGGAAGGCCTGGTGGGAGAGCCGAAGGAAGACTTGAGGGTGAAAGATATCCACGTCCAGGTGCCAACGTGACCCAGAACTGAGGAGCATAAGGAACTATTGGTGCAAATAGGGTGAGGCGTCAGAAGTGAAGCGATCACCAGAATTAGGGAATATAGAGGGTTCCAGGTGGATCTGAGCAGACTCTGTCAGTCTAGTATTCTCCACAGTGAGTGCTTTCTGATCACTTTAGGATTTCTGTTTTGTTTGTTTGGTTTAAGACAGGGTCTTGCTCTGTCACCCGCTTTAGGATTTTTGTTTTGTTTTGTTTTGTTTTGTTTTGAGACAAGGTCTCACTCTGTCACCCAGGCTGGAGTGAAGTGGCACCATCATGGCTCACTGCATCCTTGACCTCCTGAGCTCAAGCGATCCTCCTGCCTCAGCCTCTCTAGTAGCTGGGACTACAGGCACGTGCCACTGTAACCGACTGAGTTTTGTATTTTTGGTAGAGACAGAGTCCCACTGTGTTGCCCAAGCTGGTCTCAAACTCCTGGTCTCAAGCATTCTGCCTGCCTGAGCCTCCCAAGGTGCAGGGATTATAGGCATGAGCCACTGCACCCAACCCACTTTAGGATTTTGTTAATTTAGAATTATTTAGCCTTCTCATTTCATTTTCTCCAGACTCTCCTAGGTATGAATATAAAGAATTCTCCTTTTTGGAAACTGTTAATGGTATTCAAAGAAAAGGGAGTTTATGAAAGTCTATATCAATTTAATCTATACCTCTGAGAAAGCCATTTTTTTTAACATGAAGAAGTATAAAATATTGTGTGTGAAGATTAAGCCCTTTCTTGCTCTATGTATTTGAGCCTAGAAAAAGACACACTCCCAAGAAATTAGAATAAAGGGAAAAATGACTTTGAGATGTACTTTCTTAAAATAACTGAAGTAATGACCGCATGAGCCAGCTGATGGGTTTTTAAATGGATACGTTTCTATCAGCCTGCTGCTTGATGCCAGAGCCAAATATATATGGAGTGTATTATATCATATCCTGTAGGCAGGAGACTGTTGGGGCATTGGGGGACTTAGAGAGGTGAAGTGGCAGGCTTGGCACAGGAATTAACAGCATGGCTACCGTCAACCAGAACTTTATTAGGTCAACATTACTGATTGGGTTCATGGTTCCCTATTATGTAACAATTTGTATCATCTTCTCGTAAAATAATATCTAATATTTATTATAAGAATGATAAGAATACCTGATATTTATAGAAATCTTTAATATTAAAGTGTTGCTGTACTCATTCTCTCATTAATACTTAATTATTCTCATTTCTGTTTTTTCTTGTTTTACTTTGTAACTACAAATCCACACCCCCGAGTCTGATTCATTGCTAAAAGTGGCCTCTTTTTGGTTTTCAGCTGCAGGGGCAGTATGGGTGCATCCTTAGTTGCAGGATGCTACTTATATCTGGAGTGCTATAGACCACCAGGTTAAAAGGAAGACAGTAGGTCTGGGAAGGAGGAATAGATCATAAATTGATAAACTGCTTTTCTTGCCAGAAATCATTATCAGCGATTAAGAATATTCACAAAGTAGACCCTCCCCCAACACACACAGAGTGTGGTTACTATGCCAGGAAATAAGAATGGCAGTTGTCTTTGTGGTTTAAAACCTGTTTGGTCTGGATTTGATTTGTAAAATAAATCTGAATGAAGTCCATAATGCATTTAAATTCACACATGCTTTACTATGTCTATATGTCAGACTCATGGACAGTGGCCTAGCTTACTGGAAAATTTCTAGAAGAGTTTTAGGGTTATTTTCCCTTTTTATTAAGTTAAAGGCCTGTTTGTTTTCCTATATTTTATAATCAGCCACCTTATTGAATTCTCATTATTGTTTGTAGTAGTTTTTCATTTGATCTCTTTGGAATTCTCTAGATATAAGGTGACTTCATCTATAAATAATAATGATTTTATCAGCTCGCCTCTTATTTCTCTCTTATCTAATTGCATGGATTCCTACTTCCAGAACAGTGTTGAAAACACCCCGAGTTTGGCACCTTACATGCATGAAAACTGTAGAAGGGAAATAAGCTATAGTACCAGTAATATCTTGGGAAGCAGAAATTAAACTTAGGGGTAGATATTCTTACTCTTAGAGGAACAAGTCTACAAAATGCAGCCTAAGGTGCACTTTATCAACATATTTATAATTCTCAACCACCCATGGAGATATAGGAACCTATGGAAAACAGTGGGTTTTCATCAGTCACATCTTAGAATTCTCTGGGACCTTCCTGGAAACCTCTCTGTTTTATAAGGTTAGAATTTAAGGAGTCATAAACACACCCCAGATGTCTTTCATGAGTATTGATGACCACACTGTTCTCTTCCAGGCCCAGCTTCGGGCATTTATCCCAGAGATGCTCAAGTACTCTACAGGTCGGGGAAAACCAGGCTGGGGGAAAGAAAGCTGCAAGCCCATCTGGTGGCCTGAAGATATCCCCTGGGCAAATGTCCGGAGTGATGTCCGCACAGAAGAGCAAAAGCAGAGGGTGAGAGTTCCTCTGACTGAGTTGCCTGGTTGCTTTTCCATCCTAAATTAACCACCTCAATTTTTGTCATTTCTACATCTTGTGCTAGAAAGTCTTTGTGTAATAGTTAAGCCTGTCCCTCCAAAGACTGATATTCTTTGATTTATAGCCTTTTCCATTTGTCGCTCCATCACTATACTATAAAGAGAAGACTGGGTTGAGTTGATGAATTTAAAATGTGTCTTCGGGGTTGCCTTTTGGAGCAGTTTTAATTTTATGAAGTGCTTGGGAAAGTCAAAGAAACTTGAAGTAAAAGTATTAATCACTTTGAACACTTAGAAATGCTTTTATTTCTGGTTACTAAAAATCATTGTTGAAAATGTAAATATGGAATTAGAGGGATATGAAGTCTGCCAGCTGAGTCTGCTAATAACAAAACTTTTACAAGAAAGACTAAACTACCTACCATTCCTTACTTTTTTTGCGTATTTATTTTTCTTTTTCTTTCTTTTCTTTCTTTTTTTTTTTTTTTTTTGAGACAGAGTCTCACTCTTGTTGCCCAGGCTGGAGTGCAATGACGTGACCTCGGCTCGCCGCAACCTCTGCCTCCCGGGTTCAAGCAATTCTTCTGTCTCAGCCTCCCGAGTAGTTGGGATTACAGGCATGCACCACCATGCCCAGCTAATTTTGTATTTTCAGTAGAGATGGGGTTTCTCCATGCTGGTCAGGCTGGTCTCGAACTCCCGACCTCAGGCCATCCGCCCTCCTCAGCCTCCCAAAGTGCTGGGATTACAGGCGTGAGCCACCATGCCTGGCCACGTATTTATTTTTCATTTAGCTTGGAAGTTTACTGAGAATCTTAATATGCCATTCTTGATCAGAATAATCTTTCTTTGCAAGAAGTTTAAGAGTTTGGCCTCAGGTTGGAATAGGGTGTAAACTAGACTTTGATCAAGAAGAAACCAATGAGAAGCCCTCTTTGATACTTCGTACACAGCTTCTTTCTACCAGAACCAGTCTGTGGGAGGTAATCCTAGGAGAGTCTAATAAGAGGTTTGGTTTGGTTTGATTTGATAAAGAAGTAGCTGCTTATTGCATATTGGGACTAAATAACCAAAGTTCTTTGTGGCTTAATGTGCTTTTCCGGTCATTTGGTGACAGGTTTCATGGACCCAGGCACTACGGACCATAGTTAAAAACTGTTATAAACAGCATGGGCGGGAAGACCTTTTGTATGCCTTTGAAGATCAGCAAACGCAAACACAGGCCACAGCCACACATAGTATAGCTCATCTTGTACCATCACAGACTGTAGTCCAGACTTTTAGTAACCCTGATGGCACTGTCTCACTTATCCAGGTGAGTAAACCTGAGGGCTACCAGACTGTGGCTTCTGAGATGGATCAGTGGGCACCTCACCTCAGACTAGGGAAAGTTTCCTTTGTGCGAACTCTTGTATGAACTTTATATAGCTCCCCAAGATCTTCCTACCTGAAATTGATTTCTGAAGAATAGTTTAAATTCTTTGCATTTGCTAAATACAGAGCTATGAGTAGCTTCCTGGACATTTCCAAAACAAAGCACTTTTAAAGGGCTCTTTTTTTTTTTGAGACAAGATCTCTCTCTGTCATCACAGCTCACTGCAGCCTCAACCTCCCGGGCTCAAGTGATTCTCCCTCCTCAGCCTCCCGAGTAGCTGGGACTACAGGTGTATGCCACCAGGCCTGGCTGAATTTTTTTTTTTTTTTTAAGTAGAGATGAGGTCTTGCTATGTTGCCCAGGCTGGTCTCAAACTCCTGAGCTCAAGTGATCCTCCTGCCTCGGCCTCCTAAAATGCTGGGATTACAGATGTGGGCCACCATGTCTGGCCTTAAAATGACTTCTGTTTTACAGTTTCACTCTCAGTGATCAGGGAATATTCCTTCTGAATGACCTCTTCTGAGGTAAAACACAATTTGTTGATTGGGAACCTCTAAAGTTCAGATTGAGGTGAGAATAGAAAGTTGGTTGACCAACACTGGGCATGGATGTGGCGATGTGATAGCTTTTCTCATATGGACTTATTTGGTTGAAGTAAAATTCTGAAACTCGTGATAGTCTCTGAACTATGATTTTAGTGAGCTATGATTTTAGATTTCACATCATAAGGCATATTCTTTGTTATCTGTGCTGAATTTGGGATTAAATGAGTCTCAGCTTCTGAGTAAAGAGGTGGAAGGATCCATCCACTGACACTTAACCACTTTCCATATTTTTCTTTAGGTTGGTACGGGGGCAACAGTAGCCACATTGGCTGATGCTTCAGAATTGCCAACCACGGTCACCGTTGCCCAAGTGAATTATTCTGCCGTGGCTGATGGAGAGGTAAGAAAGAGATTCCATCTGCATCTTCTTAAATACTTGAATGTATAATGAGGGAAAAGCAAGGGTCCAGAAGATGGAGTAGCCTGCATGTCTGCGGCACTCTTTCATTTAAACCTTTTAAAGAGCATGAGACCATGAAAGTTTTAGAAAGTGTCTTATGCTATGTGTATTAATTGTAACAATTAAGATTCATGGATTAGTATGTCAGGAACTTAGAATTTTACATTTGAATGTATAGCATTTGGTATTATACACAATACAAAGGGATTATCCCTTTACCATTTTTATGCTGTGAATCCCAAAGAATTTCATCTTTGGTCTTTATGAAAAAAAAATGTCACATTAAAACTGGAACTGACTAAGGGAAGCCTTCTTTGAAAGGATAAATATGTTTGCAAGTCAGTAACATGATTTATTACATCTTAAATATGCCTTTGAAAAGATTTCTTAGGAGAATTCTTCCTTACCAAAATTGGGATAATTATGGGACATTAACCTAAAGACAGCCAACCTTTATTGATCACTTGGTGGGCTAAACACTCAACCCTATGAAGTATAAAGTTCTGTTATCTTCACTTTAGAGATGAGAAAACCGAGACATAACAGAGCTTAGATGATTTGCCCAAAGTCCCATAGCAGTGTTGAAGCTGGATAATGCATTGAGAAAAACATTACCTAGGCTCTGAGCCATTGGTGAAGATGCAACAGTGAAGGAAGGGGTTTGTTACGTCACCATGAGTGTTTCCCTTGAAGATACTGATGTGGTGTGCTGAAGTTTGAAAAATAGCCAACAGATGTCAAAGAGCAGTATCAGAAATAAAGCTAAGAGTATTATCTCACCCTTGTTGAGAGCCATGGAGCATTTCCCCTTAGAACACCACAAAGTCACTTTCATTTGTGCCCCTCAGGAGAGGGGGAGAGCTGGCAAAGGCCACATGGCTGGGAGATGGAGGGAGAGTGCACCACAGGCTCCTTGGCCACCCTGCATGTGCCAAACCCCTGTGTAGCTGCAGCTGTGTGGAGTTGATTCGCACAGGATCCTTGCTGTCATGGGACTCCAGTCTAGTGGGGAAGAGAGATGTCTACGTGAATGAACTCTAGCCTTCCTGTAAGGGATGCTGCAAAGCGTATGTGCCTCCTTTCCACCTAAGGAGCCTGGGAAAGTTTGGGACACTGAAAAACTTGGTTATTGGGTGAGGAAAGGTGAAGGTTGACAGGACACTTACTTTCTAAGTATATAAACATCATTAAAGGATATGGATTAGCAAAGCAAAGAATTTGTCAGTCCCAGAACACTAGAACAAGATGACACTCCTTAAAGTCTGAAAGAGGTGGAAAAGACAACGAGGGGTACAGTTAGGAGATGTGTTAGTTTTTGGCTTAGACAAAGTTATCAACCATATGTCTCTACTGAATGTTTCTTGGTACTATTTAAAGAAAGTAACTTCGTTTCCTTCTGTATAAAATAATTTGTTTTTGACACATAATATTTATAACATTAATGGAGTTGCGTTTCCTTTTTTTTTTTTTTTTTTCCTGAGACGGAATCTCACTCTGTGGCCCAGGCTGGAGTGTAGTGGCACGATCTCAGCTCACTGCAACCTCCGCCTCCCAGGTTCAAGCGATTCTTCTGCCTCAGCCTCCCGAGTAGCACCAGGCACGCACCACCATGCCCAGCTAATTTTTGTATTTTCAGTAGAAACGGGGTTTTACCATGTTGGCCAGGATGGTCTCGATCTCTTGACCTCATGATCCGCCTGCCTTGGCCTCCCAAAGTGCTAGGATGATATATAGTATATATAATTCTGTTAGAAGAGAAAGCCAAAGTGCAAAAACATTAGAGACGTGAATTTTAAACTGAACCATCAATATATGTAACAGTTTTGAATTGCATAACTCATTTTAGGTGCATTTTTATGAATGTCAGTTTACCTTAAATATGGGCAGGCTGAATAACAAATAGGAAAATATCAATAGTATTTTTCCATCCATCCCTTCAGTAAACACTTTTTGAGCCCTGTGCCAGGCACTGTAGAGACTATAGATAAAAGATAATAAAGACTCCCCTTTCCCTTAAGGAGCACATAGGTAGGCGGTAGAGAAAAGCAAAGAACAATTGCAGTGAGATAAGGGTCTACTGGCAGCAAGCCCAGGGTGCTGTGGAACAGCAGAGGAGAGGCTCTCATCTGGACTTCAGGGGAGTGGAATTGTCTCAGGAAACACTTCCCAGAGGTGTAGCCCCTGAGCTTAGACTAGAGTGGGAACTAGCCAAACAAAGGAGAGGGATGGGAGTTCTATCCTGTCAAAGAGAGCAACACATTCAGTGCATTGACTTGTGAAAGCATGGAACAGCCACAGTTTGAAGGGCCTTGTGGTAGTGGGCCTCTCTCAGAAATGCATAGTAGCTAATGAGATATCTTCTGAATATCTTCCTCTCCTAGGGCTTGTGGCCCTTTCTTTGGGGAAGGGAGTGCAACAAGAGCTCAAGTAAACACAGTTTAAGAAAGCACTGAGACTCAGGAATAGGAAATTCCGAAGAGATGCTGGCACTTGAGCTGATTTCTTGATCACCTGCCGTGTTTCTGATTAGAAATCTCTTCTCTGTTTCTCCTCCTATTTTCTCTTCACCGTTTACTGTCATTCCATGCCATATAATTTAACTTTCTTAAATTATACTGTATATGGCAGCATTCTAATGCCATTTTCACTACAAATATAGTTGTAACTAAAAGTATCTATATTGACTTGCTGCCTTTGGAGTTTGAGGACTTGAGAGAGCCTCACTGGGCCAAACTCAAGTGAGAGCAGCAGCATGGGCCAGACTGAAATAGAGGGGCAGATCAGAAACAGGAAGACCATTCCCTAGCAGTAGGCAACAGCACTGCCCGGCTTCAGTGGATGTTTTGAGCGGACTCATCAGCCACCTAAGAATTGATAGTGCAGCTTGCCTCTTATGGTGGCAGTGTTGGTAGTGATGTTCATTGGAGCAATGAGATCAAAGCAACCAACCTTGGAAAGCAAGAGCTTTGGAGTTCCTGAGGGGCAATTTTGCAGCTCTAGGATATCTCTGCCTCAGGAGTGATGGGCCCTGAAGGCTTGCTGGCACAATCCACTGCCCATGAGAACTCAGGGCAAACACGAAGGTAACTCAAAGGAATGTCTCTTTCTCTGAGAGGCTTTTGGCAAACATTCTGAAAAGCATTATCATAATCTAAGTATGGTAATATAACTAAAGCAGGAAGCATTTAAAATATCTACCTCCTAGAGCTTGGAGCACTTTCTTTGGGACACAGTAACAAGCAGGCACAAGGTAACTACTCACTAGGCCCCAGCAATGTGAAGCAGGAATAGCAAGAGCTGCAGTAAGCACTGCTAAGGTCCTGAGACCCAGGAGTCCAAAGACAGATACACCTGAGCTGATGGATCACCTGCTGTACTTCCAAATAGAAATTGCTTTTACTGCCCCTGCTGCTTTTCAGTTTTGAGGGTGGGTAGTTAATCAACCAGTATTTATTGAGCAAAACGGACTGAAGTAACTAGATACAGGTATTCAGAACTAAGTCTCTAAACACAGAGAATTGTACTAAAATCAGTAGTTCTGTACCCCAGACCAGAGGGGACATTTGGCAATACCTGGAGACATTTTTTACCGTCCTGACTGGGGAGGGTGCTATTGGCATCTAGCGGGTACAAGCCGGGATGCTGCTAACCATCCTGCAATGCACAGGACAGCCCCACAACCAAGGATACCTGGGCCAAAATGTTAGCATGCCAAGACTGAGAGACTGTAGGCCTAGCAAACCTGGATTCTCATGTATCCTGTCACCAGAGAGTATGATTTTTATTTTTGGGTTTTTTGCTGTGGGCAGTGGGAGAGTCTTCATAACTTCTCCCCTACTAAAAAGAAAGCAGTTTTTGCTACACTTTAAAAAATTAGTTTCTGAGTTTAGCAGTTTCTATCAAAAATAAACATGCCAAATAACTTTGATCTATAATTCTACCTCTAGGCATTTACCCTATAAATAGACTCACATGTAATATACAAAGTATAATAGTATATAAGGATATTCATCACAGCACTGTTTGTTAATAGCAAAAGACTGTAAACCACTTAAATGTGCATGAAAAGATGACTTGTTAAATAAATCATGATGTTTCTATATAATGCAATGCTTCCCAGCACTTTGGGAGGCGGAGGCAGGTGGATCACCTGAAGTCGGGAGTTCAAGACCAGCTTAACCAACATGGAGAAACCCCGTTTCTACTAAAAATACAAAATTAGCTGGGTGTGGTGGTGGGGTGCCTGTAATCCCAGCTACTTGGGAGGCTGAGGCAGGAGAATCGCTTGAACCTGGGAGGCGGAGGTTGCGGTGAGCCGAGATCGCGCCACTGCACTCCAGCCTGGGCAACAAGAGCAAAACTCCGTCTCCAACAACAAAAAAAAAAAAGCCATTCTATGCAGCCATTTTTAAGAATCATGAATGAGTAAAGTAGTTTTATATGTTCCAAAATGGAATCATTTCAGAGATGTACTGTTTGTGAAAAAAGCAAGATACAAAAGATATGTAGAATATGCTGCCATTTTTATTTTAGAGGAGGGAGTAGAAAGGGGAAATGGGGTGAATGTGTGTGTGTGTCTGTGTAAATATACTTCCATATAGCAGGAATAGCTCTACAAAGGTACACGAGAAAATAGGTACATTACATGGAAATATTGTATAATGATAAAATAATAAAAGAGAAAATAGGCACAGTTGTAGACCCTTTGGACAAAGGGTCTAGAGTACTGGTATCATATTCCCTTTGATACAGTTTGAAATTTTGGTATAGTTTGAATTTTTTTTTCCTCTCATGGCCCATTTCTAACAACCCAGCCTATATATTTTTAAACTTTATTATGTATTTATTTAAATTAACAAAAAATTGTATATATTTATCTGGCACAACATGTTGTTTTGAAGTATGTATATATCGGGAAGTAAATTGAGAAACGTATTTAAAAGTGTAGAGTGGGCCGGGCGTGGTGACTCATGCCTGTAATCCCAGCACTTTGGGAGACTGAGGCAGGTGGATTACCTAAGGTCAGGAGTTTGAGACCAGCCTGGCCAACGTGGTGAAACCCCATCTTTACCAAAAATACAAAAATTAGCCAGGGGTGGTGGTACACACCTATAGTCCCAACTACTTGGGAGCCTGAGGCAGGAGAATCGCTCAACCTGGGATGTGGAGGTTGCAGTGAGCCAAGATCGTGCCATTGCACTCCGGCTTGGGCGACAGAGGGAGACTCCCTCTCAAAAAAAAAAAAAAGGTACAGTGGAAGGTCTTGCTTTCTGTCTCCCATCCAACTTGTTTCCAACTCCTCTCAACCCCACACATACAATCCAGAGAATATATTCAGTGGCTTTTGTGTGTCCTTCCAGAATTTCTTCATGCAAATGCAAGCAAATTCAGGTATATATTCTAATACCCCCTTTTTTATGCAAAAGGTAGCATGCTTAAAGCTCTGTTCTGTATATTGCAGGTCATGTTAATTTTAAAGAGTATGTGTATTTAGCCAAAAAGTAGCAATTATTAGAAAAATTACTTGTAAAATTGTACTTTTGTGGCTTTGTTTTTTTACTATCTTGTCCTTTCTGCCTCAGGTGGAACAAAATTGGGCCACGTTACAGGGAGGTGAGATGACCATCCAGACGACGCAAGCATCAGAGGCCACCCAGGCGGTGGCATCGTTGGCAGAGGCCGCAGTGGCAGCTTCTCAGGAGATGCAGCAGGGAGCTACAGTCACTATGGCGCTTAACAGGTGGTGGCAAGAGTGTGGGAATAAGTGAGGATCGCAAATCTGTCCCTGCAGATATGGGTGGAGGCCCCTTAAAGAGAAATGTGTCTCTGTTTGCCACAGTTGGCAGTTGGAACTTAACACTCTTGGCCCATACGATATTGTAGTTTGGCCTATAATAGGTCAGTCCTTACCAAGAAAAATTAAACTTCTTTCCTTCAGGTGTGCTTAGGAAAGGTGATGTGAAATGGAATCCTCCAGTAAAAGGTAGTTTCCAAAACTCAATGTATTGTTTCCTGCTTAGTTCCTTCTACTGGCTGTTGATGGAAAGATCATCTCCGCATCATTCTTCACTCCTGCCGCCACCCAGCCCCAACAACCAGTGTAGCCTTTCTGACTTCCAGCCCAAGCTGGTCAAGCCTTCCCGTTTATCCTATTCTGTGTCCAGTAAGCAGAAGCAGTAAGGCTTGAGTGCTTCATGTTTTCAAGGGATACAGAACAAATTAAGAGGCTTCGGATTATTGTCCTTTTGCCCTACAAAAGAAACTGCATTTTGTTGGGGGTATTAATCCATGTTTAAGCAGCAAATGGCTGATTTTACTTGCTTTTGAGAAAAATGTGTTGCCCTTGCTTATCAGCGAGCTCAAGATAAATAAGTTTTGGATTATTGGGGAAAATAATGAACTTTTTTCTTCAGGTATGTTAGGAAGGGTGCTGCCAAATGGGATGCTCCAAGAGGTGGTTTCTGAAACTCGATTGTATTATTCCCTGCCTGGTTCTTTCTACTGGTTGTTGACAGGAAAGATCAGCTTCATATCATTCTCCCTCTTCTTCATTCCTGATGCAATTTTATTTTTAATGGGCTCAGGGATTTAAATTAATGGTCAAGAGTGTGAGCCTTGACGCCAGACTACTTGGGTTTGAAGCCCAGCTCTGTCACTTACAAGCTGTTTGGCATCGAGCAGTTGATTTGAACTCTCAGTAGCCAGGCTCTCCTATTCTGTAAAATGGGAGTGATAACAGTACATTCTTCTAGGAGTGTTATGAGAACTGAATTACTCCATGTGAAATCCTTAGGTCAGTGTCTTGTATACAGTAAGGGCTGAACTCTTGCGGCATGCCAGCTCTACTGGGTAAGGCTGTAAATAGAGAATAGAGTGCTCTAGCATATACTCTGCCCTCAAAGAAATCATACTCTTATTGCGGAGACTGATTTAAGTAAAACACTTAGCAAACAGTATTACTTAGAGTGTAACTCACTATTGAATTGTATGGTAAAGACTGTGAACGTTGTAGAAATTCAGAGGAGGGTGATCACCTCCCCTAAATATAAAATCAGTGAAAGTTTAGATTGATTATGATAGATACTAGAGAGCTGTGATGGATTTGTATACAGTTCACTGTATGAGGCTGTATAGTATGGTGGCTGAGAGCAGGGTTCCAACGTCACATAGATTCAGGTTTGAATCCTGGCTCCACCATTTGATCCTGAGAAACATAACCTCTGAGCCTTGTTTTCCCCATTGTTATAATGAGGATAAGACTCATCACACAGAATCATGTATATGAGATAATATAGATAAAATTCTCATCGCGGTGTCCAACCTATAGTTAGCATTTCAAGAATTATAGTTATTATCATTTAAGTTGTATTTTAAGAGTTGTCTATTCTGAATTGATTATAGTGAGAGGAGATTAGAAGATCAGTTAGGAAGAGGCACTCCAGGAGCGCCTTGTTAAGGTCTTGGAAACTGAAGTAGTAAGAATGGAGGTAAAGTGATTCTTTTTTTTTTATTTGAAACGGATTTTCACTCTTGTTGCCTAGGCTGAAGTACAATGGCATGTTCTCGGCTCACCACAACCTCCGCCTGCCGGGTTCAAGTGATTCTCCTGCCTCAGCCTCCCAAGTAGCCAGGATTACAGGCATGCTCCACCACACACGGCTAAGTTTGTATTTTTAGTACAGACAGGGTTTCTCCATGTTGGTCAGGCTGGTCTCAAACTCCTAACCTCAGGTGATCCACCCGCCTCAGCCTCCCAAAGTGCTGGGATTACAGGCGTAAGCCACCACGCCCAGCCTAAGTGATTTCATTTTAAAAGAAGTATGGCCAGAGATTGGTGGTTGATTAGGAATAGGAAACTGAAACACACACACACACACACACACACACACACACACACACACACACACAACACATCTTCTCAGAGTTACCTAGTTAGTCCCTAGTGATCAGAACATTTTTTTCAGCCCATTGAGCCATGTTGCTCTTGTTGCTCTTCATTTCTTTTTTTCCCCCACTCACGTATATACTCATCATGTTGCTTTTCAGTAACATGAAAGTCTTACTTGGTTCCTTACACTTGGCTCAATTCTACCCCTCTCTTTGAGAGAAACACCCAGATAAACTTCCTGAAAGGCATGGCCAAGTGAGACCCTCCGTCCCTTTAGTCCAGTAACACCCCCCATTCTCCGCCCGACTGTAGCTTGGGGTCTAACAGGCCCTCATTAAAGACCAGCAAAACTTGATTTCATTGAGACTTGCAGCCAACACCTTGGATATTCCAGTGAAGTGTGTGTGTCCTGGGAACTCTGTACATAGTGGAAAATATGAGGCACATTTGGGCTCTCTTTGTTATAAGGACCAGGGCTTGTTTCTAAAGGCAAGCGGGTAATGGTATCCCCTGAGGGCTTGTTAACAAACTTAGATGCAGCTGAGGTGGCTCAGTGTTTACTCCAAAGGAAGGAGAATGTGTTCACTGTGGCATAGAGGAGGAATAAAGAGATGTTGAAATCTCTTTGCAATCAGGTAGTTCGATGCCCCAATGAGTGTTAGGGGTTGGTGGATTGCAGCTTCTGCTGGGGATGAAGAAACCAAGCCTGGCAGCAGAGACTAGACTATAGCAGACTATTAGGGGAATATCAGGGCTTTCTGAACCCAACAGAGGTAACCCATGGTCTAATGTCTTAGTCAGGAGGGTTGGATGTAAGAAACAAGCCCTTAACATTCGCTTCTTTGTGGACGAGATGCAGTAGAATCATTTAGTCCTTGCACTCTGAGCCTCTCCACAGAATTTGCTGTTGGAAGTCATCTCAGTAAGAAATACACAGAGAAATCTGGTCTTTGTTCCTATGATGACAAAGCAGTTTCATAATCTGCCCTCTTGCAGCTTGCTCTGTTTTGGGTGCAGATAAAACAAGCATGGTTCTCTAATAACCACCTGCACCTCTGCTGCAATGTAAACAGCAGATGTGGGCGCAGGGTGAGAAGGGAGAGGAAGCTACGTGCAATGGCAGGTTGGGGAATAAGGAGGCAGAGGGGCTCCTTCATCTTTTACAGGGTAAAATGGGATCAGGACAGTTGCAGGACAGACTTGTTTCTCAACCACGCTGTTAAGAGAATTTCATACTGCAAGTCACAAGGGCCCAGGGCTCCACGGCCTTTAGCCCACCCTGGCTTTCTAACAACCCAAAGTGGGTATGGAGAAATTGTCCTTTAAAAACCTAAAAACTATGTTAATTTTCATTTTCAAAATAAAGAATAAATCAGCACTTTTGGAAAGGAGGTGGGAAGGGAATCAAAGTGAACAAATGAGCAGAACATCACAGCTTTAAAAAAATTTGTGTGTGTATGTGTGTGTATATACATACATACATATATATAATACCATATATATGTATATAAAAAATAGCTTATATATAAGCTATTTAGCCTGAACAACCAGAGAGGAAAGGAAGTAATATTATCATTTACTTGTGATACAGTGATTAATTTGAACTTTCAGTTCTTTGGTTAAGCTGTCCTGGACTTGTAGTTCCTCTTAAACATGTCCTTCTACAAACCCATTTCCTGAATATGGCCAGTATAGTCCTTGCATGTAGAGATCATGATTTGGCTTTGTAGACTTACTCTACGTTTCTAAAGTAGTGGAAACTTACTTGATAGTATATTGTTAACACTGAGACAGTATTTATTGTGTGTCTACTGTGTGCAGGGCTGTGACTCAGTGCTATGGGGAAATATTTAGATTAATTCCTCTTCTCAAGGAATTTTAGAATTTGTCTTTTTTTTTGTTGTGAAGATTTTGCTTTTAAAAGTCATATTTTGAAAGAAAAATTTGCTCTTAGTCTTTTTTTTTTTTTTTTATTGAGACAGAGTCTTGCTCTGTCACCCAGGCTGGAGTGCAGTGGCGCGATCTCGGCTCACTGCAAGCTCCGCCTCCTGGGTTCACACCATTCTCCTGCCTCGGTCTCCCAAGTAGCTGGGACTACAGGCGCCCACCACCACGCCCAGCTAATTTTTTATATTTTTAGTAGAGAGGGGGTTTCACTGTGTTAGCCAGGATGGTCTCGATCTCCTGACCTCGTGATCCACCCGCCTCAGCCTCCCAAAGTGCTGGGATTACAGGCATGAGCCACCAGGCCTGGCTGCTCTTAGTCTTTAAGATGAAATATTATTGACTTAAAATTAGACATATTATTAAAATAAAATGGGGCTTTTATATACGGAGTGATATTTGTCCAATAAAATGGGATGGAAAACTTAGATCAGAAATCTTCTCTGGAAGAGAAGTCAGGGATGGTACAACTGCTTTTCTTTCCTACAGGTAAAGATTAGACGCTTACAGATAAAAGGTTGATGGAAACCTCTTATTTATAGCTTTGGTTTTGAAATGACTTTTGTCTAAAAATTGTGAAGTGGTCTAGCTCAGGGCCTTTTTAATCCCTATTCACCTTTTTAAGTGAACATAATCTTTTTCTAGGCTGGGCGTGGTGGCTCACGCCTGTAATCCCAGCACTTTGGGAAGCCGAGGTGGGTGAATCACCTGTGGTCAGGAGTTTGAGACCAGCCTCAACATGGAGAAACCCCGTCTCTACTAAAAATACAAAAGTAGCCGGGCGTGGTGGTGCATGCCTGTAATCCCAGCTAGTCGGGAGGCTGAGGCAGGAGAATTGCTTGAACCTGGGAGGCGGAGGTTGCAGTGAGCCGAGATCACACCAGTGCACTCCAGCCTGGGCCACAAGAGCGAAACTCCGTCTCAGAAAAAAAAAAAAAAAATCTTTCTAGCAGTTTAGTTTGGTCGTTTCCCATAAAGTTGAGTGTAAAAGGTTAGAATCACTCTGGAAATGATAGCCCTGCTTACCATAGGCATCATCGTTGTCTTCATGCCCCACGTAAAGACCTTAACTGGGGACTGAATAATTAATCGTACTGATCTGTCAACCTGTCACCCCCATTGCATTGGACCCCTCATCCCTGGCATTCCAGATTGTTTTAGGTTGTTGCTGGTTTTCAGCTTTTCTTCTACCATACCACATTTTAGAAAGAAGTTAAAGAAGATAACTTCAAGTTTTTAGGGCTTTAAGTGGAAATGAGTATGATCAGTTGCAGGTACACTTTCCTGTCAAGGCTTGGGGAGCTGCCCTCTCCCTTCACTGCCCATGAAACTCATTCTGCCAGAGTGTGTTCAGGATGTACAGGAGTGGCAGGATGTCATCTTTGATGGTCATAAAGATGAGATTATTGTAAATTGTAAGAATAATTACAGGAAATAAGCAGTCACTGAGGTGACCTATAAACAAAGATCCTAATTCCATATAAACAATTCTCATTTACAGTTTTCTTCTTCAGACTATCACACAGCTTTTTCCAAAGAGTATACTTTTCTGCTTTCCATAAAGTCTCAGGTCACAGCGTAAATATTTGTATCATTAATCATTGACAGGTGGATGCTGTAAAATTGGCTGGTCATATATTTATGTATCTTTTTCTTTTTTTTTCTCCGACATAGGTAATTAATAAAATTTCCAGGCCGGGTGCGGTGGCTCATGCCTGTAATCCCAGCACTTTGGGAGGCCGAGGCGGGTGGATCACCTGAGGTTGGGAGTTCGAGACCAGCCTGGCCAACATGGAGAAACCCCGTCTCTACTAAAAATACAAAATTAGCCGGGCATGGTGGCGGGTGCCTGTAATCCCAGCTACTCGGGAGGCTGAGGCAGGAGAATCGCTTGAACCTGGGAGGCAGAGGTTGCGGTGAGCCAAGATCATGCCATTGCACTCTAGCCTGGGCAACAAGAGCGAAACTCTATCTCAAAAAAAAAAAAAAAATTTTTTTCCCAGTGGTTGGTAGTAGTGTTTATTAACATAACTTTCTTAGCAAAATATTAAAAATTAAGGGCCTAGGTACTAAAAAATATTCATTAAAGTCTCTCTAATAAATACTTTAAAGCACTTTAAAATTAAATTCTGTCATGAAAAATGTAAAGAACAGTCTTAGTAGTAATTCCAGATCAAGGGTCTCCTGTTGAAAAGACAGTCCTTTCCCTATTGAATGGTGTTGGCACCCTTGTCAAAAACCATGTGACCATATAGGTGAAGGTTTATTTCTAAGCTCTCAATTTTATTCCACTGGTCTATATGTTTGTCTTTATGCCAGTACTATACACTGTTTTGATTACTACAGCTTTGTGTTAAGTTTTGAAATCAGAAGTGTGAGTGGTGGTGCTGGGAAAACTGGATATCTACATACAAAAGAATGAAGTTGGACCTTTACCTAACACAGTGTATAAAAATTAACTCAGAGTGGTTCCATGACCTACAACTATAAAACTCTTTGAAGAAAACATGGGGCAAAACTTCATGACATTGGATTTGCCAGTAATTTCTTGGATATGGCAAAGGAAAAATAGACAAATTGGACTTTACGAAAATTCTTAAAATGTGTGCATCAAAAGACTATCAGTAGAGGAAAAAGGCAAGCCACAGAATGGGAGAAAATATTTGCAAATTGTATCTGATAAGGGATTGATATCCAGAATATATAGGGAATGTCTAAAACTCAACAACAACAAAAACTCTATTCAAAAATGGGCAAAGGTCTTGAATAGACATTTCTCCAAATTTCTCCAGAGAAGATATGCAGATGGCCAATAAGCACAGGAAAAGATGTGCAGCATCACTAATCCAAACTACAATGAGATATCACCTCACACCCATTAAGATGGCCACAATCCAAAAAACAGAAAATAACAAGTGTTGGTGAGGATGTGGAGAAATTGGAACCCTTGTGCACTGTTGGTGGGAATGTAAAATGACATAGCCACTGTGGAAAACAATATGATAATTCATCAAAAAGTTAAAAATGGGACTACCGTATGTTGCAGCAAATCCACTTCTGGGTACATATCCCAAAGAATTGAAAGCAGGATCTCAGAGAAATATTTGTATGCCCATGTTCACAGCAGCATTATTCACAATAGCTAAAACATGGGAGCAACCAAGTGATCATCGACAGATGAATGGATACACAATGGAATATTATTCGGCCTTTAAAAGGAAGGAAATTCTGACAAATGCTACGATGTGGATGAATCTTGAGCACATTCTGCCAAGTGAAATAAGCCAGACACAAAAGGACAAATACTGTGTGGTTGTATTTATGTGAGATAGAGTAGTCAAAATCACAGAGACAAAAAATAACTCAAAATGGATCTAAGACCTAAAACTATCAAACTCTTAGAAGAAAACATGGGGGCAAAATGTAATGACATTGGATTTGCCTGTGATTTCTTAGATATGACAACAAAGGCACACACACCTATAGTTCCAGCTATTTGCGTCAGGAGGCTAAAGCAGGATTGCTTGAGCCCGGGAATTCAAGACCAGCCTGGGCAGCATAGCAAGATCCCATCTCTAAAAAAATAAAAACAAAAATGAAAAAATCATCGAGGCAGAAAGTAGAATGGTGGTTGCCAGGGGCTAGGGAGATGGTAGAATAGGAAGTTTAATGGTCCAGTTTAAAGTTCCAGTTTTACAAGATGAAGAGAGTTGTGGAGATGAATGATGGTGATGGCTGCACAGCATTCTGAGTGTATTTAACTCCCTGAACTGCACACTTAAGTGTTAAGAATGTAAATTTTATGTGCATTTTACCACAACAAAATAATTTTTCAAACTGTACAGTACAATCCTAATTATTATCTTTTTTTTTTTTTTGAGACAGTTTCACTCTTATTGCCCAGGCTGGAGTGCAATGGCATGATATCGGCCCACTGCAATCTCCACCTCCCGGGTTCAAGCAATTCTCCTGCCTCAGCCTCCTGAGTAGCTGGGATTACAGGCATGCACCACCACACCTGGCTAATTTTGTATTTTTAGTAAAGACGGGGTTTCTCCATGTTGGTCAGGCTGGTCTCGAACTCCCGACCTCAGGTGATCCGCCCGCCTTGGCCTCCCAAAGAGCTAGGATTACAGGCGTGAGCCACCATGCCTGGCCTTATCTTATCTTTTTGAAGTTGTATTTAAGATTAGAAGGAAATAATTATGATATTTAAAATTTTCTTTTATACTTAATAGAGTTTGCTCAAACTTTCTATAAAAGCAAGTATACTGCTTTTATTATCAGAAAAAGATAACTGTTTAAAACACAGGCATAAAAATTAAAAAGCAAGACAAATTAGTAAGAAGAGGAAATTCTTCTATTTAATGACACTTTTCTGTCCATTCGGTTTCTTTTCCTGCTTCCTAAAATCCTTACAGTGACCAAGAAGTCTTTTGCAGGGGAATTACTATATCTGTTGTTTTACTTGTGTGCTGACTGTCTTAGGTAAAGGAGACTGTATTGAGTTTGGTACATGTTGCTTTGCCCACAGTCCTAACATGTTTACTCCAATTAGTCCCTGTCCCCTTACCCACCTCCACTTACGGCTTGTGCTTACAAGACCACTGCCATGTTACAGCAAATCCTGCAGCTTCAGAGCAAAGCTGACTCGACTGGCTTATTTGTCCACTTCTGCTAAACTAAATGGCACCACCATCTCTATTCTGTGCCTACTGGAATTCGATAGTCCCTCAGTAATTGCAAATTGACACCTGATACTTTACCAGAAGGGATAATGAAATTGCCTGTTTTTTCACATTTTTACATCTCTGAAATTTGGATGGCAAATTATAATCTTACAATTGTCAGGAATTTTTCTTCCTTACTGGCCCATGAAATAATAGTATGTCTTACAGTTTGTAGCATCATAGAATCAAGAAAAATGGGTATTTATGCACATAGTAAAAGCATATAGCAAGGAAAAGAAAGAAAAATGGGACACACTGCTAAAATAGTACTTGCTATAAACAAATGGTTAATGTCTTCCTATTCTACAGAGCATTTGTGCTATGTAGGGAGGTTTATTATTTTGTTGTAATTATAGAGGCAAACTGTATTTATACAGTTTGGACTTGCAGTGATAATTTTAAACTTTAAGTCTTTGTTTTAGCCCTGCCTGGATATACAGTGAGTCAAAGGGAAGAGCTGGACTTTTCAGGATATTAATCAGCCATTACTCTGTATTTGAAAAGCATAACTATAAATCAAATTAATATTTAGTGTTAATTGAAGAGTGAGTCCAGGTTGCTGCTGACTCCTCATATTATCATTCATCCTTGGCTATAAAAGGACAGTCTCAGATGGTCTGCCTTATGTTACTGTGAGGAGAAAAGAGAAAAGGAAAACCTTGTGATTGACAACCAAAATGGCTTTTGCATTGTGAATATGGATCAGAGCTTTCACTATGGCTTGCAAGCACTCAGCTGATATTGATAAGGAAGAAACTGATAATGAGTGCCTTCTGTCCTCAAACACTCAATTACCGAGGTTCTGAGAAACTCTCACCATTAGCTTTATAGCTATGTAAGACTTGAGATTTCTCTAGCCATTAATATTATTTCAAAATTACTCTTGGCTTTATCTATTAGCACTGTTATCACATATTTGCTGGTAGGATCACAACCATGGAGTCAGTAGAAAGACCCAAGGAAGGCATTGAAAGGATGGTTTGTCTTGGCTGCAGTGCTGTTCCTCTATTCATCATCCTCTCTCCTGTTCCTGTGCCCGCAGCGAAGCTGCCGCCCATGCTGTCGCCACCCTGGCTGAGGCCACCTTACAAGGTGGGGGACAGATCGTCTTGTCTGGGGAAACCGCAGCAGCCGTCGGAGCACTTACTGGAGTCCAAGATGCTAATGGTAAGAGAGCATAAATATTTTATTAAATTTCTTCCCTGTTTCCACTTAAACCTTCCTGACATGACTGGCAACAAAGCCTTCAGAAAGAGTTTGAGCTTCGATTTTTTTTTCTTCATTGGTAGACATTTCATGCCTAGGAATATTCTGGGAGCCTGTGATTCCTTTCACTAGTAGGAAACATGGGGGTTCCTGAAGGAAAATACTGTGATAATGGCTACCTAATTGAATTGTTACTTAAAAAGTGATTATCGTCTTGTGACAAGACTTGCTGAGAAGCACCTTAAAATTCACTGTGAGCCACATTTTGTCTTTTACTGTCTCATCGGATAGGGTAGATCAATGTCCTTTACTGTAGCAGAGACTCTCTCATGGGCAGGACCATCATGGAAAGTTCTGACTACATCAAGAAAGGCGCCAATGTCTCACCTGTGCTTGGGGTCAGGCAGCAGGCTGTGATGCCGGTGCCTCTCTGGTTGGTACTGTGGTTCTGCTTCCTGTTATATGTAGCCTCACGAAGGACCTTTGGATTTAGCCAATTACATGCCCCTACCCTGAGCTTCTTCCCCAGCTCTTTGACTTCCTGGACATTGGTGAATATCCTGAATAAGCAAAAGGGATAAAATTCATAGAAATATGGTGGCAAAAATATACAACTTCAGCCCAGTTCTTTGGGTCCATGTTGGTAAGGAGTCAGTTGGCAAGACAAGCTGCCCAAGGAAGTGCCTCAGAAGTCTGGGTCAAAGAGGAGGGCCAGATCTGTTCTGTGAGACCCTATGTGATTGTTATATTTTTAAATAATATATAATTAAGCAGGACAAATTAAATACTCCATGGCTTTGGGGAAATTGTTGCTTTAAAGTCCTGGAATGGGGCTGGGCACGGTGGCTCATGCCTATTAATCCCAGCACTTTGGGAAGCCAAAGTGGGTGGATCACCTGAGGTCAGGAGTTCAAGACCAGCCTGGCCAACATGGCAAAACCCTGTCCATGGTGGTGTGCGAGGCTGAGGCAAGAAAATCGCTTGAACCCGAGAGGCAGAGGTTGCAGTGACCTGAGATTGCGCCACTGCACTCCAACCTGGGTGACAGAATGAGACTCCGTCTCAAAAAAAAAAAAAAAAAAAAAAAAAACCAATCCTGGAATGAGGATAGATAAATAACATACTTTCATCATGTAGGCAGAAGGTTCCTTAATGGCATTAGTGGCAGAAAGAAAAGTACCTGGCACTTTGTTTATGGTAGGTGCCTAAGAACCGAATGCTCTGTTAGTTGGAAAAGTCTTTGAAGAAAGACATAGTGCTGTGTCCTCCTTTGGAATAGGAGGAAACAAAGTACCTCTGTCCCGCCAGAGAAGAATAACATAGGAAATGCAAAGAGCCATCGTGGCTTCTGAGAATCATTTTCCAAAGATGCCAAACAAATTCAATTCTAAAACTATAGCCTACTTTTTCTGTAGGGAAAGAGGCTTTTGTGCTTATCTAAATCTAGACAGAGTTGATCTCAACCAGAATGCTGTAGGACAAAGGACATCTTATAGCCACACATGTTCAGGATGAAATGGACCATGGTTGGAATTAAGGAGAACCTCTCTCTCTAGCTAGACTCCTACTTCTATTTTTTTACCTTTTTCTATTCCTCATCAGAGTCCTAAGGCACCCTGAGCAAAGGGTAGGATATCTGGCTTATGTGGCATTCATGTGAAGTGTGATTGCTCTTATTCACTATGGAACTGCTAAAAATAACTTCCCATGTGGGTTCAGTAGGAAACTTTATTATCCATTCTAATCGACTTGACCTGTCTGGGAGAGAACAGACTGCTTTATAATTCTGGCTCCTCCCCAGCATCACCTTTTCAGATGGATGAATTTATAATAAGTCCAAGGACCCTCTGGCTCTCGGCCAAGTAGAACCGTTCAGCCATACAATAAAGTTGAACCACACCCGCTACTATTGATTACTGGAAGCTGCCTCTTTTCAGTAGCATTGGGTTGTGTGAATCATTTGGTGTGATTTCATGTTGTTGGCTACATTTGTGATCTGGGAAAATTCTGGTTCGCATCCTAAAAGCCAGTATTTCCCCCAAAGCAGGCCATCCTCAGTCTGTGACTGCCAGTACTTGCTGAACTCAGGCCTTGAGAGTTGGAAGTTATCTCTTTCTGAATGCAGCATTTCTGTATCAAATCAGACCCTTGAGTTGTGCCGTATCCCAGCAGTTTTAGGCAAAGGCCAATCATTTCATCTGCCCTTGGGAATCCAAAGAATGAATCTCATATGGGATATGATCCAAGTAACTTTGATAATCCTCTTATCTTCTAACATTTTTGCCCACAGTGCTATAGTATTTACTTTGGGATTGGAACCAGATTTTTCCCTCTTAATCAGCAATTTTGATATCTGGCTAGACTTTTAGAGGTTCTCTTTTTCATCATTCTTTCGGATTCTGTCCTGTTGCCAGAGTTTGTTGCTTCTTTTTGTTTTTGTTTTTGTTTTTTGAGACAGAGTCTTGCTCTGTCACCCAGGCTGGAGTGCAGTGGCACAATCTCAACTCATTGCAACTTCTGCTTCCTGGAAGTTCCAATGATTCTCGTGCCTCAGCCTCCCGAGTAGCTGGGATTATAGACGTGCCACACCACGCCCAGATAATTTTTGTGTTTTTAATGGAGATGGGCCATGACTGGTCTTGAACTCTGGCCTCAGGTGATCCACCCACCTCAGCCTCCCAAAGTACTGGGAATACAGGCGTAAGCCACTGTGCCGGGCCTATGTTTGTCACTTCTGGGCAGACAAGCTTATGGTATCTGCCAGTAGGTCACATTTTTTTTTAATCTTTTTTCTTTTTTTAATAGAAATGAGGCCTCTCCATATTGCTCTGGCTGGTCTCAAACTCTCGGGCTCGAGCGATCCTCCCACTTTTGCCTCCCAAAGTGCTGGGATTATAGGCATGAGCCACCACACCCTGTCCAGGCCAAGTTTTTTTAATCAGAAAGAGTTTATTATCAGGAAGAACCAGATGATAGCAGAACAAGGTGCTGTTTGTTGACATAGAACTAACTTGGAAACAGATACTACTTAGGGGAAAACATGTATCCCATATTTCAGAGTATGGTTTAAATCAAAATTGGAATAGCAGATGACTCTTCTGAGAGCAATTTGGATATCATTCAGTTCTGAAGTAGAAAGAGTTTGTGGGATGGAACTAGCAGGGATAGAGGACCACTGCATGTGGAGCCTGATGAAGTCCATAACCATTGGGAAGTGGCGCGGGCGGGTGAGGTTATGAAGCAGTATCCTAGGGGATGGTGTTTTTCAAGTTAGAGATAATGACCCATAGGCCAGGCACAGTAGCTCATGCCTGTAATCCCAGCACTTTGGGAGGCCGAGGTAGGAGGATTGCTTGAGTCCAGGAGTCCAAGACCAACCTGAACAACATAGTAAGACCCCATCTCTACAAAAATTTTAAAAAATTAGCCAGGAGTGGTGGTGCACACCTGTAGTCCCAGCTACTTGGGGGTCTGAGGTGAGAGGACTGCTAGAGCCCAGGAAGTCAAAGCTGCAGTGAGCCATGATCACACCACTGCACTCCAGTCTGGGTGAGAGATCAAGACCCTGTCTCAAAAAAAAAAAAAAGCCAGGCTCAGTGGCTCACACCTGTAATCCCACTACTTTGGGAGGCCAAGGTGGGTGGATGACCTGAGGTCAGGAGTTTGAGACCAGCCTGACCAACATGGTGAAACCCTGTTTCTACTAAAATACAAAAAATTAGACAGGCATGGTGGCAACACCTGTAATCCCAGCGAATCGGGAGTTCCAGGCACGAGAATCGCTTGAACCCAGGAGATGGAGATTGCAATGAGCTGAGATCATGCCACTGCACTCCGGCCTGGGCGACAGAGCAAGACTCCGTCTTGAAAAAAAAAAAAAAAAAGGTAATGACCCATGCAAGCCAGAAGTTTAAATTTTGGATCACCAAAGCAGACCTGATGAAGACATTGCACCTAGCACCTGCGCACCCTGAAGACTTCTTTCTGGACATGTACCCCACACTACCCCGACACTAAAGGAACTACCCAAGCACTCACATTACTTTATTTCTATGTTCTCTGTCTTTTTCAATAGAGTCTTTGGTCTCTTAGGATGGAGTTTCATGGTTCGGTTCAATATAAAGATTTTCACAGATGCCTTTTCATTTAGATGTAGGTAGAATTGCCTAAGGCTGGTGAAGGCTACCAGATTAATTCCTTCCTTTACTTGTTTGTTTGTTTGTTTGTTTGTTTGTTTGTTTTGAGACAGGGTCTCACTCTGTCACCTAGACTGGTTCACTGCAGCCTTGACCTCAGGCTAAAGCTATCCTCCCACCTCAGCCTACTGAGACGCTGGGACCACAGGTGCGCACTGCCACACCGCGCTAATTTTTTAAATTATATTTTTTGTAGAGATGGGATCTCCCTTTGTTGCCCAGGCTGGTCTCAAACTCCTGGGCTCAAAATGATCCTCCCGCCTTAGTCTCCCAAAGTGTTAGGATTATAGGCATGAGCCACTACACCCGGCCCTTTACTTCATTTTTTGAACATAGTTATCTCAATACTCTTTTCATCTTATACACCTTAATGTAAGAAGTCATACAGTTCAGCCCATTTGTTTTTCTTCACTCTGCCTTCCTCTCTGCTGGTCCCCAGAACCCCCTGTGTTCCAGGACTCCTGACCTCCAGGACTGACAGATACAGGCATTCACTCAGACTTGAGGAGCTCTTTGCTGAGTGCCTCTCACCTCTCACCCAGACCTTAACACCCATTGTTGGCAAGCCTCAGAAAACCAGGCCTATAGACCTTTCTCTTCCTTCCTATTGCAGCAAACGTAATGAAAGAGAAGGATTATATTGGGACTTGGCCACCTCAGAAACACTCTTCTGTCTGAGATCTTATTGCAGATTTATACAGCTATCTTTCATTCCTGAAAAGTAGATGGGGGAAAACAAAATAGATTAACAAGTTCGTAAGTATTGGTTGGTGCAAAAGTAATTGTGGGTTTTTTTGCCATTAGAAGGAATGGCATATTTGAAGTTGGTGCAATTACTTTCACACCAACCTAATAAGCCTCTTAGCAGAGCTGCTAAGAAAGCATCAGCATTTTTTAATATAGCTGACACTTTTCCTAATGATGCTACAAGAAAAAAGAGAGGATGTAGCATTTGCTGGTTTGGAGTGGGGTTTTTTTGGGTTTTGTCCTTTGGGGTTTTTGTTTGTTTGTTTGTTTTTGAGACGGAGTTTCACTCTTGTTGTCCAGGCTGGAGTGCAGTGGCTCAATCTCAGCTCACCGCAACCTCTGCCTCCTAGGTTCAAGTGATTCTCTTGCCTCAGCCTCCCGAGTAGCTGGGATTACAGGCATGTACCACCACACCCAGCTATTTTTGTATTTTCAGTAGAGACAGGGTTTCTCCATGTTGGTCAGGCTGGTCTCGAACTCCCGACCTCAGGTGATCTGCCCGCCTCAGCCTCCCAAAGTTCCAGACCAGCCTGGGCAACATGGTCAAACCCCATCTCTACTAAAAATACAAAAATTAGCCGGGCATGGTGGTGGGCACCTATAATCCCAGCTACTCAGGAGGCTGAGGCAGGAGAATTGCTTGAACCCAGGAGGCAGAGGTTGCAGTGAGCTGAGATTGCACCATTGCACTCCAGCCTGGGCAACAAAGCGAGACTGTCTCAAACAAACAAAAGGTTCATCTTTTAAATTTGAAAAAACTTTTATTCAAAATTCCAAAGAGTGTTTTGGGAATATGAACTTTATACTGATTTTAAAGTTCATTTGAAAGAATAAAACCTGCCGTGTGCGGTGGCTCACGCCTGTAATCCCAGCACTTTGGGAGGCCGAGGCGGGTGGATCATGAGGTCAGGAGATTGAGACCATCCTGGCTAACACAGTGAAACCCCGTCTCTACTAAAAACACCAAAAATTAGCCAGGCGCGGTGGCGGGTGCCTGTAGTCCCAGCTACTCGGGAGGCTGAGGCAGGAGAACGGCGTGAACCTGGGAGGTGGAGTTTGCAGTGATCCGAGATTGCGCCACTGCACTCCAGCCTGGGTATAGAGCGAGACTCCGTCTCAAAAAAAAAAAAGAAAAGGAAAGAAAACCCTATCTTAGCCATTTTTTATGCTAACAAGCCTTTAAACAGAACCACTAATAAACTGTAAAATTGACTCAAGTTTTCTCCTCTGCTTCTACCCCAGCTTTCCCCAGGTTCAGGGTTATAGGGAGTTTTCATCACAGAGATGGACCAGGTGAGGGAAGCAAGTGTTCTTGCACTTTGAAATTTCACTTTCTCCTTTATATTCTTTTGATTTTTTTCAATTTCATTTTTTGTAATAAAGATGTTAGTGGAGGCCCGACAAAGTAGTTCATGCCTATAATCCTAACGCTTTGAAAGGTTGAGGCAGGTGGATTGCTTGAGCTCAGGAGTTCAAGACCAGCCTGGGCAACATGGTGAAACCCTGTTTCTACAAAAAATATAAAAATTAGCCCAGCACTGGGCTCATGCCTATAGTCACAGCTACTCAGGAGGCTAAGGTGAGAGGATTCCTTGAGCCCAGGAGGTCGAGGCTGCAGTGAGCCAAGATCATGCCGCTGCACTCCAGCCAGGATGACAGAGTGAGACTCCATTTCAAAAAAGAAAAAAAAAAGATGTTAGCAAGGCATACCCCACTTGTGGAGCTCTCTGACCTAGGACATCAACATACTTCTCAGCTGTTGACCTTGCATTCTGTCTCTCAATCCTGTTGTATCATTATTTTATTCATTTAACAAAATTTACATAATCTTACTATGTATAAGCATTCTAAGTGTTTTACATGCATTATATTTAAAACGCATGATAACTTTATGAGTAAACACTGTTAAACTGATTTAACACATAGGGAAGCTGAGACACAGAAAGTTTCAGTAACTTAACCAAGTTCACATAGAGAGTGGCAGACAATTCAGGCAATTTGTTTCCAAACCACTGTACTACACTGTCTCCCTTTGATGTGAGCTCTGGGTTCCTGCCTAGACTCCACAAATACAGGGTGATAACCATTGTTGAACAAATAAATTTGGAAATGTCAAACCTTTCCCCACCCCTGCCAGAGGCTGCTTGCCTTAGTCTAGTTTAGCCACAGCACCCATCTGCCCAGCTGTTCCGAGGGCTGTAGGGGTACCCTGGAGGTTCATGCTGCTGAGTGCCCCGGGCTCAGCAGCCCTCCCTCTGCACACACACAGGCTTGCCTTTGCTGGCCAGAGGAGCCGACAGGTCTGTATGCTTCTCCGGTTGCAGAACTCATCATTGGCTGGCTGTCAGCCTTAAACATTTTCAGTGAGCAGAGTACTTTGCAATTAGTGAATGTGTCTTCTTGACTGGAGTTGGGTGGTGGGCTACGGGTGCTATTTAGAGCCAGGGAAACTAAGGGGAAGTAGATGATATTCAGAAGGAAGGAACCCCAGCAGACGAGTTGTTTCATCAGCTCCTAGAAGCCTCTGCTCAAGCCTTCCTGCTGCCCTTCAGTTTAGGCCAGGACTCTTTCAGCCTTCCCACCTGTCTCTAACAAAGTTGAGACCAAGGTGGTAGGGCTGTGGATCCTGGGGAAAGGGTCAGGGGCGTGTTCATTTTTGCCTGGAGCGAGTTTATTGGCTTATTTGTTTCCCCAGCTCCTCACCGGGTCTTCCACTTGGCTCTGCCTACAGCCCTTGCTTGGGGTCCCCCAGAGATTTTGAAGAGCACATCTGTCTCCGCTGGTCAGCACTGAAGACTCAGAAACCACCTATGCTGCCCTGGTTAAGACTAGGGTCTCAACCCTCCCTCCTCATGTTCTGAATGAAGAGAAATGGACTGGAGGGCTGTTTAAAAATTAAAGCTGCTGGGTGCGGTGGCTCACGCCTGTAATCCCAGCACTTTGGGATGCCGACGCGGGCGGATCACAAGGTCAGGAGTTCGAGACCAGCCTGGCCAATATGGTGAAACCCTGTCTATACTAAAAATATAAAATTTAGCCGGGCGTGGTGGCACACGCCTGTAGTCCCAGCTACTTGGGAGGCTGAGGCAGGAGAATCGCTTGAACCCGGGAGGCAGAGGTTGCGGTGAGCCAAGATTGTGCCACTGCACTCCAGCCAGGCTGACAGAGTGAGACTTCCTAGTAAATAAAAAATAAAAATAAAATAGAATAAAAATTAAAGCTGATGACAAGGCATTGTCATTACACTTAGAGAAGGAACAGCCCTTCGCAAGTATCCTCAGGGTAGCGTGTCCCACGTTCTGGGCTGGTCCTGGCAACAGTCTTGCTGCTGAGGTTCCACCTTAAGACTTCAACGTCATATTTTCTGAAACTATAAGACCACCGGGCGCGGTGGCTGACGCCTGTAATCCCAGCACTTTGGGAGGCCGAGGCAGATGGATCACGAGGTCAGGAGATCGAGACCATCCTGACTAACACGGTGAAACCCCGTCTCTACTAAAAAATACAAATATTAGCCATGCGTGGTGGCAGGCACCTGTAGTCCCAGCTACTTGGGAGGCTGAGGCAGGAGAATGGCGTGAACCTGGGAGGTGGAGCTTGCAGTAAGCCTAGACCACTGCAGTCCAGCCTGGGTGACAGAGCGAGACTCCGTCTCAAAAAAATAAATAAATAAAATACAAAATAAAAAAATAAAATTATAAGACCCCACCCTGCCTTACTGTGCTGTAAAACAAACGTACATTTTACTATGCATTCCAACTGCCAAATTAAATTAATATAGACATTTCTTTAGGGAAAAACATTCTATCTTTTTACACTAGACAATCTTCACCTTTTCACATCCCTGTTTTCTTTGACCTTATTAAAAACTTTTTAAAATATGTATGTTTTCTCAGCAGAATTTAATCTCAGCAATGCTCAATAGAATTTTTTTTTTTTTTTTTTTTTTTGAGGCAGAGTCTTACTCTGTCTTGCCCAGGCTGGAGTGCAGTGGCACAATCTTAGCTCACTGCAACCTCCACCTCCTGGGTTCAAGCGATTCTCCTGCCTCAGCCTCCTGAGAGAGCCCAGCTAATTTTTTAAATTTTTAGTAGAGATGGGGTTTCACCATGTTGGCCAGGCTGGTCTCGAACTCCTGACCTCAAATGATCCGGCCTCCCAAAGTGCTGGGATTTCAGGCATGAGCCATCACGCCCAGCCCAATAGGATATTCTTAACCTGGGGTCTATGGACCCTGAGAAATTCTATACAAAGGTATTTGTATTTTTTTTTGGTATCTATAGCTTTTTTTTTTTTCTTTGCCTCCGCTAGCAGCAGGGAGGGTATTAGCTTTGATTGAATGTGTAACTAGACCAGAGGCATTCCCACCCCCACCCCCACCCCTGTTCATCTCCAGCCCACAAAAAAAGGTTAAGAACCTCTGCTACAGAAGGTGGTGGTGAGGATCATTTAACTTTGTAGATACCTGGTATAGCACTGAGAGTAAAAGGAGGAGCAATGGAGAGGGGAGGTCCCGCAGAGCTGGAGACCCTAAAAGCTGAACCTCTAACAAGCTCTGTAATCTTAGGCAAGCAAATTAACCTCTCTAAGCCTTAACTGTAAAAATTAGGATAATGATAGTTCTGTACTCAGAAGGAAGTTGTGAGCATTAAACAAGATGATTCCTGTCAAGTTCTTAGCATAGTGCCTGGCACAGGGATGCATCATAAATATAAAATTCTTTAGCTGTCAGCATCAATTTCTTCTCCATCATTCCTCACATATGTTGGAGTGCACAGTACTATGTAGACGCTGCTTTCCTGTCTTTAAGACGGATCCGAATGCTTGCCTTTCGCAGATGAAGATGTATGTTGCAGAGGTGGATGCTGTAAAAATGGGACTAGATTAGAAGCCCTTTCTGTAACCTTGACTGAAGAAAATACAAGGTGACATTGTTTAAAGGCTCTATCACTTGCCTTTGTCTAGGGCTGCTGTTCTCTTCTGCACATAGTTTGCGGTCATGAGTGTGGCCTTTTTACTCCTAAAATGGCACAATGTGTCTTCAAATCTCAACAGATGCATTGTATTTCAACTCTATCATGAAAGGTAGCTTTTGCCATTTTTTCCTTTTTGTCACCACCATCATCCATTTTTACTTACTGCATGTCCCACTGTTCCAACTCTTTAAAAATGAGAGGGATGATGCCAATCCTCCACATGTTAGACTGTAAAACACATCTCCTTCCACCTTTTTCTGTGTTCCTTGTTCCCTGGACACATCAGTATATGGGCTTGTTCTCACAAGAGTCCACTGAGATGTAAATGTTAATTTAGGAACTGTATTATTGTTTCTCCCCAAAAAGGTTGCTGATGTGCTATTCCAGTGTGTACTAAATCACTTTTTGCCTCATTATTTTAAAGTTTAAATAAATGAATGTATTAAATAGTCTTAGTGTAAGAGTGCGTTTTCAGTCACCATAAGCATAATAGCCTTAAAAGTGCTGTTGTGTTCTATGACACTGTGATACTATTTGTAGCTTTTATCCAAAGATGGTAAGCTCAGTGCCTCAGGACTTGAAGCAGGCAGCCCCTAAGCAACTGTTTTTTGTGTGAGCTGTGAGTCCCAGGATACAAGCCTCTCATCTTCAAGGTCCCCAAAGAGCAGCACAGCTGGTAGCTGTGGATTTTTAGGCTGCCCTCCTGTAAGGTAAATGGTCTTTTCCACCCACTCCCTTGTTGATAGAGTGCCTTGAGAGAAAATGAAGACACTAGAGTGCTGGTCTCAGACTGCGCTGAGGCATCGCCTGTTCTGTAAGAAAAAGCAAATGAAGATTCATGTGTATTACAACTGTTTCTCCTTTGGAATCACAGGCCTTTTTTAAATAGAGGGGGAGGAGGGGATAGTCCTAGACCTGAAAAGATTCCTTCTTGTAATATAAGGAGAGCTGTGAGCTGTGGATCAAAATGAAGAGGAGTGAGGGGAGTATGCAGCGTTGCCTGTGGCTCCAGCTGAGCTGGGAGCCGGCGGCTTTTCCTGGGAACTGTATGTGGTGCAGCACCTTGGGACAGCAGTGTCTCTTAGTGTCTTCCACACGCCCCCCTGGGAAATAGGCTTTCTTTGCAGACAGGGACTTTCCCATTTAAGTCAGCTAACTTTTCTCTAAGATGAATCGTTTTCATTCTGGGAAGCATGTTGGTAGATGTCATACCAGGAAAATAACCATTTCAGTCGGCTGTAATTTTGCCTTTTGGCTATACACATTGAGCATAATTATTTAGGGTCTTCATCTTTTTCCTTTCATTGTCCATTCTTTCATTTTGTTTTTTTACTACTGCTACAACCACCACCACTGCCACCATCATCTTCTTGCAAATGGCTAAGCAGTGTCTGCATTATTCTACCTTCACCCAGTAAACTGAGTAGAATAGATCTTCTGAGCCCTGTTCAGAAGCAGCTAAAACCGGGACTTGCCCAGGATCTGTCAGCTCTTAAATAGTAAGACTGGAAATCATACCAGATCTCCAGTACTCTTTCTACTGCCCAATGAAACTCCCTTCTTCCCCTTCACTCCCTCTTGCCAGCTTAGCCTACCTAGGAAGTAAAGAAGGCATAATACAAATGAAAATCATGGCCTTTATTATTCATCTGGTTATGCTAGTACTTGGTGTGGTGACTCCTTTGCAGGATTATTTTAAAGAATGGTGGCAGCTATGTTTTACTCACTTTAGAAGTCAAAGACTCACGGTAAATCTTAGCAGAGGCAAATAAAAACATGATACCAAAACCTAACATCTAAATCTGTACTGTCCAGTATGATAGCTGTTAGCTACATGTGGCTATTTGAATTTAAATGCAAGTTGATTAAAATGAAATAAAATGTAAAAGGTAGTTATTAGTCACAATCATATTTCAAGTGCTGAATAGCCACATACGCCCTGAGATACTGAATTTTTAATTTAATTATAATTTATTCACATTTAAATGTAAACAGGCACATGTACCTAGTAGCCACTTTAATGGACTGTGTAGATACAGAACATGTCTATCACTGAAGACAGTTCTATTGGGTGGTGCTGATCTAAGGGCTATATCAATAACACTGTGGTCTCCTGGCAAGTTGTACCCTCTCTGTACAGGGGAGGACAACACAAATACTTCATGAGCTTTGTCTTCCAGTGACCTTCTCAGCTCATAAACAGCATGGCTTTGCTTTTAAAAAAAAAAAAAAAATCTACCCATGTGACTGCAGTAATCCGCAGCCAGTAAACAGCAGGGTGGGAGGGTTGCGAGGAGAACTGATCTATTTTTATGCACTGCAGAGTCCAAGCAGGAAAACCTGAGACCGGAGACAGTGGTGACATCAAGACTCACTTCCTAGTGAGTTTATTCATGACTCAGGCCATGTGCATATTTCCACTTGGATTCCTCACAAGTGCAAGTTTCTCTTCTAGGCTACAGGTATCTGCAGCCAGGTGCTGTAATGGATTTATAGTAGCCCGCCAAAAGATCAAATATCTGAAGCCTGACGGGTCACAAAGCTGACAGGAGCCATGACTATTGCATGAATTCCAGATTTCACAGTGAAACAGAGCTGCTGCTGAAAAATGGGAGCACAGAGCTGTTCACTGGGGCTCTTGATTCTAGACACTCAAAGAGGGGTACAGTTCTCTGCCCCATGTGTGTTTCTCACCCAACCTTTTCATGGTGTTGAGGAGGGGAAGGGACAGCTCAGTGGTGATTCTTCACTTCTCAAACGTGTCCTCCTCCTCTGTCTTCATAATGACCTCCTGAAGTCCAAAGTGCCTTCCAAAATAGCTCTTGGAAAGAGGTGGCAGTTTCCTGACTCCCCAATCTCCCCCATCCTGGGAGATGTGTTGATGGCACTAATTTGCGGGGTAGCAGAGACTATAGTCCTACTCTCTTTACTGGCTGGGGCATTGGAGGCATGCAGTAACTGTTGACTACCACTGCTACAACTGCTGTTATGATTATTACCATTATAATGATTAATCACTCACACCGAATGGGAAGGGAAGTAACCTTCAGAGGTTCACTCTTAGTACTTCTGGCACATATGCTTAGGGCCAGGGCCAGTGAGTCTTCATTCGCAGAGAGGTGGTAGTGAATCTCCCACAAGGATCCCTACTTCGGGAAGCCTGTGTTCCTGGTGGAAGTCCCATCATATCCCTCAGGCATACTGAGATTCTCTTCTCTAGAATTACCAGGCCTTTTCTGTCACTCCTCAGGCATACCCCCCGTAGCTGGAGGGATTTCCAGTTGCCAGGGTTCTTTGGTGCTTTTCTTTGCCTCCTGCAGAGATGCTGAGCTGTGGACACCTTCAGAAAGACCAGCACTGCCTCATGAGAGTATCTCCTGTCCCTCTTTGCGGGTTTAGGTTCCTTGTGTAGTCTGCACATCCAGAGGGGATGTGTCATTCTCTCTCTACCATTATAACCTGGGGTGGCCTCGGGCATTCATCGTTTATATGCCAGGAATTGCTAACCTAAGCTCTGCTATTTGAAGGCTTAAAGACTGCAGATCAAAAGTAGACACAGAGGGCCTTTACAATGAGATGATAGGCCAGTAGCTGTCATTCTTTATTCTTAGTGCTCATCTAAGCCATGACCATGTCCTTCAGATGTAGCTTTTAGATACTTTTCATGTGAAAGACTGGATACCTCTAGTCGACATGTCAGGGCCCCAAAGGAATCAAGTCCCTTTGGCATACCTTCATGTCCTCTTTTTTTTGTTTTTCTGTACTTCAATAGATGCAAATTCATTTACTCTTTGGTCTGCCTGTGTTGGGTATTCTCAGCTTGGGGAAACTCAATGAGCCAGCACACCATCCTATGAACAGAACACCAATCTGAGCCAGGGACATTCCGAGCAGACAACTCAGGTCAGGGCTTCCGGACAGATTCCCAAGGTCCCTGCCATCTGGCAGATGGACACCACTGACTGTGGTCTCCTCTCCATCCACGGTGTCCTCAAGGCCAAGTTACATGCTTCTTTGTCTCATTCTCCTTCCCTTTAGGTCCGCAGATCTTTCGGAGTCTTTGTATGTAAAGGCAGATTTTGGTCTTAGATTATTCCAGCTCCTTATAAACCAAGACTGAATCTTGTGCCTGTCATTGTGAGCGCTATTCTGTAAAGGGATTTTTTTTTCTGGCATACCAAATCCAGAGCCATAATTGGACAAGTTTAATTGGAGTCATTTCTATTCAATACATGGATGGCAAAGTGGGTTTTAATTGAGCATGTAAAAAGGGCATTAATCACTGTTCACACAGGAATCACAATATTAGAACAGGAAAAATTCTTATAAAGTTTTTCAGGTTCTTGGGTAAAGGGGACTTTCCTCTTTTTATTTATGCTTCCATTAGGATTTTGAAGGAATGCCAGTGCACTGTTATTAACTCTAATAGCTTGTCCCTCGCAGCCAGGATGGTTTGGGGCCCTCTGGCTCTCAGGTTACCTGTGTAAATACAGGGATTCACTTGCCAGCACCCAGCTCTGACATTTGCTTAATAAAGAGCAAATGTGCAGAACCCAACAGCAGCAGCAGCCTGGCAGAAGCAGTAATCTGAACAGGATAAACATGCTTCCTCTTTGTGCGATGCTCTTTCTCCATCCTTCTGCCAAGAGCAGGATATCAAATGAAGGGGAGGTTGTGGTTGGAGTCAGTGAAGTGAATGTCTAAGTGGCACCTGCTTCATTCAACAGATCTGCTTTCCTGGGGCCTCCCAGTGCACATCTGCTCCTGACAAAGCCTCTTTTCTCCTCCTATTGGTCAGACTGAGAGCAAAGGCCTGGCAAGGAGACATACTGGTTTTGCTTTGTCAGCACAATTGCCTGTGACATTATAATTACACCAAATCTTCATTATTAGAAAGGCCCCAATTTAGAGATTTTCAGAGCCTAAATGGGATTTTCTAAGTGAAATTGATTAAAAAAAAAAAAAAAAACAAAAAACTTTGCCATCATAAAGCCTAGCAATTGCATCTGAGAATCATTGAAGGGGTCTAAATATGGAAACCGAGACACTGCTGTGAGTGAGACTACAAAGACCATGCTATCAGATTGGCTCGCTAGAGAGGCGTCCAGCAGTCTTCCGACTCTGCCCAGCCCATCCTCTCCTTATTCCCGTAGCACTGTAACATGCAGATACCTACACTGCATTGCTCTCACATGCTGATAGTTTCTCATGCAGAGGCCTGGTGGGGGAGGGGCTGGAGGGTGTTAAAATAAGTTGATGAGGTATGGCAGTAAAGGAAAGAACCTGTGACTTAAATAAGGGAAATACCAGAAATCTATATTTTAGGTGAATACAAAGCATCCAATTTAGATTGAGTTTCCATTTAAACAAAGGCAACTCTTAAGAGTGTTGCACAGTGTGAGTGTATGTGTCTGTCTGTCGGAGGCACGTTTATGATATGGAGTTGGCACACTGGAAGCTCTGGAAAGGTTTTAGAGCTGTGCTCTGGCTATTTAAACTTAATTAAAACAGAATAAAATTTAAAAATCAGTTCCTCAGTCACGCTGGCCACATTTCAAGCACTCTGTAGCCACTGTGTCGGACAGCACTCAAACAGAACGTGCCCATCATCACAGGAAGCTCCAGTGGACCACACTGTTTGAGGTTGGTCTGAACCTCTTGAAATGCCTCGGCTGCTTAAGGAAGCCTGGGAGTTTCTATTGCAGGCTTGTTGGAAGGAAAAAATGAAATTTGCCTCAATGTTTCTGGAACAACTCCTTCCAGCCATGTTACCTAGACTGTGTTCTTTTTCACCTTTTTGTATTTTTTTCTCCAAGGATTTCATGTCCTTTGCCTACTCCTACCCCTTGTTTAAAAAAAAAAAAAAACCTGAATTATAACAATGAAAAGGAAATTTAATTTTAGGAATGTCCACTTTCAGCTGACCTTCTCCTTGGCCTTCTCCTAATTAAACTTTCACAGCCCTGCTGTTGGACCAGACAGTCCTTTTCTCATTAAATGGAGCACCTTAGTAAAACAAGAGGGCATGTGAACACTCGGGCCAAGAGTGTGTAAACAAGTTGTGCATTGTGTGGACAATGCTGCTGGGTGTGGAACGCTGGGCTGCCAACACTTTCCATTTTCAGCAACTCTTGGGACCAAGGACAGGGCCTTTAATCTTGCTTCTTCCATTTGTCTGTGTCTAGTAGCTACTACACAGTTGCTTTGACTCCTGGAGAAAGCCCACGTAAAATAACAATACTACTTCAAATTTAGACAGTGTCTTTTTTTCTCAAGAACTTAAATCATGTAAGCATGATGTTATTTATCCTCATAGTGGTCCTAAGATACAGAAGTGGCCTGTTGGTTTTACAAATGTGAATATAGTCAACTCTTACTTGTTACCTACAGATTATCTGTCACGCAGATTACTCGTGACACATTTTAAATCCTTGGGCAATTTCTCTGAGCGAGCCAGTGTAAGCCTGGACCATCTCCTCTGCCCCCCGACCCAGCTGCTGGGTACTTAGGGAATACAAATTAGTTTTCATATTAGCTTAAAGAAGACATAATTAGGAAGGTAAGTCTGCTACAAGAAAATCACATCACAAATTCCAACGGCGAGGGGGAAATATGAGGGAAATGACCTCCTCTCCCTTCAACTGAACTAAGATCTGGTGGTCTAAGTGCACATTAGCACTTGGTGCTGGCATGCTTGCCGAAGGCTTTCCTCACGGGTGGAAGGAGCGAGGCTGTGCACCCTGCACCAGATGTGCATGGGAGGCTGCAAGCGCCGCAGCGGGGCTGGTGGCCCATCTTGCCCGGTGCTTTTTTTTTTTTTTTTTTTTAACAGTTCTGTGTTATTGTCAGGCCTCTTTATGGCAGATCGTGCAGGTCGCAAGTGGATCCTGACTGACAAAGCCACAGGTGGGTTCATCTTTGGGGAAAGAAGGAAGCAGCTGGAGGATAGAGTCACTGTGAGGCTGTCATTCCAGGCGCTGCTTCCTGCTTGGATGGTGGGATTCCTCTACTGTGCAGTCCCCCTCACTCGGTCACCTGATAGTTTTAGTAACCATTGATTCCATTGATTATCTGATTTTTCTAGTGTTAAATGTTTCCTTTTCATTTATTAGCTGGAATTCTTTTTTAAGAGACAGGGTCTTACTACATTACCCAGGCTGGAGTGCAGTGGCTATTCCCAGACTACAGGTTCGAACTGCTGGCCTCAAGTGATCCTCCCACCTCTAGTTGGGATTCTTTTATAAAGAACTTGTCCCCATTAACAATTTGGCTATGCTAAGTACAGTTCAGATAGGAAAAGCAGGAGAAAAACTTGATGAAGATGAACTTTATTGGGATAGAGTTCTTTCCATCTTACTCTAAAGCCCCATTACTGTCTATTTCCACTTACTGATCTGCTTTTTTCAGGTGTCTCACTGCCTAGAGCAAATTTAATTCTGCCCTTTATGTGCTCTTAAAAAGTTTTAGTTTTTTTGTGGTTTTTTTCCTAAATGGTGCTCTACAGATTATGCTGAGTGAGGGGATGAAAAGTCACGAGTACATCTTTGGAAGCTTCCTTGCCTCAGCGTATCCCTGCTCAGATAGAAGAGGCAGGGACTGGATGACAGGCACATGGGGGTTCATTGTACTCCTCCCTCTCCTGGTGCCTATTTGACATTTTCCATCATAAAAAGTTTGAAGAAAAAAAAAAGTTTGAAAGTAATAATAACAGAAAAATAAATAAATCTCCCTTCCTAACTCTGAGTAACTCCTGAGTGGGCCTGCTGTTCATTTCTGCACCTGACTGTTGCAGGCTCCTGGTGACTTTCTTCTTCTGAGGTTTGTCATCTGGGCTCCACTTTCCATTTTAAAATATTGGTGCACTCTGCATATTGCCATGATCTATCCTCTGGGACACAGACTTCAACCTGAGTGTTGTTCCCACCCTTCTTCCTAGTGATTTCTTCTGGGAATTTACTGGGTACCCCTTGCCTTGCTCTGTACAGTCAGATCAGATGTCCTCCAGAGCAGGGGTCCCCAGTCCCTGGCACGGCAGGAGGTGGGTGGCAGGTGAGCAAGCATCACCGCCCGAGCTCCACCTACTGTCAGATCATCAGCGGCATCAGATTCTCATAGGAGCACGAACCTATTGTGAACTGATGATCTAAGGTGGAATAGTTTCATCCCCAAACCATCCCCCTCAACCCCCCCCCCATCCATGGAAATACTGTCTTCCATGAAACTAGTCCCTGCTGCCAAAAATGCTCGGGACCGCTGCTCCAGAGCACGTGCATATTCCACAAGCTTCAGCAGAACGCTTTCTCTCCTGCCATTTTCAGTTTAAAGCCTTCTTGGCAGGGTCAACAGGCCTTGCAGTTAGCTTGTTCATCCCCACGTTGGGAGCTCAATTTTCAGGATAATAAACCATGGTGGTTCTGAATACTGAAACACAGAGCGTTTCATAACGCTCCTGGGCATTGCCAGTAATTTCAAGAGGAAATCATGACATTGTATCTCCAAAATAGGTCTTGAGATATATTTACTAATAAAGTAAAAATGAATTCAGTTTTAATATTTGGCTTATGGGATGAGGGGCATGAAAAGCTTCCTGGTGGTCTGCAAAAGCAGGCAAAAGATAGAGTGAGCCTGTCTCAACCAGAGTCACTCCTTTGAATGTTATTCCAGAAAGCAGTTTTTCTTAGTCTTGAGATGGTCCAGCAAGAGAGAAGAAAACTCTTTGAGTGCTGAAAAGCACCCTGTGCACCAAGGCACCTGTGAGGCTGCTCTTGGCTTCATGAGAATATTCAGTACTTGCCAGATGTAAGACATATTTTAATCCATAAATCCCCCAAATGTACCCAAAAGCTTGGACTTAGGAAACACGGAAAAGGGAGATTAAATGTCCCAAAAGCAGCTAATAGAACAGAAACAGAACCACTGGGAAAGAAATGCTTTTTCTCTTCCCCGTTTGCCCTACTATCATGAGGTTACTTGGACCTCCTTTTTGTTTGATATTGACATTCTCTTCATGACCTTCCTCTTCTTGCCCTACATATGTCCTCTTTCCATCTAGTCCTTGGTATTCTCAGCCTGTCTAACTGCTGTCTGCCTGCTAGACTAGCTTCTTTACTGATTTCCTGTTATCTTCTTCCACTTCTATACTGGCACATACCATGCCTGTTTTTCTTCATATAGTGGCTTTCCTTAGACGTCAGCCACTGATGTAAATATTTTTCCAGGCCTGTAAATGGAAGATTTTTAAAGGACTTCCTTCCTGCCTGTCACCCCTAGAAACACCTATAGATACCGTTGCTGGCTCCTTAAAAACTCAAGCAATATAATCCGGAATTTAATTTCTTACTCACGTATTCCTCTCCTTTCTAATCATGGTCCCGGTTCCCATTTGGGCCAGTATTTCTTTGATGTACATGGTTAGCGTTCATGTTCATAAACTAAAGAAGGCATTACGTAATGTAAATTTCCCTTTGGGTTTTAAGAATTATTTCTTTTCCACCTACTGTCATGTTTATTATTTGTTTAGCTCTCTCTTTTTCTCTCAACAGCCATCAATATTTTTCTCCCAACTAAAGATATTTCCATGACCACCTTGGAAGGCCTTCAGGCTGAAAGATTCAGTTACAGCAAACAACAATTCCCAAAGGTTTCCCAGACTGTGAGGGCAAATGAAAGGCCCATTCTTCCTCAGGTTGTCTGTCCTGCTCTATCTTGTCGTGGGGTGAGGGGAGGAGGGCCAGCTATGGTGCTGGATAACTTCAACAGCCCTGCAGCCCTGTGCTCTGCCTGGCTCAAGTCTGTTAGTTTCTGGAGGACTTCAGAAATGTATCAGGGTGATGACATCACATCATACTGCCCTGATTGTATTTTTCACATTCTTAATATTGAGGAGTGGTTCTGCCTGGTTGCTTATTGACCAGTGCACTCGATTAGCAACCACTTCATCTACGTCATGTGCAGTGCCAGTTCTGACCATCACTGTGTTTCAGAAGGGAAGCTGCCTGCCAGTCCATCTGCCCTGATTTCATGGCTGTTATCTTTAATCTTTACATCTTTGAAGGCCTTTGGTGAATGATGTGCTTCCTGGCAGGAGAAAATCACTGCTGAAAGGAGATCTGTGTTGTCTCTGCTTTTCTTTCTGTTTCCCGAGAGCTTTAGTCTAACATCTGTGACCCCAGCCAGACTCCATCAAACTTCATACTCAAAGTCATCTTTGAAAAGCAGTGGCATTTATTATATACCTACTATGTGCCAAGCACTGTAATAGATTTTAATGTGTCATCCCATCTATCTAGTTTAGCAGCCCTGTGAGATGAGTGATCACCATTTTACATATGAGGAAACAGGCTCACAAGCCATTAAACAGCAGAACCAAGATTCACATGTAGGTCTTTCTGACTGGGAAGCCTTTAATGGAAATAAACAGCCTACTTTTTCTCACATAAAATGCACCTGATCTGCAGCACCATGAGAATGGTTGTGGAGAAAATTCGACTTCATTCTGAATCAGAGTAAAAGGTGTTAAGGCTGTTTGGTCTGTGGAGGGCAAGACTAAAGGGACTACCATCAAGTTTCTGAAATTCATGAAGAGTATGATCAATGATACATTTTCATATCATATTCAATTATTGAGCACCTACTGTGTTCAAGTTGCTCAACATTAAAAGACAGTCCTCGGCCGGGCGCGGTGGCTCATGCCTATAATCCCAGCACTTTGGGAGGCCGAGGCAGGTGAATCACGAGGTCAGGAGTTCAAGACCAGCCTGACTAACATGGTGAAACCCCCACCTCTACTAAAAATACAAAAATTAGCCGGGCGTGGTGGTGCGCGCCTGTAATCCCAGCTACTCAGGAGGCTGAGGCAGGAGAATCACTTGAACCTGGGAGGCAGAGGCTGCAGTGAGCCGAGATCAGGCCACTGCACTCCAGCCTGAGCAACAAAGCAAGACTCCGTCTCAAAAAAAAAAAAAAAAAAAAAAGACAGTCTTGCCAACAATGCAAGCATGCAGATTTATAGACAGAAAAGCAGCAACTCCTTGGGAACAGGTCAGCACATACCTGGGGCCAAATGAATGGTGGCGGCAATAAAGTCACAGGAGGGAGAAACCAGGTGGGCTGTCCCCTCAGAGGCAACCCCATGAACCATGTGGAAACTGCTAGAAGAACTGGCCTGAGACTGGCAGGGCCTAATTCCAGACAGAGAGACCTGCCTGAGGAAGTTCACATGGCATCCAAGGGACACATGTGATTGTAATGAGGGGATAGTGTAGGGTGTTAGCAGGAAAGGCTACATAAACTCCTTCAACTATTAGCTATTTAGACTTTATTTTCCTGATAGGAGAAAGCAAAGTAATGTTTTTGATGGGATGGGATGGCTTTTGCCAAACAATATTTTAAGATGTTAACCATGATAAACATACTTATTCATCCAATAATACTGAATACTGAAAGAAGTTAGCCTTGGGAAAAATAAAGTCCCTCAAAATAACTAAATAAATTCCATTTCCACGGATACATGCACATATGTTTATGTGTGTAAATTTCATTACACAATAGGCAAGTGATGAAACTCATTGCCCCAGGAGAGATCTGGAATAGAGTAGATTGGCTCATGAATGATAAATCCAGAGTGTGCAAGACTGTGACCCTAACCTTTAAAGCAAATCTCACTGGTGCCCGTGGTCTACCACAGTGCTCCCCTGGTGCCACCATCAGAGACAGACCACTGTAAAACCTCATGGCCCCTTGTTTTGCAGCGTGCAAGGCCAGGCTTATGAATAGATATCATCATCTGCCACCCATGTAATGTGATCTGAGAGGCATCACTTTGTACGGAAGTTTTAAAAGATCCCTCTGGCAGGCGCTAAAGTAGGGTTATTACAAAGGAAGGCAAGAGATGGTAGTGTCTGTCCAGGGAGGCAGGGGGAAAAGTGTTGAATTTGGGTTCTGTATTTGAAGGGAGAGAATCAGCTGGTGCATTGGATGTGTGAAGTAAAGGATGACTTCAGAGCTTTTGGCCTGAGCAACTAGAAGAATGTTATTGCCATTTATTTGGGAAGAGAGGAGACTTGGGAAAAGCATGTTTCACCATTTTGGCTCAAGAATGATACACATTAAAAAAAAAAAAAAATAGAGCCATGTCAGGCCTCATTGTCCTTGACAGGGAAACATGGTCCTGCAGCCAGTTCTTCCAGAGATTTGGGTCCAACTGCTGCTTGACGAGGAAATCTTTATGTTGGCACCTGAAGTTTCTGAGTCACCTTTGACTTTTTTTCCATTTTGACCAATTCTATAAACCTTACCATGAAGCTTGAGAAGAAAAGCAGCAGGGGGCCCAAAGAGGACAGTCCTCTCCCTTCTGGATCCTTCCTGGCCCTGGTGTTAAGTGTTTAAGGACATTCTAATATATGGAAAAAGACTCCCAAATCAAAGGCCTGGGTCCCTGACTTTACCATCAACTCAGTCATTTGGGGAACAAAATCAGTCCTCCTTTGATCTGTGTTGAGGTTTTTTTTTTTAATAAAATTTTTATGTTTACTTTTGAGTTCAAATAAAAAGACGGGTTGTATTTACTAAACTGAGTTAACTCCAAGGTTGTGTGTAGCTCTGAAATACTAAAGTCTTCAGGACATTAGAAGTATGTGCCTTTATGATGAGCCCGTGGTTCTGGCTCTGACTCGTGAAAGGGAAGGAGCCCTGCCCTGTGGACTTCTCTAGGGTCTCAGCAGAAGTCAAGTGACATGCAGCGGGGGTGAGAGGGCTCAGAAAGGGGCTGTACTGAGGCCAAGGGTCTCATTACCAGGACTCTACAAGGGCCCTGTAAGAAAAAGGAGCACTTCCACCCCTTAAAGTAGAACACGAAGGGCTTCCTGTTGCTTAATCAATCGAAATGACCCAGAATACAAGCTTGGATTAACATGCGCCTCTAGATTAGGGCTAATCAGGGGCAGGCTGAGCAGATGCAGGGACAGTCCCAGCCTGATTACTGTACCTCAGCATTTAATCATCTCTCTTCCAAGGGCAGCCGCCCGACTTAGGGCACGCTGGGTTTCCAGGCCTCCAGCCCCTCCCCCTTTCCCTTGCCAGGGACATGAAGGCTGTTAGGTCAGAGACACTGAGGCGATTTAATCTAATCCCATGTCAAAATGGCTGTGTGTGAGAGAGACAGAGGTCTTAAAATCCCTACAGTGGTCATGCATTTATTTAAGGTGGCAGTAGACAGAAACTCTATGTAGAAAACAGCGGAATTGGGGTTCCAAGGCATGCGAGGTTATGAAATGACTCCCATCATGGCCTCCCTCTCCTGTGCTTCTAAGGTGTGTGGCTGTCCTCACCAGTTACTCATCCCTGGGAGCTTTGGGTGGGGACCATTTCCTCACCCAGGTGTGGCCAAATATGCTTCTTCCCTGTCTGGGGTGGAGTACAGAAGATGGAATCTTTCAAAAACAGCTTTATTTGGGTGAGTCTTGAATATAGTATTTTTGAAGCTGCTTTTTTTCTGGGCTGGAAGCTCTTGTTCCAGAACAGCCTCATCACCCTAAGGCTCACCCACCTTAATCACGCAGTCCCTAGAAGGGACACAAGTTAAATCTTAGTAAGCAGGTTTCATTCATGGTAGTAGAAAACATTCCAGCACCTGCTGACTGCTGGCCACTCAAAGATGGAGACTTAATTCCTCCCTTAAGGAATCTACGGTCTCCTTGGGGACAAGACATACGAGCAGTGAGGATGAATGAGGCCGCTGTCTCCAAGGAGCCTGTACAGGGAGCAGAGGAGGAGCATCGGAGAAGAGGACCCAAGATGGGGAGGAGAGAGGCTGGGGAGGAGCCCCCTCCAGGCAGAAGGCATGGAGGTGTGTGCTTGGAGAACCTCAGTCAAGTAGTTCATCTGGCTGGCGTGTGAAGTGAGTGGGGATTAGTGGATCACCAGGCTTAACTGAACAACAGTGGCCGACGTGAAGAGTTTAAATACCTGCAAAGGGGTTTGGACTTTATATCCCGTGGGCCACTAGAAACCACTGAAGAACTGTGAAGGAGAACAGCAAGATCAGGTCAGATGTTCAGAAGATCATTCTGATGATGGCAGTATCAGCCAATAGATAGATTTTTGCATTAGAACCTTGCTTCATTTATTCTGGGGAAAATCTTCCGTGATACTATGAAAACTATTTTAACAATTGGGCATGGGCCCACATCATAGGAAACCCAAACACATCACAGCCAGGGTGAAAGAAATTTAACTTTGACAATTCTTTTAGTTTCTATTCACACCAGCCCTAACCCAGATGGTTGCTCACAGTTAGTTAGAAAAGATCTCCCTGCACACTGTAGTCACTGTATTTGTACAGCAAGGGACTTGTTCCCCAAGCCTGGAGCTTTTGGAACTGAATGGAGCCCAGAGGCAAGAGCAGTGAAATGAGGCTGACCTTTGCTTCTGGTTTTGCTTGCTACTTGCCAGTATGTGGGTTCCCTGGAGGAACACACAGGTGTCTTGGCTTTGCCACTGGGCATTTTGGGTGATTTCGTTAACTTTGCCTGTTTTGACCAGAAGAGAGCCTGATCGTGATAGGAGGAGGCGGGGGACTGACGGGGTTATACAATCTTCACATATATATACACTCAGTCCCATGCCTTGAGTCTAGAGGCTGGGGAGAGGGCCCAGCTGCACGTTGGTTGAGGCCAGCAGTACATGGCCCTTGAGGCTATGCTGATAGCAACTTGTGGCACACTTTGTACTTCATACTGTGAGGAACATGAAATAAGCCAGAGCCAGGCCTGATCTTGAAAGAACCCTCTGTCAAGTGGGAAGGCCTGTTGCAGACATGCATCAACTGGCCCAGCTGGCTTATCCATGGCTGTCCCTGGGCCTCCTGTGAATCCAGAGGAGGCTGCTCCAGCATTGATAAGGCTGGGATGGGGCAGGTTCCACAAGGAGGGAAAGCTCACCCCAGTGTAAAAGGAAGGAGTGGGGGATAAGTCTATCTCATGAATAACCTGAGCAAAGGCCCAAAAGAGTGTGGCTGATAGATTGGGGGAACTGAGAGTAGTCTGGGGGTGGGGGGCACCTAGAGGACAGGGCACCTGTGAGAGAGTGAGGGAGATGAGACTGGAAAGATGGACCAGGGCAAACCACGAAAGGCCTTGAAGACCATGCTAAATCATTTGAACTTTGTTACAAGCTTTGGAAACCTTTTAAAAACCATGGAATTTAAATGTTTGAGATGAGGGGAGTAACATTATGGAAAGATATTTTGGCTGGGTGTGGTAGCTCATGCCTGTAATCCTAGCACTTTGGAAAGCCGAGGCAGGAGGATCACTTGAGCTCAGGAGTTCAAGACCAACCTGGGCAACATAGTGAGACCTCGTCACTATTTAAAAAAATAAAAAATAAATAATAATAAAGAAAGATAATTTGAGTGACTGGGAAGGGGTGAACTGAAAGAGAGATTAATTAAAGACAGTTAAGAGCAATTTGCAAAGGTTTAGTTGAAAGAAATTGAAGCCCACAGTTTTGTAGGCCAAGGCCTGGCCCTTCTGCGTGCTTCCCCCATGCCCACGTGCACTTGGAGGCTGGCCTCTCTCCTCCTCCTTTCAGGCCTGCATTGCAAGTGTGGGGGCGACTGGCCACGTCTTCCATTTCGGTGAGGGCACACCAGAGGAGCCAGGGTTTCTAGTGATGCGTCACCATAACAGCAAGTCTCATTTCATGAAGTCTCACTGCATCATCAAATGCTTACCCCTTATCCCTAAACTGGCAAAACTTACTCTTAGAAAAAAGTTACATACAATTTAACATTGGAAAAGAAAATCTTATATTTGATTTTTTTTGCATTAGAAAATATTTTGACAACCCTTTTTAAAATAATTTTTATCTTCATCAAAGTAGCCTATGGTTTAAATGTCAAAAAGAACTAAAAGGGGCCTCTCTGGGTCAGTTTCTCAATACAGTGGGTGAACCTCAGAGGCCCAGTCAGCAAAGGTCTTTGGGTCTGGATGTTGGGGTTGGTCTAATCAATTAAATTCAAACTTTCCACTCATTCTCATTTTTAGCCTCATCCCTCTTTCTGCCGTAGCTAGGCCTCTATGTGCTGAGCCCTGTGTGAGCATAGGAGTTGCCCCTTCCACTTCTCTGTTCAATCAGAACCATTTCACATTTGCTTTGCATCTTCCCAAAAAATGTTGACATCCCTCGGTTATATCCTTTTTTCCTCATTCACTGTAATTCTAGTTTCAGAAGGAAGAGAGATTGATGTATATGTTAGTTACTGCCTTACTGGGAATCCTTTTTTTTAATGTATTATCAGCTTTCCCTTTTTAGGCAGGACTACCTTTATGGAGGTTATGTGCTTCTTCCTTTAAGCCATCCTTTCTACTCTGAAATAATAGTGATATTAGGGAGTAGCTGGGGTCTTTTTTTTTTAAGTTGACCCCAAAATGTGTTTTTACATTTTACTGGTGTGTGAAATCTAGAAATCAGGAAACAAGTGACCTAGGCTTTAAAAATAAATAAATAAATAAAATAAGCTTGACTATGAAGGAAGGCACATAGACGGAGCAGTGGCCAGAAGACAGGATAGGAGAGGGACAAGATTTTTCTTTTCAAGCTGAGAGAGACTTAAGCATAGGCAGAAAGAGGGTTGAAGAAGGCAGTGTAGCCAAATATCAAAGAAAAATAATGGTGGCCTGTTCTGAGAGGGAGAAGACAGGCCGGGGACATTCACACCTGACGGGCCTGTGCTTCCTAGATGCGGAGGCAGGCAGGGCCCTCTCACGGCAAGCTGGGAAGGCCCTACCCTAAGGCATGTTTCCACAATTTCTCTAAACTTTTCTTTTCTGATAGTCTGTTTTAAAAAAATCAAAATGGTCAGGGTTGGTGGTTCACGCCTGTAATCCCAGCTATTCAGGAGGCCAAGGTGGGAGGATCACTTGAGGCCACGAGTTCAAGACCAGCCTGGGCAACACAGCAAGACTCCATCTCAAAAAAAAAAAAAATTATATTAGCCAGGCATGGTGGCACACGCCTGTGGTTCCAGCTACTCAGGAGACCGAGGTGAGAGGATCACTTGAATCCAGGAGTTCGAGGTTGCAGTGAGCTGTGGTCACGCCACTGCACTCCAGCCTAGGCTACAGAGCCAGACCCTGTCTCTTAAAAAAAAAAAAAAAAAAAGTTAAAATGGAAAAAAGTTGATTTCCTAGAAGTAGAGAGTAGAATAATAGTTACCAGAGTCTGGGGAAGGGTTGGGGAGGGGGGCAGGAGAGGTTGGCCAGCAGGTGCAAAGGAAGAATAAGTTCTGGTGTTCAGTTACACAGTAGGGTGACTGTAGCGAATAACAATGTAGTCTGTGTTTCAAGATAGCTAGATTTTGAATGTTGTCACCACAATGAATGATAAATCTTTAAAGAGATTAATATGGTAATTTTCTTGATTTGATCATTCTACAGTGTATACATGCATTGAAACATCACATTGTACCCCATAAACATGAACAGTTACTATATATCAATTATAAATCTTAAAAATTAATGAAAAAAATTTTAATGGGGTGGGAAAGAGATGTCTTTGTGCCTGGGCCATGGGTATGTGATCACCTGAGGCTGGTGACCACGATACCTCAAAGGCAAGACTTGGGTGCCCCCGTCCAGCCAGCATCTGGGAACTTGAGCCTGAGCCCCACCAACGGTCTTCTCTTTGTCTCTCCAGGCCTGGTCCAGATCCCTGTGAGCATGTACCAGACTGTGGTGACCAGCCTCGCCCAGGGCAACGGACCAGTGCAGGTGGCCATGGCCCCTGTGACCACCAGGATATCAGACAGCGCAGTCACCATGGACGGCCAAGCTGTGGAGGTGGTGACATTGGAACAGTGACATACAGCCATATTATGGCATCGTTTTCTAGTCTACTTCAAAATTTTTTACACGTTTGCAGAGGTGCAATCAAATGGAATTAAGTCTCTCGACTTTGGAAGGAAAGTTTTGTTAACCTTTTTTTTTTTAAAAGGAAGAAAGCGGATTTTGGAATTGCATTTTTTAAAGCACCACTCTTGATTTTCTGGGATTGGTGAAGAAACTGCATTGTCAATTTCACTGTCCCAAAAAAGCCAAATTGTGGCAGGACTTCTTTCTGCGGAAATGTGTGTGTATACTTATGTGTGTGTATGTGTGAGTGTGAATATATGTATATGTGTACATATGGACATACACATTTACATATATATAAAGTATATATATACATATATATATATATATATGTATGAAACCCGCATGGAATTATCTGTATGAAATCAAGGTGCGCTGTGGAAACAATAATTCACCCAGTTTAGTGGGTGGTAGGGTACGTGGCCAGACACAGTCACCCAGTTTTTGTTCATACCAGGGTCATGCGTTGAGCTACTGACAAACTCAGGCGGAGGTGACCATGCCCTTCACCAAAGCTGCCTCCCAGTGGCCACACAGAACTCTCCCTGCTGGACTCACCTGAGGAAAGAGGCTCCAGCATGGGGTGGGTCAGAGATGTGCTTGCAAGGTCCAGGGACTGCGTGGTCTGCCAGCTGAGATGCTCCTCGGGCTGGCCCAGGTGCTGACCTTGCCACAGGCAGATGAATGTCTTGAAAGCTCCCGGGCCTCAGCCTCCCATCTCCTCTCCTTCCCAGGAATCCTTGATCTCATGACTATTAAAATGTTGCTCTGGTTTTAAGGTCAGTCCTGAATTGCTCGTATATATGAACTGAAGGTAACCGAAGTATTAGGGGTTTGAGGAGTGCGTGCGTGTAAGTGTGCTTGTGTGTGTGCGTGCATGGTGGGGGAGAGGATGGGAAGGGGGCGGGGGCAGTGGAAGGGAAAGGAAGGAAAGAAAAATCGTCCTAGACCAGGATACACCCGTGGGAGCAATTTTCTCTACTGTCTGTAGCTTCACAGAGGAGGCGCTGGAATGAACAAGAAGAGACATCTGGTCTGTGGCCACAGCACCCTGAACGCCCCTGATCTTGTGTGATCTTGGAAGCTAAGCTTGGTTGGGCCCGGTCAGTACGCGGAAGGGAAGAAGGGACACCTGGCCATAGAAAACAGCTGAGGGTGTTTGCTGTGTTCCTGGATCAGGCCCTGCTTCAGAAGGGACTCCTGGAGGCCCATGTTCCTTGATGCAACCTCGTGGCCCAGGCCGGGAGCAGCTTGCCTCCTCAGAGGTGTTGACTATCTGGGTGTTCTTGGTAACCGTTAACTCTGTCTTTCTCAGCTGCAAGCCCTGAGTCTCCAGTAGCTGAATTCACCTGACTTTTCAACAGGCCAAATCTCTGAACCTTGAGTACAGGGACAGCTCCTCCTCCCTCCTCCCAGCTCTCCCCATGTGTGTGATGGTGTATTTAATGTGTTTTTTTAATGCGACATTAAAAGATTCTCCACGTCTTGCTCAACCTTTGAGAGAAGTTTCAGATTCTTGTATTTGCTTGTTTTATATAAAACTATCTAATGTTCTTTATATGTTCTTTTCTGTACGTAATGGGGGGAGGGGAGGGAAATTTACATATAAATAGTCCTAGTTCTACAATTTGTTATTTTTTTAATTATTATTTTTTATCGTCATTGTGAAGTTGTCCAGGGACTTTAAAGTCCATGTTCCTTTGTGGTGAAATAACCTCCAAATAGTTTGAGAAGTTGCCAAGACGAAGAAAAAAGCAAAACCCCAGTAGCAGAGCATGGATTCTGTGTTGTTTCCCATTCTGTCTTTGACTGCCTCATTCAATAAATAGTTAAAAATGTGGCAACAGGAAGTGGAATTGTTCATCTCTATAGGAGCTCTTGGCTTCTTAGGCAAAAGGAACTCTATCTTGGGGCAGCTCGTTCTGCGTTTAAAATGCAGTCCTACTCGAGATCAGCGGTCTCCGACCTGTGCCACTCCGACGCTGGGGACCTCCGTAAAGAAGACACTGAAGATTGCCCAGAGCCCCCTGCGAGCCCCATCACCAGACCTGCTCCATTTCATACATTTCATATATAACGTGTTTTCTTATACTGACGTTCTGGGGAAAAAATCGTATTTAAAAAATCCTAGGCCGGGCACAGTGGCTCCCGCCTGTAATCCCAGCACTTTGGGAGGCCAAGGTGAGTGGATCACTTGAGGTCAGGAGTTCCAGACCAGCCTGGCCAACATGGTGAAACCTTGTCTCTACTAAAAATAGAAAAATTAGCTGGGCATGGTGGCGGGCGCCTGTAATCCCAGCTATTCAGGAGGCTGAGGCAGGAGAATCGCTTGAACCCAGGAGGCGGAAGTTGCAGTGAGCTGAGATCACACCACTGCACTCCAACCTGGGCAACAGAGCGAGACTCCATCTCAAAAAAAAAATAAAAATAAAAAATGAGGGTGAGTGATGGTGCCTCTCCATCTTGGGAATTACTATTAAAGTGAATTGTCTTTCTTTCTCCAAGCAGAAGCCTCAAGCCATGACTTGTTCCCCTGCATCCTCACTCCCTGGTTTCTCACACAGCTTACTCTCTTAACATGGCATATGCCATCGCTCCAGCTGTTCCTCCTGCCCCATCCTTAGGCCCTTCATAGACCCCAGTAGCCTGCACCTCCATGCTTCTGCATGCCCTGGCCTCAGCCTGGAATGACCTGCTGTCACCCCCACCACCCTTTCTTTATATTGTTGGGTGTCTTGGCCACTTTCCTGGTGACCATGATTAGAATGCTTGCTTGGATGGGAAGGCCAAGAAGCCTTTTCCTTGATGCCTGATGGTGGTTCAGTGAAGCCAAGTGCCTACCTTTCCCCCTTCTTGCACAAATGGCATACCCTCGCCTATTTTTCACCAGAGACTGGACTAGAAAAAGGATTGAGTGCAGCCAAATCAACCACACATCCGTGCTATTGACTACCATGAAATAGCTGGGTTGTTTAGAATACCTGCTGACCAAGGGTCTCTCCAGAGGCGTCTTCTAGCTGCTGTTTGCCTGGCAAGCCTCAGATGCTGCCTTTGCCACAGGCATGTATTGACAACTGGTTTTGGTGGGGCCGATGGAGACCTCTTCCATTCCTGCCTAAGTCACCAACAGGAGCTGCTAACTCCGCTGTCTATAGAGACCAGGGAGGTCAAATCAATGAAGGAAGCTGAGGCAATTCCCATGTGAGAGGAGGGAGTGATGGGGACAGGCACAGTGGACAGCATCCATCTAAACGGGGCAGCCTGTCCTAGGTGCTGATTGTCACCATGCAGGAAGATGGACCCTAATGCCCCAACTTCAAAATTGTCCAGAGAATCTGGGGAATCCAGATTTTTGTACGAGATGTGATCGCAACAAATAAAAAATTTACATACTCTGCAAGCAAAATAAAACCCATCTGTAGACCAGACCTGACCTGACGGTCAGTTGCACTTAACTACGTGAATGCTTGTCATGTGCCAGGTGAATGAAGCATGGTAGTTGCCTGTGAGAAACAAGGAGTGAGGAGGAGACCTTTACATAAACCAACCGCTGCAGTCCAAGGTGATGAGGCACCATCTGGACAGAGCACTAGTGCAGAATGAGCTGTTTACCGCATTTGAGCCCTCAAAGGTCCTCTGTTACGTAGTTTATCATCTAGGCTCCACACAAGGATCTGGTGCTCACAGAAACCAGGAGACTGGTCTAAAAGTTACTGGCTTTAAGTCTTGCATCTGAGAAGGCCCACTGGTGATACAGGTGACTACTGGCATTCTCCAAACTTGAACAAATTAGCTGAGGAGAACCAGAAGGGCAGAGCAGAGGAGGGGTTCCTTGCCCTGGGCCTCACTCACGCCCAAGGAACGCTCTCTCCCCCTCTCAGTAATGCCTCCGAAGCTTGAGCTCTGGGCATGGCAGAGTCGTACCGGGCTCCTGGTGTTTCCTTTTGGTGTCAGCACCAAAACTCATCAGGGAGGAAACTGGAGCTTAATTATTTGGAGCAGAAGCTACGTGGGGTGAGGGAGTAGAGTCCGTGTTTTCCCTCTCACTCCACCTCAGCAGGCTGGTGGCACCTTGGTCATCACAACTGGGGCTTCAGATGCCCCATCCCTGCACTCCCACCCGGCCTCTGCTGTTTACTCCAGGAGGCAGCTCTTGGAGGTCACCCAGGATGCTGGCGGCAGCATGGAGGAAGGGGTACAATAGAGAGGGGAGGCAGGGCTCCGGGACTGGGCTCCGACTGAAATCACTGAAGAGCGTGGGTTTCCTCTTAGTCCCCAAGCCCCTCTGAATATGAGTTTCTCCATCCTGAAAACCACTGGGCTGCTACCAAACATTTGTTGAGTATTGGAGGCCTGGAATATATAGTGAGGAAAGGAGGAAGAAGGGATAACAGTCATCTGCAGAGGGGAACCAAGGTGCCCTGAGAACCTAGAGCCTCCTTAGGAGGCAGGAATAGGCCTGGGTCCTGAGCCCTCTCCAGGGCTCAAGCTTTGCTAGCTTGCTTACGAGAACTATGGTTTGTCTACACAGAGTGTATGGTAGCAATGATAACAGTGAACACTTAGCCCTTACAATATGCCTTGTACTGTATTAAAAGATTTACCTATATATTAATTTATTTAACCTTTACAAAATACTATCATCCCCGTTTTATAGATGAGCAAACTGAAATACAGAGAGGTTAAGTTAAACAACTGAGCCAAGTTCACACTGCTGGTAAGAGGCAGAGCTAAGGTACAAACCTGGGCGGGCAGGCTGGCTGGTCCCAGAATCTGTGCCTAGAAAAACATGACTTGAGCCTCATCACTCTGTCACCCAGGCTGGAGTGCAGTGGTGTGATCTCGGCTCACTGCAACCTCCACCTCCCGAGTTCAAGCAATTCTCCTGCCTCAGCCTCCCTAGTAGCTGGGATTACAGGTGCCCACCACACCCAGCTAATTTTTTTGTATTTTTAGTAGAGATGGGCTTTCACCCTGTTGGCCAAGCTGGTCTTGAACTGACCTCAAGTGATCCACCTGCCTCAGCCTCTCTTAAGTGCTGGGATTACAGGTGTGAGCCACTGCGCCAGGCCCCGATGATACACTTTTCTTGTGGCCTGGAATGGATGAAAGTGGAGGGTATAAGAGCATTCAGTTGGGGCCCGGCGCAGTGGCTCACGCCTGTAATCCCAGCACTTTGGGAGGCCAAGGCGGGCGGATCACGAGGTCAGGAGATCGAGACCATCCCGGCTAACACGGTGAAACCCCATCTCTGCTAAAAACACAAAAAATTAGCCGGGCGTGGTGGCGGGAGCCTGTAGTCCCAGCTACTCAGGAGGCTGAGGCAGGAGAATGGCGTGAACCTGGGAGGTGGAGCTTGCAGTGAGCTGAGATCGTGCCACTGCACTCCTGCCTGGGTGACAGAGTGAGACTCCCATCTCAAAAAAAAAAAAAAAAGCATTCAGTTATTTTTTAAGTAGCTTAATTAATTTTTGGGAGGTTCTCCCCAAATTTTATGTACTTGGCAAATAAAATTTTTAGTGAAATTTAAGTTTACTGGGTCTCAACTGAAACTTCTGAATTTATCTACCCTTTAAGAAGCTTAATACACTTTAGGAGGCCAAGGCAGGTGTATTGCTTGAACCCAGAAGTTTGAGATCAGCCTGGGCAACATGGTGAAACCCCATCTCTACAAAAAATATAAAAATCAGCCTGGTGTGGTGGTCCATGCCTATAGTCCCAGCTACTCAGGAGGCTGAGGTGGGAGGTTCGCTGGGGCCCAAGAGGTTGAGACTGCCATGATCATGCCACTGCACTCCAGCCTGGGTGACAGGGCAAGACTCTATCCAAAAAATAATAAGTTACAGCTATCAATTACTAAATGGCTACTAGCATTTTACTGTGTAAAACACCTTACACCCTTATTTCTAATCCTCTTCACAATCCGGTAAGAAGAGACTCCATTTTATGGGGGTGGAAACTGAGACTTGGCATCTTCCCCAAGAACTAAAAACTGGAGGGCTGAAATAAGGCCTGATGTGTCTGTCTGTTACAGCTCTGCTCTCTATGCCAACCATTCAGAGGACAAAACTGCACATCAGGATTATAAAGTAACCTCCACTGTGTCCTGAGCTTGATAGACCTGGAATAGCCTCCCGTGGCTGGACCTTTTTACCGCTCCCCACCCCCCCCACACACACGCGTGCCCTTACATGCAGCAGGGCCTCAATACATCTCATAGGATGAGTGAACCTAGTTTTCCAGTGGTAGTTTAATCAGAAAATTCAGAGAACCCAAAACACCTATTCCCACACATTTTCATTACTCAAAAAAGTCTGGCCAGCATGGTGGCTCACACCTGTTATCCCACGACTTTGGGAGACCAGGACAGGAGGATAGCTTTAGGGCCAGGAGTTCGAGACCAGCCTGGGTGACAGAGCAACACCAGTCTCTACAAAAAAAAAAAAAAATATATATATATATATATATATATATATATTTCTGCAAAAATCCAATGTTAAATAATTTTATGTAAAAATAACATTGATTGTATTCTTAAGAAAAATCTGGCTATGTGATATCCTGGCAGGGGTGACGGATAGTGAAATGTTGATGCTGAACACATTCTTGGTCACTAACAGTTGCACTGTGTTGGTCTTTAAAAACCTCAGGGCCCAATGAGACTAGGAGAACTCAAAAACCCCTGGGTGATCAGGAAACGAAGCCAAAGCTTGGCCCTCTCATAGTGGACTTTAATCTGCGAGGGAAGTTAGCCACCACTCCTCATTTGGGCTATGAAAGTTGAAGCCCCGGGTCACATGGCTGGCTCATCCCCCAAATCACTCTGCTCCCTTTCCTACTCAGCTCCTCCTGCCCGGGTTACCATCCAGATTCTCAAAATCTGAAATTTTTAATTTAGAAGTTAGGTATTTCCTTTACCAGAGCTATTTTTATAGAAAGCAAGAGCAACGTTTACACCAAATAAATTAATGTGTAATTCTGGAATTTACCAAAATGGTTGCAGAAAACAACCATGAAGATAGACCTTTTTTTTTTTTTTTTTTTTTTAAATACAGTAATGTTTTTTAAGTTAGCCGAAGTTCGGGGTAACTCATCACATAATAGGATTCTCTAACCTGGGCCTCTGGGTACTCATCTGTCCAAAACAGCGGTCAAACGACAAGGACGATGAAGACTTCGTGGGCCCTGCTGAGGTCCTTGGGAGCAGGGCATTCGTGCGGGGCTGTGGGGCACGGCCGAGCTGAGGGTCCCTGGCCCAGGGGCCTCCCGTCCATGCCGACGCCCACTCCTCCCGTAGGACCCAGCCAGTGCGGGCCCTGTCTTCTAGCCCAGCCTGAACGCCACGATGCAGGGAAGCGCCTGAGGCCTGCCGGGGCTCAACACCTGCCCGACTGTGAGCGCGGAAGCCCGCAGATGGCCTGGGCGAAGGCGGCCCGGGTGCGGGAGACGCGACGCGGGGTCACTCAGAGCCCGAGCGCATCCCGAACCCAGAGCCGCCGTCGGGGGCGCACCCGATTGGCCGGCTGAGACCACGTGTCCACCTGCGGCCCAATCAGCGATGGCAGGACATCCGGAAGGCCTGGTCCAGACCGCAGGGTATGGGCCGCTCTCGGGGGAAGCGAGCTGGGAAAAGCAACCCCCGAGTGCCAGTGGCCGCCTTTATGTGCCAGGGTGCTGCAGCCGGGGAATGATGGCGCGGGCATCCCCGGCTTCCCCACGGGCCATACTGCCTATCTGGGTCTGTGGAGGCCTGCCTTAGTAAATTAGGGGTCATTTGGGTAGCTGTGTGCCGTCTCCGCCTCCCACCATCCCCAGTAGCCTCAAGAATTTTTTCAAATCGTTTTATTGAGATAATTTATATACCATTAAGTTCATCCGTTTAAAGCGTACCATTGAACGATCTTTAGTATATTTACAAAGTTGGGCAACCATCACCATAATCTAACTTTGAAATATTTTCATGATCCCAAAAAGCAGGGGTTTTTTACACATTTCCCTACAAAATAACTTGAAGTAAGTTACATAAAAGATATATACAATAAAGTTGAAAAGCAAATAGAAATGAGGATTCAAAGACCAACGGAAGCAGGTCACATTTGTCAGCCTGGGGTCAACGTCGGCGGTGTGATGAAGGTGCCCTTTTAGCTCTGGTCTTGGCTAAGAGGTTGGAATTACTAGAAAGGGAACAAGACACAGTTACTCGAAGAAACAAAGCACTAAGTACTTTTTTTTTTAAGTTTAAGAGAACGCCAAGTTATTTTATATTCAGCATCTTTCACAACATTTTTATAGCCAAAGAAATAGCTTTATTTCCTTAGACCTTAAAACCTCAATTTTGAAAGTTTCCTGGGAGGGGCCAAACTAATGTGGCATTTCAGTGTTTATTTACAGAGCATTAAGGAAAGGATGGAGGGGAGACGGGTATGGTGAACTGGCCATCTGAAATGGCTGCTTGAGCAAGGAATGGCGTGTGACTTTTTCCATTTCCTGGGATGGATGATCAGAGCCACAACTGTGGACACAGAGTTCTCCCCATATTGGAACCCCACATTCTCAAGAGAACCGCCAACCACGGGAGCACAAGGATACAACGGGCTCAGCTGCCCCTGGCCACCACCCCAGTGGTCCCGCCATGGGCCATCTAAGATCTGCAAAGATGGGTGGAGCTATTAGAGTCGCAGGTCTGGGGGAAAGTGCTTAAGGATTTCTGCCTTCCCTTTCCCATCCTCCCTCCTTGCCCACCCCTCTATCCCCCACCCAAACCCCCACCCCCTGCTTCTGGAGGATCTGGACCATGAGCAGAGAAGGGAAGTGTCTACCAGGAAGACCACGTTCCCAACACCGAGGTCCTGCCTCCCCTCAGGAAAAGGGCAGCACATGTACTTGAACTCAAGTTTGAGACTGAAGCTTGAAAGTGATAGGTTGAATGATGGTACATGCTTACACAGATACAGAATTCACCCAAAATGTCATTAAGGAGCTAGAATGGGCCGGGCACAGTGGCTCACGCCTGTAATCCCAGCACTTTGGGAGGCCAAGGCAGGTGGATCACTACTCAGGAGGCTGAGGCAGGAGAATCATTTGAACCTGGGAGGCAGAGGTTGCAGTGAGCTGAGATCCCGCCACTGCACTCCAGCCTGAGTGACAGAGCGAGACTCCATCTCAAAAAAAAAAAAAGGAGCTAGAAGGGAAAGTCAACAGAACAAGGTCAAACAAGGTCAAGGCAGTGACCATAGAAAATAAAACCATGTTGTGTCCAGATCCACCAAATCAAGAAGCCTGATGCCTTTGGTTCCATGAACAGAAGACACCTCAGACTTGTGGGTTAGTCAGTGGCAAGGAAAGGTTCCATTTCCACCCAACCCTAAGAGACACAAATCCGTTTTCATAAAAGTGTGAGCCCCACCCTGCCCCAAGGATATGGGGGATGGGCACCTCTGCCTGTGGCTCACCTCCCCTGACAAGCTCCAGTGGGTGCTGTGCTTCCTCTTCACTGGGAGGCTTGTTCAGGAAATCCAGTTCACTCCATTATTGAAAACAACTCCATCTCCAGGAAAAGTTGAAACTGGCAGTTTTAGCATCTGATGATGGAGCCTTCTCTGCCACTTCAAGGCCTGCTGCCTCCTTTTCCAGCCGGCCTCTCACCCCAGGAAACACCAGCGAAGCCAGTGCAAGGAGAGGCCTCAATCCCTGGAAGATTGAGGTCATGCCTGGGCCAACACGTGTAGCAGAGCTTGGAGAACCCTCCCTACAGGACTTGCCCACCTCCCACTACAGGGGCTGACTGTTCAGCTTCTGCTCTTTGAGAAAAGACACATCCACTGTGAATGCAAAACTCTTCGTGTTCAGTTTTCTCATCACAGCATTTATACTTTTTTTTTTGAAATGGAGTCTCGCTTTGTCACCCAGGCTGGAGTGCAGTGGTGCGATCTTGGCTCACCGCAACCTCCACCTCCTGGGTTCAAGTGATTCTCCTGCCTCAGCCTCCGGAGTAGCTGGGGTCACAGGTGCCCACCACCACGCCTAGCTAATTTTTGTATTTTTAGTAGAGACGGGGTTTCACCATATTGGCCAGGCTGGTCTTGAACTCCTGACCTTGCGATCTGCCTGCCTCAGCCTCCCAATTATATACATTTTTAAATGCCTAGATTATGGCTGGGGAATTTAGGGAGTTGTGAGAGGCCCCAACTTGGGTGAGGAACCAGCCTCGACATAAACTTAGGATTGTCATGCTGACAGGGCATCTGATCTGGTCCCCACCTGAGGTTGGCATCCCACTCCAGCACCTTTGCTTGGCCATCTCCAGAGATGGAGGGTCCAGACCCGAGGCCCTCATTGGTGCAGTCAGGAAGCTCTGTGTGATGTATAGAACATGCCTGTCTGGGGTCGGCTACTGCCCCTGCTTCTGCTCTCTTAAGTCATAGAGAACTAGAATTCTTTCAACTACTTGAAAATAACCTCACATTACCACCCAAATCTTTCATAGCTAAAATCTCCAGTTTCCATTTTTCCTGGAGATGGGTGAGTTGTTTCCAGAAATGGAGTGAACTGGAATTTCCTGAGTGGCCCCCAACGAAAACCAAAAATCCTGGATTTTATGTTTTGAAACGTCTTCCAATGCACAGCAATATAGCGAGTAAGCCACAGAAGGGACCTGGATAGCCAGACCATCTCTGGTCTGGTCCAGCGCACACCACAGCACGGGTGCCCTCCAAACTGAGCCCAGACTGAGGGATAACGTCAAGGGCTTCACAACCTTCATCTCCCATGATTCTCCTCCAGGAATCTGCTGCTGTAAGTTGGCTGCAGCCTGTCCTTCCAAGCACCACACTTTGCCCCTGTATTCCTCCCCCTGGGACCTGCTCTTTCCCCCTTCTCTCTCTACTCAGGCTCAATGTAGGTGGCTCCCTCCACTCAGAGCCCATGCACCACCCCAGCCCTGGAGGCCATGCCTTTCTTCAGCCCCAGCACCTCTTCCTGTCTGTACTACATGCACCTGCCCCATCCACACTGCCCAGTGGGGCTTGTAACCGTGCCCAGCCCAGCTCCCGCGTTGAGCTGTGTGTACCAGGAGGGCAGACCCATTGGCATTGGGTGCCATGCCTCCTGCAGCAAGCCCAGCCCTTTGCTGTTAGTGTTTAACAAGAATCTTGATGGGGGCCGAGCGCGGTGGCTCACACCTGTAACGCCAGCACTTTGGGAGGCCGAGGTGGGCAGATCACTTGAGGCCAGGAGTTCGAGACCAGCCTGGCCAACATGGTGAAACCCCATCTCTACTAAAAATACAAAAATTAGCCAGGCTTGGTGACAGGCACCTGTAATCCCAGCTACTTGGGAGGCTGAGGCAGGAGAATTGCTTGAACCCAGGAGGTAGAGGTTGCAGTGAACCAAGATCGTGCCAGCACACTCCAGCCTGGGAAACAGAGCAACACTCTGTCTCAAAAAGAAAAAAAAAGAACAGCTGAGTTCATCCCTAACAGCCTCTTCCCCTGCAGGAATGTTGGATGCCTCTTAAAAAAAAAAAATGAATATTGGTGGACTTAATGCAGCCATCTTCTTTCTGCTGGAAAGCTGGTCTTTGTGGAAACCTCTCACATGTGGTTTTGATGGTACTTTGTGCACACTTACTCTGTGCTCCAAAAGGTGCCCGGGCTCCAGCTGCCTGACCTGGAGGAGCTGCCTTGTGGAGCCATCTGTACGCCCTAGGCCCTGACACCAGGGCAGCCCCTCCCTTTTGGAGGTCAGAGCCAGGCAGGCCTTCCTATGACCTCAGGGGGCCCATGGGCTACCCATGCACGAGGGTCCCTTCCACTGCGGGAACTGAGACTCTTGGGGGGGTGACAAGACTTTCGGAGATGCTTGAGGTCAGAGGTTACGCAGAGTGTGGAAGTCAGAATGCATCACCCAGGTCTGGAATTCCACAGCCTCCCTGCCACATGCCAGGCCCCATACCAGGCCAAGGCCAGCCCTGGGCATGAAAGTGTGAGTGAGATACAGCCTGGACCCAAAAAGCCTCCACAGTTGATGGGTGAAGCTGACCTACTAACCTCAACCCTCACCCCTAGCCCTGTGGTTTTAGCACTGGCAGGCTGGGAAGGTGTGTGCAGGGCATTTGAGACATGCTGCCTTACCAGCTTCGAAGGGAGGAAGAGCTGGCGGGGAGGGCAGGCCACATGAGGAAGGCGAAACAATTTCTTCCTGGCGAGCAGGAAGACAGGTGGGGGGAGCAGGAGGGTAGTTTGCATGGCAAGGCTGGGTCATACCAGGCCCCATAAACCAGGTAAGGCGCTTGGGCTTATCCCAAGGGAGAGGGTGGGGATACTGTGGTCAGATTAGCTCAGAGGACGGTCAGTGGAGCAGGGCAGGACAGAGATGGGGAGGTGGCAGTGGTGACGGCAGCTGGGACATTCCATTCCGTAGGGACCATCCCACTGATCAGTCCTGCCTTCCCACCACCCTGGTTCTAGCTCTGCCACCCCCAGCAACCATGTATCCTAGGGAAAGGCAGAAGTCTCTGCAGGGGCTAAAGGGGCACCAGGGAGAAGGTCAGGGTCCACTGGCCACAGTGCAGCCCCCTCCCCTGGCTGTGTGGCACGGGGCCTGCAGCCTCTGGGAGCAGTTGCCAGGGCCCGGGTTCCCTGCTCCACCACTCACCTTGGCTATAAACACTTCATTGTCCTGATCCTGTTTGCTCATCTGTGCGCTGCCCGTGGTTGTGAGGATTCACTGAAATCATGAAAATGTAGCACAGTCTGTGCTCAAAGATCAATAGCTTTACTGTGACTCAATCTGCCCAAAGCCCCCAATTTCTTCTTCAGCGCCCACCCTGCTGAGGCCCCATAATAATTCTATTCCTGCCAGCATGGAGCACCAGCAGCTGTACCAGCCAAATGAAGCTATGTGGGTCGGGGGACAAAGATGATGCAAGGCTCCTCCACGCCAGCTTGGACTATAAAACGCATTCTAATCACTGACCTTACCTCCATGCTTAGCACTTAGCAGTACTTGGGCACCGCGATTATGCTGCTGTTGATCACTACACTAAACCGTTCAGCCCACATCTCCTGGTTTTGTTATTTACAAGCTTAAGAACAGAGAGCAGGCCGGGCGCAGTGGCTCATGCCTGTAATCCCAGCACTTTGGGAGACCAAGGCGGGCAGATCACGAGGTCAGGAGATCGAGACCATCCTGGCTAACACGGTGAAACCCCCGTCTCTACTAAAAATACAAAAAATTAGCCAGGCGTGGTGGTGGGCGCCTGTAGTCCCAGCTACTCAGGAGGCTGAAGCAGGACAATGGCGTGAACCCGGGAGGCGGGGTTTGCAGTGAGCCGAGATGGCGCCACTGCACTCCAGCCTGGGCGACAGAGCAAGACTCAAGTCTCAAAAAAAAAAAAAAAAAAGAACAGAGAGCAGAGCCGTTTCAGGCCCTGGTCTCTGGCAGACCCCTACTCACCTTCCTGGGCATGTATCCAAGGTCCTTCTCCCATGGCACCTGCTTCCTCTGCCATCGTGGACTTAATGGCCAAGTCCAACTCCTCCTTTCATTCTGCACACAGCCACAAGAGCCATCCAACCAGAACACACATCTGATCACACCCCCTCTGGCTGCGTGGCTCCCATGGTCCTTAGGTTCGGGAACAAATGCAGCCTTAAGATGGCCAGCCTTCCAGCCCGGCATAGACCCCAGGAAATCTGTGTGCTCTCCAACAGGAGTCTCCTCCTCTCCCTGAGGGTCACTCATCTTCCAGGACTCCCCACCCCTCCCTGTGTCCCAGCAGGTGCCGTGTGGCCCTAGCTCAGAGCAGCCTTCTTCATGCCCTGCAGAGCCAGCCTGTTTACGCAGCGTCTGCTTGTGCTCACGGCATGTAACATGCATAGTGCAGCCTGCGGGAGAACAGTTCCCTTCTCTTTCTGTCTCAAGAGCTGCCGGCTCAGACCTTCCCTACTCGGCCTGTGTCTCCCCAAAAGAGCGCAGTGAGCTGCACGGAGCCGGTTGAGCCTGGAGCCACCAGATAGATGTCTGCCCCGCCCTGCCCAGCCACAGGGGTTGGTGGGTCATGGAACCACACATGACCCTCCGAGGGCAGGTGAGGAGAAAGGAGGGCTGATGGGGGCTGATAGAAGGGGTTTGGGGGATGGGGAGCACCAGAGAAGGAAGGCTGGCAGGCCGAGGGCTGGGGAGCAGGGGATAGGCCTTCACATTTGCATTTGCACCGTTCACTGCGGGCTAGGCCACACTCACACACACACTTACACCTGCACCCACACCCTCTCAACCACACGCGCAGCTCCCACTCTGGCTCCTGAGCCATCTGCAGGCCAGGAGACTCCAGGGCCGGGCTTCCCCAGCAGGTCTGCCCACCAAGCCCAACTCTCTGGGAAGTGCCACTCACTCTGACCCTGTGGCCCGGCTCCGGCTCAGGGGAGCTCCCACTGCAAACACAAGCTCTGGGAAGGTGAGTGGAGGCTTTGTCTCAGGTTCTGAGGCGTCAGGAGGAACAAATCCATGAAGTGGAATGCTGGAGGCATAGAGGTCCAGCCCATGGGCCACCTGCACCCCAGGGGGCCAGTCCCGCATTTACACAAGTGACTTGTACACTCTCCTCCTGCACATCTCTGGAGGCTTATCCCATCTGGCCCTCCATGGCCTCAGCAGGATCACTGGATGTCCGTGATGCACGGCGTGCCCTCCCTGCCCTCATCCTCCCAGCCAGCAGCCCAGGAAGGAACCACTCTTAGTGACCTGTGGAAGGTTAGGAGACCCTCCCTCGGGGCCCTAGAGCCCACCCTGAACAGGGCCTTTCAGGGGAGAGGGTGAGAAGGTTCACCACCCAGAGGAGCCAGGCCAAAGCCCTGAAACCAAACATCCCCCAGTTCCCTCACTCCTCGATTCAGACTCCAGGGCCACAGCCTGGAGCAGAGCTGGACCCCAGCTCCTCTTGGCAGCACCCCTGAGGGCCAGAGAACGGCTTCCCAGCTGACTTGAGGACCTGTGACCTCAGGGGGATGCAGGGAAACACAGAGTGTCACTTCCAGCTGCACCTGCCCTCTGCCACTACCCAGCAGTCCGGGACCTGAGTCCCCTCCTTCCTCGCGGAGAACAGCAGGTCCAGCATGGCCGGCCCTTCCCTCGCTGGCTGTGCACAGGGTGCCGGCTGAGTCCTCGCCCCATAGTTGGCAAGTCTAGAACCACCGGATCCTGTTACCTCACCAGTGTGAGTTCTACCATTGCCAAAAACGGGGGGAGGCAAGCAGCTCCCCCCAGGAGCTGGGGAGGCCTCGGTCTGTGCTGAGGAAGAGACAGAGACAGTTAGGATGGTCCAGGCAGGGCCAGGACAGAGGCGCCCATCCCCGCAACTGCGACAAGGTCCTTCCTGCAGGGTCGCCCTGGTGTGGAGGCCCAACCCCACAGTCCCCCTTCCTGCTGGTCCCGGTCCCTCCTCAGCCCCCTCCTCTCCTCCCTTCCCCTCATATCTGTAACCTGCAGTTCCTGTGGGCAGGCATGGAGCAGACACCATCCCTAGGGCAGCCACCAGGATCCAACCCAGGCCCTGAGCTGTGGTCACCACTCCCAAGGGAACCCGAGGGCACCTCCACTCCCAGCACCTGACAGCAGGGACTCTGGGAACCAGCACAAGCCAGGCCAGAGAGCCCTGCCCCTGGGCGCTGGGGAAGAGATGGCTAATGTGGGCTGGGTTTTGCTATTTACTAAGCCCACGTCACTGCTCCATTTAATCCAGAGAGATGCTCCCAAGCCATTCCCTAGAGCCTAAAGCTCACAGGCTGCCCACCCCAAAGGGAGAGAGGGAAGTTGCTACACAAAACATTCCTCCTCCCTATCAAGTCCAAGGGAGGAAGAGCATTCCACTTGCCAAGGCCTCTTCCCTAAAAGCAGTGGACAAACAATGGCGCTGGGACCTTCTACCCAGGAACGGGAACAGGCAGCCTCTGGGGCCATCAGTCAGTGGCAGGAATGGGCCAAGCTAAAACCAACCAAATATCTCCCATCCAGACGGCACTCTCCTGACCACAGAACCCACTGCACACACCCAGCAGCCCTGCACACACCCAGACCCTTTGAGGGCTGGCTGCGATCTGATTCTCGGAGTGGCATTTCCCCAGACCGCCAGTCACTTACCCAAGGGCAGCACACTTCCGTGTTCCCACTTCCCCTGATGAGGCCAGGTCCTTTCCCAAGGGGTGTTGAAGTGTCCTGAAGGCATCTCAAGCCTTTAGCAAGGGTGCAGGCTGCCTGCCCCCAACCCTGCATCCCCATGCCTCCCCTGCAGCCTGGAAGGGACTCTTTGCCCTCAAGCCTCCTGGGCAGTATGGGCCCACCATGAGCAGGCTCATTTTCCGAACATGCCCCGGCTGGGGGAGCAGCTGACTTGGCAGGGCCCCCAAAATGACACCGCTGCCGCCGCCACCGCCACCACCCCTCCCATCCTGCCTGCCCTTTAGGGTGGAGTGAGATGGGATGATGGCTTAAGATGCAAACAGATCCAGGCCATCCCCAGGGCCAAGTCCAGGACCTCGGTGGCACCCAGACCGGACCGGCAGCCTGGGCTTGGGCGCTGGGGAGGACACCTCTGCCCGAAAGGAGAGGCTTGGTGGGGAAGGTTTGGCCTCTGAGCAGAGGCACGACTCTGGAAGCCTCTCCGAGGGTGGGCGGGCCTGCTTTGGGACATCAGCAGCACTGGGCTCTCTTGGTCCCATGGAGCCCCCAAGCCTGGGACTTGCTGAGGAGGCCACTCCCACCCTCCTCCAGTGTGTATGTGGGGGGTCCTGTCCTCCTCCCCACCCAGCTGTGGCCGCACCAGCCGGGCTCCATCGGCAGCCTGGGGCTGCAGGCGATCAATGGTGCCGGATCGCATTTCGACCCGCCTGAGGCTGGGCAGAGGCTGGGATAATGGCCTGGAATGAATAAGCAAATGGAGTGGTGGGGGAGGCGGGGAGTCTGGAAAACCCACTCATACAGCCCTCCAGGGAGCTGCCCCTCCTGCCGCTCCACGCACCCAGACAGGCCAAGCAAGGTGCCCGACATGGGGGACGCCCTAAACCCGGGCATCTGGGAGCCGCTGCTTTTGACAAACAGAAAAACAAAGCAAAAAGTGCTTCTCAGTGACCCTCCCGCTCCAGCAAGAAAGGCCTTCGCTGCAGTGGGACAGCGTTCCTGCCTGACACTGGACACCATTGGACAGATCATGGGCAGAACCTTTTGCCCATCTCACAGACCTTCTGGAAGCCACACAAGGGAGGATCCAGGACCTGTTCTGCAGGGTGGGGAGGTGAAGAGGGGCCCTCTCCTATCCTAAGTGCCCCCAGCCTGGGTGGTAGGAAATTGTGTCTTTAGGGAGGAGGGCCAGCTGTGGTGGCCCCCACTCTCTGGGACAGTCACTGTTGTGGGTGAACTCACCACCCAGGTCTGGCCCGGAACTAGGTAAATTAGGAGATCTAGAAACTAGCTTTGGCCTGAGGTCCTCCCCTGGAGCGCTGGAGCAGGGCCCCAGAGCAGCCGGGCCTGAAGCCTGGTGGAGGCACGCCCCCACACCAGTGCCTGCACTCGGGGCTCAGCAAAGGCGCCCACCTGGGCAGGTGTGAGGAGGTGGAGCCCAGCTGCAGACCACCCAGGGGCTGAGGGCAGCTTCTGTCATCCGGCCTTCCCCGCTAGGCAGGAAGGAGCAGAACCCTGGCCAGACACTCCAGAGGCTCCAGGGAAAAGCTCTAGAACCGGTCACTGCCAGGGGCCTTCCACCCCCCCTTGCTGGGTCTCTGTGCCCACCCCACCTCCAGGGCTCATTCTCACTCAGGCCGGGAAATCCCTTCTTTCCTATCCCATGGGACCTGCAGCAGGACGCCCTAAGGAAGCACCCGGGGCGGAGGACTGGAGCACAGAGACAGGGTGCGGCACAGGCCAGCCAGGTTCCGAGGGGCAGAGGGAGAGCTGGGGCCATCAGAAGAGAGACCTAGCTACAGGGACACCTCACCAGGGCAGAAGTCCCCTTCTATCCTGAAATAAACAAGCCCCTCCTTTTTTCTGCAGGGGCTTGGAGAGCTTCTGTAGAGAAACACGGGCACCACACCCCAGAGGGAATTTATTGGGGGCTCCTCGCGGTTTGGTGATAGCTAACTGACAAGAAAAAAAAGGCCCAACCCACCCAAGGCAGTCCCCAGGGCACCCAGGCAGGCAGCACTGGTCACCATGTTCCTGCTGTGCAGTCAACTGGACCCGTCATCCTCCAGCTGCCAGCTTCAACCACACACATCCCCCACCCGGGCACTCCCTGGCTCAGACACCTAAAATGACTCCCACTGATCTGGGCTAAGTCCACCAACCCTTGCCTGAGGCTCCCTGGGGAGAAGCAGCCCCATCAGGGGCTGGCCCAGTGACCTGGGGCATGATAGCTCCCAGCTGGTCCCAAGTCGGCCACTGGTCTCCTGCTTGATTGCTGACCACCAGATTTCACATGGGTCCAGCCTGGCTGGCCAGGCTCTCCCCAGCTTTGACAGACTAGGTCCAGGCCTCCCAGCCTCAGTCTCTGCCATCTGGGGCATCCTTGGGAGCCCAGGCCTGTAGATTCAGAGCTGAGACACCTCCAGGCCCTGGGTGCCTCCATGGAAGGTGTGGCTGGTGGCGGAAGAGCCACAGTGACCCAGCTCTACCACTCACCAACCTCTTCAGCCAAGCCTTTCCTCTCAAAGCCTCAGGTTCCCCATCTATGAGATAACTATTTTAAAAAATTACAAGCCCCACAGGGCTGAGGTGGGAACTGTTGGGATTATATATGTAATGTCACCTGACACCCAGATGGAGAGCATAGGCCAGTTAGTCATAGCCCAGATCCAGGGACCCAGGAAGCTACATTACCAGTGTGTGGTGTGTGAAGGGGAACATTGGCCTCTGCTCCAGAACCTTCTAGGGGCAGGCCTGAAAATGCCCTCCAACTCCGAGCCCCACTAAGTATCCTCCTCTTGGAGCTGTTCGGAGATGACCCACTCCACAGCAGGCTACAGCTCCAGAGACGGTAGCCCCCCTGGAAACACCCAGGCTGACCTCAAGGGCAGCCCACCTGCCTGGAGCTGCCCCCTTCACAACCTGCAGCAGAAAAGACCAGGCCCTGTGCTGCCAGCCAAGGTCTCACCCCAAGCGTGTGCTGGGAGCCTGGCTGGGCCTTTCCAACCCACGGCACCATTCAGGATGGCCCTACAGATGGTTTCAGACTCCCCCACCTCTGCCCTGGGCGGCCCCATCTGCTGGCCCAGCTCAGATTGCTGGGCTCCCAGCTCTACCGTGGCCCCAGGCAGTGTAAGGCGATCTGGCTGCCCACCAGCGCTGGGCCCTCACACAGCAGCTGAGCCAGATGGGCTGGGGAGGCGGTGAGGAGGCCTTGAGGAGGAGCAGGCTGGGGCCCTGACACAAGGATGCAGGGGAGGCGGACGCAGCTGCGGGTCCTGCTTTTCCCATATTGGCACTGCACATGATTGCTCAGAGCGGAGAGACACAAGCAAAAATGTGCTAGTGCCAAAATCGGCCAAGCAGATGGCACTGGTGCGGGCTCTCTGGGGACACACTGGACGAGGGGCCTTGCATCCCTGCACCCTTGGAAGCAGCCTGTTTCCGACGTCTAGGAGCACTCAAGGCAGAAGTGGGTAAGGTGCTCCGGAGGCCCTCGTGGATCTGTCTCTGCTCTGTTTATGGCCCTTCGGTAATTCACTGACTGAGACTGTTCACAGTGAATTCTACCAGTGCCATACACAGAACAGGAGTCACACTCTGCGGCCTGCCGACCCTGCGGAGAGACCAGCGGCCCACGATGCCCGTTCCCTGCTCCTAGCCTGCCCACTCCCTTGGGGGCCCCCCAGCAGGCCCTCAGCAGCGGCTGCTACGGTCTCTACCCCCCACCCCATCCCACCTCTTCACAAGATCCACATGCCCCATCAGCCCAAGATGACCTTCAAGGAGACAGGGACAGTGCGGGAGAGGAGCTGACCTTCTGGCCTTGCAGAGGAGAAGACCACACCAAGGTGTCTCCTATCTCCACCTGAAGGCCCACATCCCTCCACATCACCCAGACTGCGCCTCCAGGCTGGGGAGGGAGTGGGTCAGGACCATCCATCTCCTTGCCAGAGTAACTCTGGCTCGGAGAGGCAAGCAGCTGGCCAGAGCCTCCTCTCTACCCAACCTGCCACAGGGGCAGTGACCAGTGGGACATCCAAGATGCCTCTCGTAGCCTCTGAGCCCAGACACCAGCAGCCCAGGCTCCTAGGCACTTTGGTCTCCATTATCCTCCACCCCCCAGCCTGCCCTGTGGCAGAAACAGAGCCCCAGGAACAAACCGAATCTGCTGCTCACCCCCACTCCCATCCCAAACCAGACCAGATTGGGCCAGACTGTGAACCGCCCAGGCTGGGCATCTCTGCTGCCGGCCTAGGATCAAGGCAGGAAAAGGCCAGGAAAGGAGGGCAGAAGAGAAGTCCTGCAGCCACCCAGGTGGCTTGGAGGGAGCCGGAGGCACGGATGCACTCTAGCAAGGGAGTGGCTCCTGGCTGGCTCTGGAGTGACTGCGGAGGAAAGCGGAGGCTCAGGAGCGAGGGAGGGGCTGGGAAGGTTGCATCAGTGGTTGCCAGAGCAGCTGCCTAGAGAGAAGTTGCTGTGGAGGCCCTGCCTCTGGTGTCACAGGCCCTGGGGAAGGACGGGAAGAAGGGAGAGGGTGGGAGGGAGGGTCTCTGGGGAGCTGGCACCCAGGGCAGGCAAGCTGGGGCCTCCGCAGAGTGGCCACTAGAGTCTCAGCCTACTCCAGGTCAGCGGTGGCCCAGAAGGCAGGGTGGCTAGAAAATATCCTGGAAGGGTCAGAGCAGGTGCCCTGGCCCAGAAACTATGCAGACCTCTTGGCGATGTTACCCCCAGGAACTACCTCCCGTGGACCTCAGAGCTCCATCTGGGTACCTTGGCCAAAGCCATCCGCTCTCCCCTAGACACTGCTTAATGCTCCACCCTTCCTGCTCCCGAGGACTCTTTGTCCTGCTCCCACACACCCCCACTACAGGGCTCTGCCCTTCTAGCTGGTCTATCTCCCCAGAGGACAATCCAGCTTGATGAGGTGGTGATCTCAGGAAGTCACTCCTCAGCCTTCTGCCTCAGTTTCCCTTACTACAATTTTCTGAACTCTACTAAGGAAGAGAGACCAGACTTCCCAGCCTTGGGTGGGGAGGGGAAGGGGTGATGGCAGGGTGTTAGCAAAGAGTATGGGGTGGGTAGTTATGAACATTGCTTAGGGTGTAGCCATAAGCATCACCCAAGGAGCCTGTTGAAATGTAGATTCTTGAGCCTGCCTGGAAATCTGCATTTTAATAGCACCCTGACAGCTCAGCATGGGGTGGGGGTGGGGGTGGGAAGATCTATTTTGAGAAATCTTTCCCAAGAAGCCTCACCCTGGGATAATTAAACAGAATGCAGAATTCTTCTTTCTTCTGGCTGGGCGCAGTGGCTCACACCTGTAATCCCAGCGCACTTTGGGAGACGGGAGGATCGCCTGAGGTTAGAAGCTCGAGACCAGCCTGGTTAGCATGGTGAAACCCCCGTCTCTACTAAAAATACAAAAATTAGCCAGGCGTGGTAGCAGGCGCCCGAAGCTGAGGCAGGAGAATCGCTTGAACCCGGGAGGTGGAGGTTGCAGTGAGCAGAGATCGCACCACTGCACTCCAGCCTGGGCAACAACAGAGCGAGATTCTGTCTCAACAACAACAAAAAAAAAAAAAAAAAAAAAAAGAATTCTTCATTCTTCTTTTGGGGACAGCCAAGGATGGGGAGAGGCAGGTGTTAGGGAAGGGGAACACGCAGCACCTTGCAACCAAGGAGCCACAGAGGCCTTAGAGCTGGAGAACAGATGGAGCCAGGGATTCTGCTCTCCCCAGCCCAGGAAGGAATAAAAGGGACCCCAGGTAGAGGAGAGAGCCCTGTAACAAAGCAGCCAAACACGTACGCTCCTTCAAATTGTGGCATCTCTGTCGAGCTCCTTGGTCTGTTTTCCTCATCTTTGTAACTGACATAGGATGGAATACAGGGAGCAGCTCGCAAAGCCAAATCCCTCTCCACTTCCAGTTCTAGTCGGCTGGGCCAGGTTCCTCCCCTGCGCCTGCCTCACCCCTCCTAACCCAAATGCGACAGGAAGCCCAAGTGCCGCAGTGCCTGGGGGGTGCCACGCCCGCTGGGGCCTCTCCATCCTGGTGGAGGGAGGCTGGGGCCTGGGCCCTAGGGAAGCAAGGTCTCCCAGCTCTCTCGAAAAGCGGGTAAGAGGAGCTCTCCGACATCAGCAGCAGAATCCCCACTCGGAATCTCAAAAGGGAAAACAGAGGCCTATGGCTTGGCGCAGGTCAGGATAGCAGCCTCTTCTGCCCTCCCTGCAGGACACAGCCCTGACCTTGAGATCAAAGGCACAGAAATCCGCTTCTGGAGTGGGAAGATGAAGACAAGGTCTCCCACACCCGCTGGGCGTCAGCGCCTGGCAATGGAAGAGGACCAAAAGAGATGCAACTTGCAGGCCAGGCTGGGCAGCCAGGGACTCACAGGGTGTGTGGGGGTCCTACACATCCTAGGAGGTCTCCACAAAGCGCCCCCTCCCACCTTCGGTCGCTCTCAGCCCCACCCTCCTGAACTCTACTTGGGCCTTCTTAAAACTCGAGTCCCCTTTCCCCTAGGGGTGTCCCTTCCTGGGCACTGGTGCCCAATGCAAAGGGCAGGCCCCCAACCCCTTCCAGTGTTAGAGGTGAGTGTTGCAGGACTCTGGGCTATGGGTACTCCGGGGTCCTTAGACAGCACATAGCCTACCGCTCGACTCCTGGCTCTCCTCTCCACCTCTACACAACGAATCTGGAGTCCAGGGTCCCAGCCGCGCCACCCACAACCGGTCTGGTCCTGATCCCTCCAGTCTCTATCAAATGCCCCTGAGGTCCCAGGGGCTAGAGGCTGCTGGGGCCCTTGAACGGGCATGCCCTGGACGCTGCGCCTGTCATCCTGTGTCCCCATGAGGTGCTGGGAGAGGGGCCCAGAGCTCCTTTCCCCGAAGCCCAGGCCGCCACCGACCCATTAAATAAATACTCAGGTGTCTGGGGTGCGGAGCTCACTCCAAGAGCCACTGGGCCCCGGTAGGAGAAAAAGAATAAACGAAATCCTCACAAGTGAGGCCGGCATCCTAGAATTTTCTCTTCTTTGCGTAAGGCCGACTCCAGAGGTCCCGCTAACTCCCCCGCAGGAGCATGAAGGGGCGGCCTTGAGCGGTAAAGAAACGAGCAGTGGTGGAGGCTGCCGCTCCGAGCCCAGGTCCGAACCGAGAGCCGCGCGGGGAATGTGGGGGTCGAGGCTGAGAGCTGGGCTTGGGGCAGGTTCCTTTGCGTTCGCTCAGGCCACGATGAGGCCACTAGGACAGATTTCTCCGAAGGCTCGGCCTCGGATCAGAGATCCGCCGACTCGGTGCCCATCGGTCGGGCTCACTGGGTGACAGGTAGAGGGTGATGCGCACCCGTAGAGCTGAGTGACCCGGCCCGAGAATCCGCCACCTGGCTCGCAGGATTTTCGCCCTCAGGAGCTTTGCGAAGACGGGCGCAAACCTGGGAGGCGCCGCCGCACCTTGCCTGTGGGGGTGGGGAGGTCGATTACGGCACCGCCCGCCCTCGGCCCTAATCGCTCAGAGCCGGCCTCAGTGCCCCTGCCCCCGGCGGGTATTACTGTACACGGTGTCCGGGAGCCCGGGTTGGAAGAGCAAACGAATGGCTCAGCCTGGAGGACACCGTGGAATCGGGCGACCCCTGACCCCGGGTGACACCCTCACTGCCCATAGTCCTGGGATGCGCTGACCGGTGAGGCGCCAGAGGCAAGCCGTCCAGCCGCCGATCTTGGGGAAGGGCTGGGAACCTGGGTGCCACTAGCGCTATTAACAGGAATGGGGCAGTTGAGGGCGGGGAACGGTGTCTCATTCGCGTGCGCCGGGGTTCCCGGGATGAGTGGCCGCGAAGTGGAGGCACACGGGAGGTCTGAGAGCCGCTTTCCCCCAGAGACTGGGCGGGGCGGCTCCGGGCCACGGAAGCAGCCTCGAACCAGCCGCGCAGCCCTGACAAGACGCTGGAGGGGCCAGCTCCGGGGCCCCGGCGCTCTCCGCAGCCCCCTCCCAGCCTGGCGCTTCCGCCTGAGCCCACCAGGGCGGCGAAACGCAGCCCGACCCCAGCCAAACTCCTCGCGGGTAGGCACCTCGCAAGCACCGGCCGCACTCGGACCGCAGCCGCTCCCGCCCCCGCCCCCGCCCGGGAACAGCGCTGGGCGCTGGGCAGACGCCACTGGCGGACCCGGGACCCAGGCGCCCCGTGGGCGCCTCCGCCTGAAGGCGCGGAAGAGCGAGTAGGCACTGCCGCGTCATCCCCGAAAGCCAGCTGCGCCGGGACTTCTGCCCTGCACCCGGGTTCTAGTGCGGCCGGTCCCGGGCGCCCGCCTCCGCCTCCTCTACTGAGCCCCGCTCTGGCTCCGCCCGGCCCGCCCCCCCGCTCCCGGCCCCAGACACTCACCTGCGCCGGCTCCAGGCTGGGCGCACAGCCGCCTCTCAGCTCCGCGCGGAGTCCACACCAGAGAAGCCAGGCAAAAACGGCCCCGGTTTGGAAAGAGCCGCATGGACGGAGCTTGAAGCGCGCCCGGCCCGGGCCCAAACCTCCGCTGCCCCGCGAGAGGGGGCGGCGCCGGAGCGCCGAGCCCAGCGGGGGAACAAAGGGGAGCCGGGACCCGGCCGCGCGCTTCCTGGGTGTCGGGTGACAGGTCTGCCGGGGAAGGCCCCGGCCCGGCCACCTGAAGAGGAGCCGCCTCCGCGCTGCAGGCGGGGGAGGTCCAGAGGGGTACCTGGGCCCGAGGACCGGAAGAACAGGGGGCGCGGGCTGCCCGGACCGCGCGGCTGGACGGAGGCCCTGCGGCTCCGGCACGGCTGCGCGGGGGCTCGACGGAGTGCACAGAGAATGACTCCAGGAGGGTTTTACCGCCCCCCGCCCCGGGCCCCGCCCGCCCCTCGCGCAGCGCCATTGGCTCAGGTGCCGCGAGGCGGGGAGGGGCAGGGGGCGGGCCGGGGATGATTCACCTTGAATGTGGCTCCGGTTGGTGCGCGGCGCAGGGCACGCCCGTCCGGGACTGCGGAGACGCCGGGAGCCCCGCCTGCTTGCCCAACCCGGCCGGGTCTGGCCCCAAGGGGTCCCGTCGCCCGCCTTCTATCCCCGCCTCCTGCCCTCGGGCTAGGGTGCCGCTAGCCGAGGTGCGCCCGGACGCCCTGCCACCCCAGCGCCCTCTGAGCCCGGAGCTAGCCGAGGTGTGTGTGGCGTGGCGTGCTTGGAAATCCGACCCTGGGAGGGGGGAGGGGAAGTGCGTTGGGAGCTGGGGCGCACCGTAGGGCCACTGGACGATCTCTGCAGTCTCCCCGCAGAAAGGTGCTCAAGGCTGACCTGTCTCAGGGGGCGCACCCGGACCCAGGGGCGCAGGGCTGGAATGGGGACAAGGGGCCTCCATGTCCTCACACGCCCACCCTCGGCCAGTTCTGCGGCCTCACAGGTGTCTGGCCACCGCTGCCGCCGCCGCCGGGAACAAAGGCTGTCTGTCCCAAGAGAGGGAGGGGGAGGGGAGCCGCCCCCCAGACCCGTTCCCATCTCCCCCTCCCCCCACTGCGACAGTGGCTCCCTCGGGAGGGGGCGGGGCCAGCCGGGGCTGGGGCGCGGACGCGGATTAGATCCTTCTCAACCGTCCTTTGGTCTGACACCACCCGGAGCATTCAGAAGGGACCGGGGGGCAGGGGCTAGGTCCTCCAAGCTGTCAGCGTTGGGGTGGCCTCTTCCTTCTTCCCCAGCATCCTGAGCACCGGAGCGCCCCCTCCCTCCCTGCTGCTTTGGCTGCCCTTGGCAGTCCCAGCTCCGCCCCGCCCGGCCGCCCCAGACGGCAACGGCAGCTCAAAACCAGATTAAAATAAAACGTTAATCCGCCCTTCTCCTTTTTAGCTTCTAGTTCTTCCCAATCGACCCCCGCAGATCTGGCACCCTAGAAGCCCCTGTAAAATGAGGGTGGTGCTTAGCCTATGCTCCCACCAAACCTAACCCTTGCACTTGAAGACCGTTAACACCTTGTCTTGGGCTCGAGCAAAAGAAGGGGGTGAGGCAGTGGAAGCGGGGCCCGGGAAATCTATAGTTTCCCCACCCCCAGCTCCTGCCGAGCCGGGAGGGGCCAAGGGTGACGGCAAGGATACGAACCCTTCAATATGCCCGACTCCCGGGCAGGGCCTGCTGAAGCCGTAGATGTCGCAGCCAGATGGATCGGGAAGCAAGATTCCCACCCCAGGTGGATAACTGGACGAGTCTCAGGGCCTCGGGGCCCCTCTCCCCATGCAGCCAGGGATGGGCACGGTGAGCGAGAACCCGGACAGCGGAGATAATGAGCACGTCACAGAGCCCAACGGGCCAAAAGGGGGTGATAGCTCCACATTAACCCCTCCCCGTCCTACTAGCATTCCCCCGCCCATCTAGGTCGCCTCGAGCCTCCCTGGCTGTCTCTGCACCCGCGCCCTACCTGGTCCTCAGACCCATGCGATGCTGGGCAACCCGGGCCGGGTGTGCCCAGGACCGCAAAGCGGGAAGCGCAGGCCTTGCGGACTGCGAGTGGCCCCCGCGGCCTGCTGCTCCCCTTTATAACGCGCGCCCCGCCCCCCGCGCTCCGGGCGCCCCGCCCTGGCCCATTCACCTGCTGTCGAGAACCAGACACCGCGCAGCAGAAAGCTAGCCGCTGGGCCGCGAGGTCCGGCCGTCGGAGCGGGCGGGGCTGGGGCGCCGCCGAGACAGATCCGATTTCCACCTTTTCTTAAATGCGCTGCTGAAAGTCGAGAAGGCCCCGGCCGGGGAGCTCGCGTCGCTTCCTCCCCCCTCAGCTCCCCTCGCACCCTGAGTCCCCCAGCCCCACTCCGGGAGGGGCCGCGAAACTGCACCCGCAAGGGCCTCATACATATTTTAAGGAGCAGGCCAGGCAGGTAACCGGAGCTGGACTCGGACGGTGAGGGGGCGGCCCCCGGGGACCTGATACCCTGGATCCCTTACGGCTCAGGGCTCAGGCGGGGGAAGAGGTGGCTCAGGACGACCTGGGGTCCTCACTTTGCTGGCCTGTCCAGCGCATCCTAAGCCCGCGTGTATCCTACCCCCTCCTTCTGCAGATCCAATGTCCGTCTGGCAATTGCCCCATTCCCTCTCGCTGGAGAGATCCCTTCCGCCTCGCCACAGGCGTCCCACGCTGCCCGGAGTCGTGCGCCCCGGGACGGGTAGTTTTGGGTTCCTCGACGCTTGGCCAGGTTTAGGAAAGACCCGCTGTCTTCCTTGCTGCCCCCACCTAGGAGACTCGGCGCCTTGCGCTCCGTCCTTTTTAATGGTGTCGCGGCTTGTCCCTCTGGCTTGCTCCCTCCTAGTCCCTACCCCACACGGCTCCCTTCGCCAGCTCCATGACAATCCCACTCGTGCTGAAGACCTTGGGCAAAGAAGTAACCATCGGTCTTCCCCTCCCTTCCCATTCCTCCGGCGGCAGGACTAGGGGGAAAGGTGCCCGGGATACAAGCCCCTCACGCAGACCCACTGATGCGGCCGTGGTTCTGCCATTGGCCCCTCTCCGAATGGTGAGGTTCTCCTGCTAACCCTGGCCCCATGGCATAACTAGTATAACCCCAGTGAGAGGAACCCAGAGTTCCAGTCCTCCCCTGCTCCAGTCCCTCTGTGATCTCGATCTCGAGGGATTCACTTCACCTCTCTAAGCCTCAGTTTCCCATTTGCAAAATGGGCAGAATGACTCGCACCTCTGGGGATGAAGAAAATGCACATGTGAGCACGTGGGTACTTGGCGACCCGGAGATCTCTGCAAACTGCAGGCCCAGCGAGATGGCCTCAGCACGCCCTGCACCCTCGTCCGCGCGACTGCCGCCGGGTGCCCGCCCCAGCCGCTGTGTCCCTGGTGCTTCCTCCGCCAGGGCCACGTGCCGGGGAAGCCAAAGCGGGAGTCTTTCGATCTTGGCCCAGCCCTTAGCCCTCGGTCCTTTGCTCTAGCATCTAGATTCTCGTGGGTCAACAAAGTCACTGGAAACCCAACGAACTTCCCGACATTTTTCGAAAACCGTATGCGTGTGCTTCTGTGCGTTTTTCCTCTGATCGAGGTAGGGCCCTGTAGGGTTCTGTTTGGACGGGAGGCTGGAGTGGTTCCTTCCCGGCTGCGGGGTCGGAGGATGCAGAGATTCGAAAGAAGGAGAAACACAGAGACTGTCAAATGAAAGGAGATTCTGTCTTCGGAATCGACCCAGCTCTTTAAAAGAATGAGGAAAACATGGGGTCTTTATATATCCTGGAAAGTCGCCTAGGCGTTCAGTGAAAAACGCAAAAGGCACGTGGATTCCTATTTGTGTAAAAATATAAATGGGGCAGGGGGTTAAACATCAGGTTTTTTCTGCACGAAAGGTCTCAGCGCAGAGGGTTGGAGATTTTTCTTTTCATTGTATGTCTTTCGGGACTGTTCGAAGCCAATGTGTGTTGCTTACCATATTCTTGCATTGAATTTTCAATTAAAAAAAGAAACTGCAGGAATTGTTTTTTGTTTGTTTGTTTGTTTTGAGACGGAGTCTCGCTCTGTAGCCCAGACTGGAGTGCAGTGGCGCTATTTAGGCTCACTGCAACCTCCGCCTCCTGGGCTCAAGCGATTCTCCTGCCTCAGTCTCCCGAGTAGCTGGGATTACAGGCGCGTGCCACCACGCCCGGCTAATTTTTTTTCCTTTTTTCTTTTTTTTTTTTTTTTTAGTAGAGGCGGGGTTTCACCGTGTTAGTCAGGATGGTCTCGATCTCCTGACCTCGTGATCCGCCCACCTCGGTCTCCCAAAGTGTTGGGATCACAGGCGTGAGCCACCGCGCCCGGCCAATAAATTGATTTTTTAAAAAGCAACCTGGGCCGGGCGCAGTGGCTCACGCCTGCAATCCCAGCTCTTTGGGAGGCCGAGGCGGGTGGATCACCTGAGATCAGAAGTTCGAGACCAACCAGCGTGACTAACATGGAGAAAGCCCATCTCTACTAAAAATACAAAATTAGCCGGGTGTGGCGGCACTCGCCTGTAATGCCAGCTACTCCGGAGGCTGAGGCAGGAGAATCGCTTGAACCCGGAAAGAGGAGGTTGCGGTGAGCCGAGATCGCGCCATTGCACTCCAGCCTGGGCAACAAGAACGAAACTCCGTCTCAATAAATAAAATGAAATAAAATAAAATAAAATAAGCATTCGGGATGCTGAAGCCTGCAGGAGTTGAATCAGAGGGCGAGCTGCAGAGCGGAGGCACTGGGGCGGCGGGCCTTGCCCGGGCTCTTGGCTCCCATGAATCCTCGATGAGTAGAGAATCGTCGCTCGGAGCAAAGGCGAGAGGAGAGAGAAGCGTGCGGGTGCGGCCCTTGCTGCTTTTTACCAGGCGACACCCCGGTCGACTTTGACCCCCGAGCAGGTGAAACATAAGCGTCCACCCCAGAGGGGTCCCCTACCCAAGTCAGAGGAGAAGGTGGCCTGCCAGGTTAAAGGATCGAGTCCAGCCTCGGTTTCCTCATCTGTAAAATAAGCCGAGAACATCCGCGCCTCTTTCTGGAGAAGGCTGGGAGGATGCCAGAGAGAAACTGCGCGCAGGCCCTGGCGAGGAGCCCCTCCGGCCCATGCGGAACTCTGCACAGGCTGGGTCCCTCCAGGGTTAGAAACCCAGCTTCCCCACCCCTACCCAGCAGGGACCCGCGCTGCATCCCCTAACGCCCCCCAACCCTCTGCACCCAGACCCAAGAGCCGGCCTTCGACGCACCACATGCGTGGAGCCCGGGTCCCAGCCCTGAGGACCAGGTTTCAGGGCTCAGAAGACTCCAGCGAGGTTCCCTCGCAGATTGTGTCTGCGGTCGTTGGGGGAGGGGCCCCGCAGCCTTCAGCAGATTATCCAAAGGTCAGTGACCCAGATATGGTTTTGGCCACGGGCCATGTTTCACTTCCTGTGCCCCAAGCAGAATTTAGCTGAATAATTCGGACCCCAAACCAAACAAAACGCTCTTATTTCCGTTTGGGGATTCTTCGGAGTTGGGATTTTTCTGTCTCAAATTAGAATAATCTGCATTATTAACCACTTAACAGTTATTTGTTGGTTGGCTGCCTGACCTTTCTGAGCCTCAGTTTCTTCGTCTGTAAATTGGGAGCTTACCCAGGTCGGAGGACTGTTGGAATTGGAAATATTCGAATAAGGAAGTGTTTTTGCAAGTGCTTTGTAAGCAGCAAAGCGCTTCTTCAGGGGTCAATTTTTTTTTAGCTCTGCAGTCACCACCCAAATTCGGAAGATCGTTGTGCCTTTCTTGGATGAGAATGCCCGGCTCCAGCCCGGGGATGGGACGGTCTTTTCCTTGCTAGGAGTCCGCTGTGGAGGGGGCGATGCGCTCTGTCCAGGACCTAGGAGTCCCTTTCTCCCTCCACCCTCGGCTCACAGCGGGCAGCTCCCCCGACGCGTACCGCCTCTTTGCCCCCAGCCTGAGGTGCGCTCTTCCCCAGGACGCCTCCTCTGTCCTCTGCACGCCGCCGGCCCTGCTGGGGTTGCTTTCTGCCGCGGCGTCTTCGCGAATATCCCCTCTTGCTGTCTGCCTGGGCGTCCCTCCGGGTTACCGCACACCGCCTCCGACCCTCCCAGGGCGCGGGAGGAGGGGCAGGGCATCCGCGTTCGTGTCTGGGCCCTGGCGGGGAGTCGCGTGGTCCAACCCCTCGTTTTTAAGAGGAGGGATCTGAAGCCCAGCTAGGCTTCTAATTCCAGACAGAGCCCTACGGAGCCCAGTTCTCTGGAGGCTTTCCTGGGGCTTTTTTCACTAGGCCAGGTTGGGTGGGTCTGGAGAGAACTCCCGCAACCGGAAATTAAAGAAATGCAGAGAGAAACCTGGGGAGTGGGGCCACCCTGGTCCCCTGGGCAGGCTCCGGTCTCTGGACCAGTGGGGCAGCAGAGGCCTCGGGAGCTGCAGAGATTTTCCTGGGCACACTCCTGAGGGGTAGGTGCGAAGCTCCTGCTGGGATGCCTAGAAAGAGGGTTATCATGGGGTCCCTGGCTGCCGGCTCACAGCCGCTCCTGCTTGGAGAAAAGGCAGGGCAGAGGGTAGGGGATGCACGGGTGTGGAAGGAGGGGATGGAGGAGAAAGACCACAGGCGGTTTGGGTTGTTGGGAGGGGAGGGGGTGTGTGGGTTGCGGGGGTGGGGGGGAGGTGATCAAGAATGATCAAGAATCCCCGAAGCTCTTTGTTCGTTCTTTGATCTGCTCTTTTTTTTTTTTTTTTTTTCTTTGCTGTTTGTTTGTTTTTTGAGACGGAGTTTCCCTCTCGTTGCGCAGGGTGGAGGGCAGTGGCACAATCTCGGCTCACCACAACCTCCGCCTCCCGGGTTCAAGAGATTCTCCTGCCTCAGCCTCCTCAGTAGCTGGGATTACAGGCGTGCGCCACCATGCCCAGTTAATTTTGTATTTTTAGTAGAGACCGGATTTCTCAATGTTGATCAGGCTGGTCTCGAACTTCCCTTCCGACCTGAAGTGGTCCGCCCGCCTCGGCCTCTCAAAGTGCTGGGATTACAGGCATGAGCCACGGTGCCCAGCCCTTTGATCTGCTCTTTAGGAACCTCCACCAATAACCAGAATCCTTTGATCTGCTCTTTAGGAACCTCCACCAATAACCAGAATCCTTTGATCTGCTCTTTAGGAACCTCCCCCAATAACCAGAATCCAGCAGTCTCTCCGCAGTACCTGCTGTGGGAACCTGCTGGGCCCCCGGTAGAAGGGAGGGTCTGGCCAAGGCAGTGGGGATGGAGTTCCCACAGCAACAGCAGGCCCTGCCCTAAGGGAAGCAGCCTGTGGCCTGTGTCGAGGACTTGGAGCTGCTGTGAGCTCCCTGCAGATGCTGGGTTGGAACCTGGCCTCAGCCTCCAGATGGGCTAGCTTGGGGGAATTCCTGCCCAGCATTTAGCATAAGTCCCTCCTAATGGAAAATGCAAGCCCCACTAGGGCAAGGGCCACATCTGCCTTGTAGACTGCGGTATCTCCTGCCTGACTTTCTCGGAAGGTGCTCCATGAATATGTGTTTGAATTAATGAGCAAGGGCTGTGCAGGGTGCAGTCACAACCAGGGGCCAGCGGGATTCTCCCGCAGGACAGTGAGCGGAGAAACTAAGGCTCAGGCAGGCTAGGCAGCACATGCTGGCCTGGACTTCTTTCTGTCCATCACAGCTGCCTGCTCTGTGCTACCCCTTTTAGCTAGCAATGGCCATGCCTGGGCTTCCTCTTGGGAGGTCATTTCAAGGGAGGCAGAAACTCCTCAGTATGGCTTTAGGGGTATTCTCCTCTTCCCTTTTTCCTGTCTCATGGATATGGTCTTTGAGTGAGCCAATTCCACCTCTAGGCTTCAGTTTCCTCATTTGTAAAGTGAGGGCTGGAAGGAAAAGCCTTTCCTGTCTTCCTTCATCCCTTTATTTTTCTTTTCCAAGACACGTTGAGGCAGAAACAGAGGCAGACAAGCTGGGCTGCACTTGGACCAACGGAGCCCACTATGCTAGATATGCATGGGACAACAGACGTCCCACGCCGCTTCTGGATGTCACATGCTCTTCTAACTGGTTAAACTAGCACATGCGGTGGGGCTTGGTGGCTCATGCCTGTAATCCCAGCACTTTGGAAGGCCGAGGCGGGCGGATCACGAGGTCAGGAGATCGAGACCATCCTGGCTAACACGGTGAAACCCCCGTCTCTACTAAAAATACAAAAAATTAGCCTGGCGTGGTGGCGGGTGCCTGTAGTCCCAGCTACTCCGGAGGCTGAGGCAGGAGAATGGTGTGAACCTGGTAGGCGGAGCTTGCAGTGAGCCGAGATGGCGCCACTGCACTCCAGCCTGGGCGACAGAGCGAGACTCCGTCTCAAAACAAAACAAAACAAAACAAAACTAGCACATGCTACCCCAAGAACTTAATCATCAAGTCCCACAGGTCTGGGTTTTTGTTTTTGTTTGGTTTTTTTTTTAGACAGAGTCTTCTCTGTGTCACCCAAGCTGGAGTACAGTGGCACAATCTCGGCTCACTACAACCTCCATTCAAGTGATTCTTGTGCCTCAGCCTCCAAAGTAGCCGGGATTACAGGCACATGCCACCCCACCCCAGCTAGTTTTTATATTTTTAGTAAAGACAGGGTTTTGCCATGTTGGCCAGGCTAGCCTTGAACTCCTGGCCTCAAGTGAGCTGCCCACCTCAGCCTCCCAAAGTGCTGGGATTACAGGCCTGAGCCACTGCGCCTGGTCTGGATCTTAAAGCAGAGACCATGTGGGCCTTCGAGGAGCTCACATTCTCCTTGAGATGAAAAGGAAGCATGCTGGATAATGCTCCCAGCCTCTGCTGCAGAGAAACCAAAGCTGGCCTGCTCCCCTGCCAGCAGAGACTAAGTGGGGTGGTCTGAGATTGAGGAGCCAACAGACTCAGCAAACACATGCTGACAATCCTCCTCATTTGGTCTTATTCACCAGCAGAGCCCCCATGGGTATAAGTCCAGCCATCAGGTGACAGGAGGAGCGGCTGAGCCAGGGCTGGATTCGGGGAACGCTCCTCTTCCTCTTCCTCCCACCTCCCCAAGCTAGGGTGTCAGGAATGTATCCTAACCTTGGGCCTAGCCTTGGGCTCCCTTCCATCCTTGGTTTTGGAGTTAGGGAGCTGCTCCCCTCCAACCCTACTTCAATGGGTCCCCAACACAAACCCAGGCCTCAGCCCTAGGCCACCTGCCAGCTGATGGGGTCTCTTTAAGGAATTGATTTCCACAAGTCCCTGAAGTGTTTCTTCGGCAGTAAATCTCCTGCCACCCAGGCTTTCTGGCCCATGAATGATTTAGCGCCTTGGAGGGGTTGGAACCGTCTTCCTGTGCAGTGGAGGCCTGCAGTGGTGACATCACAGCTGCAATGGTGATGGATGGACTCTTCTACCCTAATGGGGAGGAGAATGCACAGGCCGCTGGGAGGGGTCAGGCCATGAAAGTAAGTACCCATCTGGCTCCGCAGATTTCTGGTTTGGGGTTCTTACTGATGGACCAGCTAGCTAATTGCCCTCGGAGGTACCTAGAGAAAGGGCCCGAGTCCATCTCTCTGTCCCCAGCCCAGAGGGACACAGGCTCATGTCACTTTGAGGTTTGCCTTTCCAATTCCTAAAGTGCTCTGAATTATACCGAGCGCCGTCTTCCCTTGCTCCAGTGACAGCACGCATACACTCCAACACACACATGCACCTGCATGGGTGTGCACACACATGCACCTGCATGGGTGTGCACACACACATCCACTGTTCTCAACAACTCTCTCAGGAAGTTCATCATTATGTCCCACCTAAACGTTTCTTGCTACTGGGGAAGCCCATTTTTCTCTGATTCCATCTGGAATTGACAGAGAACAGCTGGTCATTATTAGCCATATGCTCCCCCTCCAAGCACACATGGTGAATAGCAGCATGTTCTTGGTCCCTTCTCCACTCAGAGCCCCCTCCCCCATCATCTCTCCTCTAAGCATCAATGACCCTAGTTATCTCTGTTCCACCAGCCTTTGGGGGAAATGACAAGGCTTTAGTCAGTCAGCATCCACAGGGTGCCAACTTCTTCAAGGGAGGGTAGGAAGTGGAGGGGGTGGTCTCTGAGGCAGGGAGTAGCCTCTGCCCACTCTTGCCATCCCTGACACCAGCTGGCCCTGGCCTATCTTGGAGTAAGTATAACTTGGAGGAGGAGGTAAATTTCCTGCTTCAAAATAGCTTCCCCCCATTGCCTATCCTATAGAGACAGCCATTGGCTTGATTTTTCTCTAAGATTGAAACTGGGGTATGCACCATGCAAATTCACTGCTATGGTGCACATCCCGGATTGGTACTGGGGTGTGCAACATGTGAATTCACTGGTATCACATACATGTTAGCATGTCTTAGTTTGGGCATTCCAGTGCGTGTGTAATAATATCTCATCATGGTTTTAATTTACATTTCCTTGATGACAAATGATGTGAGCATCTTTTCATGGGCTTACGTGCCTGTGTGACTGAGTGTGAGGGAGACAGAAGAAAGGCCTGGCTCTGGAGCGTTAGGGGAATGTTGCAGAGTGAGACGCCACAATGAAGGGCTCCAGGCACTTCGGAGCTCACTGTGGAAACTGGGCACAGGTGAGCCAAGAGAGAGCCAAGGAAGCAAGCAGCTTCAACTGAGGCCAGATGGATCATGGTGCACAAAATTCTTCCCTGAACCCTTTTTTTTTTTTTTTGAGACATTTGTTGCCCAGGCTGAAGTGCAGGGGTGTGATCTCAGCTCACTGCAACCTCCGCCTCCTGAGTTCAAGCGATTCTCCTACCTGAGCCTCCCGAGTAGCTGGGATTACAGGAGCCCGCCACCACCTGGGCTAATTTTTGTATTTTGGTAGAGACAGAGTTTTACCATGTTGGCCAGGCTGGGCTTGAGCTCCTGAGCTCAAGTGATCTGCACACCTCAGCCTCCCAAAGTGCTAGGATTGCAGGTGTGAGCTACTGTGCCAGGACCCAAACACTTTTTCATTTTCCCCTCAGATCTCTGAAGGGTGGGAAGATCTGAGGCTTCCTGTGAGTGTGCATTTTCCAAGTTCACTCAGAGGGCACTTGGCAGATGAAGGCTCAGACCCAAGCGTTCTCGCTCCCGGCCTCCATAGTACCACTTTGCTGTTTACAAAGTGCTTTCATGGACATCATCTCATCTGATTCTCAGGATAACCCCATTTTACGAGTGAGAAAACTGAGACTTGGAGAGATTGAGTGGCTTGCTCAAGCCATCCAGCTAGTGAGCTGCAGAGCAGAGGAGACTCCTCGGGCTCCTCCGTTTGTCCCTAGAGAGGCTCATCTGACCTCCACCTCTCTTGTTGGGATTGATGGAGTCCGCTCTGCCCTGCTTAACTCTGCTGGGGGCAACTGCAGGAACTTACTCAGACCACCTGTCCTAGGTGCTGAGCCAGTCCCGACTTAGTTTCAGCTGAGCCACATTTAGAGAACTGTTAACATGGTGGTGTTGACCTTACCTGTAAGACCCCTGGCCACCTCACTCAGGTTGCTCTCAGTCATGAGATTAGAAAACCAAGATATTCCTCCCAAAGACTCTTCTCACATTTGTTGTATCTTCTGTTTTAATCATGAAAATCCAGATATGGCCGGGTGTGGTGGCTCACGCCTGTAATCCCAGCACTTTGGGAGGCCGAGGCGGGCGAATCACGAGGTCAAGAGATCGAGACGATCCTGGCCAACGTGGTGAAATGTCATCTTTAATAAAAACACAAAAATTAGCTGGGCGCGGTGGTGCATGCCTGTAGTCCCAGCTATCCAGGAGGCTGAGGCAGGAGAATGGCTTGAACCTGGGAGACGGAGGTTGCAGTGAGCCGAGATCACGCCACTGTACTACAGCCTGGCAACAGAGCGAGACTCTGTCTAAAAAAAAAAAAAAATCCAGGTACAAAATGCCTTATTACCACACAGGGTGAGATCTCGCCCTGACTTTATTCACTACCTGCAAGCTCAGACCCCCATCTCCGATGGTCCCAAAGCCCATAAGTTGACAGTACCTGTCTGACACATAGTAGGCATTCATTAAATGTTCGTTGAATGAATTTGAATGGGGTTCGTTGAATGGGATTTGTTAATGAACACGGCTTCCTTTTCCTGAACTGTGATTAATTTTAAAACCCAAGAGGAGGGAAGTGACATTTATTGGGTAGGTCTTTCCATTCCTCACCTCTGCCGTGTGAGGTTAGCATTATTATGCCATTTTATGGATGAGAAAATGGAAGCTAAGGCTGGGTGCGGTGGCTCACGCCTGTAATCCCAGCATTTTGGGAGGCCGAGGCAGGCAAATTACCTGAGCTCAGGAGTTCAAGACCAGCCTGACCAACATAGCAAAACCCTGTCTCTACTAAAATACAAAAAAATTAGCCAGATGTGGTGGCACACGCCTGTAGTCCCAGCTACTTGGGAGGCTGAGGCAGGAGAATCGCTTGAATCCAGGAGGTGGAGGTTGCAGTGAGCCGAGATCACATCACTGCACTCCAGCCTGGGTGACAGAGCGAGACTCCATCTCAAAAAATAAAAAAAAGAAAGAAAATGGAAGCTTGAGGGGTTCAATAATTTGGTTACTCAGCTAGGATGGGGTAGAGCCAGCATTTGAACTGGGTCTGAGTGCCACACTGACCCTCTGTCCATTGTACATGAGGAGAGAAATCCTGGGTGTCCCTGGATAAGCCCAGAGGCTTCCAGTGGGCAGGGAGCCAGCCTGAGATCCTGGGCTCTAGAGATGCCTTGGCCTCATTGGGCTGACTGTGTCAGTCACAGATCCTGGTCAAAAGCTATGAATTTCAAACTTTACTCTAGAGCTGTATTCCAATACAGCATCAGCTGAACAACAGAGAAAGCTGCTCTGCTCCAAAGTAGCAGTCTCTAGTCCAGGGGACTTTCCAACCATTTTGAAATCAGCAGTCCAGCCCCTGCCATCCCAGCCTGTGCCTGTCTCAGGCCACACACAGCAGCCATTTGCAGCTTGTGGTTGCTACTGGCCAAGTTCACCAGAGGCCCGGATACCAGCATGATGGTTCCCAGCCCCCCGCCGGGGAGGAGGAGAGGGGGTCATTGTGGAGATGATAATGCTGCTCCATGAATGTCCAACTTCCTGAAAACCACCGGGACACATTTCGTTTATGTGCTTGTTTATCTCAGGCCTGCTTCCAGAAGGGCTCCGAGGAGCAGACAATGAAAGACCACCGACAGAATTGCTGTTCACGGGCCAGGCGCAGTGGCTCATGCCTGTAATCCCAGCACTTTGGGAGGCCGGGCGGGTAGATCACCTGAGGTCAGAAGTTTGAGACCAGCCTGGCCAACATGGTGAAACCCTGTCTCTACTAAAAATACAAAAAAAAGAATCACTTGAACCCGGAAGGTGGAGGTTGCAGCGAGTCGACATCGCACCACTGCATTCCAGCCTGGGTGACAGAGTGAGACTCTGTCTCAAAAACAAACAAACAAACAAACAACAAATACAAAAAACATTAGCCAGGCGTGGCGGCAGGCGCCTGTAATCCCAGCTACTTGGGAGGCTGAGGCAGGAGAATCGCTTGAACCTGGGAGGCGAAGGTTGCAGTGGGCCAAGATTGTGCTGTTGCACACTCCAGGCTGGGTGACAGAGCGAGACTCCATCTCAAAAAAAAAATAATGAAGAAACTGTGTCAAAAAAAAAAAAAGAGCTGTTCATGGAAAAAGAATAACAAAAGCCCCACAGAAGGAGGGGACAGAGTTACACGGAACCTCCAGCCAGTGGTGATGTGGCAAGGGACAGTCTTCAGGTGGCCTTTGTAGCAGCGTGGCTGCTTCCCCTGGGTTGACTCACTTTTCCTCCACCTGATAGTCCAGGGGACATGAGGGGACCAGGTCTTGGCCAGATGCCAGATCTGAGCATTTTTCACTCAGGATTCTCTCGCATTGAGAGACACAGGCTCTGGCAACGGTGCCCAGTGTGAGTGGAATTTGGGAACACTGTGGCCAGGTGGTTGGCACCCAAGCGTTTCCCTGTGTCCTGCAGGCACCCTGCCCTCTGGCCTGCAGCCCTTTTGCCAGGGCCACCATGGCCCTTCCCACAGAGACCAGCACCCAAAGTGGGCAGGAGCAGGGCAAGATCAGGGCCCAGCCTGGAAGCCCTTGCCCAACTGGGAACCCTCAGTAGGAACACATAGCTGCAGCAATACGTCTGGGGCTCCAGGAGGAGCTTATCGCCTTTCTGTCTCTCTCCCTCACAGCCCATTCAGCAGGGGCTTGAGCAGGGGACAGGGAGGCTGGTGAAAGGCCACCCGAGGCTGCTTTTCAATGAAACTATCTGTGTGCAGGATAGAATTACTTGTATCAAGTACACCAAGACTTTTAATCCATTTTGTAATCAAACAGGGCATCTCTCTGGGCCCCTATGAGCCTGAGATGACAGCGTAGTTCCACCCACTTCACAGGTGGGGAAACTGAGGTGATGGAGAGGGTCAGAAGTAATCCCTTTCAGCCCAGCAGGCACTGGGGAATTCTGAGCTCTGGGCTCCCAGGCCACCCCAGACTGGCTGAAGAATGAGCAACACGTTGCCCTGGGTTCCTCCTTCTGTCCCCAGCCAAGATGGGTTCTGCTTCTGGTTGGAGCTCTTCCACCATCTCTCTGTACAACTTTGGGCTAGACGTGTGTGCCTTGGTTTCCAGCTGTGCACCAGGGCAGTGCTGGCCGGTCCGTCTGTTGTCTGGAGTGGCTATGCACCTCAAATGGGACAGAGGAGGGGAGAGAACTTTGCTAAGTAGAAAATGCTAGACCCGGCCAGTCACGGTGGCTCATGCCCTGCAATCCCAGCACTTTGGGAAGCCGAGGTGGGCGAATCACGAGGTCAGGAGTTCAAGACCAGCCTGGCCAAGATGGTGAAACCCCGTCTGTACTAAAAATACAAAAATTAGCCAGGTGTGGTGGCAGGTGCCTGTAATCCCAGCTACTCTACTCAGGAGGCTGAGGCAGAGAATTGCTTGAACCCAGGAGGCAGAGGTTGCAGTGAGCCAAGATCATGCCACTGCACTCCAGCCTGGGTGACAGAGCAAGACTCCGTCTCAAAAAAAGAAAGAAAATGCTAGACCTCCATGAGGGGCAGTCACATGTCATGGCCAGAGGCCACCGAGGTAAGGGAGCACTCCACACCACAGCAGACAGCACTGCCCTGAGGGCCCCAGGGCTTGGGCTCTAGACCCTGAGCGGCCTCTGGAGGCCTTCGGATGCTCATCTATTAAAGCAAAGGGCTGGAGCTCCCTTCCAGCCGGGCACTCTGTGCTGTTCCAAGCTGCCTATGGGTGGTGGGGTGGTGGTATTTCCCTGGTCACTCCCCACCAGGCCTGGGCCCCTGGACACCCTTAGCAGAGGCTGTGTCTCCTCTGGGCACTTGTCCCACCCCTTGAGGAACCCACAGGCTTAGTCCCTCAGCCCACCCGAGCTCCTTGACACGTTTCCAGGACCATAGGACAGTGCGGTGCAGGTCGTGCAGAGTGGCTTCTAGGTCTGAGCCGGCACTCGAGGGCGGGGTCCTGGTCGGGGGGATGGGGGCTCAGCATTTCCCCACACTGGGGCAAGGCCTGGCCTCCACTGTGCGTGCACAGGACTGAAGGCCCCTTCCCAGCTGCATGGAGATGGACGTCCCTGGCCCAAAGGAGCAATGAGACGCCCTCCAAGTGCCCTCTGCAGCTGAAGAAAAAGGCCCTGGGTCTTGGGTGCCCAGTTGAATACAGGACACCATTCAGATTGGAACTTCAGATAAACAATGAGTACATTTTTAGTATAAGTATGTCCCAAATATTGCACAGAATATACTTATACTGGAAGTATTTGTTATTTGTCTGAAGTTCAAGTTTGACTGGGAATCTTGTACTTTTCTTTTTCTTGGTTTGTTTTTGAGACGGAGTCTCACTCTGTTGCCCACGCTGGGAGTGCAGTGGTGCAATCTTGGCTCACTGCAACCTCCGCCTCCCGGGTTCAAGCGATTCTCCTGCCTCAGCCTCTCAAGTATCTAGGATTACAGGTGTGCACCACCATGCCTGGCTAATTTTTGTATTTTTAGTAGAGATGGGGTTTCGCCATGATGGCCAGGTCGGCCTTGAACTCCTGACCTCAAGTGATCCGCCCACCTCAGCCTCCCAAAGTGCTGGGATTACAGGCATGAGCCATTGCGTCTGGCCTTGTATTTTTATTTCTAAGTCTGGTGACTCTACCTTGGTCCTATCCCCTGGCCCACCCCTCAGTCCCTGCTGCTAAAATGTCCCACAGAGGCTGCCGGTGCCCAGTGGGCGCCCTCCCAAGCTTTGAGTGTCTCTGTGAATCTGTGTGCTCCTGATCTTGCAGGCTCTGTTTCTCTCACTTCTGTCTGCTTGAGTCTCGCCCTCCTGTCCCCTGCTGTCTACCTCAGACAGTCCCTCCTCAGCCTCCCTCTGCGTTCCCTGCTGTCCTGCAAGGTGACGCTGAGCAACATGACTAGTACACCTGGTGCTGAGGACTCAGGCTCCCCAAAGGGCCAGCCTGCACAGCCAAAGGGGGTCCCCTGAGGGTGAGAGGAGCGTAGGGGACTGGTCCCTGCTTCCCTGGATATGGGGAAAACCCAGGACTCCAAACTCCAGCCCCTCCCACTCCAGCCACCTGGGAGAGCCCGCTTCACCTGGGAACAGGTTCTACCATCCAGAAGGCAATCAGGCACGTGCCCTAAAGGGGTAAGCCCTGTCCCTTCTGTCCTGGGAGAGGGGCAGGCAGCAGGAACAGCCGGTCCATGGCTGGGCTCCCAGGTCCCACCTGCCTGTGGCAGAGCTGACGAGGGCTGGGAACAGAGGGCTTCACCAGACCTGTCCCACCCACGGCCCTCAGCTAAGCAACAGAAGTGAGCTCCCTCTTCCCTGATGACCCAGGAAAGGGGCTAGGACCTGGCACCACTGGGACAAGCCTGGGAGACCAGCACTGTGCTGGCTTCCTGGCTCATGTGACTTTATTTTTATTTTATTTTATTATTATTTTTCTTGGGACGGAGTCTCGCTCTGTCGCCCAGGCTAGAGTGCAGTGGTGTGATCTCGATTCACTGCAACCTTTGCCTCCCAGGTTCAAGTGATTCTCCTGCCTCAGCCTCCAGAGTAGCTGGGATTACAGGCACCTGCCACCACACCCAGCCAGTTTTTTGTATTTTTAATAGAGACGGGGTTTCACCATGTTGGCCAGGCTGGTCTTGAACTCCTGACTTCAGGCGATCTGCCCGCCTCAGCCTCCCAAAGTGCTGGGATTACAGGCATGAGCCACCATGCCCAGACTTGTGTGACTTTAAACAAGTTACCTAAGCTCTGTGAGCCTCAGTTTCCTCACCTGCAATATGGGGCTAGAAACATACCTACCTCATGAGCATGATGGGCTTCAATTCAATCATCTAGGTCAAGCTCTTAGCACAGTGCACAGAAATGGGACACCCTTGAGGCATATTTCTTCTCTTTGTCTCTGCCGGCCAGGAGCCAATTCCGTATCTTATTACACAATAATTAACCAATGGGGAGGCAGGGAGCGCCCCCTCTACCTCCCAATCTCAGAGGGTCCTGCAGACCCACTGCAACTCCAGAAGTACCATGTATGGGAAGCAGAGATAATTTTGCTCTCAGACGAGGCCTGAGGAGGCCTTTCCCTTCTGGGCCTGGGCCCAGGAAACACGGCTGGCCTTATGGAGAGGAGTCTGGGGAAGGAGACCCTCCCCTGGGGGGATCACATTACCTGAGTGAGAGAAGCTGGGGAAAAAGCTGGGGGCGGGGGTGGGAGGGTGTTGGGGGTGGTGCCAGGCCCGCATGCCTGTGTGCCTTGGGTGTGTGGCCCAGCAGAATTTGTTGGATGCTTTGGGATTTTATTTTTCTTTTTTCTCTAATTTCCTTTGAAAACATATGTTTGGCCTCCATTACAGAAGTCCTGCCTATCGCAGGGAAGCCCACGGCAGACAACGCAAACCCCAGAAAAGCGCTGGCTGCCGTCGGCTGCAGGTTCCTGCATCTTTTTTCCAATGTGCACTTCGTTTTAATAAAAAATGGGACCATTTTGTATACACTGTTTTTGTATCTTCCTTTTCTCACTGCGTAACCTTTTCCCATTTGGGAAAATTCTATTCTGTTGACAATGACCAGCTGCATAGTGTTTCATCTTCTGGCTTTGACTGATTGATTCAAAGCCCATCCTAAGGACAGCTGAGCAGTTTCCAATTTCTGGCTGTTGCGAAAGAGCGAATTTCTTTAGGATACATTCTGATGAGTGGTGTCTTCGGGTCAAAGGTGTGCAAATCGAAAACATTTATTGGTTCATATTACAGAAGCTGCGCACGCGCGCGCGCGCACACACACACACACGCACACACACGCGCACACACACACACACACACACACACACACACACAAAACACACTGTCATAATTCCAGCAGGCGCTGGGCCCTGGCTGCAGGCAGAGGCTTGAGGAGGGCTGACTTGGGCTGAGCTGATGTGGGTTGGCTGCCTAGGGAGCCTAGAAAGTTCTTCATGGGGAGGAGAGATGGGATCTGCCCTGCTTGTCTGTCCTCGGGTTCGAGGTTGGCCATCCCCCCACCTCAGGCTGCAGGGGTCCCGCACCCGCAGAAACATGGACGATTCAATATTGATACCTGGGGACCTGGGGCCAGCTGGGCTGGGTGGCAGAAGAGAGCCAGCCTTCCTACCTCAGCTTTGCCCCCACCCACCTGACCCACCCCCAGCCCACCTTCAGGCCCACCTGAAAAGCTGCTTCTTACTGAAAGCTTCTCTGATCCTCAGCCAGAAGTGCTTCTTCCCTCCTGCAGTACCTGGGACAGACCCCCCAGTGAGGATGGGGGAGACCCCTCCCTCCTGGGGGATGGGCCCGGGGCTTGAGGTGGGAGAGGAGCGGCCTGGGTTGGCGAGACCCTTCCTTCTCTGGGCAGGAGGCCCAGAAAGTCATGTTATGGTGGGTCTTGGAGGGTAGGAGCTTTCCATGTGATCCCATAGGCAGTGGGGGGACGGCAGTGACAGGCGGTGAGGATGGACAGAAGCCGAGGGCAGGAGGAGAGGAGACAGCTGGAAATCCCAGAGACGATGCGGGGTGTGAGCATGGGAGAGAGAATGTGGGGCTTCATAGAGGCGGCTTCTAGAATTGACTTTTTTGCTGACTGTGGGGTCAGGGCTGAGAGAAGCGTCAAAGGCCCAATGTCCAGGTGTCCCTAGCCGGAGAGGTGGGGTTCAAATCAGCCTCCTTCGGGTCCATGCAGCGTGGCACCATGGTGGCTGCCATGCCCTGGCTGGCTGACCTCATGCAAGGCACCGCATTTCCTGACCTATGCACAGGGCATAACAAGCGTGCCCACCTTAAGGGGCTTCGTGGGGTCAAACAAAGCAATGGGTGGAAAGTTCAGGGAACCCCTCAGTGCCCTGGGCTCACACCACCAGTCTCTGAGTCTATTTCCTTACCTGGAGTAGATGAGGTTAACGTGCCTGCCTTGCAGGCCCAGGTATGGAAAGCATTCAGCACATTTGGGGTAAGAGTTCGAAAGCCTAGTAACTAGGGGGCTTACCCCTTAAGCCCATGGGAACTGCTGTGGGATCCCCGTGGTCAGCCTGGGGTTGACATCTGGGGTGTTGCAGGGGCGCCCCCTGAGGGGCTGTGCACTGTCAGCCAGGGAGGGCCTGCCAAGTTATGATGTCCTGCCCTCAGAGACATGGGTAGGGAGGAGGCTAGGAGGGGAGGGACCCCGCCCCTAGCAGCCTCCGGAGACTGAACACAGGCCCAGGTGCCCACCCAGCAGAGAGCTGCCCCCAGCTTCCAGCCCTGGGTCCAGCAGGATGCAGAAGCAGCCCCTGCCCACTGGATGGGGGGCAGGTGGTAGGGGTGCCCAGGTGCCCCTGTGCCCTTCTGCCAGCCAGGCCTGGAGGCCCCAGGAGTAACGAGATAATCACAGCAATTGCAGCGAGATAGGACTGTCTGCTTGTGGAGCACTGAGATGCTGGAGCAGGCGGGGGGCCGGGAGAGTGGCAGGAAGCTTCCTCAGGCAGAGTCGCTCGTCCCACCAGCCGGGGTGCCAGGACTCTCATCCTGGAACCCTGCACTCCCACCCAGCCCTAGTCTTGGTGTCCAGGAAGGGCTCTGAGGCCTTTTGCTCAAATGAGCCCATCATCTAATGAGGGAGAGGAGTGTGGGTGGGGAGCTCTGCGGGCTGCCTGGAACTGACTGTTTAGAGTTCAGGTTATCTTTGTTTACCACTGAGAAAACATAAAGCTGAACACAGGTATTAACTGTGCCCACCTGCTCCTGCCATTGATTCGCTCATCCAGAGTTGCAGCCCATGGCACCAGCAATAAAGGAAATTGCTTTTGAAGTTGACAGAGGCTGGGAATGAAGCTCCAAGACCGACTGGCCCGTCTCTTCCAGGTGGCAGCTGGGTCCCTCCCCACCCACCTGTCCCCCAAAGCCAAAGACACGTAGTTGTCACCAGGGAGCTGGGAAGCAGCCTCCAATCCTGACGTGTGTTTTTTTCCAAGAGACCCTCTGCTGCCCAGGATTATAGGCTCACACCTATAATCCCAGTACTTTGGGAGATCGAGGCAGGAGGATCATTCGAGCCCAGGAATTCAAGGCCAGCCTGGGCAACACAGGGAGGCCCCCATCTCTACAAAAAAATAAAAAATTAGCCGGGCATGGTGACATGCATCTGTGGTCCCAGCTACTCGGGAGACTGAGGTGGGGGGATCGCTTGAGCCCAGGTCCAGGCTGCAGTGAGCTGAGATTGCACCACTGAACTACAGCCTGGATGACAGAGCAAGACCCTGTCCCCAAAATAAAAATAAAACAAAAGACCTTGTGCCTATGTCTCCCAGCCCAACACGGGGCCATCTGCCAGGGCTGCAGCATGAGGGCATGAGGAGAGATGCTAAGCAGGACTTCCTGAGGACCAGCATCTGCAGCATGAGGCAGGGTGTACACTCTCTTCCCGACAGTTCTCTGGGAAAGCAGTGTCAGGCCTGGGGAATCAGAACTGGACAAGAGGCCTTCCTGCCCCAGGCACGTGCTCATCTGCAAGCCTTCCAATGACCTAAGTAGGGGAACCTGCTAAGATGTTCCTCCACCAAGGGGCTTCTCTGCTTTCAGCACCCAGACTCCCACTTCCCCAGGTCGAAGGACCTCAGAGAGGCAGATCATTACCCCAATGCCTCCCAGCTCCGTCTCCCACACCCTTGCCCTCGTCACACCGGGCCACAGCGTCCCTGTGCCTGCAGACTCTTTCCCTACTGGGAAGCCAGGGTCCTCGCCTGGGTTCTCCTTCTTCAAGGTTGGTGTAGTGGAGTGAATGGTGTCCTCCAAAAGATACATACACATCTGGATCCCCAGAACCTGTGAATGGGACCTTATTTGGAAAAAGGGCCTTTTGCAGATGTAATTAAATTAAGGATTTTGAGATGAGGAGGTCATCCTGGATTATCAGGTGGTTCCTAAGTGCGATGACAAGTGTCCTTATAAGAGACACACGGGGAGATGGACACAGCAGAGCAGGAGACAAGGTGATGGTGCAGACAGAGCCTGGAGTGACGCGTCTACCAGGAGCGCCAGGGACTGCCATAGCTCCCACCAGCCAGGAGAGACCCCTGGAACAGACACACTCAGCAGGTGGGGAAGGCCCTGCCCCTGCCTCGATTTTGAACTTCTGGCTTCCAGAACTGTGAGAACCAATTTCTGTTGTTTGAAGCCCCTCATTGTGGTCACGTGTCATAGCAGCTTCAGGAAACAAATGTAGCTGGTGTTCTGGGATGTCACCCACACCCCCAACGTCCACGACAGCCATAAACTGTTGATGGCAAGTCTGTCCCTCCAGGATGGTGTCCATCCAAATTTCAGATCTCTATTCCCAGTGGCGCCGTGGGCAGTGTGGTATAATATGAAAAATATCTGGTCTTTGTTCCTGGGTCCTGGCACAGAGTTCCCAAACCCTTGGAATTTTCTGAGTGATGGAAGCCTCTTTTGTTATTGATAAGAAGCCCTTTCCATACCACTTGAGTTTCTGCTAATGAGGTGACTTATGGTCAAAGGCAGTTCTGCACTCCTACCGATGCTCCCTTTAAGTACATGCAAATTAAGGGGCAGATTATGCAGACATTTCTAGAAAAGGGGTGGTAACTTCCAGGTCATCAGGTCATTGCCATGGGAAGGGGTGGTAACTTGGGGATCTTGCCATGAAAGGGGTGGTAACTTCCGGTTGTTGCATGGCAACAGTAAACTGCAATAGCATCTGTGGGTGTGTCATATGGGCAGGTGCTTTCGCCCCATTTCTATTGTAGCTAGAGTCGTCAAATCAATTCGGTGTGGTGTCCCAGCCCAGCCTCTGGAGTCAAGTTTCACCTCCTGAGTGGAGTCCTGCCTCCTACCTCAGGAAGATTGAGCCCAGGTGTTCAAGACCAGCCTGGACAAAACAGCCAGACCTCATCATGAATTAGAGTAGGCTCCGCCATCTAGGTTTGTGTAAGGACACCCTGTGATGCTCACACAATGACAAAATCACCTAAGCATGCACTTCTCAGGGAGTATCCCTATGACTACTCCCTTTTGTGGACATTCGGGTTGTCAGGTCTATTTCTGAAGCACCCGGAAACAGTCAGTTCTGGCATTTTAGAGAGGTTCTGTATCTGCAGCCTTGTTCTGTGCAAGCCTACTGGGTGTCTCTTTCAGAACATATCCCGATTTCGGAGAAATCCCCCACCATCCTGTCCATGATCGAGGGCACCAAGAACTGATGCTTGAGCCAGACACTCAACCACAAACTGCACTTCAGGGAGGCCCACAGCCTTTGAGGAGGTTTGGAGTCCGCTGCCTAATTAGGGCTCTTCATCTTGGTAGGTAACACAGGAGGGAGTGGAGCCTGGGGTTTAGGAAGTGTGGCACCGTTAGCATACACAGAGGAAGCTCATAAGTGCTCTGCAGGAGCCCAAATGGTGCTGAGGTCTGTTTCATACGAAGAGTCTCGGAGGCCAGGATTCAGCTGAGGAGACAGATTCCTGTCCTCGGGTCTCCCTGCCATAACTCTGGAAGACAACCTTGAACCAGTGGATATGATTCTTGTAGGATATTAAATATGTCTCTTTTCACAGTCATGCTATTTATTTACTCAACACTTTTTATTTTTTTTGAGACAGAGTATTGTTCTGTGGCCCAGGCTGGAGGGCAGTGGCACAATCTTGGCTCACTGCAACCTCCGCCTCCCGGTTCAAGCAATTACCATGCCTCAGCCTTCCGAGTATCTGGGGTTACAGGCCTCCGCCACCTTGCCCGGGTAATTTTTTGTATTTTTAGTAGAGATGGGGTTTCACCATGTTGGCCAGGCTGGTCTCAAACTCCTGACCTCAGGTGAGGATCTGCTTGCCTCAGGCTCCCAAAGTGCTGGGATTACAGGTGTGAGCCACCTCACCCAGCCTTTTTTTTTTCTTCATATAGGGTGCAAAGGTACATTCTCTCCCGCTCTTATTATCACAAATGTCAAATTATGAATTAAAGATGTTTTATTGTAGCTGCTCTTGCAATGTGAATGTGTGTGTGTGTGTGTGTGTGTGTGTGTGTGTGTGTGTGTGTGTGAATGTGTCATATTTGCATTTGGGCCGGACCTGAATGAATGACTTTAGAATGAGACTCTAATGAGGATGACACAGGCGGCTTTCGAGGGATGAGACCTCCCCGGAGAAGGACAGAGACATTATTTGGCTGTCTTCTTTCCGGAGGGTAAGGATTTGGCTAAGAATTTTAAACACTCACGTCCTCCAGCTCACAGGAGTGGGTCAAGAGCAGCTAGAGGGAGTGCAGAGAGGCCGGTGTCGATGTTCCAGAAAAGTGAGACGAGGGATGTGGTCGATGACTGCCCTGCCAGCCGGGTGCAAATAATGCATGGGAAGGTATACAAGTCCGGTGGAAAGAACCCTGGGCTGGCGATAAGGAGATTGGCCTGTGACCTTGGGTGAGTTCTGTTTGGCTTTGAGCAAGTCGCTTAAGCTCTCTGTGCTGAAGCATGTGACCGCGCATGGAAAACAGGCCAGAGATCGGCCTCCGTACCTCAGGAGACTGAGTGGGTTGTTAGGTACAAAATGCCTGAAGTCCTTTCCACAGCAAGGCAGGGCATACACAGACCTATCAATAAAACTGAAGGCATCAGGAATCCTGGTGGGGAAACTGAGGCCCAGCCCAGGAAAGCCCTGTGCCCAAGGATCCGGGGATTGTCTCCATCCTGCCTTTAGGGAAAAGCAAGCTACCCATCTAGGGTCTGGGTAGAGCACCCCGGGAAGAGCAAGGAGACATCCCAGATGGAGGCCCTGCCAGGAACACAGGCCATTTCCCTTGCAAAGATGAAATTCAAATCTGAGGTGGCATCAGTGCCAGGGGAGGCAGCTGGGCACAGATGTGTCTTGGGAGGATCTGGGGGCAGCGGATCATGTCACATGAGAGCACCGGACCAGGATTCGGCCTGACCCCTCCCTCCTGTGACTCTGAGCCCTCAGGCTGTGGGGGCTGACTGTCCCACCGCCCAGGTCATTCTCGGCACTGCCCCAGAGCCATAGCGGAGGCAGGGCTGGCATAAAGGGGGCCCTGGGACGACCCCAGGCCCTAAGGCCTCCAGGCCTGTCCGGGCCGCCCAGCTAGGGAGGCTGAGATGGCCGCTCGGCCCCAGCCAGCATATGCATTAGTAATGGCCACTGATCCTGCTGGCCCCGCGCCCTGTTTCCAGAGTGGGGCAGTAATCTGAGCCCGGCTGCCCACTGCCTCCAGGCTCCACCCTACGTTGCTGGGGCCATTGAATGCCTCTACTTTTCCTTGTTCTCAGCTCTGCATCGAAATGAAGAGAAACACAAACCAGCGATGTCTCCTCAACGTCCTGGGCGTTAGCTGTTCCCACCATCACTTCATAGAGAGGTTTCTGGATGGGAAGCGTTAGGAAAGACCCAGGGAGGCCTCTGAGGACACCTTGCGCAGATGTGAGGCCTTCCTGGGCTGGGCCTCAGTTTCCTTACTGGGGGTGGACAGGTCTGTTCTGAGGCTGTCACTGGCACTGATGTTCTGGGGTCCTGGGGCCCATTGCTTGCCCTAATGTGGGGGGTCACTCTGGTGGAGGGGACCCGGTCAGACCATAGCAGGCTAGACCGTGTGTGGTGACAGCAACACGGCCCAGTGGCAGAGGCTCCTGGGGGTGGGGGCATTAGGGGATGAAGCAGGCCTGGAGGATGGGTGGATCCAGAGAGCACTGGTGAGTGGGGGGGGTGCCTCAGCTCAGGGGGCAGGCCTGCGGGATGGGGGGACCCCTGGGACATTTATCCAGCCTGAGACTGGAGGCAGCTCTTCTTACCTTCCTGGGAAGGGCCTTCAGCCCTGCCTCTCCCCCTGCACCCACCTGGCAAACCTTTCACTCCCAGCAGCTCTGGGATGTCTCTCGAGGGACCCAGGCTCCGTCCTGAGCCTGTGGCCTGTCTCCGGCAGCTGCCCTTGGGTGGGAAGGTCCTGGCTGGCCCCAGAGGTTTTTCCTAAGAGCCTGTAATTCTCCCCGGAGAGATAAGGCATGGTTACATGGACTCATATCACACTGGCAGAGAAAGCGCCTCCAGGAATTAGGCCACCAGCCAGGGGATGGGCAGGCCTGTGTAGGAAGGGCAGCCTCTCAGTTGGAGGAAGTGGGGGTGTGGGACAGCCGAGGGCACTGAGAAAGTGGGGAAGACCACATCTTCATGGGAGGGTGGGACCAGCCCAGGCTGTGGGAGTGGCCTGCTGTGTGACCTCAGAGAGGCCACGATCCCTACTAGCTGCCTCTAGGAAAGGAATCTGAGCATGAAGGAGTAGTGGGGACAGGGAGATTTGCTTTTCACTATATAATTTTTTGCAACTTTTTGAAAAAAGTACATTTTTTTTTTGAGAGTCTTGCTCTGTCGCCCAGGCTGGGGTGCAGTGGCATGATCTCAGCTCACTGCAACCTCCACCTCCCGGGTTCAGGCAATTCTCCTGCCTCAGCCTCCCAAGTAGCTGGGATTACAGGCATGCACCACCACGCCCGGCTAATTTTTTTTTTTTTTTTTTGAGACAGAGTCTTGCTCTGTCACCCAGGCTGGAGTGCAGTGGCACCATCTCAGCTCACTGCAAGCTCCACCTCCCTGGCTCAAGTGATTCACCTGCCTCAGCCTCACGAGTAGCTTGGATTACAGGTGCATGCCACCATGCCTGGCTAATTTTTGTATTTTTAGTAGAAACAGGGTTTTGTCATATTAGCCAGGCTGGTCTTGAACTCCTGGCCTCAAGTGATTCTCCCACCTCGGCCTCCCAAAGTGCTGAGATTACAGGTGTGAGCCACTGAACCTGGCCAGCTGATTTTTTGTTGTTGTTGTTGTATTTGTTTTGTAGAGATGGAGTCTCCCTATGTTGCCCAGGCTGGTCTTGAACTCCTGGGCTCAAGCAATCCACTCACCTCAGCCTCCCAAAGTGCCAGGATTACAGGCATAAGCCACTGAGCCTGGCCTCTTTGTGAAATTTTGTACTGTGTTTATGTATAGCCTATTTAAAAACAGTATTTAAAAATAATGGCTGGGCAGGGTGGCTCATGCCTGTAATCCAAGTGCTTTGGGATGCCAAGGTGGAAGAATCACTTGACCCCAGGAGTTCAAGAGCAGCCTGGGCAACAAAGTTAGACTAATCTCTCCAAAAAATTTAAAAATTAGCAGGGCATGGTGGCACGTGCTTGAGGTCCCAGCTACTCAGGAGGCTGAGGCGAGAGGATTGCTTGAGCCCAGGAGGTCAGAGGCTGCAGTGAGCTGTGATCATGCCACTGCAGTCCAGCCTCGGCAACAGAGTGAGACCCTGTCTCAACAACAACAACAAAAGAAATCTAAACAGGCAATCATTTCATATATTATGACAAAATGATGGTCTAGGCACACACCATCAGGATATACCATCCGGATGTATGAGAAAGCAACAGTATTTGTCTTAGTCTATTTTGTAAGAGAATACCTGAGACCAGGTAACTTATAAAGAACAGAGATTCTTTTTTTTTGAGACAGAGTCTTACTCTGTTGCCTAGGCTGGAGTGCCGTGGCACAATCTCAGCTCATTGCAACCTCTGCTTCCCCAGTTCAAACAATTCTCCTGCCTCAGCCTCCCAAGTAGCTGGGATCACAGGTGCCCGCCACCACACCCGGCTAATTTTTTGTATTTTTAGCAGAGACAGGGTTTCACCATGTTGGCCAGGCTGGTCTTGAACTCCTGACCTCAGGTGATCCACATGCCTTGGCCTCCCAAAGTGCTGGGATTACAGGCGTGAACCACTACGTCCAGCTAGGAACAGAGATTCATTTCTTACATTTCTGGAGGCTGGAAAATCCAAGGCTGAGAGGCCTGCATCTGGGCCTCTGGCTGTGTCTGTCATCCCATAACAAGAGGTGGAAGGGCAAAAAAGCATGAGAGAGAAAGAGAGAGAGAGAGAGAAAGCAAGAGAGTACCAAACTTGCTTTTATAATAAACCCGCTCCGCTGATAAGGACATTAATCCACACACAAAGTCAGAGCCCTTGCAAAAGGTCCCAGTCTCAACATTGCTGCACTGGGGATTAAGTTTCTGAGACATGATCATTGAGGGACACATTCAAACCATAGCAGTATTTTAAACAATATGGTGCCCAGCAAAATAAAAGCTTCAATAATTGAAACAAAATGAAGAGTTTGGAAGTAGAGCTAATGAACATAAATATTTGATGTGAGAGAAAGCACGTTTGAAAGCAAGGAGGTAGGAAAAGTGAATCTCTATCCATCTCTCTCCCTAGGTCCCTAGGTAACCTCATTCAATTCCACAGGCTTTCAATATTATCTGTGTGCGAATGACTCCCAAACTGGATATATCCACAAGGCCTTGCCCCTGAACACAGCACCCATTTCTATAATTTCCTGCCTGACATTTTCACCTGCTGAGTGATCCTCTTAAACTCACCATATCCCTCCCTCCCCAAATTCCTCCTGTGCCTCCTTTCTCATCTCAGTAGGTAGAATTCTCACTACCTGGTTGCTCAAATAGAAGTCCAGGCTTCATCATCAATTCTTCTTTCTCTCCCCAGCACATCCACTCCAAAGCAAGCCCGCCCCCTCCATTGGCCCATCCTTGCCCAGGCCACCACCTCTCCAGCCTGGATTGTGACACTGCCCTCTGGCTTCCATGCATGCTCTCTATCTCCTCTCTCCTCTCCTCTCCTCTCCTCTCCCCTCCCCTTCCCTCTTCTCTATTCTTTTCTTTTCTTTGATGGAGTCTCGCTCTGTCACCCAGGCTGGAGTACACTGGCACTATCTCAGCTCACTGCAACCTCCACCTCCTGGGTTCAAGCGATTCTCCTGCCTCAGCCTCCCAAGTAGCTGGGATTATAGGCCTATGCCACCACACATGGCTAATTTTTGTATTTTTAGTACAGATGGGGTTTTGCCATGTTGGCCAGGCTGGTCTCAAACTCCTGACCTCAGGTGATCCACCTGTCTCAGCCTCCCAAAGTGCTGGGATTACAGGCATGAGCCACCGCACCCAGCCAATATATTTTCCATACGGCAGCTGGAGATAACATCAACATATTTTCAGTCAGGCAAGGTACCTCATGCCTGTAATCCCAGCACTTTGGGAAGCCAAGGCAGGAGGATCCTTGAGCCCAGACGTTCAAGAGCAGCCTGGACAACATAGAGAGACCCTGTCTCTATTAAAACAAACTAGCCAGCTGCGGTGGTGCATGCCTGTAGTCCCAGCTACCTGGGAGGCTGAGGTAAGAGGATCACTTGGGCCCAGGAGGTTGAGGCTGCAGTGAGCCATGATCATGCCACTGCACTCCAGCCTGGGTGACAGAGTGAGACACTGTCTCAAAATAAATTTTAAAAATAAAATAAAACAAAATGTTTTTCACATCCACTTTTACCTGGCCTGGCTCCCCCCCACCCTTCTGAACCCCACTTGCCATCGATGGCATTCTGAAGGTTCATTGCCTCTGGGTACAAAAACCTTCAGAGATGCAAACAAACGCATAATTTGAAAATCTGCTTTGGGGATGGCTCCCAAAAGCTTAATCAGGCCTATAAGTTTCCGGGCCTTTCCTTGTCATTTCTGTGTATCTGTTAAGGGTGAAGCAGGGGTTAAAAACTGTACTTCCACCAGGCGCAGCGGCCATACCTGTAATCCCAGCACTTTGGGAGGCCGAGGCGGGCGGATCATGAGGTCAGGAGATCGAGACCATCCTAGCTAAAACGGTGAAACCCCATCTCTACTAAAAATACAAAAAATTAGGTGGGCGTGGTGGTGGGCGGCTGTAGTCCCAGCTACTCAGGAGGCTGAGGCAGGAGAATGGCGTGAACCCGGGAGGTGGAGCTTGCAGTGAGCTGAGATCACGCCACTGCACTCCAGCCTGGGCGACAGAGCGACACTCCGTCTCAAACAAAAACAAAAACAAAAACAAAAAAAGTGTACTTTCAGCCGGGTGTGGTGGCTCATGCCTATAATCCCAGTGCTTTGGGAGGCCAAGCAGGCAGATCACCTGAGGTCAGGAGTTCAAGACCAGCCTGGCCAACATGATGAAACTCTGTCTCTACTAAAAATACAAAAATTAGCCAGGCATGGTGGCAGTGCCTGTAATCCCAGCTACTTGGAGGGCTGAGGCACAAGAATTGCTTGAACCCAGGAGGCAGGGGCTGTGGTGAGCCAAGATAATGCTACTGCACTCCAGCCTGAGTGACAGAGTGAGACTCTGTCTCAAAAACAAAAAACAACAACATCAAAAACCTGTAGTTTGTGGCTCACGCCTGTAATCCCAACACTTTGAGAGGCCGAGAGGGAAGGATGGCTTGAGATCAGGAGTTTGAAACCAGCCTGAGCAACATAGCGAGACCCCGTCTTTAAAAAAAAAAACCTGTTCTTTGGTCCTTGTTGGGGCTTCAGAATTCAGGTACATTGTAGAATGGGGGTGGGAGGTGTGGGGATGATGACATTTCGCCTCTTTCATACTCTAGTGTTGTTGCTTTTGAGAAAAAGTCCGGCTGGGCACAGTGGCTCATGCCTGTAATCCCAACACTTTGGGACACTGAGGCGGGCAGATTACAAGGTCAGGAGATCGAGACCATCCTGGCCAAAATAAGTGAAACCCCATCTCTACTAAAAATACAAAAATTACCTGGGCGTGGTGGCGTGTGCCTGTAGTCTCAGCTACTCAGGAGGCTGAGGCAGGAGAATTGCTTGAACCCGGGAGGCAGAGGTTGCAGTGAGCTGAGATCACGCCACTGCATTCCAGCCTGGCAACACAGTGAGACCCCATCTCAAAAAAAAAAAAAGAAAAGAAAAAGTCCCGTGAGGCCAGGGCAAAGCTGGCATCAGTAACAAAGACTGAATATTAAAAATAGCTTCATCTCCACACCACCCCACTCCACTGAGCAGCCACGTTTAAATGTAAGAAATTCTTTTTAGGCTAGTCTCAGTATCCATTCTTAACACAGACCATTGTCTGAGAAGAACATTTTCCTAAAAGAATTGAAACAATATACGTTGGAGACACTGATTTTTCTAAACGTAATTGCAGTGTTTTGGGAGGCTACCACATTTTTTGAAGATAGATTGGCCAAAACTCAGTTTCATAAATTCTATATGATTGGGTTTTCTTTCTTTCTTTCTTTTTTTTGAAACAGAATCTCGCTCTGTTGCCTAGGCTGGAGTGCAGTGGCGCAGTCTTGGCTCACTGCAACCTCCACCTTCCGGGTTCAAGCGATTCTCCTGCTTCAGCCTCCTGAGTAGCTGGGATTACAGGGGCCTGCCATCATGCCCAGCTAATTTTTGTATTTTTAGTAGAGACGGGGTTTCACCATGTTGGTCAGGCTGGTCTCGAACTCCTGACCTTGTGATCTGCCCGCCTGGGCCTCCCAAAGTGTTGGGATTACAGGCATGAGCCACCGTGCCCAGCTGGGTTTTCTTTTTTAAATGAACATGTGCTTTAATGAGTGACATATTTTAAAACCTATCTTCTCATGTCATAAAATGTGACTTGAAAATACTGTTCCAATTATAATTAACCTTCATTTTATTTTGTCTAATAAAGTGTTTAATATTTTCTCCCATCAGGAAAAATAAAATTATTTGCCAGCTGACTAATAGTTCTTATGCTTTTCTTTTTTATTAAAGTTACTATAAAAGTTAGATCATGATGTCTAACACAATTAACGGCATTATTTCTGACTTTCTTTTTCCTTTTTTTTTTTTTTTTTTTGAGACAGGGTCTTGCTCTGTTGCCCAGGCTGGAGTGCAGTGGTGTGATCTCAGCTTACTGCAATCTCTGCTTCCCAGGTTCAAGCGATTCTCCCACCTCAGGCTCCTGAGTAGCTGGGACTACAGAGGTGCACCATCATGCCGGTCTAATTTTGTTTTGTATTTTTAGTAGAGATGGGGTTTCACCACATTGCCCAGGGTGGCCTGTCTCGAACTCCTGGACTCTAGTTATCCTCCCATCTCGGCCTCCCAAAGTTCTGGGATTACAGGCATGAGCCACCACACCTGGTCTTGTTTTTTGAGATAGGATCTTGCTCCCAGGCTGGAGTACAGTGGCACAATCATGGCTCACTGCAGCCTTGACCTCCCTGGCTCAAGCTATCCTCCCACCTCAGCCCCTTGACCACAGGTGCACCACACCTAGCTAATTTTTTATTTTTTGTAGAGTTGGGGGTCTTACTAGGTTGCCCGCACTAGTCTCAAACTCCTGGGCTGAAGTGATCCTCTTGCCTCAGCCTCCCAAAGTGTTGGGATTATAGGCGTGAGCCACCAGCCTGGCCCCCTGATTTTCTAATACAAGATTTTTGTTAATTATTCCCCAAAGGGAAACCCAGAGTATGAAACACACTTGAGCACACATTTATTGAAAGAATACTATACCTTCTTCCCATAACCTTCAAGTCATAAATTATTTATCATCTTAGTAACACATTAAATTGCACAGATACACAATAAATAATGAGTGTAAGGACAAATTGTCCAAAACATGGAAATAAGGCAACAGCATGGCTGTCTTTTCACCCCTGCCACCTTGAAAAAAATTTTTAAGTAGAAATGGGATCCCACTTTATTGCCCAGACTGGTCTGAAACTCCTGGGCTCAAGCGATCCTCCCACCTCAGCCTCCCAAAGTGCTGGGATTGCTGGTGTGAGCCATCGTGTCCACCGTGGGATTACTCAGTTCTCTAGGAGAAGGTATCTGTGTTTGACTGCTTGACTGTTGCTTAGGGACCACGCTCTGTGAAGGTACTTGTGAACTTGCATATTTTTGCTCAGGAGAGATGCAAATTATTTCTGTTGTGTAGAGAAGGTAACCTCAAAGATTACAGTTGTGTGTGTGTGTGTGTGTGTGTGTGTGTGTGTGTGTGTGTGTGTGTTTGAGATGGAGTCTTGCTCTGTTGCCCAGGCTGGAGTGCAGTGCCATGATCTTGACTCACTGCAACCTCCACCTCCCAGGCTCACGCAATTCTCCTGCCTCAGCCTCCCGAGTAGCTGAGGCTAAAAGTGTACACCACCACACATGGCTAATTTTTGTATTTTTAGTAGAGAAGAGGTTTAACTATGTTGGCCAGGCTGGTCTTGAACTCCTGACTTCAAGTGATCTACCTGCCTCAGCCTTCCAAAGTGCTGGGATTACAGGTGTGAGTCACTGTGCACACCTTAGTTTCCTAACCCTTCGGAATATGATAGGTTAGGCAAGATTCCTGTAAGTGAAAAAATAACATGTATAATTTACAGCTACTCAATAAGTCTTAGTTAAGCTTTCTTGGTATACTTGCCGGAAGTTGATGAAGGGAATTAACTTTAGTGATTGAGTAAAAAGAAAATTGCTTTGCAAGTCAGGTGAGTTCTACTTCTTAGCTTCCAGCAAATTAGAAGAGAACTGAATAGATTTCTCAGCAGGTAGATCATTAAAAATAATTTGTGATGATAGATTACGCTTTGATTTTGGCTATAATTCAGAAAAAATTCAGGAAACCAGGAGGCAGAGGTTGTAATGAGCTGAGATCACGCCACTGCACTCCAGCCTGGGTGACAGAGCAAGACTCCTCAAAAAAACAAACAAAAAAAAAAAAAATAAAAAATAAAGATTAAAATTATTCCTGAATTTTGTCCTATTAAACCATGGATATAAAAACTAATAATAAAACAAACAAACAAACAAAACAAACAAACACCCCAAACACCCCAATCCTTTCATTAAGAGAGACATTTCTGTTTTTGTTTTTTTGTTTTGTTTTGTTTTTTTGAGACAGGGTCTCACTCTGTCTCACAGGCTGGAGTGCTGTGGCGTGATCTTGGCTCGCTGCAACCTCTGCCTCCTGGCTCAAGCAATCCTCCCACCTCAGCCTCCCGAGTAGCTGGGACTACAGGCATGTGCCACTACACCTGGCTAATTTTTTGTATTTTTGTAGAGATGGGGTTTCTCCATCTTGGCCAGGCGGGTCTCGAACTCCTGACCTCAAATGATCCGCACACCTCCGCCTCCCAAAGTGCTGGGATTACAGGTGTGAGCCACCATGCCTGGCTCAGAAACATTTTATAACAGATTTATTGAGATATAATTCACATTCACGACATCCACTCTTTTGAAGCAAACAACTTAGTGATTTTTCGTATACTGTACTCACACAGTCATGCAACTGTGATCACTATCTAATATTAGAACATTTTCATCACCTCAAAAAGAAACCTGTTACCCATTGGCCATCATTTCTCATTCTCCTCTCAGCCCAGTTCCTGACAACCACTCATTTACTTTCTGTCTCTATGGATTTGCCTGTTCTGGACATTTCATATAAATGAAATCATACAAATATGTGGCCTCCTGTGTCTGAATTCTTTCACTTAGCATAATGTATTCAAGGTCCACCCATGTTGTAGCATGTAGTACTATTTTTTATTCCCTTTAATGACTGAATAATATTTCATTATATGGGCGAATTTTATTTTATTTATCCATTCATCAGTTGACATTTGGGTTTTTTAATGAGCTATTATGAGTAGCATTGCTATGAACACTAATATACAAGCTTTCGTGTGGATGCATGTTTTCAATTCACTTGGGTATACACATAGGAATGAAGTTTCTGGGTCTCATGGTAACTCTGTTTAACCTTTGAGAAATTGCCAGACTGTTTGCCAAGGTGACTGCAACATTATACATTCCCACCAGCAATGTATGAGGATTCCAATTTCTTCACATCCTTATCAACACTTGTTATTGTCCATCTTTTTTATTATAGCCATTCTAGTGAATCTTTTTTTTTTTTTTTTTTTTTTTTTTTTTTTTTTTTTTGAGACGGAGTTTCACTCTTGTTGCCCAGGCTGGAGTGCAATGGTGAGATCTCGGCTCACTGCAACCTTGGCCTCCGGGATTCAAGCGATTCTCCTGCTTCAGCCTCCCGAGTAACCAGGATTACAGGCATCTGCCACCACGCCTTGCTAATTTTTTGTATTTTTAGTAGAGGCAGGGTTTCACCATGCTAGTCAGACTGGTCTCGAACTCCTGACCTCAGATGATCCACCCACCTCGGCCTCCCAAACTGCTGGGATTACAGGCATGAGCCACCGTGCCTGGCCTCTAGTGAATCTTATTGTGGTTTTTTGTTTATTTGTTTAGAGACAGGGTCTCTGTCTGTCACCCCAGCTGGAGGCTGGAATGGAGTGGCAGGATCATGGCTCAGTGCAGCCTTGAACCCCTGGGCTCAAGAGATCCTCCCACCTCAGCCTCCCAAGTCGCTGGAACTACAGGTGTGCACCACCATGACTGACTAATTATTGTGGTTTTGATTTGCATTTCTGTAATGACTAATGATATTGAGGATGTTTTCATATGCTTATTGGCCATTTGTATATCTTCTTTGGAGAAATGTCTCTTCAGATATTTTGCCCATTTAAAAAATTATGTTATCTTTTATTGTTGAGTTGTACTAGTTGTTTGTATTTTCTGGATACTAGGCCCCTATTTTAGGTATGTGATTTACAAGTATTCTCTCCCATTCTCTGGGTCGTCTTTTCACCTTTTTGATACTGTCCTTAAAGAACAATAGTTTTTAATTTTGATGAAGTTCCAAATTATCTATTTCTTCTGTGGTTGCTTATGCTTTTGGTGTCATATTTAAGAACCCATTACCTAATCCAACAAAGATTTACAACTATGTTTTCTTGTAAAAGTTCTACAGTTTATAGTGTTAGCTTTTGCATTTAGGTCTCTGATTCACTTTTGGTTAATTTTTGTATACAATGTGAGATAGGGATCCAACTTCATTTGTTTGCATATGTATAGCCAGTTGTCCCAGCACTATGTGTTACTTTTTTCAAAAAAAAAAAATTGAGAAAGGCTCTCACTCTGTTACCCAGGCTGGAGTGCAGCAGCATGATCGTGGCTCGCTGCAGCCTTGACCTCCCGGGCTCAAGTGATGTTCCCACCTCAGCCTCCTGAGTAGCTGGGTCTACAGGCATGCGCCACCATGCTCGGCTACTTTTTTATTTATTTTATTTATTTATTTTTATTTTTATTTTTTGAGACAGAGACTCATTCTGTCACCCAGGCTGGAGTGCAGTGGTGCGATCTCCAACAGATGTCTTCCAACAGATGAAGAAGGAATATCTTATTAATATTTATTTAGGTCTTTACATTATTTCAATGATGTTTTACAGTTTCAATGTCATATTTTGCTTTTTTTGTTACATTTATTCCTAAGTATTTTATTATTTTTCATGTTACTGAAAATGGAATTGAGCTAGACAAAGCAGCTCACACCTGTAATCCCAGCACTTTGGGAGGCTGAGGCAGAAGGATCAGTTGAGCCCAGGAGTTTGAGATTACAGTGAGCTATGACCATGAACCGCACTCCAGCCTGAGTGACAGAAAGAAACCCTGTCTCTACGAAAAAGAAAAACAAAAGAGAAAATAGAATTGTTTCCTTAATTTTATTTTTGGTTTGGTCATTTCTAAGATGTAGAAATAAGACAATTGATTTTTGTATATTGATCTTGTATCCTGCAACTTTGCTAAACTTCTTCATTCTAACAGAACTTTTTTTTTTTTTTGAGACAGTCTTGCTCTGTTGCCCAGGCTGGAGTGCAGTGGCTCAATCTCGGCTCACTGCAGCCTCTGAACCCTGAACCCTGGTTCCCATGTTCCTCCTGCCTCAGCCTCCTGGGTAGCTGGGATTACAGCTGACCTCCTGACCTCAGGTGATCCACCCAACTCGGCCTCCCAAAGTGCTGGGACTACAGGTGTGAGCCACTCCGTCAGCCCATTCGAACAGATTTTTAATCAGTCTATTCCTTAGGACTTTTTATATACAAGACTGTGATCTGCAAATAGAGACAATTTTATTTATTCCTTTCCAATTTGAATGCTTTTTATTTAATTATCTTGCTTAACCTCCCTGGCTAGAACCTCTAGCACAATGTTAGATAGAAGTGATAAGAGCAGCCAGGTGCGGTGGCTCACGCTTGTAATCCCAGCACTTTAGGAGGCTGAGGCGGGTGGATCACCTGAGGTCAGGAGTTTGAGACCAGCCTGGCCAACATGGTGAAACCCCGTCTCTGCTAAAAATATGAAAAATTAGCTGGGTGTGCTGGCAGGCACCTGTGATCCCAGCTACTAGGGAGCCTGAGGCAGAAGAATCACTTGAACCCGGGAGGCAGAGGTTGCAGTGAGCTGAGATCAAGCCATTGCATTCCATCCTGGGCAATAAGAGCAAAACTCTGTCTCAAAAAAAAATAATAAATAAATAAAGGAAGCAGTAAGAGCAGACATCCTTGTCTCATTCCTGATGTAGGGGAAAGATTTCAGTCTTTCACCAGTAAGCATTATGCTAGTTGTGAGTTCTTTTTTACAGGTTGAGAAATTTTCCTTCTATTCCTAGTTTGTCAGGTGTTTTTATCATTAAAGGGTGTTGAACTCTGTCAAATGCTTTTGCTGCATCTATTGAGATGATTATGTGGGTTTTGTCCTTTATTCTAGTAATACAATGTATTACATTAATTGATTTTCACATGTTAAGCCAACCTTGCATTCCTGCGATAAATCCTGCTTGGTCACGGTGTATAATACATTTCACACGTTAGTGGTTTTGGTTTGCCAGTATCTCACTGAGGATTCTTCCATCTATATTCATAGGAGATATTGGTCTGTGGTTCTCTTTTCCTATGATATCTTTGTCTGATTTTGGTATTACAATACTATTAGCCTCATAAAATGAGTTGAAAAGTGCTCCTTTCTCTTCTATCTTTTGGTAAGAGTGTCAAAATTTGGCATTATTTCCTTTTTAAATTTTGGGTAGAGTTCACCAGTGAAACTGGTTTGGCCTGAGCTTTTCTTTGTGGACAGTTTTCAAACTACTAAGTCAAGCTTTTTGTTATAGGTCTATCCAGATATTTTATTTCTTCTTGAGTTGTTAGTTTTTATGTCTTTCCAGTAATTTCTCAATTTCATCTAAGTTGTCTAATTTGTTGTCTTATGGTTGTTCATAGTATTCCCTTTTCATTTTTTCTTTTTAGTTTAGAGACAGGGTGTCACTGTGTTGCCCAGGCTAGTCTCAAACTCCTGGACTCAAGCTATCCTCCTGCCTCGGCCTCCCAAGTAGCTGGAATTACAGGCATGTGCCACTGCATTGAGCTCCATCTTTTTTATTTCTGTAAAGTGAGGTTGTAATGTTCCCTCTCTCATTCCTGATTTTCACAATTTTTTTTCTTTTCTCTTTTTCCCCCCTTTAGTTAGTTAGTTTGTATTTTGCTTGGTCAGTCTAGCTAAAGGTTTGTAAAGTTTGTTGAGCTTTTCAAATAGTCAGTTTTTGGTGTGGTTAATTTCCTCTATTTTTTTTTAATTTTCTATTTCATTAATTTCTACTGTAATCCTTATTATTTCCTTTCTTCTGTTTGCTGGGGGCTTAGTTTCTTCTTCTTTTTCCAGTGTCTTAAGGCAGAAACTTAAGATTATTGATTTGTGGTTGTTCTTCCTTTTAAATATAGACAGGTACGGCTATAATTTTCCCTATAAATACTGTTTTAGTTGCATCCTATACATTTTGGCATGATGAGTTTTTATGTTCATTCATCTCGAAGTATTTCCTAATTTCCCATGTGGTCTATTTTTTGACCCATTGATTACTTATGAGTATATGTTTAATTTCCACATATTTTTGAATTTTCCTAATTTCTTTCTGTTGTTAATTTCAAATTTCACTCCATTATGAACAAAAAACATCCTTGGTACAACTTCATTCCTTGTAAATGTATTGATGCTAGTTTTGTGGCCTAGCATATAATCTATCCTAGAGAATGTTCCATGTGCATTTGAGAAGAATGTGTATTCTCTTGTTTTTGGGTGGAGTGTTCTACAGATGTCAGTTAGGTCTAGTTGGTTTATAGTGTTGTTCAAGTCTTCTGCTTCCATATGGATCTTCTTCCTATCTACCTATTTAGTTCTATTATTAGTTCTATGTATTATTAAAAGTGGGATATTAAAGTCTCCAACTATATTGTGAATTGTCTATTTTTCCCTTCAATTCTGTTTTCTGCTTCATATATTCTGCGGCTCTGTTTTTAGGTACATGTTTATAATTGTTATATTTTTCTGATGGATTGATCTTTTTATCATCATACAATGTCCCTCATTACTTCTAGTGACATATTTTGTTTGTTTGTTTTGAGACAGAGTCTTGCTCGTTGCCCAGGCTGGAGTGCAATGGCACAATCTCGGCTCCTTGCAACCTCTGCCTCCCAGGTTCAAGCGATTCTCCTGCCTCAGCCTCCTGAGTAGCTGGGATTACAGGCGCCGGCCACCATGCCTGGCTAATTTTTATATTTTTAGTAGAGATGGGGTTTCATCATGTTGGCCAGGCTGGTCTCAAACTCCTGGCCTCAACTGATCTGCCCGTCTCGGCCTCCCAAAGTGTTGGGATTACAGGCATGAGCCACTGCACCCAGCCATATTTTGTTTTAAAGTCTATTTTGTCTGATATTAGTAAAGTCACTGCAGCTTTCTTATGGTTACCATTTGTATCATTTTCTATTAAAATTTTTTCAACCGATTTGTATGCTTAAATCTAAAATATATCTCCTATAAATAGCATATAGTTGAATCTTGCTCTATTCATATTTTTGAAGCTGATTAAGGCAGGGCATGGTGGCTTACACCTGTAATCCCAGCAGTTTGGGAGGCTGAGGCAGGTGGATCACCTGAGGAGTTCCAGACCAGTCTGGCCAACAAGGTAAAACCCCGCCTCTGCTAAAAATACAAGTTAGCCGGGCATGGTGGTGTACTCGGGCGGCTGAGGCAGGAGAATCGCTTAAACCTGGGAGACAGAGGTTGCAGTGAGCTGAGATCACGCCACTGCACTCCAGCCTGGGCAACAAGATCAAAACCCTGTCTCAAAATTAATTAATTAATTAATTAATTAATTAAAAAAATAAGGCTGGGCACGGTGGCTCACGCCTGTAATCCCAGCACTTTGGGAGGCCGAGGCGGGTGGATAACGAGGTCAGGAGATTGAAACCATCCTGGCTAACATGGTGAAACCCTGTCTCTACTAAAAATACAAAAAATCAGCTGGGCGTGGTGGCAGGTGCCTGTAGTCCCAGCTAGTCTGGAGGCTGAGGCAGGAGAATGGCGTGAACCCGGGAGGCGGAGCTTGCAGTGAGTCAAGATCGCACCACTGCACTCCAGCCTGGGCAACAGAGCGAGACTCTGTCTCAAAAAATAATAAATAAATAAATAAATAAATAAATAAATAAATAAATAAATAAAAATAAAGCTGATTAGAAGCTGCGTGCATGGATGAGCTTGTCAACTGATGACCTTCACCAATTGTAATCTGATAGGGCGATTTCATTGGGAAACTCCTAATGTTAGTATCTTTGGGTCCTTCCTCTTGAGTTGGTCTGAGTACTTACAGAGGAGCCCTTCCATTTCCTGCCTGAATGGAATAAGCCTTGCTCCCAGGCTTGTGGGAGCTGCGTTAGGGAGGGAGACCGTGATACCATTCTGCACATTAACTGTCACTTTAAACCTAGATTTTTGGTATGGTAATTTCCCCTCAGCTGTGTTCATATCCCCTCCTAGCAGAATCCTCTAGTCTTCTGCTCAGCTGGGAACGGGTCAGTAGCCTGGGTACACAGAAGTGGGGAGGAGCTCTAGATCCCCAAAATGTCTTAAGCTTTCTTTCTTTCTTTTTTTTTTTTGAGGCGGGGTCTCACTCTGTCACCCAGGCTGGTATGCAGTGGCGTCATCACAGCTCACTGCAGCCTCAACCTCCCCGGGCTCAGGTGATTCTCCCACCTCAGGCTCCCAAGTAGCTGCAACTACAGGCTGTATGCCACCACACCTGGCTAATTTTTTTTGTAGAGATGGGGTTTCGCCATGTTGCCCAGGCTGGTCTCCAACTCCTGGCCTCAAGTGATCTGCCCACCTCAGCTTCCTAAAATGCTAGGATGACAGTCATGAGCCACCGCACCTGCTGTCTTAAGCTTTCAACTTGACCTCCTGTTACAGTCCTTCGTTTACCCCTCACTGATCAGAGGAACCTGGAACCACTGATCTTTGGGGTGGCAGTTTGCAGTGTTTTGTTTTTAATCTATTAAGTTAGCTACTACAAGTACACCTGTTTTCTAGTTTTCAATGGGTTGTTTGTTTGTTTGTTTTACAGACAAGGTCTCACTGTCCCCCAGGCTGGAGTGCAGTGGCGCAATCATAGCTCATGGTGACCCAGAACTCCTGGGCTCCAACAACAAGAATCTTTTTGTTGTTGTGCTATTGTTGGTTTGCCAATGTCTAATCTTCCTTACTTTTTATGTCTGTGGGTTATGTGCCTTGCCCACTTTTGTAACCCTCTACTGTCATTTTAGTGGGGTTTTGATGTCAGAGGAGTGAGATTAACCCGCATGGTCAATTGGTCATCTTTTTTTTTTTTTTTTTTTTTTTGGAGACACAGTTTTACTCTGTCAGCAGGCTGGAGGGGAGAGGCGCGATCTGAACTCACTGCAACCTCACCTCCTGGGTTCAAGCAATTCTCCTGCCTCAGCCTCCTGAGTAGCTGGGATTACAGGCACCTGCCACCATGCCTGGCTAATTTTTGTATTATTACTAGAAACAGGGTTTTGCCATGTTGGCCAGGCTGGTCTCAAACTCCTGGCCTCAAGCGATCCACCTCTCCTGGCCTTCCAAAGTGCTGGGATTACAGGCGTGAGCCACCACACCTGGCCATTGGCCATCTTTAATCGAAGGCCACCTTCTTCTATTTAAAGCTTTGGTTTAGATTTATTCTTTTATCTGCACTTTTGGAAGTCTCTCTTCCTAAGTGTCAAGATACCGCTTTTCCCATTTTGGCTACTGCAGACTCTAAGAGGACATGGTAAACTTGGGCTCATAACTGCACCTTTCTGTTCCTCACCTGAATACTAAAGATGTGTATTAGTCAGGATTATTGATTGCAAATGACAGGAAGGAGCTTGACGTTTTCCCCTGAAGGAGAAGTCCAGGGAGGTTCTCAGGCAGCCTCTCTGCAACCTGGTTCTAGTCTCACCAGCTTTGAGCTTTGCAGTCCCAGAGGGAAAAGGCTCTTCACTTTCCCAATGGTTTCAACAGAAGCCCCAGTCATGTGCTACTCTCTGAACGGAGTAGGGGACCTGACTGGCTGGCTGGGTCAGAGGGCCCCACCACTGCGGGGAGGGGGAGTTTTGGAGTTAGCTTCCAAGAACCACTTGGATGAGGTGAGGGAGGCAGGGTTGTTCCCTCAAATAGCATTGCAGTACTGATACCAGAAGAAGGGGGAACAGATGCTGGGTAGGCAGAAATAACAGGTGTCCACTGCAGGGTTATCATACCAGCCTCATGGCCTTGCTGTAAGTTAAACCCTTAGCTGGGTGCCTGAAACATTAAAACACTAGCTGCTGTTGCTGTTGTTATGACTGTCACTGTTAACAGGGAGACTTTGTGGCTCGCCTTTTTATCCTGAACAACACATTCCTTTGCTAGGGCCAGAAACAGGCACAGAACCTGTTTCCCTCGGCCTTCTGGCCATGCAGTTGGCAGCGAGGCTCAGCAAAGCCTCCTGATCCCATGCTCTTCTCTCAGTTGGGTCTCCTCTCCTTATCATCCCTGCCTCCTCCTCCAGGTGTCACACCTTGGCCTCACCCTTCTCACTGAAAGAACACACATGTACTTTGCCACGTACTTAGCCGCTATCTTGGAGTGACTACTTGGAGTGTGGGTGTTGTAGCTTTGTGATGGTTGCTCAAATAAGTTATAAACTGCTGGGGATTGGGCCAGGGTCTTACATGCCTCCAGCTAAACCCCTTTCTCCAAGGCCTAGAATGCAAACCTGGCCACACACAGGATCCAGTAAGTCCCAGGCAATTGAGGGGTCTAGCTGGTGGCAAGGCCTGGAGGGAGGACATCAGATCACCGGGCATTTGGCCCATCTCTGCCAGTTAAGGACTGAGGTCCACTGCTAGTCACTGTGACAGAGCCTGTTCTATATGTTGGTAAAGCCAACCTCTCCTATTCCTTAGTAATATTAATAGAATCCTGATTTTTTAGAATTGCAAAATTTCAAATATAGACCTTAAGACTTTTACTTAAAAACAGACTAAAGGCCGGGTGCAATGGCTCATGCCTATAATCTCAGCACTTTGGGAAGCTGAGGTGGGTGGATCACTTGAGGTCAGGAGTTTGAGACCAGCCTGGCCAACATGGTGAAACCCTTCTCTACTAAACCATTCTCTACTAAAAATACAAAAAAAAAAAAAAAAAAATAGCTGGGTAGGGTGGTACGCACCTGTACTCCCAGCTACTCGGGAGGCTGAGGCAGAAGAATCGCTTGAACCCAGGAGGCAGAGGTTGCAGTGAGCCAAGATTGTGCCATTGCACTCCAGCCTGGGCAACAGAGTGAGACTTCATCTCAAAAACCAACAAACAAAAAAACAGACTAAAGAAATTTTTATTATGAAAAATGTATAACCTATTTAAAACAGAGAATGGTATAAAGAATGCCACATAGCCGTCATTCAGCTTTAACACATGGCTAACCTTGTTTCTTCTATTACATTCCCACCCCATTATTGGATTATTCTGAAACAAATCTGGACATATAATTTCATCCATAAATTCAGTAAGTATTTCCAACAGGTGATTTTTGAACATATACACTAGTAAATATATACATATGCACAATATCATATAAAACACAATACCTTTATCACAAAACACAATACCTTTCTCACCTATAGAAAAATAATCACCAGGTGTGGCGGCTCACGCCTGTAATCCTAACACTTTGGGAGGCCAAGGCAGGAGGATGGCTTGAGCTCAGGAGTTTGAGACCAGTCTGGGCAACAGGGTGAGACCTCACATCTAAAAAAACCCCAAATAATTACCTGGGCATGGTGGCGTGCGCCTGTGGTCCCAGTTACTTGGGAGGCTGAGGTGGGAGGATCACTTGAGCCACGGAGATTGAGGCTGCAGTGAGCTATGGTTGTGCCACTGCACTCCAGCCTGGGCAATGGAGTGAGATCCTTTCTAAAAAAAAAAAAATCATAATTTATTCATATCATAACATACTACTTATTGTTTAAATTTCCCCAATTGTCTCACAATTTTTTAAAGAGCTGACTTGTTCTAATAAGTTCCAAAAATGCAAGGTCCACGTTACACTAGAACCCCAATTTTATTCAAGGGGGCAATGTGCCCAGGTGAAGAAGTATATTTCCCAACTTCCCCTAAGCAGGGTGTGGGCCTGTGGCTCAGTTTTGCCCATGAGGTTTAAGTGGAAGCGTGGAGGAGGCTTCCAAGACTCCTTAAAAGGAACTGTCAGGCCGTGTGTGGTGGCTCACGCCTGTAATCCCAGCACTTTTGGAGGCCGAGGTGGGTGGATCACTTGAGATCAGGAGTTCAAGATCAGCCTGGCCAACATGGTGAAACCCTGTCTCTACTAAACATACAAAAATTAGCTGAGTGTGGTGGTGGGCGCCTGTAATCCCAGCTACTCTGGAGGCTGAGGCTGGAGAATCGCTTGAACCTGGGAGGTGGAGGTTGCAGTGAGCCAAGATCGCACCACTGCACTCCAGCTTGGATGACAGATGAGACCCTGTCTCAAAAAAAAAAAAAAAAAAAAAAAAAAAAAAAAGGAGCTGTCGGCTGAGAGATGAGCACCTTTTCTCTGGAGCTCCAGCCACTGTATTGAACCATGAGGTGGCCTTCCAAATGGAAGTCAAAGCTAGAATGACAGACAGAAAGAATAGGAAACGAATTTCCCATTCTATTCTTATTTCCAGTCTTTATTATAGAATCATTTAAGATTAGGTTTAGTTGTAATAAGTAGAAAATTAAAAAATTTATAGCAGTGCCTTAAATATGCTACAAATTATTATTATTATTTTTTGAGACAGGGTCACGTTCTGCAGCCCAGACTGGAGTGTAATGTCACAATCTTGGCTCACTGCAGCCTTAACCTCCTGGGCTCAAGTGGCTCTCACACCTTAGCCTCTCTTGTGGTTGGGACCACAGACGTGTGCCATCACGCTGGGCTGATTTTTACATTTTTTGTAGAGACGGGTCTCCCTATGTTGCTCAAGCTGGTCTGGAACTCCTGGGCTCAAGTGATCCTCCTGCCTCGGCCTCCTAAAGTGTTGGGATTACAGGCGTGAGCCACTGTGCCCGGCCTATTTTTCTATCTCACATAAAACTAGTTAAGAGATAAGCAGTATGGGGAAAATACAGTGGTTCCAAAAAACCACAGACTATTAGGTATCTATTGCTGCATAATGGATTACACCCAAAACTTAGAACCTTAAAGCAGCAAACCCGCATTCCCATCTATTTCCCAGTTTCCAAGGGTCAGGAGCCCGGGAAGCTGCTCTCAGGCTGCTGCGGCTCAGGATCGCTGATGAGGCCTGCCGCAGCCATTCTCAGCTGCACCGGGTCCGGGCATCCACAGCCGGCTCACGCGCTGGTGGTCGCCAAGCCTCAGCTCTTGCTGGCTGTTGGTTCAGGGCTTCGGTTCCCAGCCAGGTGGGGCTCTCCAAAGGAGAGGGCAGCTCAAAACAACCCGCTGGCTTCCCCCAGAGCAAGTGATAGGAGACAGGAAGAGGGAGCTAGAGAGAGCCCTGAAGGTGGACGTCGCAGTCTTCACTCAATCAATCTCCGCAGGGAACGCCCTGCAGGCCCAGGTATCCTTCCGGTCCCTTCCTCCTGCCCCTGTGCTCCAGATCCCCCAGGCTCCAGCCCTGCAGCCCGAGCCCCACCCACTATCCTCGCCTCCCGCCCTGCCGCTCGGCCCTCCCGCTTCAGGTCTCTGTCTCTCCCTTTCTCCCTTCCCCTCTCTCTGTATCCTTTACTTTGTGCCTCTGATGCCTGACCTGGCCCCAAGCCAGCACCCCACCATCCCACCCTCTTCCCACCCTGCCCCCCGGCCACGTGCCCCCGGGCCAGCCAGAACGCTGACCCCTCCCCCTGAGTCCACTCCCCGCTCCCCGCTCCCCGCACAGCCCGGGCCACGCCCTACCCGGGTGCCCTCCCTTTACCCAGCTCCTTCCCATCCAGCCGGGTCCTGATCCAGCCCCCTGCTCCAGGATGCCCCCTCCTAGCGGTGTGTGAGGCTTTCATGACCCTTCTTCCTCCTTTCCCGACAGATCAGCGGGGGAGGTGGGCTGAGCCGCCCCTCTCGTCGTCACCCCTGCCTTGGCCGCCCAGCCGTGCTGGGAGAGTTTGGTGGCCGTGGCTGGCACTGCGGCAGTGCCCATGTCAGCTCTGGCGCCTCTACCGAACTCCCTGTTTTGGGGGCTCTTTCCCTACCAGGGTCACGTCGATGAGGAATCTACGTCCCTCCCAGCCCGGTTCCCACCTCTCAGGTGGGGCAGATGCCAGAGGCCTCCCGGGTCCACGCCCGCGGGCCACTTGGACCGCCCTGCCCCGGCCAACCCCGCCCCACCCAGACTCCCGCCCGCGAGCGGGTGCCGAAGCACGAAGCACGTACGCCCCCTGGTGGCCGTGGCGGGGACTGCCGCGCGGACTCCGCAGCCCCGCCCCACCCCGCCCGCCCAGCCCAATCCCACCCGCTCCGCCCTGCTCGCCCCTGCCTGCTCACCTACTGGGCTGCGCTGTCCACGCCTGGAGCCCGGGCAGCTTCAGTTCCGCGGAGGACAGGTGTAACCCACAGAGTGATTCCTTTACCGGGGCCTGCTAGGCTCCGGCCCACGAGGCAGGACTGGCGGCGTTCTCACGTCCTGGAAGTCAAGGCCCCAAGGGGACCGAGGCGCTGCCCAGGCTCCCCTGACTGCCAGCTCCGGCCTGGCCACCCAGTCCGCCCCCAGGGACCGGACTGGGTGCGCCGTCCACCCTTCCAGTACCTGGAACATTCTCCGCGGATTGGGAGGTTCTGGGTTCTGCCCTAGATTCCCAAGCAAAGTTGCTCCTTTGCTCTTGTCACTTGCCAGCTTCGTGGTTTTTGTTTTTTGTTTTTGAGACGGAGTCTCGCTTTGTCGCCCAGCCTGGAGTGCTGTGGCGCAATCTCGGCTCACTGCAACCTCTACCTCCCCAGGTTCAGGCGATTCTCCTGACTCAGCCTAGCTGGGATTACAGATGTGTGCAACCATGCCCGCATAATTTTTGTATTTTTAGTAGAGACGAGGTTTCACCATGTTGGCCAGGCTGGTCTCGAACTCCTGACCTCAAGTGATCCACCTGTCTCGGCCTCCCGAAGTGCTGGGATTATAGGCGTGAGCCACCGCGCCAGGCCTGCTTCTCTAAAGATCCCTGCAGCACGGAGAGGCTGCTAGGGCCCGTGCTTCTGAATAGGTAGCCAGCTGTGGCTATTGATTATCACATTTTTCGTGGTATATAATTTTAATTAATTTTTAATTTTAAAACAAGTGTAAATTGTTCTGCAAAACAACTTTGTTTTGTAGGACTATGCGGCACTTTAAATATTGAAAGTGTAGCGTCCAAATTGAGATGTGCTTTGTGAAATACCCCCTGGATTTCAGAGTTAGCACAAAAATAACGAATCGAAACTATCTCATTCCTTTACTGTGAATTACATGCTGAAATTTTTGTTTGTTTTTTGAAACAGAGTCTCACTCTATTGCCCAGGCTGGAGTGCAGTGGCGTCATCTCGGCTCACTGCAATTTCTGCCTCCCAGGTTCAACTGGTTCTCCTGCCTCAGCCCCCTAAGTAGCTGAAATTACAGGTGCCTGCCACCATGCCCGGCTAATTTTTGTATTTTTAGTAGAGTCGGGGTTTCACCATGTTGGCCAGGATGATCTCTATCTCCTGACCTCAGGTGATCCACCCGCCTCAGCCTCCCAAAGTGCTGGGATTCAGGAGTGAGCCACGGCGCCCGGCCTCACACTGAAGTATTTTTGATATATTGAGTTAAATGAAACATTTAACCTTTTTTAAAAAACGTGGCTACTAGAATGTTTTTAATGATAAATGTAGATCACATTCTATTTCTATATTTCTGCACTAGGAAGTGGGTTTGAGTTAAATCTAGTTTTATTTTCTGACCGTACTGCAGGTACCGGAGGTTGGGGAAACCATTGTCAGTGGAAATGGGGATGTGTATGGGGAAAGGTCCTGATCCTCAGAGACCACGCCCATAGAGTGAGCCCTGGGCAGGAGGTCAGCCAGGGAGCATCTCATAGGGCCCAGGCAGCATGAGGTTCACACAGACATAGGTACCCACAGCCCCAGCGGGCATTGGGGGCAGGCACTGAGCTTGGCACAGCATGATTCTTGGAAAGAACACGTATGGATGGCCTGAAGACCCAGGTTCTAGCATGGTTATGCCACTGTGTGACTAAGCCACTTGGCACAGCACAAGCAGTTAATGTCCTGTTCTACTCACCGAAGGGCTCACTGCAGTGAGCGAGACTCGCGAGGGGAAGCCCTCTTCAGCCCTGCCCATGGTGGTCCTCTCTGGAGGAGGGCATGTTTCTGGAATCCTGATTTGTTACCAGCACATAATTTTCAAGTTGGCAGAAATGCATCGTTTAGCTGGGTGCGGTGGCTCATGAGAGCATTCTTATTTTTGTGCTAACTCTGAAATCCAGGGGGCATTTCACAAAGCACATCTCAATTTGGACGCTACATTTTCAACATTTAAAGTGACACGTAGTCCTACAAAACAAAGTTGTTTTGCAGAACAATTTACACTCGTTTTAAAATTTAATCCCAGTACTTTGGGAGGCCAAGGTGGGCAGATCGCTTGAGCCTAGAAGTTCAAGACCAGCCATGGGCAACATGGCAAAACCCATCTGTATAAAAAATACAAACATTAGCCGGACGTGGTGGCTTGTGACTGTAGTCCCAGCTACTCAAGAGGCTGAGGTGGGAGGATCAGTTGAGACCGCAGTGAGCCATGATTATGCCACTGCACTGCAGCCTGGGCAACAGAGTGGGATCCCGTTTCAAAAAAGAAAAAGAAAAAGAAAAAAAGAAGTGCATCTTTAAAAGCCTTGTCCTATGCGCGTGAACACATGAGTGGTGCGTAGCAGGCCCTGATGCGCTGCTTACAGAATTGAGGAAAGCAGAGGCAAGGCTGCCCACAAGGAGGCCGCAGCTTCTTCAAGGAGCCTCTTGCCGCGTGCTGGCTGGCCTTGGTGGCCAGGACCCCAGGAGAGGAAGCTGAGGGAGGCCTGAATGCCAGCCGCACCTGGCATCCGGCACCCCCTTCTAGGTTCATTGCCAAGTACCGGCAGCCAGAAGGGTGTAGTTTTCTCTTAGGGAGTCCAAGTCCGTTGTTGCCACCTCTGACCCCTCGACACCAGGTCCTGGGAGCCAAGTCTTGAGCCCCAAAGAGCTCTGAGGAGCCCAGGTCCACAGAAGTGCCCTTTTTTTGAAAATAAACACCCTTCACTACATAGGTACACACACGCGCGCGTGCAGACACACATGCACACACACACATACACACAGCCAGAGGGAAATGCTCCTATCTTTTATCTTCTAACATTAAATCCCTGGTCAGGATAACTATTCAGTCCCAAGACGTTGGGGGGTGCACACACAGTACACCCTGAGGCCCGAGAGAGCAGGCTTGGGCCCAAGTTGCACTGTCCGGGACTCAGGGGGGATGAGCCCCTGAGATGCTACTTACAAATAGGGCTGCTCAGCCTGCCAGGGGGCTGCAAGGCCTCTGCAGCTCCAGGGATTGTGGGAGTCAGAAAAATCCTTTGTCTTGGTTCTGGGTGGGAAGCGGGACACCCCCAGATCCAGTGTCACAGCCACTCATTCCCAGGAGGACAGAGCAGTCTTCAGAGCCAGCAAGAAAGCTGTGGGGCTCAGAGCCCACTAGCTTTCTTTTCCAGGACAACGTGCCTCAGAAACCCCGGTCCCCTTCCCAGGAAAGGAACAATGACTCAGGCAGGTAGTGACAAGCCACCTGCCACTTGGGAAACAGCTAGACTGAGGCTGAGAGGTTGAGTGGTGCTGGGTGAGATTACTGGGGTTGGTGGAGGGGGGAGGTCGGGGGACCCAAGTGCCGGCGACTGCACTGAGACTTCTCCTGGGAGGGGTTTAAAAGCAGCTGCCTTATTGAGATCAATGGAATGACTGCTCACGTGACCCATGTACCTCTTAAGTCCCCTTCAGGCTGGAAAGTGCTCTACACCCCCAATGCTCTGAGTCTAAAAACTCTAAACCTGTGTTGAAACGCTGGTGTTTCGTGGTTAATATACAGCATCCTCTCTCAGTTACTCTATCCTATGACGGGGCACTGTTTCGCAGCCTGGGTGGAGTTGAGTCACAAGGTGGCAGAGTCAGAACCTACTAGTCTAGGGATGTCAGTTTACAGCTCAGTACCCAAGGTCCATGAAAGCCCAGTGAGGAGCCTGAAGTTGCACAGCTAAAGGAAGGGCTGGGACTCGAACTCATGGCTCTGTGGTTCAGTCCTTTGGCTAAAGGGTCCATGAACGCCACCCACAAAGAATGTATTGAATGTTTTGCTTCTGGGCTCTGGAGGCATCCAGGGTAGCTGGGGGGTTCCCTGCCAGTGAGGAGGGAGCAGGCACTGGCACACCATTCCTCAGTAGCCCGACCTCATTCAATCTGGCAGGTAGGTATGAAGCCGGGTCAACCGGCGCGAATGCATCAGCATGTAGGGAAGGAGAAAAAGGAGTTTAGGGGAATAAGGAGAAAACAGTGGAAAAGAGCTGGAATGAGAACACGCGAACAAAGCAACACTATTTCCTTTGTCTTAAGGTCCTGCTAACAAAACCGTCTCCATTAGACTGAGCGGCATCGCCATCTGGTGGTAACTAAAGGCAAACGCTTTAGAAAGGAATCGAAACGGTCTAATCCAGCGATTAGCATTTTACCATGCAAAACCCACCGTTCCTCATCTCCCAGGAGGCTTAGCACTTGGCAGAGGACCACCTGTTTAGGCAGATCAGTCCCAGCAGGAAGCTGCACTGTCCTTGAACTCCAGGCCACGGAGTATCCTCACTCAGCGTGAGTTGACAGGGCTTAGAAGGTTTAGGCATGGGGGTAGATAGGGACCTTCGGGCTTTCCACGGCTCTAGTGGAGGAGCCTCACAGCCCCGTTCATAGCCAGCAGTTGTGCATCTGAGTTCCAGGTTCAAGGACAGGCCTCTGGGCAGAGCCTCTTGGTTATTACTGCCTAAGGGTGCCACTCCCTTCCCAAACTAATTTAGTCATCTGCATTCTAAGAGCTGCTCAGCCAAAAGAAGCCAGCGTCTGCTGCTCAAAGGAGCCAGAACAGAGAGGGTATTTTAGAAAACCAGCTGAGAGTAATCATGAGGGCTATTATCTTATTGATCAAGGTCCAGCCATTTGCCAAGGTATATACACGTTTATTTAAAAAAGTTTACAGTTTTCATTATACACAACTATTAAGAGGTTATAGTCAGAGGAGGCATGTGTCCTGTTGACAGACGTGCCTACTAGATCATCACAATGCAAGGAGAAAGGTGGAAGGGAGGAGACAGGGCGAGGAAAAATAAGCGATAAAAAGCTTCAGATTTCAGTTAGGGGCTGGCAGTCCCTTTTATCTTTTCAAGTATCACACAATATGTACCAAATACAATCTGTAAATAATGGCCATTTCTTCCCAAGCCCACAGCCAAGATGAGTGTTAGGCTAAATTCAGAGCCCTGGCTCTTCCTCAGATGAGTGGAAAACCTGCGCATGACAGGGCCGGCTCCCCCTTCTCAAAGGGCTTCCTCCCACTCATCCCATCCCTAACAGAATCGCCGAGGTGTTCACGGGCCAGAGAAAGCACAAACATGGATTCAGAAGTCCAAAGAAATGCAGTTCGTTGCGCCCAATCAGAGATAGATGATTTCATTCAACAAGGCTGGAAGCCCAGTTGGGAAGTCGATAAAAAATCTTGCTAACTTTTTTAAATGGCTTTTACTTTTCTAAGTCACTGAAACAAGGAAGGGCCACATGCCATTTAAAATCAAACACTAGTTCCCAGAGACTTGGTGTCCAGAAACTTGACCCACAGAGGCTAGCGGAGGATCTGTCTTTCATGATTCTCAGCCATCCCAACGGGAGGCCTAACATAAAGCATGTGCCAGGCCAATGCCAACTAGGACTTCAGGGGGCCTTTGGAGGGAAAAATTCCTTTGAGAGGAGACATTCCTCAGGAGCTTAGATCAGCCAGCTGGCAGTCAGAACAGCTTTTGAAGTGGATGAGAAATGTTAGGTACTGGAGAGATGATATGGCAACTCCTGATAATGACCTCACTAGGATAAAATGCTGGTTGAAACTGCACAGTAACCTCAAGGAGGGTGATGAAATTGACGACAAAGCCAAATGTCAGTGTCTAAGATGGCTACCACTGACCCTGTGCCCAAAAGCCCCCCGGTGCTGGGGCTTCCAGAGGGAGCCCAAGGGTGGTGGATTCAATGTTGCCAGGTTGCAACCATCTTGCTTGTTGGTGTTTGGCAAGAGCTTGAGCTCAGTTATGTGAACAGGGGCAAAGAATGGCTTGTGCTGGTAAAACTCAAGGGAGGATCCAAAAACTATGGGCACTAAAAAGGGGAGGGAAACCGCCAGAAGTGGCTCTGACCTGCTGCCGCTGCCACCACCTCTAAAGCCAAGAATGTAGAGCCTCTGCCCAGGGATCTGGATGCTCTCCTGAGTGTTGGAAGGGCAGCCTGGAAAGGCATTTGGTGGTGAAACACCGCTGCTCCAGACTTACGCTACCATCTATTGTTGGGGGCCCAGAGTCCTTGGATTCACTGCCAGGCCTTCTTCCAGATCTTTCTGTACCTGTGTGTTTGGGCTCCTACTCCCACCTCTCCCAGGCGCAGGGAGAGGACAAAAAGCATAAGGGACTCTGTTCAACCCAGCAAAAGTCAGTTTCCCAGTGGAGAGGCAAAGCCCCACCCAGAACATAAACATGCATGGGACCAAGGTTAGTGCCCAGACAGGACAGACTTGCACAGAACAAGAGGGCACAGTGGGATCCATGCGGCAATTACAGGAGCTTCCAGCACTAACAGAGGAGCCTTATCCCACCTTCATCACACACACTTAGATGGACACACACACACTCTCGCTCACACTCTCACACATGTGCACACATACACACACTCTCTCTCTCTGCAGCCACACTCAAATCTGCTAAACTCCTACAACCTCCCCCAGCAGGTCATTTGACAATTCTGCATCTTCCGCTCTCTGGTGCTGGGGCTCTGGTCAGAGGCGAGCCAATGTCTTATCATTAGAGAGATGTGGGATTAGGTAAGGGGCAGAGTCATGGCACTGCTCACACACCTTCCCGAAACTGGGGTCTATTCAGTTTTTTGACAAGATCAAAAGCAATTCTTAACTGGTCATTATTTTTTTTTAAGGTAATTAGAACACTATTGTTTATACAATATTGAAAAAATACAATTTTTTATTGTTTGAACTCAAATCACCACCCAGCACTTTAAGCCTACCCTAAATAGCACCTACAATAAATGTCATAGCACAAGCAAACTGCAAAGTCAGCAGGTAAGCAAGTTAGACAGTGCCAGCAGAGAGACCCTCCCTCCCCCAAAGCAATGAGAAGACAGCGTGCTAGGTAAGAGTGAAGTACACCATTACATGTTAAATAGTTAATACTACCCTTCCAGCAAGCCACAGATGCTAGATGGATAACTCAGTACGGTTAACTAACCACAGCCCTACATCACTGCACTTTTTTTTTTTTTTAAAGAAAACCTTTTGCTTCATGCCCGTAATTAACATAAAGTAAGTAAATTCTTTGTCTTTTTATTTAGGAAAATAATCATGCTAAAAGCAAGTTGTACTTTATATAGATTTTCAAACAAAAGATTGATTGTGCTTTTTGAATAAAAAAGATAGGGTATCTTCCAACCTCACTGACTTAAACCTTGTGGAATACAGCACTTCTAAACTAAAAACACACGTCAAAAAGAAAAATTAAATAATCCCAGTGGGATGCTCAAAAATCGTCTTTAGAAGGTTTTAGGATTGGCTAATTCTGCTATTATCTTATTGGCTGCGGCAAAAAAAGAACACAGAGCTGCTGTCTAAAATTTCTCCAAACTCCCCTCCGAGTTCAGCAGGCAACACTCAGATTTGAAAGAAACTCTGCAGCAACCTGGACATATGGTTAGCTGAGTCGACATTTGATTAGCAGGCATTTTAAACTGATTTCCTCTTAACATACGCAGGAGAGAAAACATTTTCTTCCTGCAGGGCATGTTCTACTACATCATATTTCTGAATCCCTTCTTCCTATTCGGTCACTCTCTGAAAAAAGCTGGTTTGTTTTTCCCATGTAGAATCACTCTGGGTACAAGAACCTTTATTTGTTCCAATTATTATTTGTTTTAAATTTAGAACCTGTGTTGGGTCTAAAATACCCATTTCCCACTCCCACAAGCAGATGATGACCAGGCTGCTGCCAAGAGCAGCAGAAAAAGGGAAAACCAAACCAGAACATGAAGGCAAGTACCCAGGGCTTTGCAGTCACCACGTGGGTCGTCTTCTCAAGTCTAATGGTCCATGAGCGGCTTGTCCAAGGAGGCGGCCGCCTCTTGGTAGGTGAAGATGAAATCTGCAACCTTTCTAAGCACAATACACACACACACACACCAAAAAAATAACCCCCCCAGAAACACAACCCTCATATTTAAAGCTCTTAAGTTCAGGGTAGCGGTCTCAAACTGCCAAACACTAGGATGAGGATGTGACTCTGCATGTGTTTTGGATGAGAGGAAGCATCGTCCCAGTCACTTTTCTCCTCCTGTGCTGTCCTTTCAAAAACAGGTCTGGATTTCACGCTCTACCCCAAGAAAAAGAACTGGTTCAGAAAACACTTCCCCAAGTTTCTCCAACAGAACACTGTGGCTGCAGGGCCTGGTAGTGTGAAGGGCAGCAACTGACATATAAAAATGTACTTAAAATCAGAGTCAAAAAATGGTTTTAAGTTTTAATACTCTTAATTAGCTCCCTGCTTTATACTGTAACTCCACAGAAGACATAGGGCCACCTAGGATTCACAGGAAGGAGCAGCTCTGATTCTTACATGGCTGGCTCCGATGCCCCCACAGCAGGCCTCTTCCTCCCCAAGTTTTTCCTCTCCATTTCAAAAAAGCACTATTTTATCTTCACATCCAAGAGCTGGTTGGTTTGGTTTGTTTCTTTGGAAACCAATAAAAGAAGCAATTTTTTCCTGTTCTTTTTACTCACATCTACCTATCAGAGCGGCTATTTCCTTCGACAGTTCAGTAGCACACAGGCTGACTTGGCCACATGGACTCATGAATGCATGCATTCAGACCGCATATTGCTACCAAATGGAATGTGGGAATATGCTATGCACCTCAGGTTGAGAAATGACCAAGAAATCAAGATCTAAAGGGTGATATATAATATATATATATCAATGCTATTATTCATAAAAACCTTGTTTAGTAATAAAAAAAATTGCTTTGTTTAAATATGAATATTATAGTCTGCTTCTCATGGTTAGGAAATAATAGTCTTTCTGAAAAGCAGGTGCTTTTTCTACTACAACTCCATATCCTGGGCCTCATCTTCGGAAAAGTCAGACATAGAGCTCTCCGATGAGCTGTCCCCGGTACCCTCTTCCTGTTCTTTCAGCGCCTCCTCCGTGGCGTATTTCTGGATGTACTCTGCACGGGGTGGGAGAAAGACAACAAGGGCAGTGAGTGGGCAGGCATGTGCTTTGGCGACCCCAAAAAGCTGGCAAGGCTGCGGAGGTTCAAACTTACCTTGAACACCAGGGGGGACAAAGATGACAGTAATCATGATCACTACAGCTAAGGAGAATCCCATAGGGAGACTTCTTTGGGACAGGGTTTCTGCATTTTGCCCCCTGAGGAAAGGGGTATTGGGAAGAGCAACACAGCAGGCTCAGCTTGCAGGGGAATGTGTGTGCTGCAGCACCCCAAGAACTCTTCAGGGACCAGGGAAATGGGAGCCCCACGCTTTCTTTTTACTTTCATCTCCCAGATAGTATAGGACCAGTCATGATTCCATAGTAATTTATAAGGAAATCCTTCATCATTTTTAGATCTGCAGTTACATAATTACGGTCAGTCCAGGTCTATTATTTTAGGAATCGATTTTAGTCTAAACAGATCCTGCCTGTCAGGTTTTTGAAGCAGCTGGCAAAAACCATCGCTCAATCTGCTCAGGACTAAGCTGCTATACGGAGACACCACTCGGCTCTGAGTGGTTTTTCCATGTATAATTTACCTGAAGGTAGATTTCCGCTGCTACAGCCTTGGTGGAACCCTAGGCTGAATAAGACTGCTGAAACGGCTTTTAAGAACTGCTGAATAAACAAACTTGTTCCTAAAAACTCTAAGTGCATACTGTTTTCAAGTGAACAGCCTCCACACAATAGGAAAAGACATGACAGAAACCTATTCAAAATGCAAGCCACACAAAAACACACCCTTGTGGCTTTGTTTTTCCTCCTATAGAGTTGCGGGGACTCACTGCAATAGGAAGATAAGCTGAATGGCCAAATGGGCCTACCAGATTTGAATAACTAGCACAGGGCCTAGCTAAGAATGTTTTTATATTTTAAAAACTGTCTTAAAAAATAATAAACAGAATGTGTGATAAAGGCCACATCTGGCCAATGTGGTCCTTTACAGAAAAGGTTTGCAGACTTGAGACTTAGAGCCCTTCAAATTCATTATAACAAAATTTTATGCTAATGATTTTGATGAGATTAAAGTAGCCCATGATTAGGTAGGAATTTACCTTAATTGAGAAATATTTATTCAAACTTTAACAATTTTATTTTTAACCTCTAATGGGTTGACTATTTTGCGTCTTCCTTTGTAGAAGATAAATATTGACCTTTTTTTGACACTAGAATTTGATACTATCAGCCCTCTTTAATGTATTCAAGGAAACAAATGTATATTAAGTACTTACTAGGACAAGGCCTTTGAGAGAGAGAAAGGAAGAGCAAGGTCACCAATGAGGAGGAGGAAACAGAGGAAGATAAAAGGAGCTGCTGAGTGTCACCAGAGGGAAGCAGTTACGGACGAAAAACGGCCGAGGCAGTCCCAGCCACACTGACCCCCAAGTCCTGCCAGCTATGGCATAGGAGAGGCCACTCCAGGGAAAGGCTTTGTTTTGTTGAAAGTAAGTGGCTGGGATGTTTAAACACAACCTTAAGAGAGAACTATGGCCAGGTGCAGCGGCTCATGCCTGTAAACCCAGCACTTTGGGAGGCCAAGGCGGGTATATCACCTGAGGTTAGGACTTCGAGACCAGCCTGGCCAACATGGTGAAACCCCATCTCTACAAAAATACAAAAAACTAGCTGGATGTGGTGGCACATGCCTGTAATCCCAGCTACTCGGGAGGCTGAGGAAGGAGAATCACTTGAACCCGGGAGGCAGAGGCTGCAGTGGGCCGAGATCGCACCACTGCACTCCAGCCTAGGCGACAGGGCAAGACTCCGTCTCAAAAAAAAAAAAAAAAAAAAAAAAAAAAAAAAGGAGTAAGGGCAAAGATGTAGATTCCACTCAGTATCAGAGAGCCCTGAATGGCAGGCAAAGATGTCACCCAGCAAAGGGTTTTGAGCAGGGAAGTGACAGCTTTAGACAGCTCCAATGGTGCCCAGTGCTACGGGCTATCCAATATTTAAACACTTTTTCAAACATGTACTATAATACAGCGCCAACTAAATATGAACACTGACTGTGTTAGCTGTGTTGGGTTGGTGGTGACTGCCACACAAATGGAAATGTCCAGCAGCAGCTTGGGAGAGAGGCCAGGCCTAGACACACATTCAGAAATCATCTCCCTGGAGGGGACTGACTGAAGCTGTGAGAGGTGAAACAGCTCCTCAGGGATGACAAAGGAAGAGAGGGAGCCCAGGGACCGAGTCCTAAGTGAATGACCACATTTAGGAAATGGAATGAGAAGTTTCCAGAAAGATGAGGGTAAAATGTAACACTTGCAGAAAGGTCCAGCAAAATGGGACTTGAGAAGAGTCCAAAGGATTGGGAAGAAATGAGGGCACAGATTAAGCAGAGGAGGGGAAAAAAACTAGAGGAGTTTAAGGTGAGGACGCAAGAAGTTTGAAAATGAAAAGGAATAAACAGCATGACTCCTAAGAGAGCCCACAGGAGCAGATCACTGCTCCTGAAACAGGGAGACCTCTGATGGGGTGGAGGAGGAAGACTGCATTGGGAGGGGGCGGGGGGTTGGGGGAACAAGATCACAGATTGGTGGTGGGAGTGAGTTTGAGAAATGAGGAAGGGTGTCTCTTATTTATTTCCTATAGTTAGGAACAAAGAAAAGATGCAGGAGGGAAGGGAGAAGATATCAAGGCACAGTAGGAAGTGGGGGTGAGCTCAGGTCTGATGGCCATGATTTTCTGAGATTACTAAGGAAGACAAAATGATAGCCAACATGAACATTTCCGAAGGCTAGGGGTCCGTACGCTGGAGTGAGCCATTCTAAGATAAATGTAGGCTCGGTTCTTTTTGTAAATGGGACTATAGCAGACATGTACTGAAACAGGGCTACTGCTAAATTGTTGAGACAGAATGCATATGTGAACTAGAGAAATATACTCTGCTCCAAGATATCTGTGGTTTGCAGACATTGCTAAGTGATTCCTATGTCAAAATTTTAATATAGTCTCATAACAGCACTTTATCTGGCTGAAACTGACTGCCTTTTTCTTCAAATACATGTTTGCTTAGCTATATATTTTGCTACATAAATTAGATATTAATTTGCAAAGCACTTGAGATCTAATTAATTATAGTAAATTTATTTCTGCTTTATCTCAACAACAGCTCCAAACAATACCCTATAGAGACCTTGGAAGAAGAATTAGAAAACAAATAGAAGAAAAGCTATTGTTTCATGAATAGTCCCTGTTTGCCTCATACCTGCACATTTCAGAGTGAAGACCTGCACATTCAAGCTCTGGTAAATTACTTCTACTGCCACCTCTTGCAAATGTACCTCAGAGAGGCCACACATTTTGAGGAAGCAAACATTCTGGACTGCTATGCAGATAGGCCCATCATGTGAAAAACTGGCTAGATACTAATGCCTGCCATTGGTTAAAAGCAGCAGGTATATTTCACAAACTTTGAATTCCTTTGCTTCTTGGTGGAGCTTCATGTATCTAGACTTTTCACTATGAAAGTTCTGAAACATACACAGAGGTAAAATGGAAAATCCAATGAACCCAGGTGGAGCTTTAGATTTTTTTTCTTTTTTAAAGACAGAATCTTGCTCTGTCACCCAGGCTGGAGTACAATGGCACAGTCTAGGCTCACTGCAACCTCTGCTTCCTGGTTCAGGCGATTCTCTTGCCTCAGCCTCCCGAGTAGCTGGGACTACAGGCGCGTGCCACCACACCAGGCTAATTTTTGTATTTTTAGTAGAGATGGGGTTTCACCATGTTGGCCAGGCTGGTCTCGATCTCCTGACCTTGTGATCCGCCTGCCTCGGGCTACCAAAGTGCTGGGATTACAGGCGTGAGCCACCACGGCCAGTCGCAAACTTATCTTCATTTAAATGAAACTCATATCCCATCAGCACGTAAACTGTTTTAAGGATGGGAAAATAGGATTCTAAATCGCAAAGGATGAGCAAACTGGTGCTACTGCCACCCGAGGTTGGTGAGCACTACTTCAGCCCACAGCTGTCTCTTTTTAGGCCTAAGAAAAAGTATTAGGAACTAAGTAATTTAAGAAGGACTTTTAATGACTGAAGCCCAACAGATTTAAGTTCTTTTGTCTCCAGGTTAAACTACCCATCCTCTTACCTTTAATTTTCTGCTTGTATTCTTCTGGTCGGTGGAGGTACATGGCTGCAGCGTCACCATTGAGAGGATCTATGGGGTTAGGATAGGCCAATAACTGAGGCAGGAAGGACTCAAATATATTGGTAAGATCTGAAAAACCAAACAAACATGTCACACATGGGAAATGCAAGTTCACCTAAAATTCACTTGCATTCAGTAGTCAAGCTGCTTACCTTCTTAGATATTCACACGGGGATGATTCTCCATACGAGTGTGCTCTATTACATGTGACTTGTATTACACATTCATTTCAATACCAATTTAAACATTTTAATTTTAATTTGAAGAACGAGATAAAGATATACCTGACATTCACTTTGAAGGACAATTTTCCCAATTCTATTTCACTCTATTTATATGGCTATTTCACACAGCCATTTTCTACAGCTTACAAAACCCCCCACTCTGAAAGGTATTCAGATGCTGGGTCTTAAAAGAATTGAAGACAGTTTTTGTGGGGTTTTTTTGTTTGTTTTTTTTTTTGAGACAGAGTCTTGCTCTATTGCCCAGGCTGGAGTGCAGTGGTGCAATCCTGACTCACTGAAACCTCTGCCTCCATGTTCAAGCGATTCTCCTGCCTCAGCCTCCCAAGTAGCTGGCACTACAGGCACCTGCCACCATGCCTGGCTAATTTTTGTATTTTTAGTAGAGACGGGGTTTCACCATGTTGGTCAGGATGGTCTCAAACTCCTAACCTCAAGTGACCTGCCAGCCTTGGCCTTCCAAAGTGCTGGGATTACAGGTGTGAACCACTGCGCTCAGCCTTGAACACAATTTTATAGGACTTGACATTTAATTCAATTCTTGCAACTTCTAATGGAGGTAAATATAACCAATTTTTCAATTATTCTGGGTAATGAGGATAGGAATCTATATGGACCACATAAGACTACAAATATTCATAAGACAGATAAGCACCAATCTACTGCATTTATTTATTTAAAAAAGTTTTTTTTTTGAGAGAGGATCTCACTCTGTTGCCCAAGTTGGAGTGCATAGGTGTGATCATACCTCACTGCAACTTCAAACTCTTGGGCTCAAGCCAACCTCCCAGCCTCAGTCTTCCAAGTAAATTGGACTATAGGCATGTGCCACCATACCCAGCTAATTTTTTTTTTTTTAAATAGAGACAGGGTCTCCTTATGCTGCCCAGGCTGGTCTTGAACTCCTGGACTCAAGAGATCCTTCCATCTTGGCCTCCCCAAGTGCTGGGATTATAGACGTGACATTTATTAACTCCTTTCTTGCCAGGCATACACAGATGATATCTACACACAGTTAGCAAACAACAAACACCTGCAGTTACCCAGCGTTTTAGAAAAGCAGGCCCTGAGAACCTGGGTATAACACAACCCACACACCCCATAGCTCAGATATGCTGTAACTTCCACACTCTGCTCCTCAGTGAACTGCAGCACCCCTGAGAAATGGAAGGACATGAGAATGCTTCCATGTCTCTGCCCCACTCCAGCTGCTTTGTCATGTTTTATATAAAACATTCCTGTTTCTGGAGACAATGCTGAAGTATACTAAGTAGCATAAAAAACTACTCATTAATTTAGTCAGCTCTTTCAACCAATTTTGCTTTTAACAATGGGCGCTCCTTTGCAGTATTACAGATGAATGCTTTGCCAAGCCACATTGCTTGAGATTTGTGGTTCTCAGCCAAGGGTGATTTTGCTCCCCATGGAATTTGGCAATGTCTAGAGACATTTTTGGTTGTCATATCTAAGCGGTGCTACTGGCATCCGGTGGGTGAAGGCCAGGGAAGCTGCTAAACACCACAATGCACAGGACAGCCCCACAACAAAGGATTATCTAGACCAAAATGTCAGCAGTGCTGAGGTTAAGAAACCCTGATCTAGATAAAAGCGGTAGGCAAACCTTTTTGTAAAGGGTCAAATACTTTTAGGCTTTGCAGGCCACATATGGTCTCTGTCATAACTACTCAAAACTCAGCTCTGCCACTGTAACACAAAAGCAGCCAAAGTATAGGTCAACAAATCGATGTGGCTGTATTCCTATAAAACTACATATACAAAAACAAGTACCCAAGGTCTGCCCAACTTTGCTCTAGAAAATCTTACCTATAAGAGGTGGCTCTTATCACTGTAAGGTTAAGAAGCTGAGCAGTTAGAGACTAATCTAGAGCTGTGTTACTCAACCGAACTTTCTGCAGTGATAAAAATGTTTTATATGTGCTCACCTAAACCAATAGCCACTAGCCATAAGTGGCTACTGAGCACTCAAAATATGGCCAGTGTGAATAAGGAAATTAATTTTCAGTTTATTTAATTCTAATTAAATTTAAATAACCACACATGGCTAGTAGATCCTGTATTGGACAGTGCAGGTCTAGAGAATGATGGGCTAGAGGGTCCCATGACAGCTACCACGTCCTGTTCTCACACACCAGGTATTGACACAGAGCAGCTCTGCCTTACAACAAAAGCCACAGACTTGGGGTGATTTCATCAGAGTCTATTTCACCTTCATAAGGCTGACTTCAGAACGGTCCTAAAGAGCCACTTTATAGTAAGGTTCTCATGTACCACGAAAGAAATCCTGACACTCCTAATCAAAAAAGCAAAACAAAAATCACCTTCCTATATAACCCCCAAACTATCTGCAGTAAGATTTTCACCAATGTTTTATCTACAATTTTTTTAAAAAGGGAAACAATTATTATGGTACAAAACCATTGAAAACTATTTGTTTTCAATGAAAAAAATGCTTATACTTGAATGCTGGGTAGAGAAAGGCCATAAAATGGTATGTTTTCTAGAATTACAACTATGTACAGTGTGTATGCATAAGACAAACATTTTAAAAAGCTACCTCAAGGCAATAGATGTGTAACTTCTACTTTTCACATTTCAAATGACATTTCTTTTGCCTTTAAAAATCAACATTTTTGGCTCACACCTGTAATCCCAGCACTTTGGTAGGCCAAGGTGGGTGGATCACATAAGGCCAGGAGTTCGAGACCAGCCTGGCCAACATGGCAAAACCCTGTCCCTACTAAAAAATACAAAAAATTAGCTGGGTGTGATGGCGCGTGCCTGTAGTCCCAGCTACTTGGGAGGCTGAGGCAGAATTGCTTGAACCTGGGGAGGTGGAGGTTGCAGTGAGCCAAGATTGCACCACAGTACTCCAGCCTGGGCAAGTGAGTGGAACCCTGTCTCAAATAAATAAATAAAATAAAAATAACATTTTCCTGTAAATATGTCCTTTCTATTTTGGCATATGTTTGAAATATCCAATAAAACATGAAAAGTCTGAAAATGTTTTTATTTTCTTATCTTTATCCTTGGGTGGGTGAGTTATTAAGGCAGTGGTAGAAAATGCCAAAAGGTAAGCAAATTCAGTTTTACAGGCCAGACGCAGTGGCTTACAACTGTAATCCCAACACTTTGGGAGGCTGAGATGGGCAGATCACCTGAGGTCAGGAGTTTGAGACCAGCTTGGCCAACACGGTGAAATCCCGTTTCTACTAAAAATACAAAAATTAGCTGGGTGTGGTGGCAGGTGCCTGTAATCCCAGCTACTTGGGAGGCTGAGGCAGGAGAATTGCTTGAACCCAGGAGGTGGAGTTTGCAGTGAGCCCAGACTGCGCCATTGCACCGCAGCCTGTGCAACAAGAGCAAAACTCTATCTCAAAAAAACAAAAATAAAAACAAAAAACAGTAGTTTTACAATTGAATGTGATCCCATAGCAGGGAAAAGTTAAACAATAGTTACATTAACAGTAATTTTTTTTTTTTTTTTTTTTTGAGACAGAGTCTTGCTGTCAACCAGGCTGGGGTGCAGTAGTGTGATCTCCACTCACTGCAAGCTCCGCCTCCTGGGTTCACGCCATTCTCCTGCCTCAGTCTCCCCAGCAGCTAGGACTACAGGCACACGCCGCCACATCCAGCTAATTTTTTTGTATTTTTAGCAGAGAAGGGGTTTCACCGTGTTAGCCAGGATGGTCTCGATCTCCTGACCTCGTGATCTGCCCGCCTCGGCCTCCCAAAGTGCTGGAATTACAGGAGTGAGCCACTGCGCCCGGCCCATTAACAGTAATATTAACAGTAATGGCAGGTTAATGCTTACATAGTGCTTACTACAAGCAAGGAACTCTTCCATGGTCTGCATATACACTCTTAATTTCACTACAGTCAATGAGGTAGGCACCATTTTACAGATGGAGAAATTGAGGCACACAGAGCTTAAGTATGGATCAGGAACTCAAACCTGAGCTCATCCACTATGCTGCCTCTGTTAATGGATAAAACACACACTGCCGCTGCCGCAAATTTCACGAAGGCACAAGCTCCCCATGTCTCTGGGTCAAAATCGCATACCATCGCTGGCAGGGAAGCTAAATCCATGGATCAGAGATGATCACCCTCCTCCCCAAAGAATCCCTCACAAGTGCAAAGAAGCATGCTAAGCAAAGGACGTTCAGATGTTTCTGTGGCTATTCACAGAGACGGTGTGCTTGTTTTCATGCAGCTCCACCGCAGGAGGTAACCCGCAGACACCTGCACACAGCGAACGGAAGGCTCCTCCTGCCATATTATTATTACAGGTGCTGCTCAAAAGGATTAGCAGCTGGATGCTATTACATAACAACGAAAACCTTTAAAAACAAAGCATAGGTTTTATGTTCTGAAGTAATGTTCAGAAGTGCTTCAGGGCTAGAGAAATATCACAGACAACGTGTTATAAAACTAGGAGTTTAGCGTGTCCCAGAAAGAGATTTTATACCCTTTCCTACTACTTTTAAGTTTCCTCAAGCTACCAATAAAAGGCTTTGCCTATGAATTTGTTCCAAACAAATAAAAGAACCCTTAATTATTGGTTCTTCCTTCCTGTATCTACCGTCTTCCTGCATTAACACATTTTTGATCCATTTTACAGAAGTGCTGAGTCACACCTGTAAAACAGAAGAGCAGAAAAGGAAACACATGAGGCCCAGTTTTGGGTGAAGATGACAACTTCGGGAGGCCAGGATGTGATGGCTCTGCCATCTTAAAGCAATAAGGCCTTCCTGCAAGTGGCTAACACAGTGATTACTCCTAAGGGTGCTTCTGAAAGGAGCATCTCTCAAATGTGCAGATGTGCAGAAAGTCTTCTTTCAAGATAAATACACTGGCAGAGAAGACTAAAACTATAAATCAAGAATAAAATAAAGATACTCATCTGTAGAAAAATAAAGAACACTTTTTCCCTAGATTTTTGTTAATGATAAAACGATAAAAATGTGTCGATAATAATAACGATAAAAATGTGTCAGTTCAAAGATCTTTATCTAAAAACATTAACCTTCAATTTTTTTAAAGGAAGAGAGCCAGATACAGTTGACCTAAACCTGTAGAGTACAGTCAGCCGACCCCATTTCCGCCTGTCTTAACTTTTAAAGGAAGTCCCAAGATTCCTGAGTATATGGTTTATGATGAGCAAACAGCTCTTACTTTTGCCTTAGACTCAATTAGAACCAAAATGTGGTTCATTAGCACTGACTCTTCAGTCTGATCTTACATTAATGTTAAAATTATAACACTCATATCTCAGTTTAGGCATATAATTTATATTCATATTTACTATTTAAAAACAGGCTGGGCACAGTGGCTCATGCCTGTAATCCTAGCACTTTGGGAGGCCGAGGCAGGTGGACTGCCTGAGGTCAGGAGTTTCACACCAGCCTGGCCAACGTGGCAAAACCCTGTCTCTACTAAAAATACAAAAAATTAGCCAGGCGTGGTGGTGGGCACCTGTAATCCCAGCTACTTGGGAGGCTGAGGCAGGAGAATTGCTTGAACCTGGGAGGCAGAGGTTGTAGTGAGCTGAGATTGTACCACTGCACTCCAGCCTGGGCAATGGAGTGAGACTCCCAAATCATAAACAACTTATCATCAAAAGTAGCATCACTTAGTCTAGAGCAGTGGTTCTGGGCTAAGTCTAGGTCCTGCTTGTCCATCACAATTACCTGTGGAGTTTTTCCAAAAACTTGCTTAGCATCCTAAGGTTGCAGCTTCATACCTACCCCAGGGCTTCTGGTTTAGGACTGGATGGGATCTGTATGTGTGTGATACAGACATCTGTGTGCAAAATGCACAGGAAATACTACCTGGCCCATGATCCCCTATCCCCAAAGAATAGACGGGAAGGAAAGGGCCATTTGCTCGTAGGTTCTTTTTTGCAAGAAAATGTTCACCTCTAACAGCTCGACTCTGGTTTAGTGACATTCCCTGACCCTTCCCACTTTCTTTTCTGCACACTGCTGTTACCACTGTTATCTCTAGGCAGAGGTGTGCCAAACCACAGGCAGTCAAAAGCAGATCTGTTCTGGAGGGGAACTAAAGGGCCACTTTGGAGGAGAATGGGTATTAGAGGATGGTTAGAATCATCACCTAACACAATGTGGACATCTGGCAGAGAAAATTCCATTAGGCTGAACTGTCTCCAGCAAACAGAAAGCTGGCTCCTCAGTGGTGAACAACAGATGAAAAATCTAAAAGACCACAAGTCTAATCTCAGGCTTTCCACTGCCTTGCTCTTTGACCTTGGGCAGGTCTCTTCCTTTCTACATCTCAATTTCTTCACTGCAAAAGGAGAAGTATAACATTGCTATTCCTTACAGGGAAGTAACACACATTACTAAAAGTGACTATAAGATATACTTCAAATTGCACCAGAGAACTAAACTATTAATACAAATATGACATCCTCAAAGGGTAGACATTTCAGCTACCTGTATCCCTTAAAGAATATGTATTAATTAAAAAGAGTTACACTGAAAAAAATGTACCAATTCTTAAAGTAAAATTGCCCTATTCCAGGTGACTCACAATGAAATGGTGCAGGGCTTGAAGGAGAAAACACAAGAGGGGATGAATCACACATCTCATGTTTTATTCTTGGCTATTTATGAACCAGTGACCACAAGTTATTTCTTTTTCCTCTATTTCCTTTGAAATAAATGGAAAATTTCAAGCTGGGCAAGGTGGTTCATGTCTGTAATCCTAGCACTTTGGGAGGCCAAGGCAGGAAGACGGCCTGAGCCCAGGAGTTCAATAACAGCCTGGGCAACATAGGGAGATCCGGTCTCTACAAAATAATAATAATAATAATAATAATAATAATAATAATAATAATTGGGCATGGTGGCATGTGCCTGTGGTTCCAACTACTCAGGAGAGTAGGTGCTCAGTAGTTGCCGAGGTGAGAGGATTGCTCAAGTCAGGGGCAGGTGGATGGGTCGAGGCTGCAGTATGTTGTGATGCCACTGCATACCAGCCTGGGTGACAAAGCAAGACCCTCTCTCTACCACCCCCCACTCAAAAAAAAAATGTAATATACACTGCTTTCTGCAGGTTAAAATCCTGTGGATACCCAAACCTTGACATGCTCTGCCTCACTGGGAACCACAATTAGCACACAGGCAGTCATTTTGGAGACTTTTACCTAAATATTCTTCATTTGTTTTTCGGACTTAATACTGAAAAATACATGCTGTAACTCAGAAACCACCACCAAGTGGTGCCAAGTGCCAAGAACCATCAAAGCCATTCTTCCGTTCTCAATCCCACTTACCCCATCCCCTTTCTCCTTCTACTACCTGTCCCCCAGAAGCCCAACATCCTGTTAAAAACAAATAACAAAAAACTTATCGGGAAAGACATCAGCATCCTGCACAGCGGCTCAAATTCTGTGGCATTTGCATTTTAAGAATTAGCTTTGTACACTGTTACCCCGGGAAGCCGTCATCCTATAATTATTATTATTATTATTATTATTATTTTTTGAGACGGAGTCTCGCTCTATCTCCCCAGGCTGGAGTCTCGCTCTATCTCCCCAGGCTGGAGTGTAGTGGCACAATCTCAGCTCACTGGAACCTCTGCCTTTTGGGTTCAAGCAATTCTCCTGCTTCAAGCTCTAGAGTAGCTGGATTACAGGTGCACGCCCAGCTAATTTTTTGTATTTTTAGTAGAGACAGCGTTTTGCCATGTTGGCCAGGCTGGTCTCGAACTCCTGATCTCAGGGTGATCCATCCACCTCAGACTCCCAAAGTGCTGGGATTACAGGCATGAGCCACCGCGCCTGGCCATCCTACAATTTTAAAGGAATAAGTCTACTGGGTGTGGTGGCTTGTACCTGTAATCCCAGTTACTCAGGAGGCTAAGGAGGGAGGATCACTAGAGCCCAGGAGTTTGAAGTTACAGTGAGCTATGATCACAACTACTACACTCCAGCCTGGATGACACAGTGAGACCCAGTCTCTCTTTTTTTTTTTCCAGAGACAAGTTCTATGTTGCCCAAGCTAGTCCCAAACTCCAAGGCTCAAGTGATCCTCTTCGCCTTGGCCTCCCAGTGCTGGGATTACAGGCGTGAGCTACCATGCCCAGCTGAGGCCCAGTCTCTTTAAATAAAAAAGAAAGAAAGAAAAATAAGAAGTCTATGTTGGTAACTACCAAATCCATATAACTGGTCCTTCATATGTCTAGTCTTGTAGTCTTATCAAACTTTACATGTCTAAGATTATTTTCCTGAAAACCCATTCCCTTCACCTAATGAAGGGAGTAGGTTGACTCTAACGCCCTGGCTCTCAGGCTCCAAGCCTCTGGAAGGAATCTGGCTAGGTGTTCTTCCTTTCTTCCATGTACTCACTCAGTTTCCCAGAAATGTCTCTAGTTTTTCTTTTATTTCCCCTGGCATGTAACTATGTCAAAACCAATATATCATTCCAGCCCTGGATCAGGGCAGCCATCTACTAAATGGCCTTAAAGGCTCTATACTCTCGCCTTTGTAATCAGAGAAAGTTTCCTTAAAACAATCACTTAGGTCATTTCCCACAAACAATAAGTTCCTCTTGCCCTCAATCAAAATTCTGCAACCTGGAGAACTGCTTGAACTCGGGAGGTGGAGGCTGCGGTAAGCCAAGATCACGCTGCTGCACTCCAGCCTGGACGACAGAGCAAGACTCTGTCTCAAACAAAAACAAAAAACAAAAAACACATCACTATGTACCCCATGAATATGTACAATGATTATTTGCCAATCAAAATTCTGCATCCTCCAGAAGCATGCTATCCAAACTTCTTTCATCATCCCTCTCCCTCTGGAGGAGGACTCCTGGCTTTCCAAGCCGAAAATCACAGGGATAGTCACTACTGTCTAAGGTATTTATCTGTTCTGTAATTCAATAAGGAACAGGGCTGACAGGAAAGGAAAGAAAAATCCTGTTCACACCTAGAGGAAAACATGGACAAAAATCACAAGTCAATTGTTGTCTAGAACTGATGATTCCCTCTGTGACTTACATAGATCTCTTTCCCCTGAACTTTTGGTCATTATAGTTGAAACTCCTGGGAATTTCACCCAAGTTATTCACATCCTTGACTACTAGAGAAAAGCAGCTGTTGACCTTTCAAAATTCCATTGGTTGACTTTAGGAACTGTATTGAATTCGTCATGAACTGCCACGCAAGTCATGAATTTTACAATATGTGCCCAAAATAAAGCCAACCATGAAATCTCATTCATTCCACAATTATTTTTGGTGGTGGTGGTGGGTATCTACTATATGCACAAAAACCAGGTAGCTTTTTTTTTTTTTTTTGGTAAGGCCTGAAATAGGGCAAATAAATTAAGATCTCCAGATTTCTTTAGGTACTTAATAATTTGGAGTTAACAGATTTTCCTCAAGGGTGTATTAGACACTATAATTAATAGATCTTTACCTTCTACTCCTTTACCAGCTCCTACAAAGCAGCAATATTAATAATGGTTGAATTTTTAATTTTATCCTGCTTGCAGTCTGTAAACATTAAAAGACAGTGAAATTCTACAAGAAAAGAAGAGTAGTCAAAAACCTATAAAGAGTCCTACACTGCACACAACTAAGCAGTTGTTATTTTTGAAAAAAACTTGCAAACAGAGGGCCCTAAAAGATGACAGACAGCCCCTCAAGGAAAACTTCAGTAAAACCAATCGGATAGGCAGGCAGAATTCAAAGAAACAGTTTTGAGATTAAAAGTAATATTCTCTAAAATAACTAATTTGAGCCGGGCGCAGTGGCTCACGCCTGTAATCCCAGCACTTTGGGAGGCTGAGGCGGGCAGATCACTTGAAGTCAGGGGTTCAAGACCAACCTGGCCAACATGGTGAAATCCTGTCTCTACTAAATATACAAAAATTAGTCGGGTTTGGTGGTGGGCGCCGGTAATCCCAGCTACTTGGGAGGCTGAGGCAGGAGAATCGCTTGAACCCAGGAGGCAGAGGTTGCAGTGAGCCAAGATTGCACCACTGCACTCCAGCCTGAGTGACAGAGCAAGACTCCATCTCAAATAAAATAAAATAAAATAATAAAACAATTAATTTGAACTCAACTTCAGTGACAAAAAGCCCATTTCTCCACCTGTTTTGAGGGCACACAGGTGGAGAGCTGAAGCAACCCACCAGACTTCCTGCAGTGCTGTGGCTCAGGCCCAACTGGCCACAGGGCTCACAATGCTGCACCTAGTTTACTGAAGGCTAACTAGCTGCAATTAAGATAATATAACCCGCCACCAAATACTAAAAGGTATATTAAAGAATTCATACAATTACTTGACTGAGAGGGTCTCATGTGTGGAGAAAATATATAAAAAGTCTAAGCTCAGCAGATTCACATATCTTCTCATATTAGCCCATGGGGATCTTTAAAAGATAAAGTCTTAATGAAGAGGGCCATGCAGGCAACAAAACAAAACAAAATAAAAAAACAGAAACAGGTGAAAACACCTCCGAAAAGAAGTGGGATGCTTAAAAAACACACCAAACTCTTCCCTCCTCCCACCTCTCAAAAAAGGTGGCTGGGTGCAGTGGCCCATGACTGTAATCCTAGCACTTTGGGAGGCCCAGGTGGGCAGATCACTTGAGCCCAGGGGTTCGAGACCAGCCTGGACAACATAGTGACACCCCCATCTCTAGTATAAATAAAAAATTAGCCTGATGTGGTGGTGCATGCCTGTAGTCTCTGCTATTTGAGAGGCTGAGACAGGAGGATCACTTGAGCCCAGAAGGTTGAGGCTGCAGTGAGCCACGCTGCACTCCAGCCTGGGTGACAGGGCAAGACCTTGTCTCAAAAAAAAAGAAAAAAATAACAATTAGTAGGAATTCAAACACTCAAAGAATGTTTGCAACATACATGATAAATACATTTAAATCTCAGTAGTAGCATTTTGGTTTTTAAGTATTCAAAGCTAGAAACAGGTGTTCCTGTGCTGTGTGGGAAAGGGCAATATGAAAGATGCAGGGCGCTGGCCTGGCGTGGTGGCACACGCCTGTAATCCCAGTACTTTGGGAGGCCGAGGCAGGTGGATCATGAGGTCAGGAGTTCAAGACCAGCATGGCCAAGATGGTGAAATGCTATCTCTACTAAAACCACAAAATTAGCCAGGTGCGGTGGCAGGCGCCTGTAATCCCAGCTACTTGGGAGGCTGAGGCAGGAGAACTGCTTGAACCCAGGTGGCAGAGGTTACAGTGAGCCGAGATTGCGCCACTGCACTCCAGCCTGGGCGACAGAGTAAGACTCTGTCTCAAAAAAGAAAGAGAGAGAGAGAGAAAGAGAGAGAGAGGGAAGGGGGATGGGGGGAGGGACAGAGAGAGAGAAAGGAGAGAGAGAGAAAGAAAGAAAGAAGAGAAAAGAGAAGAGAAAAGATAGATGGACAGATGGATGCAGGGTGCTGAAACTGGGAAAACCAGCCACATTCTGCTCAGGGCCAGGCTACCAGGCCACCAAACTGAGGTGTGTAGTTACAGGACATAGACTGTTTTTAAAGCATTCCAAACCCGCTTAAAAGGTAATTTCCCATTCATTGCCTAATTGTAGCCCCTTTCCCCCCAACATATTTAAACTTCAGAGAGTTGCAGAAGAAAATAAGTGCTACTGCATAGATCACAATGAAGAAAACAAGCTCTTGTTCATCAAAAACACTGCTCTTGTTGCATTGTCAATCTCAAAACAATTCTCGTCTATTTGGGTGTTTTTTAGAGGTAATTCATCCTCGTTCAAACCTTATAACCCTGCTTACCTTAAGAGCTTGTAAGCTAAAACATGGTAATAGGATTTGTTATTAACCTTCCAGAAATGAGGGCAGTTAATGTGTAATTAGCTAGCTGGATAGTCTTGCTGTCATACTAAAACTCGCTATTCAAGCTTGTAATTACTAGACAATAATTTAGTTGTTAATATCAGAAAAGAATAACAAGAGGTAACTTCCTGCAATTACAAGCCAAGTGTCCATACGCTGGGAAGACTTTATAACTCAGTAATCGTAAGTGAATGAAGATAAAACAAATCAAGGTTACATTTACATATAATCAAGAATGAAACAAGCCCTAAAATCAGAGCCCCTACGAAAGTAGAGCATAGCTGTGGCTGTCTTTCAGAGCCATACCCTGGCTGGCTCATGTCCCACGATCCAAAAAGCCTGGACCACCCCATGGTTTTAAAGCTGACCACCAGTGAGTGTGGTATTTTTAATGAATGTCCACTAAGTTGTTCAAAGCCAGCAAGACTCCATTTTTATGTATATAACTAGTTAGACTCCTGAGCCACATACACCTCATCTGAAGATTTCCAAGCAGACAGATAAAGAAGGTTGGTTACGGAGCTAGCTAAGCACTGTTGAAGCGCAAATCCACAACTGAGCACATTTCTTTATTATGTACAACAGGTGACATTATCCCAATAGTACTGGACAGAATTGCTCTACTTGGCCTCTATCTACAAATAATGACATCCAGCTGTTCCAAAGGCAGGATGACGTTTGTGATTCAACATGGACAGATCAATACTGAAGTTCTCAAGCTGTTCAAATAGTAGTTGGCCAATTAATCATCCATGAAGACACATACATGTATTTCTTATCTGTGTAGTTACACTAAAATGTTTAGGAAACAGCATGCACTAATCCAGCATAAAGCATTATTTTAAGATATACCTTCTGCCAAAATCTGAATTATTTGGGAAGATTCACAGACTATCTAACTGAAAAGGGGATGGGATAAGTGTTAAATTTGTATTTTAAATTTCTAAATGCCTGGTAAAATAAATTTTAGGTGCCTGTAGTCCCAGCTACTCGGGAGGCTGAGGCAGGAGAATGGCGTGAACCCGGGAGGCGGAGCTCGCAGTGAACTGAGATCGTGCCACTGCACTCCAGCCTGGGCGACAGAGCGAGACTCCGTCTCAAAAAAAAAAAAAAATTTGTATCTCTTGCCTAATCTCAAAGTCCTTGAAGTATTCCTTCTGTTGTAGTCAATTTTATTTGCCTGTTACTAACTCCCCAGATAACTCTAGGGGAAGACTTTTCCCAAATGTTGATTTTTCTCTCCAGCAAAATAAGAGTAGAAGTATCTAGTCCACTGGCTAGCAACCCTAAGAGTGAAAATGTAAACTGCCCAATTTCATAAGAAAATTGTCTTCCACCTCACTTCTCCACAACTTTTTTTTTTGTTTGTTTTTTTGAGATGGAGTTTTGCTCTTATTGCCCAGGCTGGAGTGCAATGGTGCAATCTGGGCTCACTGCAACCTCCGCCTCCCGGGTTCAAGCAATTCTCCTGCCTCAGCTGTCCGAGTAGCTGGAATTACAGGTATGCGCCACCACGCCTGGCTAATTTTGTATTTTTAATAAAGATGGGGTTTCTCCATGTTGGTTATGGCTGGTCTCGAACTCCCGACCTAAGGTGATCCGCCTGCCTTGTCCTCCCAAAGTGCTGGGATTACAGGCATGAGCCACCGTGCCCAGCCTACAACTTAATCCATCATATAAATAATTTACGAAGGCAGTCAAAGAATGAGTAAAATGAAAGCTGGAGAGAGAAACACATTTGCAGGGATCAAGCATGCCTGGTCCAGAAGGGTGGGATGAGAGAGAGATTAAAGCTGTATCGCAGTGAAGGCACCTGGGCCCCCAGGAGTGCAGGGTGATAAGCCAACTACAGATAAAATATATTTTGGAGAAAAAAAGGAAAACTGGAAAATAGAAGAGTGCTTAAAAAGCTACCTGTGGCTTAATGAACTCTCCTATCAGTCCTTAAAATTAATTTGTTTTGAAATGGAAATCCAGATCCCCTTGGCTACATTTTATGTTTCTCAGAGCTTCTGTCACTGCTGTCTGGAAGAGCAGGAAGGGATGCAAAAAAAAAGATGCTATCATGCAGGAAGCCAAAATCACTTTGGTCATCTGCTACTTTCTGTTTAATGTCATAACAATAACAATAGATAACTTCATACTTGATAACTTCATACTGATGGCAAGCATCTTACAAAATTAATCCGATTCCTCACTATAATTAGCTCTCTTGTAAGGTTAAATAATACAAAATTAAAAATTACTGGGTGAGTAAACCACAATTATACCAATTTTGAACTCTGAATAAACAAATTGCACATACACTTGGCAAAGAGAAAACAGGATAAGAACAGAAGCAATGAGTCAACTGGCTTACCAGAAATCAATGGCGGGGAAGGGTGTGAGGGGACAGAGGACTAAATTTACTGCTAACATGAATGTTGTTTAATATCAGGCTATGATTAACATACATCTGAAATTTCAACTGTGAATTGTTGTTACGCTACAAATATGTATACCCACAGAACAGTACATGTCCTGGGGCAAGGTAAATGGCAGGAAATTTCACAATCCACTCCCTGCTCCCTCATCGAATCTACAGCAGAGGAAAGTGTTGAAACAAGTTTTAGGTGCCAGGCTTAGCCTTTTGCTTTTCAGTTGAATATTTATGTTGACACGCCAACTTTCTCCTATTAGTTATTTAGTGTTAGTTTTTTTTTTTTTTTTTTTTTTGGCGGGGCAGGGGTTGGCGGGGGCAGTCCTTTGAACTAAGATTCTCTCAGGAACCACTGCAGGAAATGAAGTGATTCAGAACTCACCAATTATGAACTAACCTTCAATGCCAGAGGCTTTAACAGTTTCTAATAAAAATTCAGTTCAGATCTCAAGTTCAGATAAGTCTGAAAAAACACTTCAAGGTCATCTGAACGAACATATTCTACCAGTACTTTATATAATTGTATTTACCTGTTCCTAAAACTTTCCGTGAAAGAAATGTTGAATTTTCTTCAGAAATAGTTTTGAGCAAAATGTCAAAACAATTCTCCCATGCTCAGTGTACTTTTGACTATACTCTGAAAATATTTCTTCTTGTTTTCCTGCACTTACCTGTTAGTGTGCTCACACTCCTGTATTATGGAACATGTTCAGTAACTCATACACATGTAACACAGAAGTCTGCTTTCAGTTCACTTGGACCAACGTGGTTTAACTCTTGCTGCTTATTAAATGCTTTGCAAGCTAATGTAAGTACACTAACATTTTATAAATGTGATGAAAACTTACTCATGTTGGCCACTTTACAAAGTAGTCTATCAGTCCTCAAATAGTTAAACATATTATCCAGCAATTTCACTCCTAGGTATATACCCAAGAGAAATGCAAACATGTCTACACAAATACTTGTGCACAAATATTTATAACACTCATAATAGCCAAAAGACAGCAATAACCCAAATGTCTATTATCTGACAAATAATGTGGTTTATCTACACAATGAAATATTATTCAGCCATAAGAACTTCCGATACATGCAACACGGATCAACCTTGAAAACATTATGCAAAGTGAAAAAAAAAACAGTCACAAAAGACCACATATTATATAATTACGTTTCTAAGAAGTGTCCAGAAAAGACAAATCCACAGAAACAAAAAGCAGATTCGTGGTTGCCTAGGGCGAATAGTTAAAGGGTACACATTTATTTTTGAGGTGATGAAAATGTTCTAAAATTGACTGTGGTGATGGCTGCATATAACTGAATGTATTAAAAACTACTGAATTACACACTTTAAATGGGTGATTTGCATGTCTGTGAATTATAATTCAGTGAAACTGTTATTTTTTTAAAAAACCTGTTCTGAGACATGAAGTACTTGACAGTCAGCAAACATCTTTCACAAAGCTTTTCTGGTCAATGGTAAAAGCTTTAGCAAAACTAAACATCAATTTACTTCATTGTAATTGGAACCAGATTGCAGTATTTTGATATGTACATTTTTAAGATGTGAATGTAGTTTAAGAAAACACATCATTACATCAGATATTCCAGGCAGCCTGCCATGAGACATTTTTACCAAAAAAACCATCTTAAAAGGAATCCATTTAATCAAGCTCGGAGTGTATGTTCTTTCTTGTTGCCTCAACTATATGCCATCATCTCCCCTAAAACTCTCTTGTTAAACAGTTCTGGACATGATTAATTCACTCATTAAGACAACAAATAGTCGAACCCTTATTGTGCACCAGGCACTGTTACAGTCACGTGTGCGTGTGCGTGTGTATAGAGAGAGAGAGACGAGAACAAGACAAAGTCCTCACTCATGGTGCTTACAATCCAAGGGGATAAGATAAATAATATACAAATACCAGTTTTAGAAGCTTATTGAAAACGGGGTACTAGCCAGGCATGGTAGTATGCACCTATAGTCCCAGCTACTGGGGAGGCTGAGATGGGAGGACTGTTCGAGCCTAGGAGCTCAAGGCTGCAGTGAGCTATTATCGCACCACTGCATTCCAGCCTGGGCAACAGAGTGCAACTCTGTTTCTATGTATTAAAAAATAATTTTAAAATTAAAAAATATATATACAACTGGGTGCTGTGCTATGGAGGGGTGTGATTTCAGATGGAGTAGCTGGGAAAGGAAACTGCTCTGAGGAAGTAATATGTGAGATGAGTGAAGAAGGTGCTAACCACACAAAGATCAGGGGGGAATATCCCAGGTAGAGAAAATAATTTTTGAACGGCACAATCAGGTGGAGGCAGGGATTAACTGTGTTCTGCTGGTGACCAACCTTTCTCTGTGATTCTCATTTACCAATCTAGTTCAAGGATATCTGGCAAAAGTAACTTGCAGATTGTGGCTGGACTAAGAAGTCTTACCTACCTCAGACCACTAAAAGGTCGTACAAGTTCAACAAGAAGCAGCCATCCCTGGTTAAGCTCAGCCTCAACTGAGCTTTCCCTTCTTTTCTTGTGCCTCTCAGCAATGGTTACCTGTACCATTCATTCTTTCAACCCATACTGGTGAAGGGCACTGTGATAAGAGTCCTGGGCCTTACAGATGAATCAGACACACACCCGATAGCCCTTAAGATAGGAAATAATCTAGTAGCACAAAAAAATAGGCATAAACAACAAATACACAGTAGAAAGTAAAAGTGGACCATAAAAAAGGAGCTATAAAATGTAATGGTATCCAGAGATTACTTCCAGCTGGAGAATCAGCGGAAGTATACGGGGTAGGAGCACTGGAGTAGGTAGACTCTATGAAGCCTGAGATTTGGACATGTGGAGGGAAAAACAGATTTATTTGTTGTATCCCTAATTAACTTCAAATACACAACTGACCCTTGAACAACATGGGTCCACACACAGTTTGAACTGCATGGGTCCATTCACATGTGGTTTTCAATAAATACAGCTAGCCCTCCATGTCAGTGGGTTTCACAGGGATGACTGTGGGACTTGAGTAAGCATGAATTTTGGTATCTGCAGGTGGTCTGGGAACTGATCCCCTGCAGATACCAAGAGATGACTGTATTTTAACATATTTTCAGCTCCCCAACCAGGTGATAAGGAGGAAAGGCCTGATGCTCTTTATAACTCTCTGGGATATTCAGCATAGCATTTTGCAGAGCTGGGCAATTCATTTGTTGATTCCCTGTAAGAGATGGGGTGTCAATTTCAGCACTGAAGGTAAGGCTAAATTACTCTTCCTTCATAAGGAGGTTTTGGTCTTTGAAAAGATGATCCCCTAAAACCTCTTACTATATCATTGCTCTCTCATTTCAGAGGGACATTCCTAAGTAGTTTTAGTTTTTTCCAAAACCAAAATATGTATATATTATGTGCTAATACATACATATAAAATGTTTGCACATGTATTCATGTGTGTGCGCATGTACTCATGTGTGTGCACATGTATCACTATACCTTAAGTTTGGAATCTCAAAAAATCATTTTAAACTTCCACAGCTAAACTGATATATTTGTACTTAAGAGAAAACATTTTTTCCACTGATCAAACTTTCCCAGTCGGTCCCTCAAAAATCCCTTCCCATTACCAACAAAACATCTTAAACCAGAAAAGAAAAGCCAAACAACATTTTTTTAGGCAATGTCTCAACATCTCCAAAAAATATTCCATGGCCAAACTCACCATAGAGAGCTGTCCAAGTTTGATTAATTACATCTAGACACACAGTTCCTGACCTGAAACAGATGGAAAGAATGGCATGTTTTTAAAAATTAGAAAGTTAGTTGCATGTATCTGGCAACTAATTTTTACTTATCAAGAGAAATACTTCTAATAGATCTGTGAAAAAAAGAATCCCAATTGGGGAAAAGTATGATGAGGAACAGAATAGTACCAGGTCTTGAAGTGTCACCTTACAGACTGAAAGGGGAAAATAGTAACTATGCAATGGAGAAACCAGACAACACCTGAACCAGGTGCTGAGAACACAAGGGGCAGACAGACCTTGTGTGTCTCTGAATGTGATACCCCAAGAAGGACACCATCTTACTTTGTAGTTTTCTGGCCTTAAGTGTGTTCATGCCCTGAATCTAATGATCAGGAAACATCAGACAAACACAAATTGAGGAACAATCTATAAAATAACTGGTCTATGTTATTTTAAAAAGTGAATTTTATAAAAGATAAAGGCAGGCTGAGGAACTAATCCTGATTAAAGCAGTTTAAAGAAACATGACAACTAAATGTAATGTGTGATTCTAGACTGGATCCTTTATTGAAAGAAAAAAGTGCTAAAAAGTAAGTTACTGGAATATGGCAGTAGATTAAATAAGTATTGCATTAACGTTAAATTCCTGAATCTGACAACTATATACTGTGGATAGATAAGAGAATATCCTTGTTAGGATAACTGATACAATAAAATATTAATATTAAAGGACTAAGGGGCATGATGTATGTATATATACAACCTACTCACACAGAGTGCAGAAAAACCTGTTAGGTATGTTTGTGAGAGACAGTAAAACTTAGTGCCATGACAAATTAAAATTGCATCCCAAACAATAATATATTCTAAACAGCACTAGAAGTATAAAACAGGATATGCTGGAATATTTTAAAGTATCATTAATAAAATATTAGAAGGAAAGAAGGGGATAAATAAGATTCATTAACTGAAATGAAACTATAGTCATTTTGCCTTACTATCTATCAAGAATTGAGAAAATATTATAAGATCTGAAAATAGTCTATCTGTAGGCTGAAAACAGATCTCTGAACTGTGTCTACAAAAAGAGAAGTGAGATGTGGAATATTACTACTGTTTGCTGGGTAACAAGAAAAATGAAGGACCCAGTCACGACAATGGAAAAAAATAAGTGGTACAACAGCAGAATGTGAACTAAGTGATTGAGAACCTCATATCCTTTGGATTCTATCATTTACATGACCATTCATACAGTCCTACCTCCTGATAAGGTCCAAAAAGATAACCGAGGCTTTTTATAACACAGAGAAACACTAATCATGAGCAGTTGCTGCTAAAATTGAAACATTTTAAAATAGTTACTTACGCTTCATCAATGTTGGGATGGAAAATTTTATTCATGAATCCTGTAAAAAGAGATGTTAATTAGCAGCAAAAAGTATCCAGAGAACAATAAAAGTATTTCAGTACTGGAAACAATTTCAGTATTGGGAAAAGGTGATAATACTTATAAATCACTACTTTCAACCTTAGATCTTTCATTACTGATAAACATTATATTCTCCTGATAGCTCCAATTATTTGGAATACATCAGCATTCTATTAACAAATGAGCAAACTGGGAGAAATGCAGCTTCTTATACAAAACAATCATTAAAGCAACTGTTTTCTGAGCTATGAAGGTACTGCTCAAAGATAAATTATACTACTAAATGGTTCATAGCCAGTGTCATGATAAAAGTTAAGAAACTTCACTCTCCCAGAAGTTTTGTTGTTCAAGCTCTAAATCTGGAGGTTCTGCATTTCAACTTCTCCTTCTGACGCTCACTTACTGGTATCACTTGGCTGCACTGTGCACGGAACATGAATGAAACTGTTGAAATGCTAAAGGAATACCACTTCAAACCACAAAGGATTTCCTAAAAGCAGTGACCAAAATATTTCCTTTAACATTAGTCTACTCATTCAGGGAAACCCAGTTTTGATTAAAATTGGGGCAACCAAGCAAGGAGTTAAAAAAAATACTCTAAGTTGGCTATATCTGTTGGAGGTTTAAGTTTTTAAAATTTTTCCTAGCAAACCAAGTACACACTTTAATAGCTATATGGCCATTTGAACTTCAAGGAGAAATTAATAAAACCAGTTATTCAGTCAGTCAGTATATATGCAAATGGCAATATTCTAAAGCAGAGATCCATTGTCAAAGGTGTCATTTTGTCATCCTTATCACTTCATTTCCTTTTAGGACTCATTCTGTTCCACACTTTCAATATCTGAAGTTCCTTATTAAGGTGAGTATCACCACCACTATCTCCGACCCCCATCCTCCATCACCCCCATCCCCACAGTCTCTCTCTCTCATATTCATTCAGAACATATTTGGTCAGCACCTACACCGCAGGCATTGTGCTTGGATAGGGTATAAAAATAAGACAGTTCACTATTCTTGAGGAGGTCACTGTGGCAGTGGGACAAGAGACACCAATAAATACCTGCAATCTGAATAAAGTATTGATACAGTAGGCGGAGTAAAATGGGAAGAGTCAGGAAAGATGCAGAGAAATGGCACTGGAGGAGGAGCCTCAAGTGAGGCGCTACAGAGATTGTCTCCAAAAACCTGAGAAACTTCCCCTGAAGTAGAAAACAGGGGATAAGAATACCAAGTCCAAGTAGTCCAGTCTTAGACCACTCTAGTCACTCACACTTTTAACTTTTGTTTTTAAATGCTCTGTGTTGAAACAGCATAATGTTCTATCTACTACAATCAAGAGGGCCTATGTGATGTTTAAGTTACTCTGATGAAAAAAAATCTTTGTGTCCAATATTAATTTTTCATTAAGGAAATTAAAGATGTTTCAAAGTCTAGATTTAAGAAGCATGTGGTTTATGAAGACATTTTAATAATGGGAAATGTTCATGTCTTGGTATTAAGAGGAGAAAAATTAGGGTAAAAAACATTCTACATTAACTTTAGAAAAATACTAATACACATGTCCCAGATGCCCCATGAGAGTATTTGTTGCAATATTATTTATAAAAGCCAACAGCCAAATTCAACCCTGTCAATGGGATAGGGTTGGATAAAGGGGAGTACATCCATCTACCTGAGTCCTATACAGCCAAGGGTAATGAAGTAGATCCATGTGTATCAACTTGTATACATCTAAAGCTGAGTTTTGTTTTTTTTTTTTAAGTTGCAGGATGTTATATTTACAGGCTGAGGTTATTTAAATAAACTAAAACAAACAACTACCAATTCTCCATGGTAACAAGTATAGGAAAACTGTACTGAACCAACATATACCAAATTTGCAAAAGTAATTGTTTCAGTTAGGGCACAGGGCCAGGGTCATGATAGGAAAAGGGAACAGAAGAGGAAACAGTGGTTAAAAATGACTTTATCTGGCCAGGCACGGTGGCTCATGCATGTAATCCCAGCACTTTGGGAGGCCAAGGTGGGTGGATCACCTGAGGTCAGGAGTTCAAGACCAGCCTGGCCAACATGGTGAAACCCTGTCTCTAGTAAAAAGAAATAAAAAATTAGCTGAGTGTGGTGGCGTGTGCCTGTAGTCCCAGCTACTCGGGAGACCGAGGTAGAGAATCACTTGAACCCAGGAGGCGGAGCTTGCAGTGAGCCAAGATCACGCCACTGCACTCCAGCCTGGGTGACGGAGTGAGACTGTCTTTAAAAAAAAAAAAAGACTTTAACACTATTAATATATTCCTTTTAAAAAGGGACAATGTGCTTCTATATTATTTGCTCTGTTTAAAACATATGCACATAAATAAGAAACTGAAAGTAAGTACAAATGTTAACAGTGTAGAATTCTTAGTGGTGGTAGTATTTTCTCCGCTGCACTTTTCAAATCTCATCACCACCTCACCACACCTGAACCAGAACTAGGATCACAGCAATGGGAAAAGGCTAGAAGAAAACAGGTGTGGATGGTTGTCATGTTTGCAAGATTCTCCCATTATTTCTACTTGCACTTTTGGCTCTCTGACATTTCTACAATGTGTAATTTTAATAGTTGAGCTTAAAAAAACTCCGAAATAAAAAGTTATCATAGTATCAGCTGGCCACAGTGGCTCTCGCCCGTAATCCCAACACTTTGGGATGCTAAGACGGACGGATTACTTGATGTCAGGAGTTTGAGACCAGCCTGGCCAACATGGTGAAACCCCATCTGTAACGAAAATACAAAAATTAGCCGGGCATGTGGCGCCCACCTGTAGTCCCAGCTACTCAGGAGGCTGAGGCAGGAGAATTGCTTGAACCTGGGAGGTGGCTGCAGTGAGCCGAGATCATGCCACTGCACTCCAGCCTGGAAGCCAGAGCTAGACTCCGTTTCCAAAAAAAGTTATACATAGTATCAAACATTCTAAAATAGACTGAATTACACAAGCATTAACTAGTGCTGAACTATTTTAAGAAAAAGCCAGTAAAACCAACCATTTTATTTGAAATCTCGTATCTTAACACTCTTGTTCAAATAATACAAATTCATTACCCTCCCCCTAAAATCAGAGGAACCTCAGGTTATAAGGTACGTGGTCCTCAAGATCAGTTATATATAGGAGTATGCTGCTATCACTACTGCAGGGAAGCTTTCTGATGAGTGGGGAACAATGCTGAGCCACTATGTGGTTTAATGCAAGAGAATGGTCCTACTATATGAAAAATATTGCCTGAAGCTACTATTAAGAATTAAAAATACGTTCTTGATACTTAAAATCCTGCCTCTGTGAGAACTCTCAAAACTAACACCTAATGAAGCAACGTCTATGGCAAAGGTTCCCAATGCTGGCTACAGATGAGAAGCACTGGGAAGTTTTCATTTAAACTAAAACCAATACTCAAAGACACAGGACTTAAGGGGAAATACCTGTAAGGAAAGGTCTTTAGAAAAAATAAGTCCTACATTAGAAGGTCACCAGCATTATGGAGAAAAACACAGCAAAGGAGGAAAACAGAAATGGAAAGGTTGGGGCGGGGTGGCAATTTTAAATGAGATGGTCAGGAAGGGACTTCCTGAGAAAGTGACTTGCTTTGAAGGAGGTGAAAGAGGAGCCACCTGGTACCAAGAGGAGAGGAGAAGGTCACTATAGAGGGAACAGCCAAGTGCAAAGCACATTAGGAGCTTGCCTGATGCTCTGAAGTTTTTTCCTGAAACTGAAGGGATTTGAAAAAGGGGCAGAAAATGAGAAGTGATGTCACAGAGGTGATCAGCATTTGGGGCCCTTTTAAGGACACTGGCTTTTATTCAAGGGAGATGGGGGGGCCACTGAGACTAGTGCCTGAACAGTGACATATTCACATACTTGGCTTAACAAATGGCTTGTGTCCTAAAATAGGCTAGTTGGGGAACAGCTCAATCAGCTCACAGCACCTGAGTGCTGGGGAATGGCAGATCTCAAGCAAAACAAAATGGGAATCCTACAGGGCATTATGCTTCAACGATCTGAGGCCACGGGGCATTTAAAGGTGTTAAGTCAAGCAAATAACTATGGTAAGCTTTAAATGTTTATCAAAACGTCTCTGAAAGACTAAGGTGCCTCCCTCATTGGACATGACCTGGAGAGCACACTTGGAATTAACAGTGTCTATACAGTTTTCAATTAAATCTAGATTTGGCTTAGTTGAGTACAGGAATAAATAACAGAACCAAAAAGGACTTGGTAAACATACGCTTTAGTAATAAATGGTTTGGAGCTCAGTCTCCAGTGCCCCTGCTAAGTACAGAACACCATCTGAGCACTAGTACAGAGGGCAGAATCACACCACAAAGCAAAGTACTAAACAGGGACATGGGTTCTAGCCTCAACTAATCAACTGCAGGCCCTGGGCAAGTCACTTCACCTTGTGGGGTCTGTTTCTTTACCTACGAAGACAAATAGTTGAACTATATGATCTCCCAAATCTCCACTCTTACTCTATTTCTGAAGGCCCTATCAGCTCTAAAAATCTAGCATTTAATAACAATGGCAAGCACTCTGAGAACAGAGGAATTATGGGGAAATATCCAAGAGTTAAGTCCTTAAAGGAAATTAATTCTGTAAGGCAGCATTTTTAGGTACAGAAATTTTCTAGAGAATACAAAACCACCAACATGATAAAATACCATAAAGAGCCACAAAACAAACCCTCTGACTCTTCTAAAGTAGGCAGAAACAGTTTATAACCTTGCCTTTGAGGGATGAACACAACCAGACCAACTCTATCAAGAAACTTTCTACTTTCTAAACTAAAATGATCTCTTCCAATACTAGGTGTTTTTTTTTTTTTTTGAGATAAGGTCACTTCGTCACCCAGGCAGGAGTGTGGTGGTGCAGCACCTTGCTCACTGCAACCTCCGCCTCCTGGGTTCAAGAGATTCTCCTGCCTCAGCCTCCCAAGTAGCTGGGATTACCACAACCAGCTAATTTTTGTATTTTTTCGTAGAGATAGGGTTTCACCATGTTGGCCAGGCTGGTCTTGAACTCCTGACCTCAAGTGATCCACCCACCTCAGCCTCCAAAAGTGTGGGGAATTACAGGCGTGAGCCACTGCACCTGGCCCTCAGGCTTAATTGTTAGAAAAATATCCAAAGCAAATACATGGAAAAAAGCATATCTCCTTGACATTTGTTCTTAGACAAGCTGTGGGCAGTGTTTCTGGCAAAGCCATTTACATTCTGGATAATGATGCCAACAATGGAACTCCTGGACAAGGAGGGGGGAGACAGAGAAAGAACGGGCCAGAAATTCGGAAAAGGAATGTTCTCAGGACTGTGTTGAGTTGGCCCTGGCATGTTCTCCTTCCTTTTGGCAATGCTATCATCACATTAATGAATATGTCTGCAACAAGGGAATTTTCCCAACACTTGTTTCCATTAGACCAGGAACTATTTTCAAGATATTTTAAGAGAACATATTTTGAAAACTGCTTTTATGGCAACATAAGTAGAAGTAGCAGGTTATTTTTAATCTTCATGATTTAAGATTTTATTCACTACCAGGCATTTTCTTTTTCTTTTCTTTCTTTTTTTTTTTTTTTGAGACAGAATCTCACTCTATCACTCAGGCTGGAGTGCAGTGGCGATCTCGGCTCACTGCAGCCTCCACCTCACGGGTTCAAGCTATTCTCCTGCCTCAGCCTCTCAAGTAGCTGGGACTACAGGTGCCCACCACCACACCCAGCTAATTTTTTTGTATTTTTAGTAGAGATGGGGTTTCACCATGTTAGCCAGGATCGTCTTGATCTCCTGACCTCGTGATCCACCCACCTCAGCCTACCAAAGTGCTGGGATTACAGGAGTGAGCCACCGTGCCCGGCCACTACCAGACATTTTCTAACAACATATTTCAGTGATTTGACCAGATTAAAATCAGAACTCCTTAAGTTTTTTGGACAGTTATTCTCTGGCGTAGTTCTAGCACTCGTTAAAGGGGATGGGGAGGATCGTACAACAGGAATAAATGTCCAGCTAAAATGCTTACCCTTCTCTGTCCTGCGTCTTTTAGCAGAAGGGAATTAGGTAATTTATAATTCTGGAGAAGGAATCCAAATCACACTTAATGTAAAACTATTATTATATATCTTAAAAAATAAAAAGTACAGATTACAACAGAAAAATATGCCTTGCTTTTGCTTGTTCCACTCCAATACTCAACTGCTCTAGAATAACAAATCTCATGACCCATAGGCTAATAGGCAGTGAAAATAAATAACATTGTGCTAAGTCATGCTGAAAAACTGGTTTTTATTTCAGCCTCTGTGTCCAGTCCCAGGAAGGGGTCTATACAGAGTTGCACACACTTCTGAGTAACTTCTGACATTGGGGTCAATATGTAAATAAATGAGGCCAAGCTTCACCTATTTTTCCATCTTTGTTCCCTTTATTTGAGAGGATATTAATGATCAAATTTGTGGGTAGATGAAATACTTTGGGCCAATCACCAGAAATTTCACCTGTCAGAATTATCTTGACAAAAGGAGAGGTTAGACAAACGACTTGTGAATCAAGGTAAATCCACCCTACGGTAAACGGGTGAAGATCACCAAAGGCCAAAACAGCAGCTACATCCCAGGGATAAAATAAGCCTAGGCTAAGGTGGTTCAGACAGCTGTGGCTGATGCAATTGCATTATAAGCTTATGAATTCCTGTGAGAAAACAGTTAAGTGAATACATTAAGTCATTCTGATCGTCTATCTTCAGAACAACTGCCCACATAAAGTAGACTGTTCACAACCAAACTGATTAATTCTATTTTTTCAGTAGGTATAATTGTTTAAAATATTCTTATTAAAGACTGAATCTCATCTTCCCTTGCAGTATCTCAGACTATAAATTATTTAAGGGTAATAACTTGGATCTCTGTTCCTAGCACACAGGGTGACCAGAGTAGGGGTGTTCCAATTGAGTAAGGGTGGGGGGGTGCTGCCAGCTCCACTAGTGACAGACATTGGCCAGCTATGTGCAGGAGTCCACAATCTGATAGATTTTCATCTAACCTCAGACAGCCAGGCCCCACCTGAGGCAGCCTGTGCCCGGGTAGAAATCTCTTCAGAAATCTGAGCCTTTCCTACTCAGGAGAGATGGACCTGGGCCTGTCTCTTCTTGGGTGAGGAACCAGGCAAGGAGCTCACTCTCAATGCCCTGTGTCATGGGAACTTCTGAACTGATCCTGTGTGTGTTCAGGAGATCTAAACTCAACAAGGGGTCCTCTTTTCTGTTTCTTCCTTTCTCTCTGGTAATATAGAGTCTGAGGAATGGGCTAGATGGATAAGAAAAGGTCATTTATAACTAAGAAAAGGTGAAGTGTTATCCTTCAATAGCATAACCCTTCTACCAACCTAGTGGATTATCAAAACCTCTGGCCTACTTTCCTTTGGTTTCATTTTTGGGAGACTAACTTCTGTTTTGTTTTCATAGTTTATCTTTCGATCGCTGGGTCGTTCATATAACCACACTGTTGGGTTCAGGCAGTACTTATTTTCATGGTCAGAGACAATACAGTACAGAATACATTGGACTTGAACTCACAAGACCCAACTACAATTCTCTACCACTCTTAGAGTTGTAGTTAAAAGATCAGGCTCCAAAAGATAAATGTTTGAGGTGACAGATATCCCAATTACCCTGTTTTGATCATTACGTATTGCATATATGTACCAAAATAGCACATGTACCCCAAAAATGTGTGTAACTGATGTAACAATACATTTTTTAAAAAGGACCAGGCTCCAGTCAGAATGCCTAAATGCCACTGTGTGAGCCTCTGGGGCAATCTACTTCATCTCTTTGCCTTTCTGTTCCCTTATTCCTAAAACTAGGTTAAATAATGGTATCTACACATCATTAATCGTGAAGATTAAATGAGTTAATATATGTAAAGCATTTGAACAGTAACTGGCATACAGTAAGCATGCAGTAATGTTAGAATTAGCTTAATAAGTTAAATGAACAAGTAATTTCATCTTACTGTCTTCATCCTAAAACTGATTAATATTTACCCTATGTGTCCATCTCTTAATGCTCTTACAAGTGTGAAGAACATGAGAGGATATTATGATTTACATATGTTTCCCATAACTCTGTCACACTAGAAATGGAAAATACAATTATAATTTTTATTTTTAATATTTATTATTTGTGTGACACAGCCCCAGGAGGTCCTGAGAACATGTGCCCCATATTTATTATTAAGAAGACCATCCTACACATGCACACGTATGTTTATTGCGGCACTATTCACAATAGCAAAGACTTGGAACCAACCCAAATGTCCAACAATGATAGACTGGATTAAGAAAATGTGGCACATATACACCATGGAATACTATGCAGCCATAAAAAATGATGAGTTCATATCCTTTGTAGGGACATGGATGAAATTGGAAACCATCATTCTCAGTAAACTATCGCAAGAACAAAAAACCAAACACCGCATATTCTCACTCATAGGTGGGAATTGAACAATGAGATCACATGGACACAGGAAGGGGAATATCACACTCTGGGGACTGTGGTGGGGTCGGGGGAGGGGGGAGGGATAGCATTGGGAGATATACCTAATGCTAGATGACACATTAGTGGGTGCAGCGCACCAGCATGGCACATGTATACATATGTAACTAACCTGCACAATGTGCACATGTACCCTAAAACTTAGAGTATAATAAAAAAAAAAAAAAAAAAGAAAACCAAAAAAAAAAAAAAAAAAGAAGACCATCCTTTCTTGATGTGCAAGCAAAAATTAGATTAAAAAAAAAAAACATCCTGACTGCATTTGGTATAGTTAAAAAACAAGCACACACACACTAAACTGGAAGCCAGAAGATGGACTCTGCAACTAGTGCGTAGTCATACATCTCAGCCTCATTTTTTTCCATCCTTAAAATCAGGCAAATTGGATGTCATAATCTCTAAACTTCCACTAACAACACAGTTTTCACCAACACCAGGAATATAAGCAAATCTCAAACTGTGAACAGGTTTCTAAAAAGAACTAAGACATTGCTTTTGTTGTTTTCAAAAGAATTTCAGTTTAAAGAAAAAGGAAGCCAAAAATACTTGTTTTCATTATGACACCAAATCCTAAAGGGAAAGAAATAGATTTAATGCCAAAAAGATGTCAGAATAACCAGCTCAAAAGCTAGAGGTCACCCAATACAGAGTAGGAACTAACCTAGGCAGCAAGTGTGATGGAAGTTTTAAATAGCAAATGAAAAGATTATATAATAATGAGCTGTCAAAGGCAGAATTAAAACTGGCATAAGTCAACTTCAAGAAAGAAATGGACTGTAATCCCAGCACTTTGGGAGGCCGAGGCGGGTGGATCATGAGGTCAGGAGATCGAGACCATCCTGGCTAACAAGGTGAAACCCCGTCTCTACTAAAAATACAAAAAATTAGCCAGGCGCGGTGGCGGGCGCCTGTAGTCCCAGCTACTCGGGAGGCTGAGGCAGGAGAATGGCGTGAACCCGGGAAGCGGAGCTTGCAGTGAGCCGAGATTGCGCCACTGCAGTCCGCAGTCCGGCCTGGGCGACAGAGCGAGACTCCGTCTCAAAAAAAAAAAAAAAAAAAAAAAAAAGAAAGAAATGGACAAGTCCTCTGATAGTAACAAGCATATGCAAAAGCAGGGTTATCCTTAGAGGTGGCAGCCTGGGGAATGGGGTGGGAAAGCTAACTGTACTATTTTTACTCTGGCTAATAACAAGATGAAGGTAAATGAATTTAGACATTACAGCCTGCTCACAGCAGGTTTCACATTAAAAGGGCCCATTTGACCACTGGCTTCTCTCACTGAGAACTTCAGCACCTGGCTTGGCCCCCAAGTTGCTCTCTGCCCCAACTCCTGTCATTTTTGGTGACAATATAGACCATACTCCTGACACCCGGGTCTCTCTCTCTCTCTTTTTTTTTTTTTTTTTGGAGACAGAGTTTCATTCTTGTTGCCCAGGCTGGAGTGCAATGGCGCGATCTCGGCTCACTGCAACTTCTGCCTCCGGGGTTCAAGTGATTCTCCTGCCTCAGTCTCCTGAGTAGCTGGGATTACAGGCATGTGCCACCATGCCCAGCTAATTTTGTATTTTTAGTATAGAGACGGGGTTTCTCTATGTTGGTCAGGCTGGTCTTGAACTCCTAACCTCAGGTGATCCGCCTGCCTCGGCCTCCCAAAGTGCTGGGATTACAGACGTGAGCCACCGTGCCCGGCTTGTTTCTTAAGCTTCTCCTCAGTGACCTTCTATTCCATTCCACTTCATGCTCCCCAGGACATACCCTGACCTTTGTCATTCCCTCCACAATTACATATTTACCTCCACAATCACAAATTTAGACATCTCCTATCCTACCAATCCCCTGTCCTTGCCAAAAGCTTCCCACCCCAGGAATCATTAATTCTTTCACCTGTTAACTGTAATCCACAGATTCTCCCATTTTCTTCCCAACTACCAGCCCTCTTATCTTCACTGGCTTCTTACTCAGCTTAAGATTTAAGAGCCATCACCATCCTCACTCTCAAGCAATCCTCTGCAAATCCCCTGTCCTCTCCCCTCCAAAATGCCCATCTAGCAAAGCTACCACAGGAAGCATCATTCACATTTGCTCAACTTGGACTTGAGGGTACCAGTAGGTAGGCATTCATTCACTCACACGAATATTCTTCTGCAGAAAGGGCACTGTATCAGGCCCTGAGTAGTGAGTATTTGGGAGGACAGGGGTGGTGGTAGCAAAACAGACCCAGGGGCTGCCTTCATGGAGTTCACATCTACTGAGCTGGCAGGGAGGAGAGACATAAGTAAACAAATATATACCAGTTTATCTAAACATGCTCAACAGCCTTTCTTGGACTCAGCATCACCTACAATCTTCCCTTCCCCTTTCTCTAGTGGGTCGCTCCCCCAGTCTCCCATGACTGTTACATTTTACCACAATCCTGCAAATCTACTTTCTTTCTCTCCCTTTGTTCCCCTAACTCTCTCCTCTAGTTCTTTCACTAAATAGCCTTGTCCCTTTTCTTTGAGAAGATGAAAGCCAATTGGCAGGATTCTTCATTTTCCATAAAAATTTCTAAACTCCTCCCTGCACACATACTCTTTCTCCCTGCCTCAACAGCTTGCACACATGTTCCCCTCTTCTCAAACACCAGGCCTCTGGGTTCTGATCCTGCTCCCTCCTTCCTTCTCGATGGTGGTGCTCCTGCAATTCTCTTCCCAACTCCAGCATCACCAAGCTCTCCCTTTTCTAAACATCTCTCTACAATAAGCACTTTAAAATCCTTCAGAATCTTCCATTTAAAAATTAAAAACAGGCCAGGCATGGTGGCTCACACCTGCTGTCCCAGCACATTGGGAGGCCAATGTGGGCAGATCGCTTGAGTATAGGAGTTCAAGACCAGCCAGAGCAACATGGTGAAACCCATGGCTACAAAAAATGCAAAAAAATTAGCCAAGCGTGGTGGCCCATGCCTGGAGTCCAGGAGGTCCAAGCTGCAGTGAGCCACGATTATGCCACTGCAGTCCAGCTTGGATGATTTCCTTAATGGAGCCACATGTCTTCACAGCGGTGTATGTCTAGAACAAAGTTTCTTGACCTTGGCAGCCTTGTCCAAGCCACCAGCATCTCCGGCTACAAAAGCTTTTATAACTGTGCTTCTATCCCGTCACTGTGTCTTGCCCCACAGCAGTAGAATGATCATTAAAAAAACAAAATCAGACCTTTCACTCCCCTGCTGAAAACTATGTAATCTTTCTATTACATTTAAAATGAAAGTCGAGCCTTTAACCTGGCCTACAAAGCGGTCTGTGAACTCAACCCTGCCTGCCACTTGGCCCGTGTGTCACACACCTCACATTTTACCCAGTTTTCCAGGCTGGGGCCTTTGTACTCAAAATTTCTTCTGCCTGGAAAGCTCTTACCCCTGATTTTGGAGGATCAGGGCTGGTTTTTGTTTTGTTTTGTTTTTAATCTTTTTAAGTCTCAGCTTAAATTTACTTTGTCAGACCCTTCCTGAATATCTGATCCAAGGTACCTATTCTATCCATTAATTCTCTGCATAAAGCTATCAGAAGTTTTAAATTTTGCTTTATCTTCGCACTCCAAAAGAACATAAAGTATTAAGAGAGCAATTTGTTCACTTCTGTATCTACAGCACCCAGAATAACGCCCAGCTCGCAGTAGGTATCCAATAACTTTGTGAAACTGATTGGAAGGATGATGTATGCCACAGCCAAAGCCTCAGCTGCCAGACATAATTTTTGAAAAATGTTATTTTCAGAACACCAGTAAAAGAGCTTTTAACAATGGCTTATATTCTCATAGCATTATCTCTATTTATTTTTTTACAAAACCTTCCTTACTTACTAGAACCTTGTTTCTCTCTACTGGAATTCAAAAGATACTTATCATTGGCCAGGCACGTTGGCTCACGCCTGTAATCCCAGCACTTTGGGAGGCCAAGGCAGGCAGATCACCTGAGGTCAGGAGTTCGACACCAGCCTGGGCAACATGGTGAAACCCCATCTCTCCTACAATACAAAAATTAGCTTGGCGTGTTGGCACATGCCTGTAATCCCAGCTATTCGGGAGACTGAGGCAGGAGAATCACTTGAACCCGGGGGGCAGAGGTTGCAGTAAGCTGAGATTGTGCCATTGCACTCCAGCCTGCACAACAGAACAAGACTCTGTATCAAAAAAAAAAAAAAAAGATATAGATCACTACAGAGTAGCCATTATGTAACTGTTTGGGACAGGACTAAAGTCATAACCACGGTTATTAGAGAAGTACACAGGTGATCTGAATGGAATTTTGCCTCCCCAGCCCCAAAATTCATTTTATTTGAGACGGAGTCTCACTCTTGTCGCCCAGGCTGGAGTGTAGCAGCGCCATCTCAGCTCACTGCAACCTCTGCCTCCTGGGTTCAAGTAATTCTCCTTCCTCCGTCTCTCGAGTAGCTGGGATTACAGGCACGCGCCACCATGCCCGGCTACTTTTTATATATATATATTTTTAGTAGACACGGGGTTTCACCATATTGGTGAGGCTGGTCTCGAACTCCTGGCCTCAAGTGAACCTCCTGCCTCGGCCTCCCAACGTGCTGGTATTACGGGCATGAGTCATCGTGCCCAGTCACAGAATTCATTTTATTTGTGAAAATACAGTGGTACAAGTAGGCCTTTGTTAAATGACTAACCTGAAACCTCTTGTGAATGACAAACTCCTCTCTACTGCAAATACTGGCCCATCCCTGCTTAAATACTGCTCAATGAAGTTACTCATGCTAGTTCTTGAGGGAGTAACTCTAGAATGATTCCATCTAGGAAGACATAAGATAAAATGGTAAGTATTCTAAGTTCTATAGGTAGTTTAGTCATGCCATATTATAAACCTCCACTCCAAAAATAGTGTGAGGTCATTTCTGGCCAGAGTGAAATAAAAAATGTATAATGCCTGAACAGTCTATTATTCTGACAATGAAAAAGATTAATGCAGTTCCCTTTATCACTTGCATGAGTAAAAAAATATATATATATATTGGCTGGGCGCGGTGGCTCACGCCTGTAATCTCAGCACTGTGGGAGGCCAAGGTGGGTGGATCACCTGAGGTCAGGCATTTAAGACCAGCCTGGCCAACATGGTGAAACCCCGTCTCTACTAAAAAACACAAAAATTAGCAGGGCATGATGGAGCATGCCTGTAATCCCAGCTACTCAGGAGGCTGAGGCAGGAGAATTGCTTGAACCCGGGAGGCAGAGGTTGCAGTTAGCTGCAATGGTGCTGCCACTGCACTCTGGCCTAGGTGACAGAGCAACACTCCGTCTCAAAAAAAAAAAAAAAAAAAAAAAAAAAGAATTATGGCACACTGGTTATCAGAGTATATGCCAGACTGGGAGATTTAAGAGGAACTCTGACAGGCTGTCCAGTCTAGTGGAACAGGGCAACCTAAACCATCCTGATAGTTTGACCCAATTTTAAAGGCCATTAATATAGCTCAGAGTTTTTTTTTTTTTTTTGAGACAAGAGTCTCGCTCTGTTGCCCAGGCTGGAGTGCCGTGGCGCGATCTTGGCTCATGCAAGCTCCGCCTCCCGGGTTCACGCCATTCTCCTGCCTTAGCCTCCCAAGTAGCTGGGAATACAGGCGCCCGCCACCATGCCCAGCTAATTTTTTGTATTTTTTAGTAGAGACAGCATTTCACTGTGTTAGCCAGGATGGTCTCGATCTCCTGACCTCGTGATCCACCCGCCTCAGCCTCCCAAAGTGCTGGGATTACAGGCATGAGCCACCACGCCCAGCCAGCTCAGAGTATTTTAACTATTGTATTGCCCATGACTTTTTCATTTTGTCTCCATTTACTCAAATGGGTTTGGCAAGTTCTTGCTTCATGCCACTAACATCAAATTCTTTTTTTTTTTTTTTTTTTTAATTTCTTGAGACCGGTTTCACTCTGTCACCCAGGCTGGAGTGCAGTGATGCTATCTCAGCACACTGCAACCTCTGCCTCCTGGGCTCAAGTGATTCTCCCACCTCAGCCTCCCGAGTAGCTGGAACTAAAGGTATACACCACCATGCCCAGCTAATTTTTGTATTTTTTTTTTTAGAGATGGGGTTTCTCCATATTGCTCAGGGTGGTCTCAAACCCCTTGTCTCCAGTGATGTGCCCACTTCGGCCTCCCCAAAATGCTGGGATTACAGGATGAGCCACTGCGCTCGGCCTCACATCAAGTTCTATGGCAGCACGAGCTTGCTGGTTTTGTACCTGACCATTCTACCAACATTCAGCAAACCATTCAGCAGTCCCTCCAGAATCCTGTTCTCAACCATTTCTCTTACCTTCCCAGCTTTGGTATCATCAAATTGCAACCCAGAGGCAATGCATACAGCCTGCTCCTAGTAGAGGGTCCTCCTCACTGAAAATATGTAGATATAGATCGGTAGCATTTCACAAATTGGTTTCTAAACTTGTTACCTGTACCTTATAACACAGTTTTCTAATTTTTAAGAAGTATAAATGATGACAGGGTTCCTAGGCTGCTCTTAAAGTTATTTACAAAAGATTCTAAAATATTCTATAGTTCTATCTGAAATTAGGATACAATTCTGTTAATAGTAGCCAATAATCATTTAAATGTAAGATAAAATGACATCTTAATTTTATCTGGAATGCTAGTGTTTAAGTAAAGTAGATATGATATGAAGGAGAATATAATAGATCCAGAAGAGAACTTCTGGATGTTGCAAGATCTTTAGTGGCTATAAGCCCTGAATTTAATTTTTTTTATATATATAATTTTTTTTTTTTTTTTGAGACAGAGTCTCGCTCTGTTGCCCAGGCTGGAGTGCAGTGGCACGATCTTGGCTCCCTGCAGGCTACGCCTCCTAGGTTCACGCCATTCTCCTGCCTCAGCCTCCTGAGTAGCTGGGACTACAGGTGCCCGCCACCACGCCCAGCTAATTTTTTGTATTTTTAGTAGAGACGGGGTTTCACTGTGTTAGCCAGGATGGTCTCAATCTCCTGAGGTCATGATCCACCCGCCTCGGCCTCCCAAAGTGTTGGGATTACTGGCGTGAGCCACCACACCCGGCCCTGTATCTTTTATTAGAAGACTTTTATATTTTTTTTCCCTTGGCTTAGGCTTATCAAAAGTATCCCCATTATGATTATTAGCTCTAAAGAGGGGCATTTTTCAGTTCATATGAAGAGAAAAATGCAACAACGGAAGGGGGAAGTGGAAGAGTCAGGCAGAAAAGAAAAAGGTGAGAAGTACTTGAGGTAACCACCCAAGAGAAGAGAAAAAGGGGGAAGAAAGAAGTGAAGAAAGTTGCGCGTAAAGACAGTATCTGAGATGGACTAAACTCTAAACTCTAAGCAGAAAACAAAGGAAGGAAAACAGTGTGTGCACTTATACACACACATAATTAAAATTTAAAGGAAAAAAGAAGGGAGGCTGCTGGGAAACACGTGGGTTAGGCAGGTCCTGAGCAAGCTACCACAGGGAATTCTGGCCAAGCCTGATGGCTTTCTAGAGCAAAAGACAGCAAAGTGTAGACTCAGACAATGATACAGACAGGACAGTCAAAAGACATACATTTGCAATATGATTAAAAATATTTACTTTTATAATAAAAGCAAACATTGTAGACTATTTGGAAATTACAGAAAAGTATGTTTTTAGTCTCCTTTAACTGAACAGCTATGGATAACATCAATAGTTTGGCATTCAAATGTGAAATGTATAGGAAAAAATTAGAGTTGTACTATATAAAAAACATTTTCCTGTGTGTCCCTTCAAAGAGGTGTTAAAACATGACTAATGGGTAAAACATTTTATCCACTAAGATGCACTATCACTTAGCTACTTTATCACCGACTGGGTCATTTAGGTTGCTTCTGACTTTTAAGTATTATAACACTAAAATTTACGTATTCTTTTGACAGTGCACATTTCTAAATATTTCTTTAGATAATTTTTAACTTTTTAAATAAAATTATTTGAAGGATATAAAATATTTACCAAGCAATACATAGTGGTAGACTGGCTGTATCATAATACCTTTTCTAACACTGTTTTATCTGCCAGTTTGACAAATCATATACTGTACTTTCGTTTTAATCTGCATTCTTTTGGATTAGACATAAAACCATTTTGTATCCTCTGCTTATTTTTTTTTATTAAAAATTACTCTGTATTACCCTCTTCTATGAGATCATTCATCTTTATTTCACCCACACTGTAACTGCAAGTCTGTTTGGTGAAAGCTTTCACTTAACAGCTGAGCACAAGTATCAAAGGCTAAAAACTGTGAACCTCGAGAAGTGTGAGCTATGGCAGTCTCTGCAGCAATTTCTTTGCATAAAACAAAATCTTCATGAACTGGGGATTACTTGGGGTTCTGAATGAGTATCTCTAAAGTCCTCATGCACACCTCAACAACTCTGAAGCTTTTGTGAAGACAATCTCTCTTGTAGAAACTTATGTCTTCCTTACGCTCTCTCTTCTAAATTGAGGTGCTGACTCACACCTCTCCTAAAAAACAATGGAACCATGCCATTAAGTACACGTAGTATTTTATTTACATTCTTCTTCTCTCCTAACCAGTAAAGATCTTCTGTAGCCTTCGTCATGTCCAGCAGGATGCCAGGTACCCCGAGTTTTAATACACTGGTCATATCAAACATGCAGAATCTGTTTAATTCTAGTATCTCATTTTCTAGCAGAGAAAACAATGGGTCAGCTGCATATCTCTCTCATGGTCAAGGAGAACCAGGGCCAGAACTTCTCTACCCTGATAACCAGTCCACTGACCAATCACACTCTCCTAACTCCTACACAGTAACACCCAGCAGTATTGCTAAGCACTCTAGGAACTAATGTTTCTGAATGAAAAATATGAAAGTCTGAATTTTCAAGTAAATCAGAAAAAGATTCAAATATGATTCATCTCAAAGCAGTCTCTCTGGAAAATTATGCAAATATTCAGCGATGTTATAGTTGATTAAAGGAGTTTTATATCTTTTACTCTTTTCAAAGTGCCTAGAGGGCCGGTTTTATACCCCAATTGATATTACTCGTTTTTCCATTCATCTTATTCTTTGGGCTTAAATGACTGTTAGCCATTTCAAAAATTCACATCCAGCTTCAAAGCATCAAGATTTGCCATCACTTATGATACTGAAACAGAAGTAAAATTCCAAAAAAAAGAGCTCAAAGTGTTTGAAACAATAATGGCATCATAAGAATAAGTTCATAACCTCCCAAGGTGTCTACCTATATTCCTTTTCTTTCCAAAAAGTAGCTATGCCACTATTTCGAATACCCACTCATTTATAGATGCAAATTGTTTTAAAGGGACATCTCATGCAATCATGTAACTACTGACAGCCCTCTAAAACTATATTTGGAGAGTGTCCCAAAGATAAGCATATCACATTATATTGAATATATATATTTAAATATTCAGAGAGAAATGTCTTAAAGAGCATATTCCAGAATGTAAATAATGACACCCTTTAAGGGATAAGATTATGAGACATTTTGATTTTTCTTTACTTTGGCTTACAGATTTTCTTACATTGCTCTAATGGATATGGGTCATTTATACAATTAAAATACACATCCATACACAAACACACAAAATAGAACAAAGTACATAGACACTGCAAAATTCCAAGAGCCAAGCATTAAAGATGTTTGATCTAAATTTGCACAGCTGATTGTTTAAAAGCTCAAAATTTGGCTCAGGAAGAACACTACACCTACCCAGATACAACAGGGGCAAGATTTAAAAAGAATGTTGAGATTGGGTTGATCTTACCTCCTCGCCCTTCTGTATAATTTTACAACTATCTACACAACTCAAAAAGGAATCCTTGCCTTTTCTAAGTGAGCCACAACCTTTCTGAATGCTTAAAGCACATCTCAACAGTAATTACACTGTTGATGACCTGAAAATGGGTCACCCCGCACAACTGATTGAAACTCTCTTATGCAACCTTCCTCTAGAGGAAACAAGAACAGCTTGTACAAATATTTCAGCTAAATCTACTTTCCAAACAGAAGATGATACACATTTGTAGGCATTATCAAGTCCTGAAAGCACACAGAAAGGCAAAAGAAACAATTATGAAGAAGTTAAATTAGCTTAGTCATTTGTCCCAACCAAATTTCATATTGCATCATTAATTTAAGAAAGCGTGGAGGCTTTTTGTGTCATTAGTTAATAAACAAGCAATGCCTAAAGTTTAGACATTATTACCTAGAAAGTTATGATGAGATAATCATATTATCTAGAAAAAATACATTAAGGTCTGAGAAATAACATTTCTACAGGATATGAAATTGCATTTCTATAAGTTCACTCTTAGTTTCAACAAGCTCTATTGTTTCCTTTCTGACTAGGAATGTGGGGTTAACAAAACTAGACTTAGCATGCCAGTTTTTAGCCTTTAGGTAAACAGGTATTTATGAAATGTATCTGAATGAACTTGCATGGACTTCTATAAAGGCTTTAAAGTCCTATCACTAACCAACATAAGAGTTTTAAATGGCTGAGTAGACAGAAACACCCTAAAGTTAGAAGATGAATAAACTGGGGACAGGGAACCACAACACAACAGAAAAGCCCTCTCAAAAGGAGAAGGTGTACAGGCGTATACGTTTCTACACCTATACAGGTGCTAAGTCAGATGTGCTCGGGGGCTGTCTCAAAGGCTCAACACCTCACAGCTCCACTCCCACTTTACCATTCACAACGCTGAAACTTAGAGGCCCCTATAGCAAGAAAGAAATTTCTGATTCAACTGGTTAGGAGTGGGGGTGTAGTGGGGAGTGGTCTAGACTCCAGGATATCGGGCATTACTTCTTAAGACAGCCCACAGCAGCCAGGCGCAATGGCTCACGCCTGTAATTCCAGCACTTTGGGAGGCCGAGGCTGGCGGATCACGAGGTCAGGAGATCAAGACCATCCTGGCTAACACAGTGGAACCCCGTCTCTACTAAAAATACAAAAAATTAGCCGGGTGTGGTGGCAGGCACCTGTAGTGCCAGCTACTCGGGAGGCTGAGGCAGAAGAATGGCGTGAACCCAGGAGGCGGACCTTGCAGTGAGTCGAGATCGTGCCACTGCACTCCAGCCTGGGCGACAGAGTGAGACTCCGTCTCAAAAAAAAAAAAAAAAAAAAAAAGCCCACAGCAGTAGCAAAATGTTTGAACTCTGGCAATTCTGAACATGAGGCTTAGTCTGATTCTCAGAGAATGCTCAATATATTACAATTTTATTGTTCTTACTTAAAATTGTTCAATATTTTATAATATTTTAGACATGTATAAAGTGAAGCAAAAAAAAAAAAAGCTGGCTTAAATTAACTAAATTACTACCATTCTACAGTCTCCAAATATTTAAAGGTGTCCACCTTCAATCAGATAGATCTGTCACTGAGTGCCTCAATGGGGGTGACAGGTAAATAACATCACCCATTAAGGTAAAAGGAGATGAAGGTGAGGAGAAAGTACCTCTTTGTACAACCCCACTGAGGTTTCTATTCTTTCTTCTGCTGTTTAGGGGGCTAAAGAGACTGGAGGTGGGAAGACTGCAAAGGGTCATTTAATTGTAAGGTACCCAGAGTTGGAGTGAACAAAAAAGCAAAGTAGGATCTAGGGAGAATTTCTGAAAATGATAGGATTAAAACACATACTATGTAACATTCATTCTTGCAATCTGGCATTCAAAATTAGACTTAAGATATGTTTATTATTTTCCTGCTAACAGCTTAAAGAACAGTGGGGCCTTAAAGCTGGTTTAATCTGACACCAAAAGACAAAAATCTAAAGTAATGGTCATTATAATTATGCAAAGAGTATATTTAAACGTCTTCTAACACACTATAGAAGTTCCCCCCAAAAGTCACTGATTAATTAACCAAAGCCAAAAAAGGAAAAATTCAATTAGACAGCCATTTCTGGCATTAATTACCTCCCCTGAAATGTAAGATTTTTCCCCCTTAGATTTCAAAACTCTCTAAGGAGAAAAACCAAGTAGTAACATACCTATAGATGGAGATTTGAAAGGGTATTTATCAGGTAGGTCCACTCTAACTTTCCATACTCCGCCTTCATATGGTGCTGAAATAAAAGTAAAAATGTTCATCAGAACTACATCTCCAAATTAGAAAATAAATCTGAGTGTAAATTAAACATTATCCCCTAATCTTCTGAAAACCTTCCAAATTAATTCCTTCAAGAGTCAGGGACCTACTACAATCAATAGGTGTACCACGTTCAGATTAAGATACTTTTCTTGGAAAGATCCAGAGTTAAAAAATAAGCAGATTCATTCTGCAATTTACTTGATTCTTCAAAAGTACTAAACACTATTCAATTATTTGGTAAGTAATAGCCATGTTACTTTCCCTCCTATCTCAATAAACCCCATATTCATCCCCCCTCCAAGGCCAAAAAGAAAACAACAAAAAACATTTCCTGGAAACCATTCACGTGGCCATCCATAACAAAACCCAGAATTTACAATTCATGTCTAGTACTGTCACATAGAGATAAAGAGAAAACTACAGTCAGCCCTCTATATCTGCAGGTTCCACACCCCTGGATTCAACCAACCACAGATCAAAAATATTAGAGAAAAAAATCCAAACAATAATAAATAACAATACAATTAAAAATAACACAAAAAAAATACCAAAAAGGACAAGTGCGGTGGGGCTCATGCCTGTAATCCCAGCACTTTGGGAGGCTGAGGCGGGTGGATCACCTGAGGTCAGGAGTGCGAGACCAGCCTGGCCAACATGGTGAAACCCTGTCTCTACTAAAATACAGAAATGAGCTGGGCGTGGTGGCAGGCACCTATAGTCCCAGCTACTTCGAAGGCTGAGGCAGAAGAATTGCTTGAACCCAGGAAGTGGAGGTTACGGTAAGCCACAATCGTGCCACTGCACTCCAGCCTGGGTGACAGAGTGAGACTCCATCACTTAATAAATAAATAAATAAATAAAATACAGTATAACAACTATTTACATAACATTTGCGTTGTGTTAGCTATTACAAGTAATCTAGATGTGATTTAAAGGACATGGGAGGATGTGTGTAGGTTACATGCAAATTCTATGTCATCTTATAAAGGGACTTGAGCATCTGTGGATTTTGGTATGAGGTGGTCCTGGAACCAATCCCCTACAGATATCAAGGGATGACTGTATATAAAGTGATTGTGATAAGAGAAAGATTTCCTCACTGGTTCTGCAGTCCAACTAAACTTGCTTTTCAGAAACTACGCATGCTACCATCTGTCTTTGATATTCTATTAAGAAACAGAGTAAAAGACTGTAATAGAAGAACACATACCAACACATGTACTTACTTCCTTGTGGTCCATAAAACTTCACTACAAATTCATTAAGTCCTCCCAGGATCGTAACCTCATGTTTACTCTCGATGCTAAGGTGGACGGTAAAGGAAATTACACAGGCTTTACAGTATCTGGCAGAATTACCAATAACACCCCAGGCATATGCCACTTAAAGTGTTACCAAAATTTGGCATGACATTGATAAAATATACATAATAATTCTGGTAGTTTAGGAGGAGGCAATATATACTCTTGTAAGAAGATATGCATGAGCTTTGGATTCAGAGACGGCCGTTCAAATCCCAGGAATGCCATTTACTGAGTTTTTGAGCCTAGCCAAAATAATGTCAGTTTACTCCCTGAGTCTTTGTTTTCTCTTTGCAAATTGGGAAAACAGCATTTCATAGGATTTCTGTGAGGATTAGACAGGTTAAACATGTAAAATGTGTAAGACTGCATTTTGCCTATATACATAAAAAACTGGCCAGACGCAGCGGCTCACGCCTGTAATCCCAACAGTTTGAGAGGCCTAGGCGGGTGGATCACCTGAGGTCAGGAGTTCGAGACCAGCGTGGCCTATATGGTGAAACCCCATCTCTACTAAAAAATACAAAAATTACCCAGGCATGGTGATGCATGCCTGTAGTCCCAGCTACTCAGGAGGCCGAGGCAAAAGAATTGCTTGAAGTTGGGAGGTGGAGGTTGCAGTGAGCCGAGATCACATCACTGCACTCCAGCCTGGGTGATAGGGTGAGACTCAGTCTCAAAAATAAAATAAAAAATATACATGAAAAATAGGCGCTTAATTTTAGCTTTTCTCTCCCTTTCTACCCTCTCCTCCTCAATCTATCCCTAATGAGCCTGTCATATAAACCCAGTATTCCCTTTAGTCAAATTCAAATGTTCAGCAAAATACAAATTCCCCTAAACTGGAAATGCTATGCTCCTAAAACGAGGGATTTACTAAGGAGAGTTCCCACAATTGTCTCCTTGGCTTATGGAATAATCAACACAGTTAATGATACAACCTTGCCACAAGCAGTACTGCCAAATGCAAAAGACCAACAAAACAAAAAAAAATTTTTTCAGATCTTATCCATAGCATCTGTTTTCACTGCCCCCCAAACTCCACCTTCTTCAGACTTGCCTCAAGGTTTGGTATGCTCCAGGGCTCTAATCACAGAGGGGTAACATGGCTGTGCTCCCTTCCTCTAAAACTTACCTACCCCTGAGATTCTTGCCCCTTTAAGGTGCTAAGATTCAATTCTAGAAACCAAATTAATTCATATTAGAAGAGAGGACTACTCGTTTAAAATCTGTTCTATGTATCTGCTTTGCGGTAAAATCCAAAAATGATTCTCAGTAGGAATTTTAGGTGACAGAGGCTTTGGGAAGCTCTCAAATCCCACTGTAACATTAAAAAGGAAAACACAATAGATTGGTCTCATATTTCTCCATCAGCAGTGCAAATTATATACTGTTAATACAAAACAGAAACATTTAAAAAGTTTTAATAATCTCATAGAGAATAAATATTTTTAAAGATTTGAAATTAAATATTTGGCACTCCAAGCCCGTGTCCAATGAGACACAGAACTGACTGCAAGAGGCCAGGTGTAATTTTGGTAAAGTCCTTGCTCAAGAGCCCTGAGTATCCACAAGAGATATTTAAATAAGATAGTTCAGTCTAGGCTAATTTGATCTAATTCTTTTCTAAACGATAACTTACTACCTTAGAAACATGCACACTAAAATGATTCAATACTGTCCACATAGGAAAACTGGCTTTATTTCTTGCTTGGTCAAATGACACATGCATGCCTACTCTGACCAGTCACCCTCTGACATCCTGCAAAATATTCCAAAGTTAACGTTAATGTAATAAGTAAAAGCATAACATGCTTAAAATGTTTTAAAACTTTTTTAAAAAAAGCATCCTTGTGTCACGTAAAAAAAGGCAAATCCAGTTAAAATAAAATTAAATATCAACAATACAGCCCTTAAAGAAAACAGACATGGAAAACACTTCCATAGTGTAAAAGACAAATGATAAACTAGGAAGACAAAAATGTGGATTTTAAAAATAAGTTATTACAAAGCAGCAAGAAAAAAATACAAATACCCCAACAAAGAAAAAGCCAGAACATCCAAGTCAAGAAAACGGAAATGGGTAAAACTGAAGTATAAAAAAGTCCAATTCATTAAAGAAGTTTAAAAAGATATTTCTTCACTATAAACAATGAAAACAACGAAAGAGCTGGATAAAATCTAGTGTTCAGTGGAGTACGAATTAGTACTTCTGAGGACAAATCCAGCACTATATTCCAAAACTTAAAATGAATTTACTCTTTTATTCAAATTTCACTTATATGAAGTTATTTTTTTAAAAATAGACACTGCTGGTGAGAGTGTGATATGGTTTCACCCACTTTGAAAAACTGTTGGCAGTACTAAACCTGCACATATGCATACCCTATGCCTGTCAGCGCTACTCCCGGAGATACGCCCAATACATATGGATAGTTACATTCACCGAAACCGATGTTTAAGAATGTTCACAGGACTATTTGTAACATCCAAAAATTAGAGACAATCCAAACGTTCATCAATGGCAAAAAGAATAAGCTGTAGTATAGTCACCCAAAAGAAAATTACAAAGCATTAAAAAAGAAAAATAGGCTGGGCACAGTGGCTCACGCCTGTAATCCCAGCACTGTGGGGAGCCAGGGCAGGCGGATCACTTGAGATCAGGAGTTTGCGACCAGCCTGGCCAACATGGCGAAACCCTATCTCTACTAAAAACACAAAAATTAGCTGGGCGTGGTGGCGGGTGCCTGTAGTCCCAGCTATTCAGGAGGCTGAAGCAGGAGAATCGCTTGAATCCGGAAGGCAGAAGTTGCAGTGAGCTGAGATTGCACCACTGTACTCCAGCCTGGGCAACAGAGTGAGACTCCGTCTCAAAAAAATATAACTTAAAAAAAGAAAAAAGAATGAATTGATACACATAATGTATGGGTTTTACAGATTTCATCAATGAACTACAAAAATAATTTCTCTACAAAAATTAGCCAGGCATGGTGGTATGCGCCTATAATCCCAACAACTTGGGAGGCTGAAGCAGGAGAAACGCTTGAACCCAGGAGGCAGAGGTTGCAGTGAGCCAAAATTGCACCACTGCAGTCCAGCCTGGGTGACAGAGTGTGACTCTGTCTCAAAAAACTAAATAAAAAAATAATAAAAATTTCTGTACTTTGGCCAGGCGCGGTGGCTCACACCTGTAATCCCAACACTTTGGGGGGCCGATGCAGGTGGATCACGAGGTCAGGAGATCGAGACCATCCTGGTTAACACGGTGAAACCCCGTCTCTACTAAAAATACAAAAAATTAGCCGAGCATGGTGGCGGGTGCCTGTAGTCCCAGCTACTTGGGAGGCTGAGGCAGGAGAATGGCATGAACACGGGAGGTGGAGCTTGCAGTGAGCCAAGAATGTGCCACTGCATTCCAGCCTGGGCGACAGAGCAAGACTCCATCTCAAAAAAAAAAAAAAAAAATTTCTCTACTTTTTGTATATATGTTATTCTTTAATAAAAAGTTTACAAAAATAAGTGTTTCTGATAAATCTGCATATATGTTTCCTGGAATATTTGAAGTTTAAAAATGGAAACGGTCTAAACATTTATCAATAAGAAACTGGTTCAACGAATTACTATTTTTTTTTTTTTTTTTTGAGATAGGGTCTCACTCTGTCATTCAGGCTACAGTGCAGTAGCATGATCACGGCTCACTGCAGTCTCTACCTCCCAGTGATCCTCCCACCTCTACTTCCCCCTAGCTGGGCCTACAGCAGGCACCACCACACCCAGCTAATTTTTTTAGTTTTTGTAGAGACAGGGTCTCTCTCTTTGCCCATGCTGGTCTTGAACTCTTGGGCTCAAGTGATCCTCCCACCTCGGCTTCCCAGAGTGCTGGGATTATAGGCGTGAGCCACCATGCCTAGCCAGGTGAAATGACTTATAAGCCATTTATACAATAGGTGGCTGGCTGCACTGGCTCATGCCTATAATCCCAGCACTTTGGAAGGCCTAAGGCAGGAAGATTGTTTGAGCCTAGGAGTTTGAGGCTGCAGTGAGCTATGATTGTGCCACTCCACTCCAGCCTGAGAGAGAGAGAACTTCTCTTAAAAAAAAAAAAAGGCAAAAAACACAAACCACATGCAGTAGGCTACTAATAGTGTGTACTGGTGTCCTCTTTCCAACCAGAGCTCCACTAATATATGTGTCTGTTCAACTTGGGTATCCAGAAGAAGTCAACTGAATTTAGTTGTACAAAGATATTCCAGCCCTTAAAACTGACAAGGATAATGAAAGAACGGAGTAGTGCAGAAGATTAAACGAGTTTAACAAAAGAAGTCTTAAATTAATTTTATAACATAAAAATCCACAGATGCAGCATTCTCCATCAATCAGAACTAATTTGCTATGAATGACACTGATCTACTGCAATTACTTTTAATCATTTAAAATTACGAGTTGTCCTTGTGGATGTTGCTTCTGGGAAAACTGAAGATACCTTTTCTATCCTTTACCTGGATGCGATAAAACGAGGTTCCTTCCATTTTGCGGTTTGTTTGGAATTCAGTCCATACTTACGTGTATTTTATAAAGAAGATCCTCCAAGCCTTCTCTTTCCCATGATCCCCAGTAATAGCCCACATGCCAGCTACAATGGGATTGTCTTTAATTATATATCACATCATAAATTAAAGAGTTCTCATAGTCTACCTCATATGAAAACCCAAAAGCAAACTGAACTAAACCTTTAAAACTTTTACCAAACCAGTAAAATGAGAAGCTATGCTAACTTTATGCTGCCTTGGAATGGACAGGCACTAAATGAGATAGAAAAAAGAATTTAGGTTTAGTCCAAAGAAAAACACTGCATTAAAAATAAGCCATTCCATCACCACTGAATGAATGACTTGCCACAAAATATATAATAATTACTTCACTGCTGTTACCACGTGTATTTATGGGAGAGACCACGAGTTTCTTTCTCCTCTCTGCTGCAAAGTCAAGGGCAAGGAAGGCACTAAGAAGGCAGGTTAAAATGACAAAAATAATGATCGATTTCTGGATGTGCTGGTCAGGCTGGGAGACTGGTGGGACTCACTAGAAGATTCCTCATTACTTTCTCTGTTTCACAGCTTAAAAATATAAAATATCCTTCAGACATTGTTCTGGTAAAAACTCATTAAATAAACCCATAAATCACATTTTATACTCATCTTTTTTGATCTTATTCACAAATACTGCTTTATACCCACTTAGCATTTCACTATTAAGGGGTATCACCATTTTGTGTAGAATAATGATTAACATTCCCAAGAACCCAAGTCCATTTCACTTTTTAAAGTGCCAGCCACCTACCACATTATTTTCCTGGAATGCCATTATGATTACACAATCTAATATTTAAAGGCAAATGCCAAACTGTCAAGAGATAAATGACATTCTTGGCAAAATGTGTCTGTCAGAGTTTTACAAGTGATTTTTATACAGTTCTGAAATTTTCCAGAAAGGAAGCCAAAGGCAATGTCTGGGCCTTAAGGACTGACAATAACAGGTCAAGGACCAAGGATTCAGGGACCACTGAGTCCTAAATTTACTGATAACAAGTTCATAAAATAAAAGAGTGCCCTCCCTGAGCTGTGTGGAAGGGAATGAGGTCCTGGCATAAAGAACGCGCTTCTGTGCAGAGGGCAGAAGCAAGTCGTGTGGATTTCTGTGTTCAGACCCACCTGCTTCCTACTCTCCTGGAGATGAGTCACACTAGGAAAGCTGAAGAAACTTGGCAATTTTCACTACCTGGTTTTTTGTTTTTTGGTAAAAAAAAAAAAAAAAAAAAAAAAAAGATATGTCTGTTAATCCATTAATATGTAAGTATCACAAAAATAGTGCTTTGGGGGGGATATGTTTACAAGGAATCCTTCTCTTTTAGAGACATAAATGGAAATATTTACTAATAAAAATGTTTCTAGGATTTGCTAGTAAATAACCCAGTGTGGGTAGAAGAGGTGTAGAAGAAACAGTAGAGGGCCAGCAACGTTAATGATTGAATCCTATGTTAATGATCGAGTCCCAGCGGCACATGATTTGTTACACTGTTCTCACTATTTTTGTTTTACATTTAAGTTTTCCATAATACAGTAAAAGTTCTTTAAAACCTAATAACATAGTTATCATCAAAAGTTTAGCTTTGTAGAGGCATAAAGCTTAGCTACTAGAGCTAAGAACAAGAACTAGAACTAGAATTTAGCTACTAGAGCTCTCTTGAACTTTTTTTTTTTTTTTTTTTTTGAGATGGAGTCTTGCTCTGCCACCCAGGCTGGAGTGCAGTCGCACGATCTCAGCTCACCACAACCTCGGCCTCCCAGGTTCAAGCGATTCTCCTGCCTCAGTCTCCCGAGTAGCTGGGATTACAGGTGCACACCACCACACCCGGCTAATTTTTGTATTTTTAGTAGAGACGGGGTTTCACCATGTTGGTCAAGCTGGTCTTGAATTCCTGACCTTGTGATCCACCTGCCTCAGCCTCCCAAAGTGTTGGGATTATGGGAGTGAGCCACCACGCCCAGCTAAAGGTGATACTATTAATGAGGCCCATGCCTGGCCTCTCTTGAACATTTATGAAACAATGTTAAGTTTTCCTGAGGTGCGACAGTTTGAAGAAGACAAAAAATAGCAAGTGATCCAGTATTTAAGAAAGCAAAGACTGGCTGGGTGAGGTGGCTCACACCTCCTGAGGTCGGGAGTTTGAGACCAGCCTGACCAGCATGGAGAAACCCCGTCCCTACTAAAAATACGAAATTAGCCAGGCGTTGTGGCACATGCCTGTAATCCCAGCTACTCGGGAGGCGGAGATTACGGTGAGCCAAAGTTACGGTGAGCTGAGATCACACCATTGCACTCCAGCCTGGGCAACAAGAATGAAACTCCGTCTCAAAAAACAAAACAAAACAAAAGCAAAAACAAAAAAACCAAAGACTTTACATTGAAAGAGAAGCATACTCTGCTAACATTCTGAAGGAAACAAGTTCAAGTGGTTTCATAAGGATGTCTATGAAAAATACAATCACATGGAAGGAAGACAAGCATGTGTCTGTATATCCATGACAAACAGCCTCTAGGCAACATGCTAACCAAAGCTCTTAAACTACAAGGAAAAATGGTCATGTCCAACAGAAAGGCTCCTGATTGAAATAAGAAGCTGAAAAAATTTTTAAGGGTTTTTAATGTTCTTCAAATGAAGAGGGGGAAGCCTTTTATTCAAAAGAGAAATTGAATGGCAGAAATAAAAGCTATTCAGAAAATGAGCATTATCTTGGGAAAGGTTTGCTAAGTAAAGAAAAAAAGAAAAGTGGCATTGAGAAAAGACAATGGGAAGTGGGCTGCTATCAGTGATGAAATCCATATGTATAAAGATTTAGGGACCATTGCAGTGGCTCACAACTGTTATCCTAGCACTTCAGGAGGCTGAGGTGGGAGGATTGTTTTGAGCCCAGGAGTTTGAGACCAGCCTGGGCAACATAGCAAGACCCTTTTTTTTTTTTGAGACGGAGTCTCACTCTGTCGCCAAGGCTGGAGTGCAGTGGCCTGATCTCAGCTCACTGCAATCTCCGCCTCCCAGGTTCAAGCCATTCTCCTGCCTCGGCCTCCCGAGTAGCTGGGATTACAGGCGCCTGGCACCACACCTGGCTAATTTTTGTATTTTCAGTAGAGACGGAGTTTCACCATATTGGCCAGGCTGGTCTTGAACTCCTGACCTCAAGTGATCCGTTCGCCTCAGCCTCCCAAAGTGCTAGGGTTATAGGCATGAGCCACCACGCCCAGCCACAAAAACTACTCTTACACAGAGACTGCCTTCCAGAAGTTTGAAGTCTAGCAAGGGAACACGAGATCTGTTCATTAAGAAGTACAGAAAGAGTTTGCATAAAGTAATACTATAGCTTAGAGTAGGAGAGATTTCTTCCAGCCCGGAGGGAGGGATAGGGATGGTCTGCTATGGAAGGTAAGGACTTACAAAATGTCCTAAACAGAGTGTGATTTGGACATGTCGAGGTGGGAGAAGGAATTTAATGCAAAGATTTAGTATAGAACTGATTCAGGAAACTGAGAACAATACATTTTTATTTTGATGAGTGGACCCTAGGGAATACTAGAAAGTAGGCCAAGACCAGATTACGGAGGGCTCCGAAGTGTGGATTTTATCTGGCAAACAGGGAAACAGTATTCCATGCACAGTGCATCTACCTGTGCTTTACAAAGATAACCCAACTGTGGTGTGTAGGACTGGCTGAAGGTGGGAATAAGCAGAGTTAAAGCAAAAGAGTAGGAAAGAAATATTCAAGACCTCAACTAAGATAACAGCCACATGAATCATGGGACATTAAACAGAGCCCTCACAGGCCTTCACAGCTGAACAGACCTGGCAGAGCCAGTAGAAAGCTCCAACGTTGCTACAATGTCTAATTTTCATGACAAAACAAAAAAGCAGATCTCCAAATCAATCTTCTAATTTCTAATTCAAGCTCTAAATTTCTAAGTGTAAACAAAGTATATGTGCTCCAATGTCTCCCTCTCAGTGAGGCCTTCTGGGATATCCTATTTACAACCACTTACTCCTAACATTCCCACCATGCAATATACTATGTATTTTACTTTTATCTCCTACTGCAGTGCAAGCTCCGTAAGAGCAGGAATTGTTTATTTTGTTCACAGAAGAGTACCCAGCAAACAGTAGACTACAAATGAACATGAGGCCGGGTGTAGTGGTTCATACCTATTTAATCCCAACACTTTGGGAAGCAAGGGCAGAAAGATTGCTTGAGGCCAGGAGTCCGAGACCAGCCTGGGCAACATAACAAAACCCAGTCTCCACAAAAACAAAATTTTTAAACATTAGCCAGGTATGGTGGTACGTGCTTATACTCCTAGCTAATCGGAAGGCTGACAGGGGAGGATCACATGAGCCCAGGAGTTAAGTTAGAGACCAGCATGGGCAACATAGTGAGACCCCCATCACTACAAAAAACACCAAAAAATTAGCTGGGCAGGGTGGTACGAGCCTGTAGTCCCAGCTACTTTGACGGCTGAGGCAAGAGGATTGCTGGAGCCCAGGAGTTTGAGTCTGTAGTAAGCTATGATGACACTACTGAACTCCAGCCTGGGTGACAAACATAGACCCTGTAGCTTAAAAACAAATAAATTTAAAAATAAGATGAACACATGAATGAAGTTGCCAGTCTGAGACCTTAATTTTAGCCTCTCAGACAGGTAAAGTGATACCACATATATATATACACACGTATACATACACACGTATATATACACACGTATATATATACACGTGTATATGTATACATACGTGTATATATGTATGTATATATACGTGTGTATATATATGTATGTATATATACACATATATATACACACACTTATATATATATTTTTTTTAAAGATGGAGTTTTGCTCTTGTTGCCCAGGCTAGAATGCAATGGTGTGGTCTCGGCTCCCTACAACCTCCGCCTCCCAGGTTGAAGCGATTCTCCTGCCTCAGCCTCCCAAGCAGCCGGGATTACAGGTGCCTGCCACCATGCATGGCTAATTTTTGTATTTTTAGATTTTTGTATTTCACCATGTTGGCCAGGCTGGGATTGAACTCCTGACCTCAGGTGATCCGCCTACCTTGGCCTCCCAAAATACTACAGGCGTGAGCCACTGCGCCCAGCCAACGGTGATACTATTAATGGCAAAGTGAAACACAGGACAGCAGGAATCAGTTTTGTAATGAAAGACACTATTAGTAAGTTTACTTTTGAAAACACTAAATTTGAGGTTATCAGTGGATAAACCAAGTGGCAATATATTATAAACAGCTGGAAAACTCATGACTTAAAGAAGTCAACTTATAGGCTGGGCATGGTGGCTCACGCCTGTAATCCCAGCACTTTGGGAGGCCAAGGCGGGTGGATCACAAGGTCAGGAGTTTGAGACCAGCCTGGCCAAAATAGTGAAACCCCGTCTCTACTAAAAATACAAAACAAATTAGCTGGGCGTGGTGGCGGGCGCTTGTAATCCCAGCTACTTGGGAGGCTGAGGCAGGAGAATGGCTTGAACCCGGGAGGTGGAGGTTGCGGTGAGCCGAGATTGTGCCACTGCCCTCCAGCCTGGGTGACAGAGCAAGACTCTCTCAAAAAAAAAAATAGTCAACTTATAAATCAATTAAATCTGAGCCTCTTTTTTAATTTTTTATTTTTTTTTGAGACGGAGTTTCACTCTTGTTGCCCAGGCTGGAGTGCAATGGTGCCATCTTGGCTCACCGCAACCTCTGCCTCCCCAGTTCAAGAGAGTCTCCTGCCTCAACCTCCTATATAGCTGGGATTACAGGCATGCGCCACCGCACCTGGCTAAATCTGAGCCTGTTTCTTAATCTCTAAACAAAGGGGGAGGGGATGCAGGGAAGGGACATTACCTCACTCACAGAATTGTGGAAAATTAAATGAAATACTGTATATCCAAAGGTACCAGGCCCAGCAGCTGACACAACAGGAACTTAATTTTTTTAATGTAAAAATAAATAGGCCGGGCATGGTAGCTCACGCCTATAATCCCAGCACTTTGGGAGGCCAAGGTGGGCGGATCATGAGGTCAGGAGTTCAAGACCAGCCTGGCCAACATGGTGAAACCCCACCTCTAGTAAAAATGCAAACATTAGCTGGGCATGGTGGCACGTGCCTGTAATCCCAGCTACTTGGGAGGCTAACACAGTAGAACTGCTTGAACAGGGAGGCAGAGATTGCAGTGAGCCGAGATCATGCCATTGTACTCAGCCTGGGTTACAGAGCGAGATTGTCTCCAAAAACAAAAACAAAAAAAAAAAAAAAAACACACACACACTTTACCTAAATGAATTGCCACAAAACTAAAATTCAAAGTTTATAAATGTAGTGTGTGTGTGTGTTAGTTTTTTTCCTACATTCTTAAGCAGAATACTAAAAAAACATGCTACACCTTTTTTTTTTTTTTTTTGAGACGGAGTCTTGCTTTGTTGCCCAGACTGGAGTGTAGGGGTGTGATCTGGGCTCACTGCAAGCTCCGCCTCCCAGGTTCACGCCATCCTCCTGCCTCAGCCTCCCAAGCAGCTGGGACTACAGGCGCCCGCCACCAGGCCAAGCTAATTTTTTGTATTTTTGGTAGAGACGGGGTTTCACCGTAGCCAGGATGGTCTCAATCTCCTGATCTCGTGATCCGCCCGCCTCGGCCTCCCAAAATGCTGGGATTATAGGCATGAGCCACCGCACCCGGCCTCAACCTTTCTTTTTTTTTTGAGATGGAGTCTTGCTCCCATCGCACAGGCTGGTGTGCGGTAGCACAATCTTGGCTCACTGAAACCTCCACCTCCTGGGTTCAAGCGATTCTCCTTCCTCAGCCTCCTGAGTAGCTGGGATTACAGGTGCACACCACCACGCCCGGCTAATTTTTGTATTTTTAGTAGAGACAGGGTTTTGCCATATTGTCCAGGCTGGTCTCAAACTCTTGACCTCAGGTGATCCACCCACCTCGGCCTCCCAAAGTGCTGGGATTACAGGTATGACCCACCGCATCCAGCCAACTACACCCTTTCTTGATGCTGGGTCATCATTATGAATAATAGTTGCTATACTGTACTACAAAATACAAGGATACCCTTAGGAACAAATAAGGAATATACTTATTTTTTGCTGTAGAAAATTTCCCATACTGTTATGCTAAAGTCCTTGCATTGAGAGGTTCTTTTCCTAGTTTCTCTTTGTTCTTAACCTTTAGCTATGTTTGGGAGATGACACTGGGCTACTATCCTTTAAAATGTATCTATAGTAGGCTAGAAAAATCAGATAACTGAAGTTCATGAGATTACTTTATGTTTAAAAAAAAAAGGGTAAATATGTCCTAAGAAAGACACTCTCCAATCAATAAAATATGTAACTTTTAGCAGGTTTACAACTAAATTAGTTGGCTAAAGCTGTCAAACAGCTTCTGAATAAGGGAAGTATCACTTATTTAAAAATAGCCATTTCAAAATAAATATGTATTGCCCAGAAGCAAAAAAATATCTGGCAACTTACTATGGTACCCTGAATATTTAAAGACCCATTATCTTAGGAGTAAAGAGTAACATACAGTTTTAAAATTTTACAGAGTCAACTGGTACGAGTAAGGTTAAATGGCAAGCATGTTCATTACCACCTAGCAGACTAAATCAGTCTAGCCTTAGGAGAGGAAATTTTTCTTCTCTAGTGTTATGCTTCATTTAGAGTTTCTATGTCACAAGCCAAACATAGGCAAAAACCAAGTAAATGTTACTTAAATAGGAAAATCATCACTATAACTTGGCTTTTCCCTGAATGTATTATTCCTCCAGACTTCCAAATAATAGAGTAAAAAATTTTCAAAGAAAAATTAAGACTCATAGAAACATTTTAAGACAGGTTTATCAGAAAGATAAGAAATCTAAGTACCACACCCCCATCCCCAACAAAATATTTTTAAAAGCAGATTTACAAAGTCAGATAGTCAAAGTCAGAAATGATCCAACTGCAGAAACAGTTTCAGAGAGAGAAAAGTGAAGGGAAATAGGGAAAAATAATGATACCATCTTGAGAGCAAGGAAATATAGTCAAAACAAAAAATAAGATTTTGAGAGAAATTCCAACTTCAGTTACGCACTTTAAAATATTTAGAAGCTAGAAGGCTATCGATGAAATATCAATAGCTCCTTAATAAACAAACTTGACTGCTTTGCTGTTTTATGGCAATAGTGCATATTTGCTTACTTGCAACTGAAAATTACAAATTTACATAATGTACAAATGCATGTATATAAATTAGCAGTATATTAGCTAAATAGTATATTACTCTCTTAACTCCTAAAGGGTTAATCAAAAGCCTACTTTTGGGCCTGGCACAGTAGTTCACACCTGTACTCCCGGCACTTTGGGAGGCCGAGGCAGGTGGATCACCTGAGGTCAGGAGTTCAAGACTAGCCTGACATGGCAAAACCCTGTCTCTACTAAAAATACAAAAATGAGCAGGGCATGGAGGCACACACCTATAATCCCAGCTACTTGGGAGGCTGAGGCAGGAGAACTGCTTGAGCCTGGGAGGCAGAGGTTGTGGTGAGCTGAGATCGTGCCACTGCACTCCAGTCTGGCAACAGAGACTCTGTCTCAAAAAAATAAAATAATAAATGGGACCAGGTGCAGTGGCTCACGCCTGTAATTCCAACATTTTAGGAGGTGAAAGCAGGCAGATCTTTTGAGCTTAGAACTCTGATACCAGCTTGGGCAATATGGTGAAACACCATCTCTACAAAAAATAAAAAAATTAGCTGGGCATGGTGGCATGCGCCTGTAGTCCCAGCTACTCGGGAGGATCGCTTGAGCCCAGGAGGTCAAGGTTGCAGTGAACCATGTCACGCCACTGCACTCCAGCCTGAGCAACAGAACAAGACCTTGTCTCTAAATAAATAAATGATGTGCTTTTGTTTCATATCTAATCCCATCTTTTTTTTTTTTTTTTTTTTGAGACGGAGTTTTTGCTCTTGTTGCCCAAGCTGGAGTGCAATGGCATGATCTTGGCCCACTGCAACCTCCACCTCCCGGGTTCAAGTGATTCTCCTGCCTCAGCCTCCCGAGTAGCTGGGATTACAGGCACACACCACCATACCCGGCTAATTTTTTGTATTTTTAGTAGAGATGGGGTTTCACCATGTTGGCCAGGCTGGTCTCAAACTCCTGACCTCAGGTGATCCACTGGCCTCAGCCTCCCAAAGTGCTGGCATTACAGGCCTGAGCCACCGCGCCCGGCCCATACCCATCATTTTTTTTTTTTAACTTCTTTTCTCAAAGTACATCCTACTTCTATGGAAAGATTGACACTCACTGTCAAATAACCATCAGCTAGTCAAGCATTCAGTTTAAAATCTGCAAACTTGGACTGAACCGCAGAGAATAAAGTCCTGCAAGATTCTCAAGACATGAGACACTTCAGAGATATTAACAAGTCCACAATGAAATTCCAAATCTAGAAAAATTGTTTTAAAAACTTTTTGGAAAACTTTTAGAAGGTAGGACCTTAAAAGACATCTGGTACTTAATTAAAATCCACTTTTTCTGCTCTCAGGAAATTATAAAATAATTAGACAACAAAAATCTTTCCTGGTTAACTGTAGGCCTGGAGGCAAACAATGAGCTGTGCATCTGACATGCTGTGCAGAAGTCCCAAGTGGCATTTAGTTATGGCTGTCACACAGTCTCTAGCACCTGTCACATGGGGGCTATGGCATGAAGGGAAGCACAGGCGGAAGACCTAGACCTGCAAATTCTAAGGGTGGAGGGGAGACGAAACCATTGCGCACATGAGAAAAACATGCAGGAAGAACCTTGTCATTCCAAAGGCAGAACCTACCTAATCACAGGAGGCTGGCAAGACAAGGAAAACAAATCACAACCTTAAAAATGACAATAGCAACTCACCTTGAAAACTTCCAAGTCATAGGCAACATATAATTTCCCCGTAAATGATACAAAGACATACAAATAATCAGGTGGCCCTCTGCAAAATCCTAATGAAAACATCTATTTATTTCTTCCCCCCAACTCCCTCTCCCCAAAATATCTATTTAAAAACATCCTACTAGGCCAGGCACGGTGGCTCACACCTGTAATCGCAGCACTTTGGGAGGTCAAGGCGGGTGGATCACGAGGTCAGGAGATCGAGACCATCCTGGCTAACACAGTGAAACCCCGTCTCTACTAAAAATACAAAAAAATTAGCCGGGTGCCTGTAGTCCCAACTACTTGGGAGGCTGAGGCAGGAGAATGGCGTGGAGCTTGCAGTGAGTTGAGATCGCGCCACTGCACTCCAGCCTGGGCAACAAAGCAAGACTCTGTCTCAGAAAAAAACAACAGAAAAAATCCTACTTCCCCTTTTGGGCGGTATGTGTCTTTGCTATACCACTCAAAGTGCTCAACACAAAGCAACTTCTCAATAAAAAGCTAAATTTAATATGACTTTATGGAGTATCTATGTAGTGCCTTTGGTATTCAAGTTTCCAGTGTTCTTTGAAAAATCTTGGCTGGGCGTCGTGGCTCATGCCTGTAATCCCAGCACTTCGGGATTCAAGGCAGGTAGATCATCTGAGGTTAGGAGTTCAAGACCAGCCTCCAATGTGGCGAAACCCCGTCTCTACTAAAAAACACAAAAAATTAGCTGGACGTGGTGGCGGGCATCTGTAATCCCAGCTACTCTAGAGGCTGAGGCAGGAGAATCGCTTGAATCTAGGAGGCAGACGTTGCAGTGAGCCGAGATCACACCACTGCACACCAGCCTGGGTAACAGAGTGAGACTCCGTCTCAAAAAAAAAACAAAATCTTTAAGAACACTGCTTCCATTTTTCATTTTATTTTCATTGTATTTATTTATTTACTGATTGATTGAAACAGGGTCTCACTCTGTTGCCCAGGCTGGAGTCCAGTGGCGAGATCCCGGCTCAGCTCACGGCAGCCTCGACCCTCCCAGGTTCAAATGATCCTCCCACCTCACCCACCCCAGTAGCTTGGATTACAGGCATGCATCAGCACATCCGGCTCATTTTTTATTTTTTGTATAGATGAGGTCTCCTTATGTTGCCCAGACTAGTCTCAATCTACTGGTCTCGAGTGATCCTTCTACCTCAGGCTCCCAAAGTGCTGGGATTATAGGTGTGAGTCACCTTGCCTGGCCCTTTTCTGTTTTTCCATTTTAAATACAGTTTTTACTCTAACTTGACATATAGACTGCAATGCCACTCAATGAAGATAGCATTTAGCTAAGTCAGTGCACAAAAATCTCTATTCACAGACCTTTTAATCAGGCATTTATGAATCATTCACAGTAAGCAGTTAAATTTTACGAGGAAATATTTTCTTTGGCATTCTTCATAGTGACAAATAGTTACCTCTGTAGAGTGGTGGGTGATAATTAATAAATACCAAGCTGCGGTACCCATTCAGCAGATAAAGATGATCAAAGTGTGAATAATGGATCATAAAAAATGTGCAGGAAGAGATGCCAGATATGCCATCATCCCCTTCCTCTTACATTACATTCAGCGCACCCCAAAGTCATGGAGCCACTTACTCGAAGACCCAGGTCCACAAACCAGACCATGCCTCATCTTCCTTTCCTTCCCTACACTGGATAATTACCAGTTTATGTCTCTAGAGATTGATTCCCCATCTTAATGACTTCTATAATATAATCTCAAGAAAATTCTTGAAACTCAAATACCTATAAATCCAGAGGAAAAAGGAAAAGGTAACACATATGCACATATAAATAATGAATTTGCTCTTATAAAGAGGTTAGAACCCACTAGTCTAAAGCTCTAATCATAGTCTGCTCGTTCTCCAGTTATCTTGCATAATATGAATGGCTGACCCCTGCTGCTCCCTTTACTACTTCAAGTTCATTAGGCATAGCAGGTGTCAAATATTAAGTGGCACTAATATCAATTTAACCTTGATTTCATAAAACTTAAAAAGGGGAAGAGAATACTAGACTTCGGCCTTTTTAAAGCAATACATGCAAAAAGAAATAAAGTAACAGGTTCAAAATTACTGTCAAGGTTTTATTCTGAAAAAAGCAAAACTACAGATGGATACACTAGACAGAATGCTAAATGCAATCTACATGCAGAGAACTCTGCGTTCCAAAACAAATGAATATGGCTTTATTCAACTGGGCCCAGTTTCCATTGTCCCTTTGGAAGATTTATGAGAGGCAGTACCCATTATCTGTTGGAAGTTTGATAAAAACTTGTATAAACAGTGTTTAAAAAAATCAAAAAGTAATCTAAAGAGATATAGAAAAATAGTGTCTTCTTGATTGAAATTCTGCTTAAAAACTATACAGAAGTGTAGTTAACAGGAAAATACCTTATTTGATAATACGTTCAAATAGCTATTATAAGCTGCCTGTATTTATTATCTTTATCAACATTTAGGATGAAAGAAGTGGGATAAAAAACTTTCAACAAAAACTGGAATGCTGCTTTTTAAAAAAACCCATAGTGAAAATAAGCAAAAGAAATGAATTATTTTATGGAAAAAAATTGCTGTTAAAGAAACACCCTACCATAAGAAAATCACACCAATATGAGTAAATAAGCAAGAAAACCCTGGAAAGTCAAGGGAGGTGAAAGTAGACTGTATCTAGGTGTGCAATGTGATACAACAAGAGTGGTAGAGCTATTTTCAGCATCATACTACTAACAGGTGATAGATCTCAGAGAAAAAGCCACCCTGCCATATTAGCAAAACTGCTAGCTCAAGACCAACAGAAATGATTAACATACAGTTAAGAAATGATCTGTCAGGTACAATTAGGACATATGAAGTGATAAACAGTATAAAAGAAACCAACCTAATCACTTAAGTAGAAGTTTAGATTTAAATATGCATCAACAATAAGAATGAAGGCTGTATTGTTATGAAGTATGAGAAGGAAATTAAAAATCAAGTTTCTCACAAGGAGTAGTACTTCCTGAAGAACTGAATAATATGAAAAAAATCAAGCTATTTAGCAAAACAACAGAAAACAAACCTAGACACAACAGTGGATGTATATATAGTAAGAAAACTTGACATTGAAAAGGTGAAAAAACTATTGAGTTTCCTTCTCTCGTGTTTGCACCACGGAGACAAGTAGAACTGATAGGCTCAGGTGCCACCATGTGAGATGTGCTGGTGCAATCAGAGGGCACAGTGCAGAGGAGAATCCCTCCTGAAAGACACAAGAGCACCCTCAATACAACCAAATAACCTCATCAGATCAAGTGTTGAGTTGCAGGCCTTTTTTTTTTTTTCTTGTCTTTTAAAAACATGACTGGGGCTTAAAATAGCCTTTCCACCCCGCAACTTCTAGTCCCACTGCCTAGATACTACCATTGCTTATGCACTTTCCATAGAGATGTTTATATACACACACATCCACGTCATCACATACACAAAGACATGTAGGTACAAACTGTTCTGTAAATACCTCTGCCCATGCATCTAGGGAGGATATGTTTGAGGACATATAGATCTAAGCTCCTTTTTTTAGTGCTTGTATAATGTCAATATACCATAATTTACCTATCCGTAATTTCATATCCATTAGTGAATAGGAAGGCTGTTGTCTGCTGTTTGTTTTGTTTTGTTTTGCTATTAGTTACAATAAACATCCCAGTACATGTCTGTTGGTATACTTTTTCAAGTATCTGTTTGCAATTTCTAGAAGTGGAACTTCTATTCAAAGGGCTGTATACCTAATTTTGACATATAATGCTTAAATATCCTTCAAAAAGGTTGCATCCAGTTACTTTCTAACTACCATCACCTAAGCAGACCTGTTTCCCTCATGCTCTCACCAATACCAGTATTAAAGCTTTTATAGTAAAATAAAGTTCACCTTTAAACACCACCTCAATTGCCAAACGCAGCTCAAATTGTCCAGTGCTTTTTTTTCTCTCATGCTGTTCACCAATCCAACAGAGCCCTGGCTAGGTGACCCATGGGGAAAAGCATGCTTTTCACAGGGATTCGCTCTACTGTTCCTTCTTGCCTCTTTAACACAACACGTGCATGTGCTCAGGATTCACGAACAAAAACTTACTAAGATATGAAGCACCTTTCATCAACTATCTCAAAGAGAAGGCTAATCAATTAAATCTCACCTAACGTGTGAGACAGGTTAACTCCAGAACCTGATCAGAAAAAAACAAAAACAAGGACAGAGTTTAGTCTGATACGGCATCACTTAATCAAACAACAAGGAGTAGTATTTTACCTACATCTCAAACACTTAAAAAGTATTTGTACTTCTAAATCTGTGCCCCCACAGGGCTGGACACCATGGCTCACACCTGTAAATCCAGCACTTTGGGAGGCCGAGGCAGGCAGATCACTTGAGGTGAGGAGTACGAGACCAGCCTAGCCAATATGGCAAAACCCCGTCTCTCTACTAAAAATACAAAAACTAGCCAGGTGTGGTGGCACACAACTGTAACCCCAGCTACTCGAGAGGCTGAGGCAGGAGAATCGCTTGAACATGGGAAGTGGAGACTGCAGTGACCCGAGATCACATCACTGCACTCCAGCCTGGGCTACAGAGTAAGACCCATCTCAAAAAAAAAAAAAAATTAAAATAATAAAATAAATCTATGCCCAAAATAGGATATGAAGTTAACTTCTTATTTCTTAGGTGGACCTGATACGTCAAATAGCTCCTTATTCCAAACTACTGTGCTATTACAGCATGCAAAATAATGTGTTCTCACAAAAGAATGACATGGATTTAATTATCTCAACATCCAACATTAATGTAACACATATGTTACTCTCCAATTTGCTAAAAGCCATAGAGTTTACCCTTGACTACTTAAATGTGAGATCCCATAGAAGATAATTCAAACACATGGAAGATAATTCATTGTATCTATATAACATTTGTATATACTATTTGATTTTATAGTTTCGAATATTATCAAATGACTTTCTCACATTGGAGTATCAGGATTTTCAACCTCACCCCCATGTTTCTTCTTCCTCTCCATGGAATACAATCACATCACCATTGTTGGCCAAATCACTATTTAGAGATTATATTATGACCATGTAAATTTTTTTTTATTATACTTTAAGTTTTAGGGTACATGTGCACATTGTGCAGGTTAGTTACATACGTATACATGTAAATATTATTCACTTCTGAGCCATATAGCATCGTATGATTAAGATTTCTTTTTCCTTTTTTTTTTTTTTTTTGAGACAGAGTCTCACTCTGTCACCCAGGCTGGAGTGCAGTGGCACCATCTCCACTCACTGCAAGCTCCACCTCCCAGGTTCACACCATTCTCCTGCCTCAGCCTCCTGAGTAGCTGGGACTACAGGTGCCCACCACCACGCCCGGCTAATTTTTTGTATTTTTAGTAGAGAAGGGGTTTCACCGTGTTAGCCAGGATGGTCTCCATCTCCTGACCTCATGATCCACTCGCCTTGGCCTCCCAAAGTGCTGGGATTAACAGGCGTGACTCACCGTACCAGGTGTTTTCTTTTTCTTTACAGTATTTTTCCCCAAGGAAATAAGCACTGTCTTAAACACTAAATTAATAAGAAACCAATGTATCTATCCTTAATTTGTTCCTCACCTCAGACAGAACTGTCTCAACATGTTTAAACACATCAAGATGAGTATTTGTATTTAAATGTTTTCCCTAGCAAATGTACCTTTCTCATTATTTGTGGCTGGTGAGTTGTGGAGGGAGGACAGGAGCCCAGGCAGTCTAGTTCAAGTCTGTTCTTTGAGCCACCCTATTTGCCTCTCTCTATCAAGACCACAGGGCTTCTGGAGAGGAGTGTGGCACACTCAGGCTTGTTCTGATGAGGAAGGTGACCAACAGCGAGACTGCACAGCGCCACAGGGAGATGCTGGTGGGATAGAGGTCGGTGGGGGCTAATGCACAGACAGGTAAGTACTGATAGGCAGTAGACTGGCTGGAGGGGAAGCCACATTTCAACGAGATTTTGAAGAACTGGATGACTAACTGTATATGAGGGAGAAGAAAGACTCAAGAATATCTGATATTTCCAATCTAGTAGATGATGACACTTTCTTTTTTTGAGATCTTCTTACCCAGGCTGGAGTGCAATGTGTGATCTCAGCTCACTGCAACCTCTGCCTCCCGGGTTCAAGCGATTCTCCTGCCTCAGCCTCCTGAATAGCTGGGATTACAGGTGCCCGCCACCATGTCTGGCTAATTTTTTGTATTTTTAGTAGAGATGAGGTTTCACCATGTTGGCCAGGCTGGTCTCAACTCTTGACCTCAAGTAATCCACCCACCTCAGCCTCCCAAAATGCTAGGATTACAGGTGTGAGCCACTGCACCCGGCTGATGACACTGTTCTAACAAAAATAAAAGGCAGGCAGGAGTAGCAGAAGCAAGTTTGGTGGGGGAGCGGGGGAGAGAGAAGAACAATGTGGAGTATTTAACATGATGAGACAACAAGTAATTGTCCAACAGACAACATTAAGTGTTATTAACCCGTTTTCACTTAGTCCTACTTCTTTCAAAGTAGATCTTTAAAACGGGAACTCAGCATACAAAGAGTTCTAAGAAAAGGCTGAGCAAATGAATAAAAAAATGTAACTTTAGATCTTAGTAATCTAAGGAATCATTAAACTACATATAAGTCTCTTAACAAAACCATTACATGGCCGGGCACGGTGGCTCACAGCTGTAATCTCAGCACTTTGGGAGGCCGAGGCGGATGGATCACCTGAGGTCAGGAGTTCAAGACCAGCCTGGCCAATATGGCAAAACCCCGTCTCTACTAAAAATACAAAAAAATTAGCTGGGCATGGTGGCAGGCAGCTGCAATCCTAGCTACTTGGGAGGCTGAGGCAGGAGAATCGCTTGGACCTGGGAGGCGGAGGTTGCAGTGAGCCGAGATGCACCATTGCACTCCAGCCTGGGCGACAGAGCGAGACTCCATCTCAAACAAACAAAAAACCTGTTGCACAAGTGAGAATAAGGGAGGCTCCATGGGACGGGGGAAGGCTTTGGAGTAGAGCAAACCTGGGTTTGAGGCCCATCTCCCCCATTTCCTAGGAAGTAGCCTACAGCCTCCTATTTAAGGTGGAGGAGCTTGTTAGAAATGAACACACTGGACCCCAGTTTCAGACTAACTGAATCAAAATCTCCATTTTAACAAGAGTCCCCAGTAACTGAGAAGCACCAGCCTAAGGCAAGTGAAATGATCTCTAAGCCTTGCCTCCCCCCACCATTTACAAAAGTGGGGATAAGCATATTTACCCTACGGGGAAACTGAGGATTAACAGGTGCCAAATATTTACCAAGCCTCTATCAAGAGGTGTTAGTGTCTTACATATGTTACATCGTTTAATCCTCTCAACAACCCTATCATGCAAGTATTGTTTCCATTATAAAAAATGAATACACTGTCGGGCTGCAACCCCGTCCAAGGTCGGACTGCTATTGAGTCGTAGAGCTGCTACTCACTGTGGCTCCCTGCTCTGCATTTGGCTTCCCATTAACCTCAATAATGCATATGCAACCTAGTGCAGCCAAGGGCACAGAATGTGTGAGAGCAAGGGAGGAAAGAAGCCTTGCACCTACAGAGAATCTAAACACTAGTTTAAAGCACAATCCACAAAGTTCAAAAACTGTACTCATATAAGCTTAAATGACTCAGCTGTGCTTATCCTTGAACTGATTTTCAGATAAGGATGTGGCATTAAATGAACAGTATTTATTTCAACAGTTGTGCTAAAATAGATCAACCAGCAGAATGCAACGACGGTTAATAAGACTATGTGAAAATTCTCAATAAGACACAGAAAACTCTCAATATAGCTTTATTCCAGGCTCCTGAGGGATAGGAATTCAGACAAGAAAAGGAACATCCTAAGAGTGTCTGTAATTGTAGGATATATTTCACATAAAGACTGAAATTCTCGGCCAGGCATAGTGGCTCATGCCTGTAATCCCAACACTTTAGGAGACCCAGGTGGGAGAACCACTTGAGGCCAGGAGTTTGAGACCAGCCTGGGCAACACAGCAAGACGCCATATCTACAAAAATTTTAAAACTATGGCTGCATGTGGTGGCTCACGTCTGTAATCCCAGCACTTTGGGAAGCCAAGGCAGGAGGACTGCTTGAGCCCAGGAGTTTGAGACTAGCCTACGCAACAAAGCAAGACGCCATCTCTATTATTTAAAAAACAAAACAAAACTAGCTGAGCACAGTGTTACACACCTGTTATCCAAGCTACTGAGAAGGCTGAAATGGGAGGATCCCTTGAGCCCAGGAGTTCAAGGCTACAGGTAGCTATGCTGGCATCTGTACTCCAGCCTCGGCAATAGAGTGACACCCTGTCTCTTAAAAAATAATAAGTTCTAGGTTATCTTTCAATCGTTATTTTTTGAGTATTAACATTCCAGAAAAGAATGTGCAAAATTAACATTTAGAATCCCAATTTATAACAGTGCTAGTTCCAAACAAATCTAAAGTATGTGAATCACTCACTGTATCGACAGCTGTCTAATTTCACTCATCCAAGCCCACAATATGCCTGACACGGTCTCAGTCTGCCACATTCTTCCTCTCTTACCTTTCTAGATACACTGGTCTTCTTTCATTTCCTCAAACACAATAAGCTCTCTTCCTCCCCAGGGCCTTTGCAATGGCTATTTCTTCTGCCCAGCCCTGATTTCCCTGTTTTGACAGATAGCTTGCTGATTCTTATCCTTTAAGGTGTGTCTTTTTTTTTTTTAAATAGAGATGGGGATCTCGCTGTGTTGGCGAGGCTGGTCTCAAACTCCTGGCCTTAAGCGATCCTCTTGCCTTGGCCTTCCAAAGTGCTGGGATTAACAGTGTGAGCCACTGCACCAGGCCTTTATGGTGTGTCTAAATGGCACTTCCTTAGAGACCTTTCCGATCACCTGAAGTACATGCCCAACAGACCATCCCAATTATTCTCTACCTCATTCTATTGTCTATTTCCTTGTAGGTTTTATCATGAGTACTATTTTGTCTTTTTATATCCTCCCTCACCTCGAACGAAATTCGACTTCCAAGAGGGCAAGAACCTTATTTGCCTTTATTCCTGACATGTAGCTGAGTGACTAGCCTCGGCTACGTGTCAGTGGATGCTCAACAGAAACTGGTTAAATGAATAGTGTGAGTAGGTGCCAGGCACTACGCTAGACAGTAGGATCTGGAAATAAGAGAGCATCTGCCCTCTGAAAGCTCCAAGTTTAGTGGGGAAATGAACAATCAATAAACTACCAAAGAGGCAGTTAAGAGTGATATGAGGGTTACTCAGCAGTGCTGAAGAGGCACACTGAAGGTGCTCCTGTCCTAATCCAGGAGGTGGGGAAGCCAAAGGTGTTTTCAAGAGGTGGTGATGCTGGCTAAATGCAATGGGAGATTAGCATTTTGCTCTTATATGGCAGCTACAGTGAAGTTTTTTCCAAGGACATGAAGTAAGATGGCCCCTCAGAGTTCAACTCGAGATCAACACACAATGACTGAGGGGAGTACAAGCCATTTGAAAGAGAAAATCTGGTTTTCCACATAGCAAGATTCAAGTACAGCCAGAATCAATGTATTCAGACATGCAAAGGATTAAGGTATCTCATAAAAGGGTCACCCCTGCAAGCTCAGAAGAAGAATGAAAAAGAAAGACTGGCAGGGGCCACTGAAGCAACTAGATAGGGGAGAAAAGGAGTCTTTGTTCATAGACATGAGGTTTCTGGTCACAACAGATCTACGATGAGATGGTGGTATCATCAGATTGTGTCAGACCATTATACATTTGATTCATCTCATTGTTTTTGTTCTAATGCCTTCTCGAATAACCTTCTTTCCAATGATAGTATGGGATCCCAGCTATGTTTACCTATAGAGACCAGAAACACTGGTACACAATTAAAATTATATGCTGGTTTTCCAGTTGTACCTTTCAGACTTATGAGCTTGGTTCATCTGATGCCATGGAAGTAGATCTGCTCTTAGTACACAAATTAGATGCTTGGAAGGCAGGGGAGTCCCCTTCCCAACAAAGGATAAGGTTGGCCAGAACTCAAAACAGAGGAGGAAAAGGATTTTTGTAAGAAATGTTTGAGGTGAACCTCACAGACACAGAAAGAGAAGGAAGAGGGACAAGCCAAGGATGATTCCAATGTTTCTGGCTTGAGTTATCTCAAGTTGAGTTATCCTGGTATTGCTGATGGTAATACCATTCAGCAATCGAGGAATAAGAGAGGGCCTAAGACTTACAGAGAGGCCAGGCACAGCGGCTCACGCCTGCAGTCCCAGCTACTCAGAAGGCCAAAGCAGAAGGATGGTTTGAGCCCAGGAGCCAGGAGTTAGAGGTTACAATGAGCTATGACAGTGCCACTGTACTCCAGCCTGGGCCACTGAGCGAGACACTGTCTCCAAAAAAAAAAGACTTATACAGATGTTCCATTTAGGACATGTTGAATCTGGGGTCTCTGAAAAGCAGCAAAGAGAAGATGTCCAGTAGGCATTTGGCCATCCAAGACCAGAGCTCAAGAGATATGGAATTTTTATTCTAAAAACACATTCAGGCAATAATAGATGAAATCACTCAAGAATAGGGTACTAACTACCAAGAGATAAGGATGAACTGTGAAACCCCGAGTAAAGCCATTTTTTTTTCTTTCTTTTTTTTTTTTTGAGACAGTCTTGCTCTGTTGCCCAGGCTGGAGTGCAGTGGCGCCACCTTGGCTCACTGCAACCTCCACCTCCCGGTTCAAGCGATTCTTGTGCCTCAGCCTCCTGAGTAGCTGGGATTACAGGTGTGTGCCACCACATGCGGCTAATTTTTGTATTTTTAGTAGAGGCAGGGTTTCACCATGTTGGCCAGGCTGGTCTCGAACTCCTGGCCTCATGTGATCCACCCACATCAGCCTCCCAAAGTGCTGGGATTACAGTTGTGAGTCACGCGCCCAGCCCTGAGTAAAGCCAGTATTTAAGAGAAGAGGAACCTACAAGGTATCCTGAGAAACAGATAGGCATCTAGAATTAAGTTAAGTATTTGTTAGGTTATCATTTAATGTCTGCTTTCAACAAGTATGCAATGTCTTACAGAGAAAATTCAAGTTTTAAAAAGAAAAAAAAATTTGCTTATAGTAAAGTTACTGAAAAAGAAAAAGTTCTTTCAGAATACCGTAACATGGCTTCCTGGGACAGGAAGGAAACCAATGAGATACACCCTCCTGACCTCTTACCAGTACTTCAAAAAGTGCAATAAAGCTGGTTGAGAGAAACAAAGAAGTTTCTTTGGAGACCTACTTTAAACGCTTAATCCGTGCCAAAAGTCCAAAGTCCATGAAGCTAACTACCTTTGGATGAATTTTCAAGGCAGAGATAAAATCTCCAATGTGCACTTTAATGACTAATACTAGTTTTGAGAGACATTACTACACATCTATGCTCTGGGACAGACCAAACCTTCAGTCTCTACGTCAATGGTACAACAGAGTACTATTCTCCCCAGTAGTGTTACTGAATTTGCGACTCACTGAGTTGGAAGAGCTGCTTAAAGGTTTATCATCATCAAAAGCCATTTATTAGGGGGTGTTCTTGTTTTTTTTTGAGCAAAGTGCTAAAAACTCCGTTGTACGTTTCCTACCCCATCATAGTTTACAACTTTGTTGGGTAAGATCAAATGACTCCAAAAAACACCTCTGGAATTTCAATACAAGTTGCGATAGTTAAGTGCCAAAACAAGCGGTATGACAGCTGTCGGGATGCAGAAGTAATCAGTAAAGCCTGGATCGTGTAAGAAAATGGGGCTTGAGCCAGACTTTAAGGAAAGGCCAAGCAGTCAAGAAGGAATATGATGTCCAAGGAATATCATAGGCAGGGTACAGCTGACAGCAAAGGCACAGATGCAGCAACTGTGCCTAGAACCAGTTGATCAGTTTTATTGCAATAAGAGGTTCATGTAGCCGGGTTGTGGTAGATAAAAGCAGATAAGTAGACAAAAAGCAAGACGGTAGAGAGCCAGACCACAGCATTTTGTACTTTATCCTATGAACAGTACATAGCCAGTGAAGGTTTTATGCCGAGGTAGATGACGGATGCAAAGCACAATTTTAGGAAAATTAATCTGGCAACTGTGTATAGAAAGGTTAATGGAATATCATCATTGTGACGAGGTATACATGTGTCAAAACTCATCAAATGTATACACTTAAAATTGCTGAATTTTACTGCATATAAATTATACCTCAGGAAGACCAATTTTTTCAAAACAAAGGACAAAGATAAAGACAAGAATAAGCAGATTATTAAAATACAGGCTGGAAAAAAAGTCAGGCTGTAAAATCCTGAATATTTGATAGCTGAGATTAATTCAAGCCAGCTGATTATACACATTTTTTCCCAACTTCAGCAACATAACACTAGTAGCCTGAAACCAGCCATGATAGAGTATTTATACCTCAGAAATCAGCAAACATTACAAATCAGGGCTTTATCCCCCTCCCCAGGGTGGTTGTTCAATATTCACCAGCACACCACTGTGTAATTTCTATACGAGGTTTGGCTTGGATATGGTGCTAAATGAAGAGTTCCTCGACATTTCTTCTCACTCAAAATAATGACATAATTCCGAAGCACCATATCTTAATCTTACCAGCAGTAGACAGTTATCAAAAAAGTGTTAAGATTTAAGAGTCTAACATTTTACTAGTTTCAAGAATTAAAGCATGCCCATGAATAAGAAACCTTTGTGTCTCCCAATCAAGGTTTCTAGCTATTATGTGGTTTGGGACTAACACCAACTGATGATGACAATGCACAAAAAATTCCACCATTCATTCCATTATACTAAAGGCTAATTGCATGGGCCTATTATTGGAATATGCTTTCCTAGTTCAACTAGCTGCATTTCAATAGAGTAAAGAGGGTTTTCTGGAGAAACCCTACTGTGAAAAGATGAACTTTGTCTTAACAACTTTAGTTTCAAAAACTATTCATTTATAGATGCCTATTTCACGTCTCTGAAGCAAAATGGTTCATTTGTTATGTAGATTACTAAGCAGTCAGTCACTTAAGAATAAAAAGTTTCTTCTTTAGAGGCTCCAGCTAACTGTCTGCATAGGTTCAATCTAAAAACCAGCAAAGCATACTGCTAAATATGATAGCAAATAATTGTTTAAACACAAATGAGCACCACCTTCAAATTTTCCAATCCACTTTCCAAGGGCCAATCTATGATTATCCCCAACAAAGACTGCCTGCTCCTGGGTTTCTTACCAGTAAAGGGAAGAAATGGGGGGTCACAAGAGGGGAATAAGGCAGGAGGTATAGAATGATGTTCTCTACTGCAGATCTGACTCCATGAGTCCTTAACTAACAGCCTTAAGTTTTGTTTCAAAAGTTCTTAAGTCCATTGCGTAGAACTCAGAATGTAACTTCCTACACACAAAAGCCAATTTAACTCACTTTTATCTGAAGTACACTATTTAACTCTGGAATATTAGCCATCATCTATACCAATGCTTTTACTAAAAAAAGTAAGTGCATTCAGAGTTTTAATTGAGACACTAAAACCATCATTTGAACCTCATTGCAACTGGAGCCCCTCTCTCTCAGAGAAGGAATACAAAACACAGGAGAAAGATCATAAAGAACTATGTAATATAAGGAGCAGGGAGAAAATGTCAGGTGGGAAAAATGGCCGGAAATGGGAAGAAGAAACATGTACAAGAATCACCAGGAGAGTGACATTCCCCGCCCCACTGATACCTAGAGAGGGGCAGGCAGGGGGTAGGTATTCATCAGACATGCACACTTTGATGAAGCACCCCGTGAATTTCTGACCTACACCTCAAAGAACCACAGCTCCAAGGAGTGAGCTGCAAGGCCATGAAAAACATACAAGGGGACGGTTCAGAGCCCCAGGTTTGCTCACTGAGCATTCTTTCTACCAGACTCCAGTCCAAGGGTCTTTTCCTTTTGCTTCTAATTGCCCTGGAAGAGTAGAAATAAGAACCCTTCAAAAAGAGAAAAATGGGCCGGGAGTGGTGGCTCACGCCTGTAATCTTAGCACTTTGGGAGGCTGAGGTGGGAGGATCACTTGACCCTAGGAGTTCAAGACCTGCCTAGACAACATAATGAGACCCTGTCTGTATTAAAAAATATATAAATGTACATGTGGCCCCACCTCTTTAGTAATAAATATTTACCATTTTCCACTCATTCTTCACAATGCTTAAGCCCAGACGCAATACAAACAGTTCTAGGATCTAGGGACAAAGAGATAAGACACAGAATCTATCTTCTAAGGAGCAGCTTGAAAGAGGTGGGAGTTGGAGCCACAAGCAAACAGCTGATTATATAAAGTGGTCTGAGGGGAAAACAAAGGGGTCAATTAAAGCATACAGAAGACACGAAAAGGGTTGAAAACAAATATAGAGGGGGGGTGATTCAAGGAAGGCTTTGAGTAAGATGCAAGGCTTGAGGTGAATATTGAAGAATAAACAAAAGTTGCCAGGCACGGTGGCTCGCCTATAATCCCAGCACTTTGGGAGGCTGAAGCAGGCATATCACCTGAGGTCGGGAGTTCGAGACCAGTCTGGCCAACATGGCGAAACCCCATCTCTACCAAAAATACAAAAATTAGCCGAGTGTGGTGGCAGGCACCTGTAATCCCAGCTACTCAAGAGGCTGAGGCAGGAGAGTCGCTTGAACCCTGGAGGTGAAGGTTACAGTGAACGGAGATTGCACCACTGCACTCCAGCCTGGACAACAGAGCAAGACTCTATCTCAAAAAAAAAACAAAAACAAAAACAAAAAGGCCAAAAGAGAAAGGGACTCTGTAGAAGAGTTAGGAAGTGTCCCTTGAGAAGGCTAGGGGAGGGGAGAGGCATACAGCACAGCATTGTATCTTTGACCGATGGTAGGAAGGCACTACTTCTCTATCAAACTGACTTTTAAACCAAGACTCCATCAAACCGATTTTTATACCAAGGTTAGGCTTTAAACCATGGGTGCTAAAGAGCAACTAAGGAGTTTTAGGCAAGAAGTAGCATAATCAGATGTACAAAAAACAGTATCATGCCTGTAATCCCAGCACTTTGGAAGGCCGAGGAAGGCTGATTGTCTGAGGTCTGGAGTTCAAGACCAGCCTGGACAACACGGTGAAACCCCGTCTCTACTAAAAATACAAAAATTAGCCAGGTGTGGTGGTGGGCACCTATAATCCCAGCTACTCGGAAGGCTGAGGCAGGAGAATCACTTGAACCCGGGAAGCGGAGGTTGCAGTGAGCAGAGAGCACACCACCGTACTCCAGCCTGGGTGACAGAGTAAGATTCCATCTCAAAAAACAAAAACAAAAACAAAACAGGATCACTCTGGCAGCCAAGATGAAAGGCAGACTGGAAGGAGACAGACTAGATGCAGGGAGCCCTGAAGTTGTGAGATTATCTCCAACAGTCCAGGTAAGGTCCCGAGGCCCTGAATCAAACAGTGGTGGTCGCAATGGAGGGCAGGGTTGGGGGAGAGAATAAAGAGGCAGAACAGGTCAGGCATGGTGACTCATGCCTGTAATCCCAGCACTTTGGGAGGCCAAGGCGCGCAGATCACAGGGTCAGGAAAATGAGACCATCCTGGCTAACACGGTGGAACCCTGTCTCTACTAAAAATACAAAAAAAAAGTTAGCCAGGCATGGTGGCACACACCTGTAGTCCCAGCTACTCAGGAGGCTGAGGCAGGAGAATTGCTTGAACCTGGGAGGTGGAGGTTCCAGTGAGCTGAGATCACACCATTGCACCACTCCAGCCTGGGTGACAGAGTGAGACTCCGTCTCAATTAAAAAAAAAAAAAAATGAGGACAGAACAAACAGGATGAGGGAGGTTGTTAAGACACACAGGTTTCCCACTTCGGCAATAGGTAAGTAAACAAAAAAACAGATTGTAGTAAGAGTTTGGAAGAAATAGTACTGACATCAGTATTGGACATGCAAGGTTTTAGGGGCCTGTTGGGATCGTCTTGGAGAGATATTTGGAAGGCAGGCACCTACACTAACCTAGAGTTTAGGAAACAACAACTCAACTAAAAATGCACATATATGTTTTTTTTAATTATTTTTTAGAGACAGGGTCTCACTCTGTTGCCCAGGCTGGAAGGCAGTGGCATCATCATAGCTCACTGTAACCTTGAACTCCTGGGTTCAAGTGATCCTCCTGCCTCAGCCTCCCGAGTAGCTATGGGACTACAGGTGTGTGCCACCATGCCTGGCTAATTCTTAAATTTTTCTTTGTAGGGACGATGTCTTGATATGTTGCCCAGGCTAATCTCAAACTCCTGGCCTCAAGCAGTCCTTCTGCCTCGGCTTCCCAAAGTGCTGGGATTACAGACATGAGCCACCATACCGGGTCTATGAATCATTTTATAGCAAAGGATGTGTTATGTGAAAAGATGACTGAGAATGAAGCCTAAGGGAAAAACAACCTTTAATACATGTACACAGAGAGATGCAGGACCAAGGTAGGCCTTTATTATGAGATAGAATTTAAAATGTTCCTTCAGTTTAGGGGTCCACGAACTAGGGCCCACCCCCTGTTTTTGTAAATAAAGTTTTACTGGAACACGCCATGCCCATCCATTTACGTATTATTGATGGCTGCTTCTGTGCTGCAACAGCAGAGTTGAATAGTTGCAAAAAAGACCATACAGCCCACAAAGCCTAAAATATTTACTACAGGCTGAGTATTCTTTATCTGAAATGCATGGGACCAGAAATGTTTTGGATTTATTTGCATATACATAATGACATATCTTGGCGATGAGACTCAAGTCTAAACATGAAATTCATTTACATTTCTTTCTTTTTAAAGAGATGGGGTCTCATAATGCTGTCCAGGCTGGTCTCAAACTCCTGGGCTTGGCGATCCTCCCACCTCAGCCTCCCAAAGTGCTGGGATTACATCATGAGCCACCACACTGGGCTCATTTATGTTTCATATACATCTTATACACATAGTCTGAAGGTAATTTTAAACAATATTTTAAATAATTCTGTACATGAAACAAAGTTTGTGTTAAGTATTTATGTGTGGAATTTTCCACTTGTGTTACGTAGGTGCTCAAAAAGTTTTGAATTTTGGAGCATTTTAGATTTTGGATTTTCAGATAAGGGATGCACAACCTGTTTTTGGCCCTTATAAAGCCCGCTCACTCATACTTTACTCAACGGCCTTTAGGCAAAGCCTATCCCTATTTCCTACCTCAGTTTTTCCATTTGAGAAATGAAATGTACACTATGTTCAAGTTCAACAAGAACTTAAAAGGCTCATTTTTAATAATTAATCACTAAAAATTTTCCTCAAATATTTTGTTCAACACAACCAAGTACATTTCCAATAAAAGTCAAGGTTTCAAAGAATATAAAAATGTACAACATTGGGCCAGGTGCGGTGGTCACGCCTGTAATCCCAGCACTTTCGGAGGCCAAGGCGGGTGGGTCGCCTGAGGTCAGGAGTTCGAGACCAGCCTGGCCAACATAGTGAAACCTCGTCTCTACTAAAAATACAAAAAATTAGCTGGGCACGGTGGCGGGTGCCTGTAATCCCAGCTACTCGGGAGGCTGAGGCAGGAGAATGGCTTGAACCCCGGAGGCAGAGGCTGCAGTGAGCCGAGATCATGCCACTGCACTCCAGCCTGGGCAGCAAGAGCGAAACTCCGTCTCAAAAAAAAAAAAAAAAAAAGAGTACAGCACAGAATTTGACTATATAGGATTTAAATTACAAGGCAATTTATTGACTTACATGTGCCTACAAAATAAAGGGAATCCCAAATTTTACTTTATATCCAATTCAGAGCATTAACACAACAGTCTACTCCAGAAAGCATTCACCTTGACCTGTTACAAAAGGTCCTGATCTTTTGTAATAGAAGAGAAGAGCCACACAGCAGAGAAGTTATTGCTATCTCCACCACCACTGCCATCATTTTCTGAACACCCGCCATGTCTAGATGCCATTCCAAGCATCTAAGGCCTGTATGTTTCATTCGAGCCCCTCAATAACTCATGAGGACATCCATCCATTTTACAGATGAGGAAACTGAGCCTCAGAAGGGTAAAGAGCCTTTAACTGGGTGCAGTGGCATGCATCTGTAGTCCCAGTTACTCCAGAGGCTGAGGCACAAGGATTGCTTGAGCCCAGGAATTGGAGGCTGCAGTGAGCTATGATTACGCCACTGTACTCCAGCCTGAGCAAGAGCCAGACCCTGTCTCTCAAGGGGAGAAAATGGTTAAGAGCCTTGCCTCAAGTCATCTAGTAGGGAGCGGGTGACAGAACCAAGTCTGACCTCAGAGGCTCTGTACTTAACTACGACCCCATACTTTTGTTACCGACATGGAAGGAGATAACACTTATAAAAGAACAAATGGAATCTGGACACTAGGAAACACATATCTGCTTGTCTTCCCCACTTGGAACTCAATGCATATCTTGGAAGCCAGATTGGTGTCAGCAGCTTAAGAAGGTAACATGTATTGACTGTACCAATGGGCTCTGGCCAGACAGCCTCAGAACCACAACCAGGTGCAACATAGCTGCCAGCAGACAACGTATCAAGTTCCCAACAGCCACCTCAAAAATCAATTTTTTTTTTTTTTGAGACAGAGTCTTGCTCTGTTGCCCAGGCTGGAGTGCAGAGGTGCAATTTTGGCTCACTGCAACCTCCGCCTCCCAGGTTCAAGCGATTCTCCTGCCTCAGCCTCCTCAGTAGCTGGGACTACAGGAGCGCCCCACCATGCCTGGCTAACTTTTGTATTTTAGTAGAGATGGGGTTTTGCCATGTTGGCCAGGGTGGTCTCAAACTCCTGACCTCAAGTGACCCACACACCTTGGCCTCCCGAAGTGCTGGGATTACAGGCGTGAGCCACCATGCCCGACCAAAAATCAACCTTTTAAACAACTCCCCTCCAGAAACAGAGGGAAGCCGACACAAGAAATAAAAAGACCTTTGTAAATCAGATATTACAGTAATGTACTCTAAGAGGTCATATGATACACTCAGTGGCAAGAACATAAGCTTTCACTTCAAACCGACCCAGGTTTGAGTTCTGGTTTCAACACAAGGCTTATGACAGTAAATTACTTATCTTCTCTGAGCCCACTCCCTTGATGAAATAAAGAACCACACTCTCTGCCAGACAGTCCAGGGAATTATCAGTACCATAATAGAGAATTTAGTTGTTCAGAGTCAAAGCTCCCGAGTTATACAGACTGAGCTTATCTCTCAGCTCTGCAACTTACTTGGCATGAGATAGGGGCCTAAGGTTTCATCTTTAAAACAGAAAAAAAGAAAACAGTACCTACCTCTTGAGTTATTCTGAGGACTGAGGAAGATATTTAAAGTGCTAAAAAACACAATGTCCGGCCCAGGATGCGCTCAAATGTCAGCTGTTACTACTATGATTAATGTGTCTGGCACACAGTAAGCACTCTAAGAGGCTTTTCATTAGTGTAAGTTATAGACCAAATGACAACTTCCAACTTCAAGACCTGATCTTTAGGGGAAACAATGTCTTTCCCCGAGGCTGTGAAATTAACTTTCACAGCTTTAAAGGAGTGGCAGAAGCACATTTCCTGCAACAAAAACCACGGGCTTGGCTCCCTCTTGTTAAATGGTAGGAAGGTTTCTTCACCTGCTTCTTCACACTTTATTTAAATACTAAATACAGCCGGGCGCGGTGTCTCACACCTGTAATCCCAGCACTTTGAGAGGTTGAGACGGGCAGATCACGAGGTCAGGAGATCGAGACCATCCTGGCTAACACAGTGGAACCCCGTCCACTAAAAATACAAAAAATTAGCCGGGTGTGGTGGCGGGCACCTGTAGTCCCAGCTACTTGGGAGGCTGAGGCAGGAGAATGGCATGAACCTGGGAGGCGGAGTTTGCAGTGAGCCGAGATTGCGCCACTGCACTCCAGCCTGGGTGACAGAGCGAGACTCTGTCTCAAAAAAATAAATAAATACTAAATACTACTACTGGTACTTTCAGGCAGGCAACACCCTTAACCTCTAAACAGAACGAACTATTTTCCCCACATATGGTTTTCAGAGCACTAGGAAGAAACACTGAAACAGAAAGGCATCTGTTTAGAAGCAGAACTTTAACTCCTTGTAAAACAGCCTGCCCGTACCTGTGGCCAAAGCAAAAGCAAACGGGCTAAGTGGCCCAGACCCTCCTAACTCTGCCTGTCTTTCAAGAGAACTCCTACCATCCCCAGCATGCAGTTGCTTTTGAGCTCCCTTTGTATCTCAAAATCCATAAAAATGTTGAGTACCACAGATCGTTCTTTCAATCATCAGTTCAGAATACAGAAACAGACCAAAGGCAATGCAAAGACAATCTATAATTTAAAAATTCCTTGACCTCTATCTGCCTCGTAAGTCCATCTAGCTAAAATGTACATTTCATATAAAGTTCAATTATTAAAAAGCCAGAAAAAATCCATAAAACCCTCTGAATCTTAGAAAGCTCTCTCAGATGCATTTTAAATTTTCAAATAGCTCACATGCCTGCACTTGTTAACTTTTCGTCAAATGACTTCAGCTTTTTTTATATAGGCAGGTAATTATATTCATTCCAGGACTTTAACATCCTAAACACAAAGTTTAACCGGCATTATAACCAGCTTAACAGAAAAATCCTCTTCCATTAAACAGATCCGATTCAAGGGGTATCTAAGAAAAACAGGAAAACAGTTTCCAGATACAGCACTGGCTTTTATCCACCACAGAAATCAACAACTCAGCTTCTACAAACTTTAACAAGTTTGCTTTAAATTTCTAAGCCATTTGAAATAGAATATGCACAAGTGGTTAATGATCTTGTATTTTCTTCCCACTTAAAAAAAAAAAAAGAAGCCATTTATCACACTCAAGTTCTAACAATTAAAAAAAAAAAAAAAAGCCTACCAAAAATCAAATCCCAAACCACAGCCATCCTCTCCAGAACTTTGCAACAGTCTAGTTCACATCTACAAGCCTTACTTTTGTTTGGAAAGCTAGGGGGAAGGAAAGCAGCCTGTTTTAGATTTCATTTCTAGGGAAATAGAAATAGACGCAAAGCCTCAAGGTTACACAGTACACACAGAGAACATCCTGTCCACTAGCCTAAACACACTCTAAGCATGTACACGGCTAATGGCCAAACCACCTGCAAAAGTTCCATTTGCGGCTGGGAGCGGTGGCTCACACCTGTAATTCCAGCACTTTGGGAGGCCAAGAAGGGGGATCAAGAGGTTAAGAGATCAAGACCATCCTGGCTAACACGGTGAAACCCCATCTCTACCAAAAATACAAAAAATTAGCCAGGAGTGGTGGCGGGCGCCTGTAGTCCCAGCTACTCTGGAGGCTGAGGCAGGAGAATGGCGTGAACCTGGGAGGCGGAGCTTGCAGTGAGCCGAGATCACACCACTGCACTTCAGCCTGGGCGACACAGCAAGATTCCGTCTCCAAAAAAAAAAAAAAAAACACAGCTGGGCATGGTGGCAGGTGCCTGTAGTCCCAGCTACTGGCAGGAGAATTGCTTGAACCTGGGAGGTGGAAGTTGCAGTGAGCCGAGATCGTGCCACTGCACTCCGGCCTGGCAACAAAGCGAGACTCCGTCTCAAACAAACAAACAAAAAGTTCCATTTGCTGGGTCTCACATGTTGCCTACAAATTCGAGATTATGCTGTTTTTCATTTTATTTTAGAACAGTCACCTTGTATCCAACTGATCCAGCCCACTTTTACTGCCAAGGTGTTAACATGCATTACATTTGCTGAAGACAGAAAGAAAATGAAATAGTCCCAGCCCCTACCCTGAGGACACACCCTCACATCCCTACTCCTTCTCCATCAGCTAAACTGTGTGTGTGCAGATGTGTGTGTGCCTGCTGGAGTCTGGGGTGCAGGGAGGTTGGTGGTAACAAAAGACCATGAGGCTGAGACAATCAACTAGCCAGGGTTTTCTGAGAAGAAAGGGCACAGGCAGGGACACTGGGCAATACATGCTTCTGTCTAGTTCTTTTCATCTCAAGCATGGTTCACGCAGTAAAAGGTCTCCCTGGACTAAATCCTGAACTAATAAAAAGCCTTTATTTTAGAGAGAGCAGGGAAGTATGTAATTGTTAAATATCAAGGAGCTAGGAAACACAATTAAAACTTTGAACTGGGAGGTGAAAAGGAGGGGTAAAAAAACAACAACTTTGAACTGTAAGGTTTAAAAAAGTTAACCTACCTGCATAGGATTCTCCTAAATTAAAAATAGGATCTACACAATGCTCAGTGTTGCCCCTGCATCTCAATGAACATACCAACATACCTTTGAATACGCTCCTTAACACTAGCACAAGTGTGAGACTTCTCACCAAAAGCTAGTATCAAGTATGCACACGCGAATAAGTGCTTACTATTCCATGCTATGGTTCACATCTATTCTTTTAAGGCACTGAGAATTTCAAAACACGACTCTCTGTAATTTGCTCTCCAAAAACTGCTTTTATTAGACACTGGCAGGCCTCAAACTTTCATGTCTTAAAGCAAGACAAATGCTCCTATTAAAAAGGGACTGGCAGCCCAGGAATGCCAAAAGCTGCAAGAAGTCCAAAGCAATCTCTCATATCATCACCTTTATATATACATGCACGCACATACAGTTGATTAACAGGAGGCACTCCAGCTTTCTAAAGGAAGTTCTTTTAACTATATCCATACTTGCTACATACAATGTAGCAAGAGTAAGAGATAAAGACTGAAAGTATCCTCATGAAAGACATTGTCCAAAAAATCCAAATTCTTTTTTTTTTTTTTTTGAGACAGTCTTGCTCTGTCACCCAGGATGGAGTGCAGCAACACAATCAAGACTCACTGCAACCTCTGCCTCCTGGGTTCAAATGATTCTCATGCTCAACCTCCTGAGTAGCTGGGATTACAGGCATGTGCCACCACACCCAGCTAATTTTTGTATTTTTATTAAAATAGAGACAGGGTTTTGCCATGTTGGTCAGGCTCAAGTGCCCGGCCCCAAAATCCAAATTCTTAAAATTACCAACCTGTACAAAGCTATACCTATTCATATTTGACAATAAAAAACACCTGTGAAGACCATTTGTTGTCCCACTGAAAACTAAGGAGCATGGGCTGGATGCTTGAGGCCAGGAGCTCACAACCAGCCTATACAATGTAGACCCTTTCTCTATGTATATGTTTAACATGTAAGAAAGAAAAGAAAGAAGGCTGTGCACTGTGGTTCTTGCCTGTGATCCCAGCACTTTGGGAGGTTGAGGCAGGTAGATCACTTGAGCCCGGGAGTTTGAAATCAGCCTGGGCAACATGGTGAAACCCCATCTCTACAAAAAAATACAAAATTTAGCCAGGTGTGGTAGTATACGCCTATAGTACCAGCTACTGAGGTGGCTGAGGTAGAAGGATCACTTGAGCCCGAGAGGTCGAGGCTGCAGTGAGCTATGATTGTGTCACTGCACTCAAGCCTGGGTAACTGAGCAAGACCTTGTCTCAAAAACAAAAACAAAGTAAAAAAAAAAAAAAAAAAAAAGCACCAAAAAACAAGGCACATGGATGAAAGGAAATGTGTCATATGCTAGGAAAGAATAGAAAATGACCAACTCTAGTTCAAAGGAAATATAATAATTTCTATTATCTACCTGTTTCAAAAAGACTATAGTAAACAGCTAAGCTAATGCGTTTGAAACTGAAATTAAGACAAAAACTTGATTGACCATCACGTTTAATACCAGAATCCATTCCTAGACTTGTAAAAACAAAATAAAACTCCTGTTAACACCCTACTTAAAACCTTCAATGAGTCTGGTGCCGGCAGCATACAACTCCACCTGCCTCCATATCTGCAGGCTCTCCTCTGCTTATTCCTTGGCCTCACCAATCCTGGGACTCTACAGTCATGAACACTCATTAAGTTTCTTGAATAATGTGGTTTTACAGCTCTATGCCTTTGCCTCCCCTCCACCCGGAATGCCCCTCAACTCCACAGCTCTCTGAAAATGCCCACTCATCTTTCAAGACCAAGGTCAAACTTCATCTCTTGGAACAGCCCCATTTCCCTAGGCAGGCTGCACATTGCACCCCGTTGTGTGTCCCTTTGCCACTCACTGGGAGACAAAGTTCATCTCTCTCCTAGAATGCAAGCTCCCTAGAATAGGAAAGCCATGTCTCACCTCTCTTGTTACCATCTTTACTGCTTTGCACAGGGTCTGACAGAAAGAAGGCACCAAAAATATTTGACTAGAAAATAAACTGAGAAAACACTGGGATACCATTTCACATCCATCAGATAGGCAAAATGTTAGAAAGCTGGATAAATGATGGTGTGGATATGAATAAACAGGAACTCTCATATGTTGCTGATGGGAATGTGAGTTTGGTAAAATTACTTTGAAGAGTGATATTTTTCATCTCTCGCCAAGCTGAAAATGAGCACTGTCAAAGCAGCAATTCTGCTTCAGGTTACATACATTAGACTATTATTTGTCAAATATTGTCCTGATCAGCTTATTTTTAAATGAAGGGATATTTATTCATATCTCAAGTATGCATCTCTCACATTGTATGCGTAAATATTTTTTCAGGGTAAATATTTTATAAAACTATAATTTCTATTACATGTAAATATTTATGCATATATATATGAACATTATGCAAATAAACACACACATATTTTGGGTATCAATGTAAAATACATTTCTTACTGTGTCTAGTGAACAAAAAAGGCTTGAAAAACACTATCCCAGAAAAACACATATGTGCTCAAAAAGACACTCATAAATGTTAATTATGACACTGTATATAACGGTGAAAAACTGGAAATAACCTAAATGTGCATTAACAAAATGGAAAAAATATGGTACACATATAACTCAATATAAATGAACTGGAAACAAATGAAGTAAAGCTACTAGAATACTTCTAATAATATCAATAAATCTTAAAAGTAATATTGAATCAAAATGTATATTTATATAAACATACAAAATACTACATACATACATATATGAGAAAATAAACATGAATGGTATGATGACAATTCAAGAAGACAGGGAGGGAAGCGGAATCAGGAAAGACATCACAGGAGGCTTTAGTGTAACTTCAGGTGTTATTACCTCAAAAAAAAGTTCTGAAGACAATGTTAAAATCTGACAACTGGGAAATGGATGCTGTTCATTATTTTATTCCACATATTTGTTGTGGTGCTTAAAATATTTTGTCATTGAAAACAATGTAATAAACAAATGACTAGAAAAAGTCAAAAAAAAAAAAAAAAAAAAAAGCAATCTTTAAAATGTCCTGGTGTTGGCCGGGCACAGTGGCTCACTGTTTAGGTGGTCAAAGTGGGAGGATCACTTGAGGCCAGGAGTTTGAGAACAACCTGGACAACCTATCAAGACTCTCTGCCTCTAAAAAAAAAAAGTCCTGGTGTTTATAGTTCCAAATCAATATATATTACACGTGATTTTTTTTTTTAAAGCTAACATTGGTGTGCTTATGTGTTAGATACTGTGCTAACCACTACTACACAATTTCACTTACTTGGTAACAATGACCCTTTGCAGCAGGTACCATTATTTTCTGCTAGACTGTGTCACTGTCTCTGATCTTTACTCTTGAGGGTCCAATTGTACTCATCATTCTATATTTTCTAAGGGCAGAAAAATGGACTCATCTATTTAGAGACAGGGTCTCACTCTGTCACCTAGGCTGGAGTGCATTGGTGCAATCATAGCTCACTGCAGGATCAACCTGCTGGGCTCAAGCAAACTTTTTAAAATATGCAGCTACAAAAGCAAATTTAAACCCTAATTTAAAAGCTGATTTTGCCGGGCATGGTGGCTCACGCCTGTAATCCCAGCACTTTGGGAGGCCGAGGCGGGCGGATGACTTGAGGTCAGGCGTTCAAGACCAGGCTGGCCAACACAGTGAAACCCTGTCTCTACTAAAAATACAAAAAATTAGCCAGGCATGGTGGCACACGTCTGTGGTCCCAGCTACTTGGGAGGCTGAGGCAGGAGAATCACTTGAACCTGGGAGGCAGAGGTTGTAGTGAGCTGAGATCACGCCACTGCATCTAGCCTGGGCAACAAGAGACTCTGTCACAAAAAAAAAAAAAAAAAAAAAGCTGACTTCATAAATTATTAGAATGAATGAGAACATTTTTCCCACTAACATTGCATGGGTTTCAAACCAATCTTTTTGGCGCTAACTTTGTCTAATTACTGTTGTTTAAAATGTAAAAATACAGGCTTTCTTTCTTTGAAAGTGGCTAGACAAAACATCTCACCATTTCAATATTTCCTCTATGGATATTACATGATATAATTGAAGTTACTATTAATATCCTCTGGTGTGATAATGGTACTGTGTTTATGTAAGAAAAGTCCTTATTCTTTTTTAATTTTTTTTTTTTAGACAGTCTCACTTTGTCACCCAGGCTGGAGTGCAGTGGCACGATCTCGGCTCACTGCAACCTCTGCCTCCTGGGTTGGAGCAATTCTCCTGCCTCAGCCTCCTGAGTAGCTGAGACTACAGGTGTGCACCAGCCACCACGCCTGGCTAATTTTTGTATTTTTAGTAGAGATGGGTTTCTGCCATGTTGGCCAGGCTGGTCTTGAACTCCTGACCTCAGGTGATCCACCCACCTCAGCCTCCCAGAGTGCTAGGATTACAGGCATGAGCCACCGTGCCTGGCCTTTTAATTTTTATTTTGAGATGGAGTCTTGCTCTGGCACCCAGGCTGGAATGCAATGGCATGATCTCGGCTCACTGTAACCTCTGCCTCTTGGGCTCAAGTGATTCTCCTGCCTCAACCTTCTGAGTAGCTGGGATTACAGGCAGACGCCATCACGCCTGGCTAATTTTTGTAGAGATGGGATTTCAACATTTTGGCCATGCTGGTCTCGAACTCCTGACCTCAAGTGATCCACCCGCCTCGGCTTCTCAAAATCCTGAGGTTACAGGCATGAGCCACTGTGCCCAGAAAAACAGTCCTTATTCTTTGAAGATGCATGTTAAAGTATTTACACTGAAGTCTCACAGTATTTGCAAATTATAAATGGCTCAGCCAAAAATATGAGATAGCAAATATAGCAAAATATTGAGTCTACATAGTAGGGTGGTATACAGATATTTATTTATACTATTCTAATTATATGTATCTGAGTTATTTTGTTTTAGAGATGGGGATCTTGCTATATTGCCCAGACTGACTTGAACTCCTGGGCTTAAACGATCCTCCAGCCTCAGCCTCCCAAGTAGCTGGGACTACAAGTGCACACACAGTGCCTGGCTTGTATCTGAGATTTTTCTTTTTTTTCTTTTTTTTGAGAAGGAGTCTCGCTCTGTCGCCCAGGTTGGAGTGCAGTGGCATGATCTCGGCTCACTGCAAGCTCCGCCTCCCAGGTTCATGCTATTCTCCTGCCTCAGCCTCAGAGTAGCTGGGATTACAGGCACCCGCCACCAAGCCCAGCTAATTTTTTGTATTTTTAGTAGAGACAGGGTTCCACCGTGTTAGCCAGGATGTTCTCAATCTCCTGACCTCGTGATCCACCCGCCTCGGCCTCCCAAGTGCTGAAAGAAAAATTTCCAGTCCATAACTGTTAAACAAGAAACTTAATATTGCCATTATTATGCAATTCAATCTGAATTACCCTTATCAACTAACTTCCAAAATAAAATAAAGTTTTACCTGCTTTTCGTAAGTTTGGTTTTATTCACAACTATGTGGCAGCTAAAATAAAGATCTACAGTCATATCCATGTTAAAGGCCTACTACTATATTTTAACCAATAAATATTACTACCAACCCAGAGTTTGTTCTGCAATATCATTAATCATAATTTGAAGCAGCCCTCTCTTGCTATGGACAAGCTTAGACACTTTTTATGTGACTAGAAGTTATATAGTAATTTAGAAAATCATAAAACTGATAACCAATTTCCTCAATAACATTTCCAAGTAATAAGCCAAATTTAGGTTAAAGAATCTATAACACCTTGGCCAGATGTGGTGGCTCACACCTGTAATCTCAGGTAGGAGAGGTTCTAAAACATGGAAGCTTTCTGAAACCTATTGTTCATAATGCCAGGGATCAGGAACAGTGATGGAGAAATTTACTGGGTTGAAATTACAAAATTATTTGAAATAATTCTCACAAGGGCCTGTCCCATCCACTAAGCCATACTGTCTCTCTAGATGTATTCCACATGAAAAACAAAACTGAAACAAGACACGAGGGAACTGTAAGTTTCCATCAAGTGAACAAATAGATACTCTCACTCCACAGGATAGAATCAGAAGACATTCTTAACTAGCTCCCCATATTGGACAAGGGCCATTAACATCTTGACTCAACTCTACCATCCGTAACAACAGCAAAAACTGATTCATTCACAGAGTAGGCCAAAGTCTGACCTCAGCAGGGCAAACAAAGCATTTGAATTATTAGATAAGCAGATTATGAACACTGGATAGCATTTTAATAATTATACCTTCAGGATGGGCATGGTGGTTCACACTTGCAATCCTAGCACTTCAGGAGGCCAAAGTAATAGGATCACTTGAGCCTGGGAGTTAGAGATCAGCCTGGGCAATATAGTGAGACCCTGTCTCTACAAAAACATTTGTTTAAAATTATACTTTCACAATACTCCATCTAATTCCAGGGATCCATTTCTAGAAATGAAAGGATAACAACACATCATTACTAATGGCGTAAGACTGAGACTTTTCCTAGTTAACATTAACACAGGTTTCTGAATGTGAAATATTTCACTGCCACATTTTAAAATTCCAAATGAAGGTGTTAAAAGGTTTTCTACTTTGAACTTCTAAAAAAGCCCTAGTAAAAATTCATACCAAGAAGGTAATAAATTGCAGAATTTATCTAGTTTTACTGTGCATATTTCTCTGCAAAGAGAATAAGATTCAAAATGAGATTTTATGTCATAACTCTATCTTCAATTCTGTATTCCCTAGAAGGCAATACCAGGTATACATATGGTTGTGAAGGCCTTTTACATTCACACACACACACACACACACACACACACACAGAAAATAAGAGTTGCATGTATAATGTCTACATATAAAATCAGAATATTCAAGTTGGAGAGACTTAAAATCATCTAAACCAACTCCTTATTTGATAGATAAGGACACAGATAACCCAAGAAGGAAGTGAAAGCCCCAAGGTCTCTGAGCCGCACAGAGCCAAGGACGAAAGCCCTGGACGGTCCTCCAGGCAGTCTCCTTTCCTCCCAACACTCTGCCTCTCCTCTACCAACCTTCAACCACCGCTGAACTCCCAAATCAGGTCCTCTGAGTTAAAGGTTGAGGGTACAAGCTAAACTATGAATAAAAAAAAAAAAGTTTAACTTTTTGTTTTCCTTTAATGCTCAAGGTAAGTAATTTTATCACATAAGCCCAGTCCCCCAGCAAAGCAGAACCCGAAAGACATAAGATATTCACAAATGGCCAGGCACGGTGGTTCACGCCTATAATCCCAGCACTTTGGGAGGCCAAGGTGGGTGGATCACGAGGTCAGGAGTTCAAGACCAGCCTGGCCAAGATGGAGAAACCCCGTCTCTACTAAAAATACAAAAATTAGCTGGGCGTAGTGGCGAGCTCCTGTAATCCCAGCTACTCGGGAGGCTGACGAAGAGAATTGCTTGAATCCAGGAGGCAGAGGTTGCAGTGAGCCAAGATTACGCCACTGCACTCCAGACTGGGCAACAGAGCAAGACTCAGTCTCGAAAAAAAAAAGATATTCATAAACAAAAATTCACGGTGTTCTCCAGGTGGAAAAAAAACAAGAAAAAAATAAAATCCACAATGTGGGACAGTTCATGGGAGCTAGGCCTATACAATAATGCTCCCAAATATGTAAATGAAAGAAAAAAGCGAAACAACATTCACTGTGAAAGACACTGTACGTGATCCAACCCAGTATCCATTCTCTCCTTCTTACTATCAAAACCCCGATTGTATTCAGGGCAGTCAAAGAGCCTTGTTTCCCAGCCTTTCTTGCAACGAGACACTTCTAGCTCAGGATGATCAGGGCAATGTGTAGGGAGGGACACTCAGAAAAGTTCCTTTGGTCATTGGAGGAGGGGAATAGTCTCAGCTAGCTCTTAGCCTTCTGCCTATTCACCCCTTTCTTCCTCCCACTGCATGAAACAGTGACGTGATGGCAGAAGCGATGCCTTTAAGATTAAGTAATGCACTGAAGAGGGCTGGGAATACACACTGCGGCAATCTGGATTCCCTGATGACATGAAGCCCGCCCTTATCTGCCTCCCTAACTTACCATCACAACTACATTATTCCAGAACTGTTACTACCAGCCAACTACAATTCCTAACTGATCTGTCCAGTAAGCAATTACATGCTAAATACATTCACATACATTTCATATAAAATAACCTCAAAACAAATTATAAGTATTTCCTTCCTTTTTCGGTTGAGGAAACCAAGGCAAAGAGATAACAAATCCAATCTGTGACTGAAGCCTATAGTTATTCCACTGTATTTTACTTCTTCAAATGTCACACATCTGAAAAAGTCTATGATTTTTTCTTTTCAAGATAAAGGGTCTTGCTCTGTTGCCCAGGCTGGTCTGAAACTCCTGGCCTCGGCCCGGCACAGTGGCTCATGCCTGTAATCCCAGCACTTTGGGAGGCTGAGGTGGGTGGATCACCTGAGGTCAGGAGTTCGAGACCAGCCTGACCAACATGGAGAAACCCCTTCTCTACTAAAAATACAAAATTAGCCCAGTGTGGTGGCACATGCCTGTAATCCCAGCTACTCAGGAGGCTGAGGCAGGAGAATCGCTTGAACCCAGGAGGCAGAGGCTGCAGTGAGCTGAGATCACACCATTGCACTCCGCCTGGGCAACAAGAGCTAAACTCCGTCTCAAAAAAAAAAAAAGAAAAAAGAAACTCCTGGCCTCGAGTGATTCTCCCACCTCAGCCTCCTGAGTCGCTGAAATTACAGTCATGAGCCACCTGAAAAAGCAGAGGCATTTCAAAAAATTATCTCAATCATTCTCATATAATGTGCCACAAATCCATTCACTGTCTTCTAATTCATTAAAACCCTGCCAACCATGATTGGATTTCAACCTGTGAGTAAATTCTTTACCAAGAGTCCTCCTCTGGCTGACTGATAAGTGATCACACCTCCAGAAAAGTATCAGGTATGGCCCTACTGGTTGCAGAGTGTCAGATCATAAAAAGCTCAGCCCCTTCTCCATACAGCAGCCCACATAATCTTGGTCACAAACGCCACGCTCTAGTACATACTAGTACATATGTACTTAACAGTAACTTATTTACAACCTGATTCTTTAATCAAGATAACCTACCAACCGCCTCATACCTCATGAGTGCCCTCTTGCTCATCTATCTCCTGTCTCTATGACATTCTGCTTCCACCAGGAAGCCTTCTCTGATAGACTCAACTCTGTGCTTTTCCAAGGCCCTATTCTCCTTTTTAAAACGTACTTCTAAGGATGCCTAGGCTTTTTATTCATACACTATCTTCATAACTCCATGTAATGGTCCTATTATTTTTATACAGAATAAAACAGAGACACTAAAATGTTAATAATAGAATTCAGTAACTTTTTTAAGAAACCTATTAGAAATTTAAAAATGTGGGCAACTTCGCCAGGTGCGGTGGCTCATGCCTGTAATCCCAGCACTTTGAGAGGCAGAGGGGGGTGGATCACAAGGTCAGGAATTCAAGACCAGCCTGGCCAAGATCGTGAAACCCCGTCTCTACTAAAAATACAAAAATTAGCCGGGCGTGGTGGTGGACTCCTGTAATCCCAGCTACTTGGGGAGGCTGAGGCAGAGAATTGCTTGAACCCTGGAGGCAGAGGTTGCAGTGAGCCGAGATTGCGCCACTGCACTCCAGCCTGGCTGACAGAGCGAGACTCCGTCTCAAAAATAAAAACACAACAAAAAAATGTGGGCAACAAATAAATGGATAAAATGTGGTATGTAATACACTATATATGAATACTATTCAGCCATAAAAAAATTAAAACCACATCTTATAATTCCCAGCATCATGGATGAGTTTAGGGGACATTACGTTAAGTAAAATAAAGCAGGCACGCAAAGACATGTATCGCATATTCTCACTCATACGTGGGAGCTAAAAAAGTTAATTTCATAGAAATGGAGCAGAATAGTGGTTACTAGAGTCTGGTGGGGAGGTAGCCAGAGATCGGTTAACAAATACCAAATTACAGATAGATAAGAGAAATAAGTCTTAGTGTGCATTCGAAGGTGACCATAATTAACAATTTATTGTAGCTGAGCGCAGTGGCTCACACCTGTAATTCCAGCACTTTGGGAGGCGGGTCAGTTGAGCCCAGGAGTTTAAAACCAACCTGGGCAACATGGCGAAATACCATCTCAAAATTAAAAAAAAAAAAAAAAAAAAAATTTGGCTGGGCTCAGTGGCTCACGCCTGTAATCCCAATACTTTGGGAGGCTGAGGCAGGCGGATCATGAGGTCTGGGGTTCAAGACCATCCTGGCCAACACGGTGAAACCCTGTGCCTACTAAAAATACAAAAAAGAGCCAGGCATGGTGACACGTGCCTGTAGTCCACTTGGGAGGCTGAGGCAGGAGAAGTGCTTCAACTCCAGCCTGGCGACAGAGCAAGTCTCTGTCTCAAAAAAACAAAAATAAAAACAAAAAACAAACACAACTTATGGCCAGGCACGGTGGCTCATGCCTGTAATCCCAGCACTTTGGGAGGCCAAGGCAGGTGGATCATTTGAGGTCAGGAGTTCAAGACCAGCCTCGCCAACATGGTGAAACCTCGTCTCTACTAAAAATACAAAAATTAGCCGGGTGTGGTGGCACACACCTGTAATCCCAGCTACTCAGAAGCCTGAGGCAGAAGAATTGCTTGAACTCGGGAGGTGGAGGTTGCAGTGAGCCGAGATTGCACCAATGCACTCCAGCCTGCGCGACAAAGCGAGACTCCGTCTCAAAAATAAATAAATAAATAAAAACAAATATTTTGTCTTTTCAAATAACTAGAAGAGTGGATTTTGGATGTTCCCAACACAAAGAAGTGATAAATAAGGTGACAGATATGCCCAATTTGATCATTACACATTGAATACATCTATAGAAGTATCACTGTATGCCATAAATATGTCAATTAAAACTAAATATATATATACATATATAAAGAGGAGAAAATCAACAATATGGTTAAACAGAAAAAAGGCTCTGCATATTAAAAAAGATACACAAATATGAGTTTTACACTTTGTTTTAAAAGACTTGAATTCTAGCATTGAAATCTAGTTTTCTTGCTTGAAATAAAGATAACTGCTTTATGAATAGAATATTCCAACAATGAGTGCACTGTCAATTGCCCAGAGTCAATTAAGTGCCTGATAAGAGTAACATTTAGGGGCCAGGCACGGTGGCTCACGCCTGTAATCCCAGCACTTTGGGAGGCCGAGGCAGGCGGATCACCTGAGGTCGGGAGTTTGAGACCAGCCTGAACAACATGGAGAAACCCCGTCTCTACTAAAAATACAAAATTAGCTGGCGTGGTGGCACATGCCGGTAATCCCAGCTACTTGGGGGGCCGAGGCAGGAGAATCACTTGAATCCAGGAGGCAGAGGTTGCGGTGAGCCAAGATCGTGCCATTGCACTCCAGCCTGGGCAACAAGAGTGAAACTCCATCTCAAAAAAAAAAAAAAAAAGAAGAGTAACATTTAATGCACCATATCCCGTAGCTCAAGAACTGAACTGCTATCCAGTATGTTTCCTTCTCCTCTCCACACAAAAAGAGACACTAGCACATTTCATTACATCTATGACACACCATTATTTTATGACACACCAAGAAAGAAAAAAGCTGCCCATTAGACTATGACTTATCACCATTTTAAGACATCTCAATTTCAAAGATGTTAAGATGTGGGAAAAAAAGGTCTCAGAATCTATAAAATACAAGATAAACCAGACACTGTTTACTGACATAAAAACACTTACCATCTTCACACGCCACCAATATTCCTTCTTAGCTAAATGTGTATTTACATGGTTTACTGAATAATTCTATCCAGTCTGGTTCAAATATTATATTAACACATTGCCAGGCACAGTGGCTGATGCCTGTAATCCCAGCACTTTGGGAGGCCAAGGCGGGCTGATCACTTGAGGTCAGGCGTTCGAGACCAGCCTGGCCAACATGGTGAAACTCTGTCTCTACTAAAACAACAAAATTAGCCAGGTGTGGTGGCAGGCCCCTTGTAATCCCAGCTACTTGAGAGGCTGAGGCAGAAGAGTCACTTGAACCCAGGAGGTGGAGGTTACAGCGAGCCAAGATCGCACTGCTGCACTCCAGCCTGGGCGACAAAGACTCCATCTCAAAAAACAAAACAAAACAAAAAAAACGGATATACAAGAAACTGTGCTAGGTTACAATTAAAGCACATCCTAGACTTTATCATAATATGACTTCTCTTCCAATATACATTTGTTAGGAGTAGTAGCTCTCAAACACTCTGGTCTCAGCACGCTTTACACTCTGTATTTTTTTTTGCGATGGGGTTTCGCTCTTGTTGCCCACGCTGCAGTGTAATGGCACGATCTCGGCTCACTGCAACCTCTGCCTCCTGGGTTCAAGTAATTCTCCTGCCTCAGCCTCCGGAGTAGCTGGGATTACAGGCATGCGCCACCATGACCAGCTAATTTTGTATTTTTAGTAGAGACGAGGTTTCTCCATGTTGCTCAAGCTGGTCTCAAACTCCCGACGACCTCAGGTGACCTGCCCACCTTGGCCTCCCAAAGTGTTGGGATTACAGGCGTGAGCCACCTCATGCGGTCTACATTCTTAAAAATTAAAGACCTCGGCTGGGCATGGTGACTTACGCCTGTAATCCCAGTACTTTGGGAGGCCAAGGCGGGTGGATCACGAGGTCAGGTGTTCAAGACCAGCCTGGCCAACATGGTGAAAACCCATCTCTACTAAAAATAAAAAAAAATTAACAGCTGGGCACAGTGGCTCACACCTGTAATCCCAGCACTTTGGGAGGCCGAGGCGGGTGGATCACGAGGTTAGGAAATCGAGACCATCCTGGCTAACACGGTGAAACCCCATCTCTACTAAAAATACAAAAAATTAGCCGGGCATGGTGGTACGCGCCTGTAGTCCCAGCTACTCCGGAGGCTGAGGCAGGAAAATTGCTTAAAGCCAGGAGGCAGGGGTTGCAGTGAGCCGAGATCGCCCCACTGCACTCCAGCCTGGGTGAGAGAGCGAGACCCCGTCTCACAAAAAAAAAAAAAAAAAAAAAAAACAAGGCCGGGCACAGTGGCTCACACCTGCAATCCCAGCACTTTGGGAGGCTGAGGCAGGTGGATCACCTGAGGTCAGGAGTTCAAGACCAGCCTGACCAACATGGTGAAACCCAATCTCTATTAAATACAAAAAATTAGCTGGGCGTGGTGGTGCATGCCTGTAGTCCCAGCTACTTGGGAGGCTGAGGCAGGAGAATCGCTTGAACCCAGGAGGCACAGGTTGCAGCAGTGAGCTGAGATTGTGCCACTGCACTCCAGCCTGGGCAACAAGAGCAAAACCCTGTCTCAAAAAGAAAAAAAAAAAATTGCCACGCGTGGTGGTATGCGCCTGTAATCCCAGCTACTGGAGAGGCTGAGGCAGGAGAATTGCCTGAACCCAGGAGGCGGAGGTTGCAGTGAGCTGAGATCACGCCATGGCACTCCAGCCTGGGCAACAGAGTAAGACTCTGTCTTGGGGAAAGAAAAAAAAAACCTGAAGACCTCAAAGAGCTTTTCTATGTGTGTTATTTACCATTTTAGAAACACAAAATATTAATTCATTTAAAAGTAAATCTTATGCATATAAATATAAATCATCTTTAAGAAAAAAAAAACTAATTTCCAAAACAAAGAATAACATAGTAAGAACAGTTTTTAATCATTTTGCAACTCTCTTTAATATCCAGCTTAAGAAAAGAAAGCTGGATTTTCATATGTGCTTCTGTATTGAATCTGGTATGTTTTGAATGTAATTGGAAAAGAGTACTTTAACAGACTTTTCAGATAATTCTGGACATTTTTTGTTGATATAATGCCAAAATTGACAAGCAGTTGTCTCGTAAAGGCTAACTGCAATGTGGAATCTTAAATTGTACCAACGAACTTTTCATATTCTTATATTAAAATCCACTGTTCTACTTTGCTTTTTTTTTTTTTTTTTGAGACGGAGTCCAGCTCTGTCACCCAGGCTGGAGTGCAGTGGCACAATCTCAGCTCCGCCTCCCAGGTTTAAGCGATTCTACTCCTCAGCCTCCCCAGTAACAGGGATTACAAGCGCCCGCCACCACACCCAGCTAATTTTTGTACTTTTAGTAGAGATGGGGTTTCACTGTGTTGGCCAAGCTAGTCTCAAACTCCTGACCACGTGATCCGCCTGCCTCGGCCTCCCAAAGTGCTGGGATTACAAGTGTGAGCCACTGCGCCCAGCCCACTTTGCTTTTTTTTTTGGAGATGGAGTCTCGCTCTTGTTGCCCAGGCTGGAGTGCAGTGGCGCAATCTCGGCTCACTGCAAGCTCCACCTCCCGGGTTCACACCATTCTCCTGCCTCAGCCCCCTGAGTAGCTGGGACTACAGGCGCCCGCCACCACGCCCGGCTAATTTTTTGTATTTTTAGTAGAGATGGGGTTTCACTGTGTTAGCCAGGATGGTCTCAATCTCCTGACCTCATGATCCACCCACCTCGGCCTCCCAAAGTGCTGGGATTATAGGCGTGAGGCACCACGCCCAGCCTACTTTGCATTTTTAATGGATCTTTTAACCAGGCATAATTTTTCTGTCATGCACTGGCCATTTGGAAAACAGTTTTCACTGACTTACACAGATCTTCCAAATGTTGACACCATTTCATCATACATCAAAAATCCTGTCAGAGGAGATCGAGACCACGCTGGCTAACACAGTGAAACCCCGTCTCTACTAAAAATACAAAAAATTAGCCGGGCGTGGTGGTGGGCACCTGTAGTCCCAGCTACTCGGGAGGCTGAGGCAGAAGAATTGCCTGAACCCGGAAGGCGGAGGTTGCAGTGAGCTAAGATCACGCCATTGCACTCCAGCCTGGGCGACAGAGCGAGACTCCGTCTCAAAAAAAAAAAAAAAAAAAAAAAAGTCCTGTCAGAACTGTCTATCTACATCAGAAAACTGTTGGCTGGGCAAAAAGGGCACATAATGAATCAATATTACTATGAAAAGTTCTGACCTCACATTCCCCTTGAAAGTATCTTGGGGATCCCTAGGGGGCTCCAGACATCACCTGTGCCAGAACCTCTGTTACTTACCAAAAACCTAAAGAGTAAAATTCTGTTCCTCTTTCACCAAGCACATGTCCACAAACAAAGAAAAACAAAAGCTATACTTATGTGTATATACATTTAAATATAACACTAAACTTCAGGTTTTGCATCTGTAAAATGAGATTTTAAATATCTGGTTTAAGTATCTTTCCTATTATTCTGAATAACTAAGAAAAGGCCACATACTTTTATGGAAGGTGTGAGCTGCTGAAGTAGTTCTTAAGTCCTCTTTTGTCACAGAATACAGGTGAAAGGTAAAAATAAACACAACATAAAGGTCCTTAATGAAGTCCTGAGCAAACTAAGAAGTTGACAGTATCAAATATTAAGGAAAACCCCTTTTAGAACTTCTAAATTTGTAAGGAGGAACTGGAAACACTTTGCAACTTATAAAACAGGGTACTAAAAAGCTCCATAATTTGGATGAGTTTAAGGTATTCTATTTTACAAATGAAGTAAAGCAAGTTTCAGCTGTTTCTTTCCCCAATGCACAACCTTAATTTCCTTTTATCTTAAACACCAGGAATCAAACAATCTCAACCATCTGAAAACGGCATTGAATAACCTATAAGGTATTAGCATTTAGGACCATTTAAGAAAACAAACACACGTTACATGTGGGAAAATGAACACTACATAAAAAGGCAAATGACATCCACACAGAAAAGAATTGAATTCCCCATCATTGGAGGAAGATTCAACACTTTCCTGCAAGATTTCCATATCGTTTCAATTGCAGGTGCCAAAGTTTAGTCTAAAAATGACCTAAGGACTTGGTGAAAACCCAGTAGTATATAATTTATTCTAATCCGTTTAACAGGTGTTTGCTGAGCATCTACTACACAGGCAAAGCTATAAGGGACAAAAGCTTAGGAAACCATAGTTAGCCCCAGATCCACTGTGATAAGGACTTACTCTGATCTCAGCACCTTTAACTGACCTGTGTGGTCCAGATTTTTAACCCACAAAAAGTGGGCCATAACATCTCAAAGCAAAAATGCTGCAAGGATAAACGTGAAATGTATTAGAATGAAAAGTACATTATAGAGCAATGACAAGCCAGGCACAGTCACTCATGCCTGTAATCCCAGCACTTTGCGAGGCCAAGGTGGGCAGATCACTTGAGCTCAGGAGTTTGAGACCACCCTGGGCAACATGGTGAAACCCTATCTCTACTAAAATTACAAAAATTATCCGGGCATTATAGCACACGACTGTACTCCTAGCTACTCAGGAGGCTGAGGCAGGAGGACCGCTTGAGCCTGGGAGGTGGAGGTTGCAGTGAGCCGAGAAAGCACCACTGCACTCCAGCCTAGGCAACACAGACCGACCTTGCTTTAAAAACAAAAAAGAACAACAAAAACATGAGCTGAGGCCAGGAGTGGTGGCTCACACCTATAATCTCAGCACTTTGGGAGGCCAAGGCGGGTGGATCACCTGAGGTCAGGAGTTCAAGACCAGCCTGGCCAATATGGTGAAACCCTGTCTCTACTAAAACTACAAAAATTAGTCGGGCATGGTCGTGGGCACCTGTAATCCCAGCTACTCAGGAGACTGAGGCAGGAGAATCGCTTGAACCTGGGAGGTAGAGGTTGCAATGAGCCAAGATCATGCCACTGCACTCCAGCCTGGGCGACAGAGCAAGACTCCGTCTTTAAAAAAAAAAAAAAAAAAAAAAAAGCTGAAATAAAAACACATACACCAAAAATCATCAAGGTTTTCTCATTTAAAGGAGTAATTTCAACTGCTTAGAAAATTCTGAAGTGGAAAATATATATAAAAAAATAAAATAAAAATTTTAAAAAACAGTCAGGGTGGCTCACCCTGTAATCCCAGCACTTTGGGAGGCCAAGGTAGCCAGATCACTTGAGGTCAGGAGTTCAAAAACAGACAGGACAAGACCCCATTTCTACAAAAAGTATATATATGTGTGTGTGTATATATATGTGTATATATATATATATGTGTGTGTGTGTATATATATGTGTATATATGTGTGTGTATATATATGTGTGTGTATATGTGTGTGTGTGTGTGTATATATATATATGCACCACAAAATAGAGGTGAAAGGTAAAAATAAACATATGTATATATAGAGGTATACATAGAAGCAGAAATATATATAGATAAATATATAACTTTTAAAAATAAATTTAAGGCTGGGCATGGTGGCTCACATCTGTAATCCCACCATTATGGGAGGCTGAGGTGGGCAGATCACGAGGTCAGGAGTTCAAGACCAACATGGTGAAACCCTGTATCTACTAAAAATACAAAAATTTGCTGGGCGTGGTAGTGCATGCCTGAATCCCAGCTACTCAGGAGGCTGAGGCAGGAGAATCGCTTGAACCCGAGAGGCGAGGGTCATAGTGAGCTGACATCACACCACTGCACTCCAGCCTGGGCGACAGAGCGAGACTGTCTCAAAGAAAAAAAAAAAAAAAACAGAAAAGAAAATATAACTCAGGTAATTAAATACATAAAACTTTGAAATGAAAACAGCATGCTGCCATTCTATCCTGACAAAAGCTTCCATAAATCAGGCACTTTTACAGCACTTATTCTATTCTTTAAATTAACAGGGTAAATACAATTCTGACACCTTAAGAAAAGATGCAATGCCATCTAATCTATTGTTGTAGAGAGGTACCAGAACACTGATATTAAAATCTACTAAGTCATTTTTATTTTTCTTTACGAATCTTATATTGATAAGCAGGATTAACAGACATTACTAGGCTGTTGTTTTAATTCTATTTTTCACACAACAAACATGACTACTAGTAAAACTGATGTTAATCACAGTTGAAAAGTAGTATCCTCTCAACTTTCATCTGTTTTTTTCTATCAATAATAACAAAGTTACCAGAGTTTACTCTCCTAATCTGAAGCGGTACAGTCAAGCATTAATGAAGTGTACAGTCAAGCATTATTACTTCTTAAGCTACTATTTAAGGCAACAAATGCTATTATTGCCTAGAGAGAATATGATTATTAATTTCCACACTAAGAGCCCTTATATTCGGAAAGCCACCATTGCTTTGTAATACTAGTATTTGCAGTCCAGGTTTTCTCGAAGTATAAAAACATGCTAAAATCTATGACTCTAATACCTATTAAAATTTAACTTTAAATAATAAGATGCCATCAGAACTTCATCAGAACTGACAAAACACTTTAAGAATGACATTTAAGAAATAAAACTGCCAGAACTGGCAGACTAAAACCATCATGTTTTATCCAATTCATTCAAGTGAGTAATATGCCCAATTTAAAAGCACACAAGTCACAAACTGATTTCTGATTCTACAAAAAATAGAATTTCTAAGCCGGGCACGGTGGCTCACGCCTGTAATCCCAGTACTTTGGGAGGCCGAGGCGGGCAGATCACGAGGTCAGGAGATCGAGACCATCCTGGCTAACATGGTGAAACTCCGTCTCTACTAAAAATACAAAAAATTAGCCGGGCGTAGTGGCGGGCGCCTGTAGTCCCAGCTACTCGGGAGGCTGAGGCAGGAGAATGGCATGAACCCAGGAGGCGGAGCTTGCAGTGAGCTGAGATTGCGCCACTGCACTCCAGCCTGGGTGACACAGCCAGACTCCATCTCAAAAAAAAAAAAAAAATAGAATTTCTAATTCTCATTAAGCAAATAAAAAGATACATATGTCCATTAAGATAATCCAGTTCAGGCCACGTGCAGTGGCTTGTGCCTGTAATCCTAGCACTTTGGGAGGCCAAGGCAGGTGGATCACCTGAGGTCAGGAGTTCGAGACCAGCCTAGAGCCTGGCCAACATGGTGAAACCCCGTCTCTACTAGGAAAAAAAAAAAAAAAAAAAAAAAGTTAGCCAGGTGTGGTGGCAGGCGCCTGTAATCCCAGCTACCCAGGAGGCTGAGGCAGGAAAATCGCTTGAACTGGGGAGACAGAGGTTGCAGTGAGCCGAGATCACGCCACTATACTCCAGCCTGGGCAACAAGTGTGAGGCTCCATATCAAAATAACAAACAAACAAACAACAACAACAAAAAAAACACACAGACTTGAAAACATACAATTTATGGGCCAGGTGTGGTGGTGGCTCGCGCCTGTAGTCCCAGCACTCTGGGAGGCTGAGGCGGATGGATCACGAGGTCAGGAGATCGAGACCATCCTGGCCAACACAGTGAAACCCCGTCTCTACAAAAATACAAAAAAATTAGCCGGGCATGGTGGCAGGCACCTGTAGCCCCAGCTACTCGGAAGGCTGAGGCAGGAGAATGGCGTGAACCCAGGAGGCAGAGCTTGCAGTGAGCCGAGATCACACAACTGCACTTCGGCCTGGGCAACAGAGTGAGACTCCATCTCAAAACAAAAAAAAGAAAAAAGAAAAAACATACAATTTATGAAAATGAAATGAAATTACAGTCTTTATGAACCACAAATACAGTTTTTCAGATATATCATGGTTTATATGTTATATATAAAACTCTTAACTAAATCTCAAACAAGGGAAAAGTCACATTAATTACTCCAAGAGAAAGAACTGGTTACTAACTACTTTAATGCAGGAGCTCGTGGATAAAAAAGATGAGTGGATAAAAAAGCAAGTGAGTATTCACAACAGCATGACAAACAACACAGGTATACTCACATATATGGCATTTGATAATCAGAGACAGCACTTTAGCTGCCTTTCTTCACTGCCTAGAGAAATGGGCAGCAATCAAGGCATTCAAAGGTCTACCTCCTTTCCTTCTTCCAACCATAAAACCAACCTAACTCAAAAGAAAGGTATTTTAAATCTTTATAGATAAAAATGAATAGAGTGACAAAATACATCATTTGTTTTTTCTTTATTCATTATCAAGATGGTGGCTATGAAGAACTAAATGAATCAGGTTTGTAAAGTTAACAGATGCTAATAATGTCATATTGTGATGCAAAGATGAGTGCTTTTATCCTCAGTTCCCTTGATAATTGTGTTATCAAACACATATTGTGTTCAATGTTTTAGTGTGCTTAAGTACACTTAAGAGCAACGTTAATATCTAATATCAGCCACCAAGATAAAAGGCTAAAACTCCTGTCAAAACTACTACACATACTGAAAATTCTTTTCCCTCCTGTTTTCATCTATTTGAATATAATTTGTAATAAAAATCCATGGCCAGGCACAATGGTTCACAACTGTAATCCCAGCACTTTGGAAGGCCAAGGCAAGAGGATTGCTTGAACTCAGGAGTTCAAGAACAGCCTGGGCAACATGGCAAAACCCTGTCTCTACAAAAATATACAAAAATTAGCTGGGCATGGTGGCGTGTGACTGTAGTTCCAGCTACTCAGGGGGATGAGGCGGGATTGCTTTGCACCCAGGAGGTCAAGGCTTCAGTGAGCCATGATGGCACCACTGCACTCCAGCGTGGGCAACAGAGAGAGAGACTGCCTCATTCAAAAAAAAAAAAAAAAAAAAAAAAAAAAGGCTGGCTCATGCTTGCAATCCCAGCACTTTGAAAGGCCGAGGCGGGTGGATCACCTGAGGTCAGGAGTTCAAAACCACCCTGACCAATATGGAGAAACCCGTCTCTACTAAAAATACAAAATTAGCTGGGCATGGTGGCACATGCCTGTAATCCCAGCTACTCGATAGGCTGAGAATTGTTTGAACCCGGGAGGCGGAGGTTGTGGTGAGTCGAGATTACGCCATTGCACTCCAGCCTGGGCGCCAAGAGCAAAACTTCGTCTCAAAAAAAAAAAAACAAAGCCGACCCAAACTGTCCAAGATTCCCCTCACAAGATTATGTACTTGTAGGCTTAGTTTGATGTTTTTGTTTTTTTGTTTTTTTTGTTTTTTTTTGAGACAGAGTCTCAGTCTGTCACCAGGCTGGAGTGCAGTGATGCGATCTCGGCTCCCTGCAACCTCCACCTCCTAGGTTCAAGCAATTCTCCTGCCTCAGCCTCCCGAGCAGCTTTGATTACAGGCGCCTGCCACCACACCCAACTAACTTTTGTATTTTTAGTAGAGATGGGGCTTCACCATGTTGGCCAGGCTGGTCTCGAACTCCTGACCTCAGGTGATCTATCCGCCTTGGCGTCCCAAAGTGCTACGATTACAGGCATGAGCCACCACGCCCGGCCTCTAGTTTGAATTAATGATCTGATCAAGTACAATTCACAGCTGTGAGAACCAAATGCCATATAAAAGTGACTGTTTTTTTAATTTTTAGAGACAGGGTCTCACTATAGTGCTCAGGTGGGAGAATGCAGTGACTATTCACAGGCACAGTCATTGTACACTACAGCCTTGGACTCAAGCAATCCTCCTGCTTCAGCCTTCCCAGTAGCTGGGACTGAAGGAATGAGCCACTGCAACCAGCGAAAGTGAGCATTTGTTACCCAGTTTCCTTCTTTCGGAATACAATTAAAAGAGTTATATAGTTCCAAGCTTTGCTGCCAAGGAGAATCACTAATTTATTTACAGGTTTAGATTCAAGAATAGCAAAAGGGTAGTAAACATCCAGCAGTAAGACCATGAAAACATTATATCCATCTATATATTACTCTTGGTGATCTCTTACTGATATGACTTTAACCAATCAACCTTCTACATACAAATGCTACAATGGAAATGTCCAACCAAATTCTGAATTTTTAAATTAATCAACTTATCAGCAACTGTCTATGCAACATAGTCATCAAATTGAAAAGCAAAATCCAGGCTGGGCACGGTGGCTCATGCCTGTAATCCCAGCACTTTGGGAGGCCAAAGCAGGTGGATCACGAGGTCAGGAGTTTGAGACCAGCCTGGCCAACATGGTGAAACCCCATCTCTACTAAAGATACAAAAAATTAGCCGGGCATGGTGGCGCGTGCCTGTAATCCCAGCTACTCGGGAGCCTGAGGCAGGAGAATCGCTTGAACCTGAGAGGCGGAGATTGCAGTGAGCCGAGATGGAGCCACTGCACTCCAGACTGGGCGACAACATGAGACTCCATCTCAAAAAAAAAAAGAAAGAAAGAAAGAAAGAAAAGCAAAATCCAGATTACCAAAGTTATACTGGCACCCTTTGGACAAAACAACTAAATTTACTTTTTGCTAGGCTAAGTGACAGCCCAATTGCTTCTGAGGTAACACAAACCAGACACGCACTCTGTATCTAGTTTTCTATTTATATTACCTCAACTAAGATTTTATAATCCAAAAAACCTTGAAAAGTGTACATGATAACTTGATATATGAAAAAAAGTTGCCTAATACTAAAAAGGAAATGCATAATTCACAACATTAATAACATGATTTTGTATGTAGGGAGTATCTCCTACCTTCACATATAATGCTTCCCTAAAAATGGTTTAAAAGTTAGAAACCAGGAGATTGAACCAAAGACAAAGATTACATTCTCAATTAATTGATATCCTAAATATGGATCCTCCAAGTGCTACAGAACAGGTGCCTTTTTTGAGTCCACTGACAGACCCGCCAACCATGCCTATCTTCTAGAGAATGGCAAAGTCTTCCAGAGAATGGCAAAGTCCAGCCAAGCCTCTCCCTTCACAAGGGCTACCTACTCCTCTCTCTGACTTCTCTGCAGGGACAGGTCAGAAGATCAGCAGCAACTATTCACACTGCCTACATAACGTCCTAGATACCTACAAAGCAGGGAGAGGCAAAAAGGATCCTCCTTCCCTCTTAAGCATATGGCTGCCATGTAGGGCTTCCCCAGGCTCTTGAGGATTTGGGTTCTACTGGTCATGGGCAGATACCCCCTTGAGCACCAGCCTATAAACAACCAGACACCTTCCCCAAGCATCTGGTGAGGTACAGAGAAGAAATTACAATAACCATAGTACCTGGGCCCCCAAAAGCTTAATTCTTCTCCAATGTGATACCCAATTGAGAATCACTAATGCAACAACAGCCTCTCAACAGACTACTGTGTTTTCAAAAGTTTCTACAATGCACTCGAATTACACTTCAGCATAGAAAATAACAAACTGGAATCTTTTTTTTTGGAGACGGAGTCACAGTCTGTTGCCCAGGCTGTAGTACAATGGCACCATCTCAGCTCACTGCAACCTCCACCTCCCGGGTTCAAGCAATTCTCCTGCCTCAGCCTCCCAAGTAGCCGGGACTACAGGCGCAAGCCACCACGCCCGGCTAATTTTTTGTATTTTAGTAGAGACAGGGTTTCACCATGTTGCCCAGGCTGGTTGGTCTCGAACTCCTGAGTTCAAGCAACGCCCGGCTAATTTTTTGTATTTTAGTAGAGACAGGGTTTCACCATGTTGCCCAGGCTGGTTGGTCTCGAACTCCTGAGTTCAAGCAATGCCCGGCTAATTTTTTGTATTTTAGTAGAGACAGGGTTTCACTATGTTGCCCAGGCTGGTTGGTCTCGAACTCCCGAGTTCAAGCAATCTGCCCACCTCAGCCTCCCAAAGTGCTAGGATTACAGGCATGAGCCACTGCGTCTGGCCAAGACACTGGAATTTATATGCTCAGGGCACCATTCCTGTGTCTGAATACCAAAACAGTCTACTCACCAAACATACTATCATTGCTCCAAACTAAAACAGGTACAAGCCAGGTCACCTTTTTGTTAGCCAAACTAAAAGTTCCAGCTGTCAGTAATATTAATTTTTTTTGAGACAGGGTCTCACTCTGTTGTCCAGGCTGGAGTGCAGTGGCATAATGATGGCTTGCTGCACCCTCAATCTCCTGAGCTCAAGCACTCCTCCCAAAGTGGTGAGATTACAAGCATGAGCCACTGAATCCAGCTTTAATTTTTTTTTAGCAACACACATGTAAATGTCCATAAGATAAATTGTTTATAATTTATCAGAAAGAATGTAACAACAACTATTACAAATCAATGTCTAATTTTATTATGGCAGTGTCCAATAACCTATCAAATAACTCTTAAGATGCCAAAAAAAAATTTTAAGCACCATTTCACTAAAAATTAACTTAAGGCCAGGCACAGTGGCTACCCCTGTAATCCCAACACTTTGGGAGGCCAAGGCAGCCAGACCGCTTGAGCCCAGGAGTTGGAGACCAGTTTGGCCAACATGGCGCAACCCTGTTTCTACGAAAAATACAAAAGTAAGCCAGGTGTGGTGGCACACGCCTGTAGTCCCAGCTACTCGGGAGGCTGAAGCAGGAGGATTGAGTTCAGAATCCGGAAGTTCGAGGCTGCAGTGAGCTGTGATCACACCACTGCACTCCAGCCTAGGTGACAGTGTGAGACTCGGTCTCAAAAAAAAAAAAAAAAAAAAAAAAGCTTCAAAAAATTCCAGGCTGGGCGCGGTGGCTCACACCTGTAATCCCAGCACTCTGGGAGGCCAAGGCAGGGGGATCACCTCTCTACTAAAAATAAAAAATTAGCCAGGCGTGGTGGCACATGCCTGTAATCCCAGCTACTCAGGAGGCTGAGGCAGGAGAATCGCTTGAACCTGGGAGGCAGAGGTCGCAGTGAGCCGAGATCATGCCATTGCACTCCAGCCTGGGCAACAAGAGTGAAACTCCGTCTCTCACACACACAAAAATTCCAGGAAAGCATGATATCAAAGGATATCCTAACTCTTATAGTCTGTTTCCCATTCTGTCACTGAGCTGCTGTTAGTTCCTTTCACCTGAGTTTATTCCATGTGAAAATTGAAGATATTATTCAGACTTCAACAGAGTGCTCCAGAAATATTTATCAACTGCTGTAAACTTCACTAGAAATGCTAAAGAAATGTTAAAAAAAATCTTATCAATACTTTACAAAGAAAATAATACCATCAACAAAAAGTGTGCTTACCTATTCACAAAGATATAGAGCCTTACTAGCAAATATAAAAATAAAATTGCTGTTTGTGACTATGATCCTAAAGTGTAATGTGTTTTTTTTTTTGTTTTTTGAGATGGAGTCTTGCTCTGTTCCCCGGGGTTGGAGTGCAGTGGCATAATCTCGGCTCACCACAACCTCCGACTCCCAGGTTCAAGCAATTCTCCTGCCTCAGCCTCCTGAGTAGCTGGGATTACAGGTGTGCACCACCACACCCAGCTAGTTTTTGCATTTTTAGTAGAGATGGGGTTTCGCCATGTTGGCCAGGTTGGTCTTGAACTCTTGACCTCAGGTGATCTGCCCACCTCAGCCTCCCAAAGTGCCAGGATTACAGGCATGAGCCACTATGGCCGGCCAGATTCCTAAAGTGTAATTTCAAAGGGCCACAAAACATTTTTTTTAGACAGGGCCTTGCCCTGTCACCCAGGCTGGACTGCAGTGGCATGATCTTAACTCACCACAACCTCTGCCTCCTGGGCTTAAGTGATCCTTCTGCCTCAGCCCCCAGAGTAGCTGGGATTACAAGTGCATGCCACCATACCTGGCTAATTTTTTATCTGTTTTGGTAGAAATAGGCTTTTGCCATGTAGCTCAGGCTAACAAAAATATTTCACAATAAAAATTTAATTTACTAATTTCAAATGGGGGTGGGGAGAGAAGAGTAGCTACCAAATCAGCTTTAACCAAATTCAGCTAGAAATCAATGCTTTAGGCCAAGCGCCGGGAGGCAGAGGTTGCAGTGAGTTGAAATCGCACCACTGCACTCTAGCCTGGGCAACACAGCCAGACTCCGTCTAAAAACACAAACACAAAAACAAACAAAAAACCAGATTGGCCAGGCATCGTGGCTCACACCTGTAATCCCAGTACTTGAGAGGCAGAGGCAGGCGGATCACCTGAGGTCAAGAGTTCAAGACCAACCTGGCCAACATGGCAAAACCCTGTCTCTAACTAAAAATACAAAAATTAGCTGGGTGTGGTGGCAGGCCCCTGTAATCCCAGCTACTCGGGAGGGTGAGGCAGGAGAATCGCTTGAACTCAGGAGGCAGAGGTTGCAGAGAGCCAGTCTGGGCGACAGAGCGAGACTGATTCTGTCTTTAAAAAAGGAAGATAAAGTGTTTAAATCATTATTCAAGTGAAAGGTATCACAATCATTGTGGTAAAATTTGTTTTATTGATAAAAAAATTAACAAAATTCATATACTATAAAATAAGGTTAATAATAAAAAATAAATCAGTGCTTTAAGAGCATGTAATTTAACATGATTCCTTTAAAATACACAAGTGAGGCCAGGCGCTGTGGCTCATGCCTGTAATCCCAGCACTTTGGGAGGCCACGGTGGGCAGATCATGAGGTCAGGAGATCAAGACCATCCTCGCTAACATGGTGAAACCCTGTCGCTACTAAAAATACAAAAAATTAGCCAGGCTTGGTGGCGGGTGCCTGTAGTTCCAGCTACTCAGGAGGCCGAGGCAGGAGAATGGCGTGAACCCAGGAGGCGGAGCTGGCAGTGAGCCGAGATCGCGCCACTACACTCAGCCTGGGCGACAGAGCGAAGACTCCGTCTCAAAACAAAACAAAACAAAACAAAACACACAAGTGAAACAACCGTTGTCACAATTTTATTTGGGTGTGAAATATGGACCATCATCAGTAAACATTAAATTCAAACTACGTGTTAAACATGGCTGGGCACAGCGGCTTACATCTGTAATCCCAGCACTTTGGGAGGCCAAGGCCAGAGGATCACTTAAGCCCAGGAATTTGAGACCAGCCTGGCCAACAGTGAGACCTCATCTCTACAAAAAAAATAAAATTAGCCAGGCAAGTGGCCACGACTGCAGTGAGCTGAGATCACACCATGAACTCTCATCTGGGCAACAGAGTGAAATCCTGTCTCAAAACACACACGTGCGCATGCGCTCAAAACACACACACACACACACACACACACACACACACACGCACGCACGCACGCGCATGCGCAAACCCTACCACATGATCTAGCTTAGCCAAGAGAAAAAAAAGCGTATATCCATACAATGTTCATAGCAACTTTACTGGTAATAGCCCAAAACTGGAAATAACCCAAATGCCACCAAGCATTAAGAGGTGAATGCATAAACAAATTGTGGTATATCCACATAATAGAATACTACTCAGCAATAAAAAAAAAATGAACTAAATAACATGGGTGAATCTCAGAATTATAAGTGAAAGAACCCACACAAAAAGAGTATGTACTGAATGATTCCGCTTATATATACAATTCTAGAAAATGTAAAATAATCTACAGTGACAGAAATGAGATCAATGGTTGGAAGGGAGGGAGGGAAAGATTACAAAGGGCCACAAGAAACTTTGGGGGAAGATAAATATGTCTCCTCTCTTGATAAGGATAAGCTTCATGGGTGATACATAAAATTAAAACTTATCAAAAGTATCACTTTAAATATGTACAGTTAACTGTATGTCAATTATACCTCAATAACAAAAAAGAATCCAAGATGCCAAAACTAATTCTACAGTTCCTGTTAGATCTATCTGCTCATAAATATATTTAACCTACCGACTTGCAGTATGCACTCTGAGAATACAAAATTATGCCTAAATTGAGGATCACCATTATCACAAAAAACATCAAAGTTTAAACAATGAGGAAATTAGAATTCATCTTTAATCACTATGCCAGGCTATTTCAGTGCCAAAACGATACCAACTAAAACACAACACAACAAAACAAGAGCCCGCTGAGTGTAGGGCTCTGAGATTTTTAATTAAATATTTTAATTCAAATGTTTACCTTCTTTGATCTAGAATCCCATTTCGGGAAAACAGAAATAACCCAAAGAAAAGCCTATGCACAAAGATGTTAATTTCAATCTTATTCATCAGAGAAAAATGGCAAAGAATTAAATCAATGGCACAGCCATGGGATGGCATATTACATGAGCTACTTTTTTTTTTTTTGAGACTGAGTTTCGCTCTTGTTGCCTAGGCTGGAGTGCAATGGCGCAATCTCAGCTCACCGCAACCTCCACCTCCCAGGTTCAAGCGAATTGATTCTCCTGCCTCAACCTCCCAAGTAGCTGGGATTACAGGCATGCGCCACCACGCCCAGCTAATTTTGTATTTTTTAGTAGAGATGGGGTTTCTTCACGTTAGTCAAGCAGGTCTCAAACTCCTGACCTCAGGTGATCTGCCCACCTCAGCCTCCCAAAGTGCTGGATGTATAGGCATGAGCCACTGTGCCCAGCCTAGTCATTATTATTTTTTTTTTTTTGAGACGAAGTCTCACTCTGTGGCCCAGGCTGGAGCACAGTGGCGCTATCTCTGCTCACTGCAAGCTCCGCCTCCCGGGTTCACACCATTCTCCTGCCTCAGCCTCCTGAGTAGCTGGGACTACAGGCGCCCGCCACCACGCCCGGCTAATTTTTTTTTTTTTGTATTTTTAGTAGAGATGGGTTTTTACCATGTTAGCCAGGATGGTCTCAATCTCCTGACCTCATGATTTGTCTGCCTCAACCTCCCAAAGTGTTGGGATTACAGGCGTGAGCCACCGCGCCCGGCCCCTAGTCATTATTTTTAACTGGGAAAAACAGTTGCAAAAATATTAAGCAAAAACAGGGCAGACACATACAGTATGATCAACAGGTTGAAAACAATACATCCTGGGGAGAATAAAAGATATAGGAAAAAAGCCATAAGGTTAACATTTAAGGCCAACAGTTCTTAAACAGTGGTCCTGGACCAGAAGCATCATCTGCGAACTTCTTAGACCCCACCCTAGACCCAATGAATTAGAAAACTCCAGGAGTGGTATGCAGTAACCTGTTTTAACAAACTCTCCAGGTGATTATTTGTTTTTTGTTTTTTGAGATGGAATCTTGCTCTGTCCCCCGGGCTGGAGTGCAGTGGTGCAATCTCAAACTAAAGTTTGAGAACTACTGTTTAAAGAACTAGGATTACAGGTGACTGGTTTTCCTTCTTGTAACCTATGTTTTTCTCAATTATCTTTTTACTTTTGAAATCCAACTAAGTTCTTTTAAGTATTTTACTAACAGGTACACTCTGTAGGTCTACAGGTAAAAAGCTATTACGTTGCAAACATTATAACGTAATGTAAGGTCTGGATTACATGCCTAAAAATCCAATGATTCTTGGAACCATCAAATCTGTTAAGACTGAAAAGAATACCAATGTTTAAATATATCTATAAAATGCAGGTCAAGGGGCTAAGAAAATTGCAACACTAGAAAACCAACAAACTTAGGTTGTTCTAACATACATACACAAATACAGGAGGGACGTTTATGGGTCACATCTGCGAAACATTTTTTCCCAAAAAGCTGAATTTTTAGGCTTGCGTGTAATTTACTAGAACTGCACTGCAGGAATCAGATGTTCTGAAGCTGTGAATGCTTACTCATGTAGGTTCCTGCCTAACCAAAATAAGTACCAGTATGTTATATTTGTCACCAAAATCTAGGCAGGGAAGACAAATTCAGAACACTGAGAGTTGCCAAATCTTTAACTTTTAGCTTGAAGACCATAAAGCTGTGCCAACTTTCATCTCATCATCTCACTAAAACAGAGTCCACTGGAAATAAAGAGGCAAACCACAGGTTCCCAATTGACACTAGAACTAGTTAAAAGATTTAGGGAACTGTCTACCCTTTGAACACAAATTAAAGAGTAACAAAGACTACTAACTTAGGGATAGAGTAACTACTGATTAACAGCAAAATACCAAAGTTAAGTCAAAGACAAATGGCTACATATTTTAATATTTTAGTTTTGAAATTTTTTTAAACAGGTGTACAGATCCCCATATACATCCTAGCACACAAAATTCATTTTAACCTTTCTATTCCTTGAAAAGTCCACTCTAAGTAAATACAAGTTACTCAAAAAGGCACTACACACAGCAATGACCTAACACAGCCTGTCCTTTCCGACTAAAAAAGTTTTAACTAATTGCATAAGCACCATGACCACCCATACTGAATTTTTCACTACTAAACTCCCAGCACAATGCTGGCACAAAGCAAGTACCCAAACATATGAGGATTTTTTTTTTTTGAGATAAGAGTCTTGCTCTGTCGTCCAGGCTGGAGTGCAATGGTGTAATTTAGGCTCACCACAACCTCCGCCTCATGGGTTCAAGCTATTCTCGTGACTCAGCCTCCCAAGTAGCTGGGACTACAAGCCCGCACCATCACGCCTGGCTAATTTTTTATATTTTTAGTACAAGTACATACGGGGTTTTGCCATGTTGGCCAGGCTTGTCCCGAACTCCTGACCTCAGGTGATCTGCCCGCCTTGGCCTCCCAAAGTGCTGGGATTACAGGCATAAGCCACTGTGCCAGCTTTTTTTTTTTTTTAATTAAGAGAGTCTTGCTCTGTTGCCCAGGCATGAGTGCAGTGGCATGATCTTAGCTCACTGGACCCTCAAACTCCTACACTTAGGTGATCCTCCCGCCTCAGCCTCCCAAAATGCTGGGATTACAGGTGTGAGCCACCACACTTGGCCACATCTGAGGTTTTGAATTTGTTAGAGAAAGCTTCTGAAACCCTAAAGCAGACACCAACGATTCTGTAAAATTAACTCAGGCCGTTTTAATGTAAGACACCGTCCCTTTCTATCACACTTGACGCTTTCTTAAGGGAAGCTGACATTTCTGCCATACTTTGGAATCCCTGCAAATGAGTCAGTTAAGTGCATTTAAAGTGGCATGCCCTGGGCCAGGTGCACTGGGCTCACACCTGTAATTCCAGCACTCTGGGAGGCCAAGGCAGGAGGAAGATTTGAGGCCAGGAGTTGGGAGGCCAGCCTGGTAACCTAGTCAGACCTCGGTCTCTACAAAAAATGTAAAAATAAATAAGGGGGGGATCCTATTACTGAACTCCCTCTGAAAAGAAGAATCATTGAAAACTCTTGGTATTGTAAGTTACAAAATTGTACATATGGTGTATGCCGGTCCCCATTATTATCCGATCTACTTTTCTGATTTAACCTTAATTTTTCTAAACATTTCTTGTACTCTAACAGGTCAGGTTTTCCTCTTCTCTTTTTACCCCTCGAAAACACACTTGTTCCTGTAACACCACTCAGAGGGCCTCCCCAGCCCCCACCTCTTTTGTATATAAACACACTCTCTTGTCACATACTCCATCAGCTGTTTGGTAGCTCCTCCCCTCCTCCTTTTCCGGGTAGTAACAGGGCGGCCAATGAGCGCTGAGGAGCGGTGCCTGCGGCCTTTTGCCTGCATACGCTTTTCCAAAACAAGCAGCTCTAGCCTTCAGCAGGGGCCACTGGTTCACAGATGAAAGGATCACCAGGGCTGTGCAACAGGGTGAGACGAGTAACCCCCACCAACAAGGAAACCCGTGTAATCTGAGCTGTTTGTTCCTCCACCAGGGAGAACTTAAACCGATATTCCTTTAGGGCAAATCACGCTTTAAGGTCACCAGAGCCCCAGCTCTCAGACAATCTAAATAATCAGCTGGTTGGAGGTGGAAACCTCAAAGGTTGCCAGGCTCTGGGCAGCACAGATCACCAATCTACCTGACTTTGCAAACAAATGGCCGCACTATTCGAGACTATTCCATAGGATCTGGGCTAACTGCAAGGTTTTTTTACTGGGACACATTCCTAAAGGATCCAAAAGTCATGTAAATCAGTTTCTAGGCTCCTGGGGAGGTTTGCACAACCCTTAGCAAAGGATCAGAAGAGAAACAATGAATGAGTCAGAGTTTCAGAACATAATCACCCAGCAGATTATTAAGTGCATTGGTGCAAAACACTCACTCCCTGCATAACTTGGGAGTCAGCTCTCCTACCAACCCGTCACAAAAGAAATATCACTGACTCCAAACAACAACCAGAGACGGTGTCTCCAAAAGAACCGAGCGAGGTGGTGGAAGGCAGCGGCCAATTAGTTACACATCCTCTTCTCTCCCTACCCCCACACTGCTACTTTCCTACTATATAGGTTCCCTGCCAGGCTGTAAATCGTGGTGGTATAATTACGCTCAGGAGACATCCAAAAATGGGCTGAAACAGGAGACTGCAAGGAAACCAGCTATCGCCCCCCACACCAAAGAAATCATCAAGGGGCATGGGGGGCAAGAAGTGCATTCCTTCAGACCTTTTCTTCCTACTTCCTCTCCACCATCTTTCTCAACCCCCAGCCTTTTCACACAATTGTACTCATTTTAGTAGAGGGCTGGGGAATTTTTCCTTAAATTTTCTGCTAAATATACCTTACTCAAAAATTGTTGGCTCCATTTGGGCCTACTGATCTGTGAATTCAACAGAGAAAGGAGGACACAAAATCTCTCACCTACACAACACACACAAAAGGAAATCCGAAACATTTTAACTTCCAAACTCCATTATACCAGAAAATAAACACGAAACAAAGATAACCTCTGGCTTTTAAATCTCGAAACTGTTATCCTCCTATCTCAGATCTACAATTTTAAAGCGCCTCTGCTTTCTTTTGTCAGAAAGGAAGGAAGGTGGGGAAAGAACAGAAGGCCAATGCATCTTTGCCTTTCTTCATCTTCTACTAAAAATAAGCTATGAAATAAGCCACTTAGGGGGAGAAAAAAAAGACACCCTGCTGTTCTTTGTCTGTTTTCCTCTCCCTCTCCACCCCCCACACCCCGACTCCTAAATGCGGTAATCATTCTAGATGCCACAACTACTAAATGAACAAAAGGCACTGTATGGAAAAGGCATCAGGTCAAGTTAGGCCCCCCTCTTTATCCTCAATCTTTTAAAAATATGTCTATGTACATAATTTGAGACTCTGACAACGATCACAAACAGCTGGAATTGTCTCCCCACTCCATCCCAATTAAACATTAGGTAGAAATTCGCATTAGGTGTGACAGTAACTCTCAATTCAAGATAAAAATAACTCAGATGCTGCCACTATGTCATTTCCTAGTTTCTAAACAAAAATAAAACCCGAAACTGCTTTGTGTAAAATGTACACACAGTCATAGTTACAAGTTTTCCTGCAGCCTTATGAAAAGCCAACATTACTGGTATCATTCACACATTTACAAAACAATCACAGCCACAAACAGCTCATAAAGAGTTGATTTCACTTGCGCCTGAACATATATTGGGTACACTATACTTTATTAGTTGCTCCGCTCTAATCTCCCACTCCCCCAAAAATTCTAAACTCCAAACCACAAACTTAGAAGTCTATCTACTGCTCCTAATTTCTAACCAAGTTTTCCCTGAGCAAGGAGAAAAACACCTTATTTCTGAAAAGATTATTTTTTAAAAATCTCTTGCCCAGACAACTTCCCTCCCATCCCCCACTGCCAAACCATATGCAAAAACTACTTTTTTAAAACTTCAGCAAATTCCCTAACTGAATTTTTTGACAATAACCACTGATCTCTACAAAGAGGTAAAACACTCAATCAAAAACAGCAACAAATAAAAGGAAGAAAAAAGGTATTCACCTGAAGAATTTAGCCAAACAACTTGAGTTATATAAACAAAACCCTGCAACAGGGGGAAACGGTGGGGGGATGGGGAGGAGGGAGAGAAACAGGAGACAGGACTTTTAAACTGTGTTCCACACTACCACCCTCTAAGCCCCCACTTGCCCCCCTCCCCAAGGACTAGCTGTTCAGAACTCTGGGCTCCCCCTACCCTCTAAACTACCCTTCAAAAAAAAAAAATTCTCGATTTGTCACAGGAACCTTCGCGAATTTCTCTAGCTGGTCCTGAAATAATCAGTCTGGACTCCAACCAAAACCACTGCCTGAAGGGCTCTTATCAGTTATAGCTTTCCCACTGCAACCTCCAGAGTGCATAAAGTTGGGGGGAGGGGGCAGAAAATAAAGGGTGTCACTTGGCGACATCAGGGCAAGTATTCCCCCAAGAACCTGACCCTCACAGAGGAAGTTTTGCCCAAGTGGCCAGTCCAGGGACTATTTATTTTGTCCAGGAGCTCCTCTTTCCCCAGCTGTCATACCCACAATATGGAGGGTGGCTTGCTGGAGGGCCCGGGGGTCTTCATCACATACAACTATGGGTGGGACAGGCTTTGTCAGTGGAAAGGAAAACAGTAGGGTTCTCCCGGGGACCAGAAAGCTTAACAGGAGGGACTGACTGAAAACACACAGAGCTCTTTCTTAGAAGAGGGGGCCCTGAGCAGGAGACTCTCTTCCTAATATAGAAAGGAATTAGGGATAAAAGAGGTCGCTTGAGTGACCCCAGTTCAAGCAGCATTGTGGTTGGAGGAAATGGGGGCATCTCAAGAAACGGAGAAAGGCTTCCCTCTCGGGAATTTCTGCCTTGATTCCCTAAATCCAAAGCGAGCAAACAGGAGAGAGAAACCCTGAAAATGGGCTCGGTGGTAGAGAGTGAGGCGACTGGTCGTGCAAAAAGAAAAAAGGCCGTCTCGGGAGTCCAAACGTCGCGGAGGAAAGTCACAGGCTCTGGGGATACAGGAAGAGCGAGCAGCAACGCGTATTTCGGGGTGCTGCGGAGAAAAGGCGAGCTGAAAAGGCTCTCGGCCCCTGGGAGGTGCCAAGGAGCCGCCGTAGGCACTGGGGGAGGAGGGGAGTCTCGGACAGTGGCCTGGAGTGCCCCAGGGCCCTTGCAGTGGTTCCGGGGGTGCCCTGGGCATCCCCACACCGCCCCCCACACACAGCCCGAATTCCCCTCCACGAAGGATACAGCTTGACCACGTCCGTGTCCATCCGCCTCTTGCCCGGACTGGGAGATGACATGGTGTCGCCGCCGCCTCTCTCCCTTCCTCGGCCCGTCTGTCACGGGCCCGGGGCCCCGGCTCTGAGGAGCCCGCGGCCGCGCCGGCTCCTCGGTGGAGGTGGCAACACCCCCGCGGTCCCGGCGGTCCCGTCAGCCGCCGCCGCCGCCCCCCGCACGGGGGAACACCGGGCACTGTCCGGCCGGGTGGGGGTGGGGACCCTGCGGCGCCCGGCTCGGGCTGCCCCTCTCCGGCTGTGGTTCCGCCGCGGCCCTGCCCCGGCGCTCCTCTGCGCCGCGCGACGCTCCCTCCTGCCTGCTGTGGCTCGCTCGCCTGCTCCCCACTCACCCTCTGACCGGCTCCTAGCAGCCTCCACTATAAGCGGACGACTCCTGCTCAGTCGGCCTCCCTACCCCAGCCTCGCTCTGGGCGCCGTGACGTCACCTCTGTGACGTCATCGGAGGGGCGGGTCTGGTCGCTGAGAGGGGTGGGGCGCCGCCGCGGCGTGGGCTTTCCCGGGGAGTTCTGGGAGTTGTAGTTCCTCTTTCTCCGGCTGTCTCACACCCTCTGTCCCCTCCCCCAACTTCCCCACCTACTTCATCCCTCAACTGCCACTGTCGTTATCATCATCCTAAACGATAAGAGTAAATAATGGCAATATTATTACATTCGTGGATTTAAGGGTAATGAACCTCCCTTAACACTCTGTTTAACAAGCTGTTAATTTCTTTGATTTGGAGGAGGCCAAGGTAGCAATTACTCAGGCACCAAAATCTGGAAATCCCCACACCAGCAGGTTCCTTGCACTCCGCTTCCTCGTTGGCTGGAGAGAATTTGTTTCCAAGGATTGTAGACCACAGCAAGGCTTCCTCAGGCTTGCATACCAGGGTATGCAGTGTCTACGGCCACTATTTCAAAGATTAGAGTTGACGCAGCAAGGTGGTAAGGTCAGAAATAATTTAGTATTAATATCCTTATTCTACAGAGCATGAGGCAACTTCGCAAAGTGTGTGAACCTCCTACACCAACCTTAAATACTTCATTCATCCAATAAATATTTATTTAGCACCTCCTACGTGCTAATCACCTTGCTGGACATGAGGGATATAATGGTGAACTAAGAAAGACTAAATTTAGCCGGGCACGGTGGCTCACGCCTGTAATCCCAGCACTTTGGGAGGCCGAGGCTGGTGGATCACCTGAGGTCGGGAGTTCCAGACCAGTCTGGCCAATATGGTGAAACCCCGTCTCTACTAAAAATACAAAAATTAACCAGGCGTGGTGGCGGGCGCCTGTAGTCCCAACTACTCGCGAGGCTGAGGCAGGAGAATCGCTTGAACCCGGGAGGCAGAGGTCGCAATGAGCCAAGATCATGCCACTGCACTCCAGCCTAGGCAACAGAGCAAGATCTGTTTCCAAAAGATAAAGAAAGACTAAATTTACGCAGCCCCCTAGTATAGCCTGTGGATCTATAGTATCAGCATCGCCTGGGAACTTGTTAGAAATGCCGCTAGAGCTTCACTTCAGATCTACTGAATGAGAATTTGCAGTTTTAACAAGGTCCCCAGGTGATTCTTATGCACAGTGAAGTCTGGAAAAATACTGCCCTATAAGGTCCTCCAAAAGAAGTGATATGGAACTCAGGAGTCAACCAGGCAAAGGGGCCAGTGAAGAGTGTTCCAGGCATCGCCTATATTTATGTCATATTTTCACTACCTTTTCAAAAGTTTTATCTTTTCCCTCATTCCCATGAATATACACTTGTACTTTGTCAGACCATGTGTTGTGAGTTGAGCCTTCCTTACATAATCTCCTATGCACACACACCTGGGGCAGCAGCAATGAGCTAAGATTGAACATCTTTTGCAGCTATCATTTCATGCCTCAAAAAACTTGTGCTTTTTAAATTGTAAAACATACGTAACATAAAATTTAACATTTTAACCATATTTAAAGGTATAATTCAATAGGATTAAATACATTCACAATGTCGTGCAACCATCACACTACCCATTTCCAGAACGTGTTCACCATCCCAAACATTAAACAATAACCCCTTCCCCCCCAGCCCTTGATAACCTCTCTTTATGTTCTGAAAAAGGTGGGCTATTTTAGCTGTTTCTGAAAGGAGTGTATTGTTCTTTCAAATTGTACATAGCTGCTGGTCCAGGTGCAGTGGTGTTTAAAACTAATTGATCACAACCAGTTACAGATTTCTTTGTTCCTTCTACACGCCCACTGCTTCACTTGACTAGCTTTAAAAAACAATAAAAATAAATTGCATGGCCGGGTGCGGTGGCTCACGCCTGTAATCCCAGCACTTTGGGAGGCCGAGGTGGGGCGGATCACGAGGTCAGGAGTTTGAGACCAGCCTGGCCAGCGTAGTGAAACACCGTCTCTACTAAAAATACAAAAATTAGCCAGCTGTGGTGGCACAAACCTGTAGTCCCAGCTACTCGGGAGGCTGAGGCGGGAGAATCACTTGAACCCGGGAGGCGGAGGTTGCAGTGAGCAAGACCACACCATTGCACTCCAGCCTGGGTGACAGAGTGAGACTCCATCTCAAAATAAATAAATGCATTGCGCATAGAAAACCACACAGAGAAGGAGGACACGTCTGAACGAAGACATTTCTTTCTTTTTTTTTTTTTTTCAGACAAAGTCTCGCTCTTGTCCCCCAGGCTGGAGTGCAATGGCCCGGTCTCAGCTCACTGCAACCTCCGCCTCCCGGGTTCAAGCAATTCTCCTGCCCCAGCCTTCAGAGTAGCTGGGATTGCAGGTGCCCACCACCATGCCCAGCCAATTTTTGTATTTTAAATAGAGACGGGGTTTCACCATGTTGGCCAGGCTGGTCTCGAACTCCTGACCTCAGGTGATCCGCCCTCCTTGGCATCCCAAAGTGCTGGGATTACAGGCGTGAGCCACCGCACCCGGCCTGAACGAAGAGATTTCTATAACCTCCTTTATTTGACCACTTTGTTCAAGGGAGATAAAGACAGAGCAGAGATTTGTCTTCCTGACAGTGTCTCCTCTTGGGCTCTCTGCACTTCTGTTACTGCTACCTCCTCTCCTAAAATGACTTCCCACTGTCTTTCACCTGATTAACTCTAAGACAGTGCTATAACTGGTTCTCAAACTTTGGTGTTCTTCAGAATCACCTGGGGGGCTTGTTAAGCTCACAGATGGCCAGGCCCCACCCCTGGGAATTCTGACTCAGAAGTTCTGGGGTGGGGCTTGGACATCCTAGTCATTAACAAGCTCCCCAGATGATTCTGATCAGGCCAAAGTTGGAGAACCACTGACTTTAAGATTCTAGCAGGCATCACCACTTTGAAAATACCTGTCTGACTACTCAAGGTGAGTTAACTGCTCCCATAATGTCCTATGCAAATAAGGGAAGGTCTGAGTGCCCTCCAAAGTTTCCCCCCAACCCGAGAGCAACAGTGGCAAGCTTAGAGGACCCAAAGATGTTGTTTCTGGAACCCAGAGTGTGGAGTCCAGAAACAGGTTAGGTTATGATAGAACAGGTTAAGGAAGGGACACTTCGGAAACAAGGACATGGAGTAGAGCCTAGAAATTTTCCCTGGTGCTTTACTCTTCACCAATGCTTACTAGGCAAAAAATAATCAAAAGGTTGTTTAGAGAAATTAGTTGCAGATGATACTGGAGAATGCGGGCTGCTCTACTTAAAAATGCAATGAAGATTTAGTTAGCCCTCTGAGCAGTCACTGAAAAAGAATCCGGCTGGGTATGGTGGCTCATACCTGTAATCCCAGCACTTTGGGAGGCCAAGATGGGAGGATCTCTTGAAGCCAGGAGTTCGAGACCAGGCTGGGCAACATAGCAAGATCCCTACCTCTACAAAAAAAAATTTTTTTTAATAAAGGAATCATCCTAAAGAAGGGTTTTTTTTTTTTAGGCCGGGTGTGGTGGCTCACGACTGTAATCCCAGCACTTCGGAAGGCCAAGGCGGGCAGATCATGAGGTCAGGAGATGGAGACCATCCTGCCTAACACAGTGAAACCCAGTCTCTACTAAAAATACAAAAAAAAATTAGCCAGGCGTGGTGGCAGCCGCCTGTAGTCCCAGCTACTCGGGAGGCTGAGGCAGGAGAATGGCGTGAACCCGGGAGGCGGAGGTTGCAGTGAGCCGAGATCGCGCCACTGCACTCCAGCCTGGGTGACAAAGCAAGACTCCATCTCAAAAAACAAAGAAGGGTTATTTTTGGCTGGGCACGGTGGCTCACGCCTGTAATCCCAGCACTTTGGGAAGCCGAGGTGGGTAAATCACCTGACGTCAGGAGTTCAAGACCAGCCTGGCCAACATGGTGAAACCCCGTCTCTACTAAAAATACAAAATAGGCATGGTGATGCACTCCTGTAATCCCAACTTGAACCTGGGAGGTGGAGGTTGCAGTGAGTGGAGATCACGCCATTGCACTCCACCCTGACGGCAAGACTCTGTCTCAAAAAAAAAATTGTGTCTTTATTTTATTCATTTATTTATTTTTGAGACAAAGTCTCACTCTGTCGCTCAGGCTGGAGTGCAGCGGCACGATCTCAGCTCACTGCAACCTTCACCTCCTGGGTTCAAGCAATTCTTCTGCCTCAGCCTCCCTAGTAGCTGGGACTACAGGCACATGCCACCACGCCCAGCTAATTTTTGTATTTTTAGTAGAAACGGGGTTTCACCATGTTGATCAGGCTGGTCTCGAACTCCTCACCTCAAATGATCCTCCTGCCTCAGCCTCCCAAAGTGCTGGGATTACAGGCATAAGCCACCATGCCCAGCCAAGTTATTGTGTCTTTAGTTATGTATCTAGGTCTGGGTTACTTAAGACAAACCTACCCCTTCCCAGCTTTTAAATCTCAGTTAATTTCATGTATCTTTGAGCCTCAGTTTTCTCATCTGTAAAATGTAGCTCACAATGTCTTACCCACTCAAATGTGTTGATGCAGTAAATGGAAAAGATTAATGTAAAAACTCCTTGTAAACTATAAATGGCTTTCATAAAGGTAATGTGAAGTGTTGATTACAAGGTATAATGTGATGGTGGTACTACCATATAATTATTAATATCAATCCTCCATTTGCCCCATTTTTTGCTCATGTATATCATTTAAGGAGTAGCCACTCTCTTTTTTTTTTTTTTTTTGGTCTCAAGATCTGTCTGTTCATTTTTTGGGGGATTTTTTTTCTTTTCTTTTCTTTTCTTTTCTGAGACGAAGATTCACTGTTGTCACACAGGCTGGAGTGCAATGGCATGATCTCCGCTCACTGCAATCTCCGCCTCTTAGATTCAAGCAATTCTCCAGCTTCAGCCTCCTGAGTAGCTGGGATTACAGGTGCGCCACCACCATGCCTGGCTAATTTTTGTATTTTTAGTAGAGACAGGGTTTCACCATGTTGGCCAGGCTGCTCTCTAACTCCTGACGTTAGGTAATCTGCCTGCCTCAGCCTCCCAAAGTGCTGGGATTACAGGCATGAGCCACCGCGCCCAGCATTTCTTTTTTTTTTCTTTTGAGACAAGGTCTCGCTCTGTCGCCCAGGCTGGAATGCAGTAATGCAGTCATAGCTCACTGCAGCCTCAACCTCCCAGACTCAAGTGATCCTCCTGCCCCAGCCTCCCGAGTAGCTGGTACTACATGTGCTATGCCACCACACTTGGCTACTTTTTCATTTTTAATTTTTTGTAGAGACAGGGTCTCACTGTGTTGCCCAGACTGCTCTTAAATTCCTGGGCTTAAGCAAGTGATCCTCCCACCTCCGCCTCCCAAAATGTTGGGATTAATGGCATGAGCCACTGTGCTGGCCTTTTTTCCTGTTTTTGAAGATGCCATGGCATTGATTCCCTCTCTTTGCGGTGAAGGTATGTTCATGTTTTTATAAGACATCTTTTTTCTCTGGGCATTTTGCCATTTGTTCCTTCATAAACCCACCTCCCCTCTTCTGACCTCCTCCTCATCCCTCCACTTTAATCCTTCCTTTTTCTTTCCAGAGCTGAGCCCACCCTTGACCAGGTAGGTTCAAAAAGCAGTCCCAAAGCACAGCCAAATGACAGCCCTGGTTTTACTTATTTTGGCTTATGAAACTGGAGCCCTCCTTGAGCAGAAGTGAGTTTGCTAAGCTCACCAATGTATTCTGCCATTCAGAATGTCTGTCATTTCCTCTAAGACAACACTGAGGCTGGGAGTGTCTGTTTATATGTGGTGCACACGCAGCCACCCTGTGCCCTGTGCTGGAATGAGTGACGGTCTTCCTTATCAGGTATAGCCAGGGGGTGCCTGTGAGGAACAGCTGTCCGACCCTGCCTGACTCACCAGTGTTGCAATCTGGGAAATGTATTCAGGGCCTGTTTATCTCTGCCCAGGGCAGGGCCAAGCTTGACCCACGAAGCCTCCGATCTCAGGAGCAGCTTCTCCAGGGCAAGAAAACAAGTTTGGAGAGAATCTAATGCTTTCAGCAAGACACTCAGACGGAGTAAGATGAAACTGGTTATTTGGTGGAATGAGTAGCAGAGCCCAGGCCAGAAGCTGCTCTGTCTCTGAAGTTACCTGTTAACTCCAACAGCTCTGGAACCAAAGTGAATTGATCCGTGTCCCCACCAAGTGTGAAAATCCCCCCCCAGAAAGCCCCCCAATTCCATTTCACTGCTTCTCACTGGGAAAGTGGTTCATTTTGAGCTGGCATTCTTGGCGTTTGTGATCACAGGTCTAGGCCCTTCTAGAAGGTAATCGTGTCAGTAGTTTCTTTGCTGCTGTGGAAATAAAAGCTTCAAGTTATCTACATGTAACTTTGTAACAGTTTGTCCCCAGAGAAGTAGTCAGATTTCAGGAGCATGTGGCATGATTCAGTTAGCCCATGGGACTTAGAGGAAGAAGACCCCTTCCAGCCTAGGATTTACCTGTTATTGATATAACTTGGGCAAGTAACTGAACCTTTATGCCTCAGTTTCCTCATCTATAAAACAGGATGATAGCACCTGTACTTCCTTTGCCTAGGTCAAATAGGATCAAATAGGAGATGATGCAACCTCTGATGTGCTAGTCATCTATAAAGTATTATCCTGTCCCCCGTACACACACACACACACACACACAGACACACACACACACACACACATACTCCCCAATGCCGAGCTTCAAGGAGGAAGTGAGGCTGGAAATTATTCATGCCTACATTGAAAGAGCTCTCACTTGGGCCACCTCCCCTGTTCGGAGCCCGCATGTTGTCAGTTGCAGCCTCCTGCCTTGCCTTCGCTGCTTTCTCGTCTCTCTGGTCTGGAAATGCCGGAAGCCCCAGACTCAGTTCTCACGTCTCTATCTACTCTTCTTTATCTACAGTTAATACCTAAGTGACTTTACCCAACCTCAAAGCTTTATATGCCATCTATACTTTGACTCCCTAATGTACATTCCTGATATGGGCCCTTGCCCCCATGTTATTGTTTGAATGTCCCCTCCAAAACTCATGTTGAAATTTGCCAATGTGATGATATTTAGAGATGGAATATTGGCTAGGTGCAGTGGCTCATGCCTGTAATCCCAGTGCTTTGAAAGGCCAAGCAGAAGGATCGTTTGAGACCAGACTGGGCAACATAGTGAGACCCCTGTCTCTATAAAAATGTTTTAAAAATTAGCCAGGCGTGGTGGCGCATGCCGGTAGTCTCAGCTATTTGGTAGGCTGAGGTGGGAGGATCACTTGAGCCCAGGAGTTGGAGGCTGCAGCGAGCTATGATCAAGCGAGTCACTGCACTCTATCCTGGGTGACAGAGTAACACCCAGACTCTTAAAGGTCTCACCTCTTCTTTTTTTTTGAGACGGAGTTTAGCTCTTGTTGCCCAAGCTGGAGTGCAATGGTGCCATCTTGGCTCACTGCAACCTCTGCCTCCCAGGTTAAAGCGATTCTCCTGCCTCAGCCTCTCAAGTAGCTGGGATTACAGACACCCGCCACCATACCCAGCTAATTTTTTTGCGTATTTTTGGTAGAAACAAGGTTTCACCATGTTGGCCAGGCTGGTCTGAAACTCCTGACCTCAGGTGATGCACCCACCTCGGCCTCCCAAAGTGCTGGGATTGCAGGCGTGAGCCACCACACCTAGCTTCTCTTTTATTTTTAATTAATTAATTAATTAATTAATATATTTATTTTTGAGACAGAGTTTTGCTTTTGTTGCCCAGGCTGGAGTGCAATGGCGCGATCTCGGCTCACCACAACCTCCGCCTCCTGGGTTCAAGCGATTCTCCTGCCTCAGCCTCCCAAGTAGCTGGGATCACAGGAATGTGCCACCACACCCGGCTACTTTTGTATTTTTAGTAGAGATGGGGTTTTTCCATGTTGGTCAGGCTAGTCTCGAACTCCCAACCTCAGGTGATCCACCCGCCTCAGCCTCCCAAAGGGCTGGGATTATAGGCATGAGCCACCGCACCCGGCGACTATTCATTTATTTTTTGAGATGGAGTTTTGCTCTTATTGCCCAGGCTGGAATGCAGTGGCGTGATCTCGGCTCACAGAAACCTCTGCCTCCTGGGTTCAAGCGATTCTCCTGCCTCAGCCTCCCAAATAGCTGGGATTCCAGGCATGTGCCACCACGCCCAGCTAATTTTGTATTTTTAGTAGAGACTGGGTTTCTCCATGTTGGTCAGGCTGGTCTCAAACTCTTGACCTCAGGTGATCCACTTGCCTGGGCCTCCCAGAGTGCTGGGATTACAGGCGTGAGCCACTGCACCCAGCTGTCTTTTCTTTTTTAAGAGGTGATTAGGTTGTGAGGGCTCTGTGTTATTCTGTTATAGCAACAGAAAAAAGACTAAGACACCCCTGAACTCAGAGGCATATACATAGCTGCCTGTGCGACATCTCATGTCCAAAAATAAATTTCTGATACCACCTCCTCACCTCTTCCTCACATACTTTTCCCCATCTCAGTCAATGACAACTATTAAGTTGAAATATATGAAATTGCCTTTTAAGGTTAAGAACTATCAAATATTGGTGATTTCATTTGGTTCAACCTAATACATTCTTCTAGCTGCTCAGGCCAAGGGCCTTGAATTACGGTCCCCGACCCTTCTTGTTCTTTAGCCCCTTCATCCAATTATCAGGAAATCCTGTTGGCCCTACCGTCAAAATATATCCAGAATCTTTTCCTTGCCTTCTCTACCAAGCCATCATCTCTTACATAGATTGCTATAATCACTTCCCAGTTGGCCTCACTTCTTCAAACCCTGTATTCAACTCAGAAGCCAGTGAGCCTAACTATAAAGCAAATCTTGTCTCCCTACTGTTCAAAACCCTCCAAGAGCTTCCCAGTTCACATCGTGACATCATGTAAAAGTCAAAGCCATCACAGGCATTCAAAGCCCTACAGGAGCTGCCCTATCCGATTCTGTCACTCACTCCTTTCTACCCACACTGGTCTTTTTCATTTTTTCTTTTTTCACATGTAGATATATATTTTAAGACTAGTCAAGTGAAGCAGTGGGGATGGAGAAGGAACAAAGAAATCTGTAATCAAGAGTTGTAAACACTGCACTCAGACCAGCCCACATTGGGTTTCTTGCTGTTCCTCATATACACCAAGCATGCCCCGGCCTGGGGTCCTTTGCACTTTGCTACTTTCTCAGCCTAAAATATTCTTCCCCTAGATAAGCATATGGCCTGCTCCCTAATGTCCTTTGAGTCTTTGCTGAAATGTCACCTTCTCAGTAGAGCCTTCCCTGAGCACCTTAGTATTTAATTATTTAGAGATAGGGCCTTGCTCTGTCGTCCAGGCTAGAGTGTCTTGGTGCTATTATGCCTCACACAGCCTCAAACTCCCAGGCTCAAGTGATCCTCCCACCTCAGGCCCCCAAGTAGCTGGGACTACAGCTGTGTGCCACCATACCTGGCTGACTTTTTTTTTTTTTTGGTAGACATAGGGTCTCGCTATGCTGCCCAGGCTGGTCTTGAACTCCTGGGCTCAGGTTACCCTCCTACCTCAGACTCCCAAAGTGCTGGAATTATAGACATGAGCCGCTGTACCCAGCTTATTTATTGATTGATTTTTGAGACAGAGTCTCACTCTGTCAACCAGGGTGGAGTGCAATGGCACAATCTCCACTCACTGCAACCTCCCTCTCCCAGGTTCAAGTGATTCTCATGTCTCACCCTTCCAAATAGCTGGGATTACAGGCACCTGCCACCATGCCTGGCTAATTTTTGTATTTTCAGTAGAGACGGGGTTTTGCCATGTTGGCCAGGCTGGTCTATGAACTCCTGACCTCAGGTGATCCATCCGCCTCGGCCTCCCAAAGTGCTGGGATTACAGGCATGAGCCACTGCGACCAGCCTATTTATTTATTTATTTATTTATTTATTATTATTTTTTGAGACAGAGTCTCGCCCTGTCACCCAGGCTGGAGTGCAGTGACATGATTGCGGCTCACTGCAACCTCCGCCTCCCGGGTTCAAGCGATTCTTCTGCCTCAGCCTCCCAAGTAGCTGGGACTATAGGCGCGTGCCACCACACCTGGCTAATTTTTGTAGTTTTTAGTAGAGGTGGGGTTTCACCATGTTGGCCAGGCTGGTATTGAACTTCTGACCTCGTGATCCACCCACCTTGGCCTCCCAAAGTGCTAGGATTACAGGCGTGAGCCACCGCGCCCGGCCATTTATTTATTTTTTAGAGACAGGTTCTCACTATTTTGCCCAGGCTGGCCTTGGATTCCTGAGCTCAAGCGATCCTCCCATCTCACCATCCTGAGTATCTGGAATAATAGGCATAAGCCACTGTGCCCACCTTAAATTGCGGTACCAACTCTACCCCAGTACATCCTCTTCCTTTTTCTTTTGTTTTTCCTCCCGAGGACTTACTACCATCTCATATACTGTGTTTTACTCATATACTTTATTTAATTCAGGATGTAAGTGCAGGAAGAGAGGGACCTTTGTCTAATTCACTGTTGTATATCCAATGTCTAGAGTGGTATGTGGTACATAGTAAGTGTTCAAATAGTAAATGAATGAAATGAAGAAGGAAGACCGGCTGAAAAGGCAACAAAAAATTAAAAGCTTAAAGGAGCTCCTTGGAAGCTCACAAAGTTAATTCTTCCTAACGGTCCGTATAAAGTGGCAGGAAACCTCACATCCTGAGTGCCTACTCTGAACCAGGCACTGTACCAAGGTGCATTACTTACAACCAACCAACCTGGCAGGACAGATGTTATTCTGCTTGTTGCACAGATGAAGAATCTTACGTTCAAAGAAGTCATGTAAGTTGCCCAAGGTCACACAGACGGTAAATGGAAGCATCAGGATTCAAATCCAAGTCCCCAACGTCAAAGCGCATGCCACTTGCAATCTGCTGTGCCACCTTGTTAATTCAGTCAGTTTAATTTGCAGGTGTTGGGAAACTTACTTTTTTTGTTTTTTTTTTTTTTTGAGACGGAGTCTCGCTCTGTCACCCAGGCTGGAGCGCAGTGGTGCGATCTGGCTCACTGCAAGCTCCGCCTCCCGGGTTCACACCATTCTTCTGCCTCAGCCTCCAGACTAGCTGGGACTACAGGCACCTGACACCACGCCCGGCTAATTTTTTGTATTTTTTAGTAGAGACGGGGTTTCACTGTGTTAGCCAGGATGGTCTCGATCTCCTGACCTTGTGATCCACCCGCCTCGGCCTCCCAAAGCGCTGGGATTACAGGCGTGAGCCACCGCGCCCAGCCGAAACTTACTATTTTTAAGGCCAAACCAAAATTTTACCTCCTTCATGACCAGAAATCTACTAGGCCACTCCATTTTTTTTTTTTTTTAACTTTTACTTTAGGTGCAGGGATGCATGTGCAGGTTTGTTATATAGGCAAACTGTATGTCACAGGGGGTGTAGTGTACAGATAATTTCATCGCGCAGGATCTAGGCCATTCTAACACATTAATGTTCCTCTGAAAAGAAATGGTCTGTGTCTCCAGAGTTCCCCCTCTCAGCAAATGGCACCATCATTCAACCAGCTGCCCAGACTAAGCCCTTAGAGTCTCCCTTGCCTGCTTTGTGTTTTTTTTTTTTTTTTTTTTTTAGATGGAGTCTTGCTCTGTCACCCAGGCTAGAGTGCAGTGGCGTGATCTCGGCTCAGTGCAACCTCTGCCCCTCCGGGCTCAAGCGATTCTCCTGCCTCAGCCTCCCAAGTAGCTGGGATTACAGGCGCCTGCCACTGTGCCCAGCTAATTTTTGTATTTTTAGTATAGACAGGGTTTCACCATGTTGGCCAGACTGGTCTTGAACTCCTGACCTCGTGATTCACCTGCCTTGGCTTCCCATATGCTGGGATTACAGGCGTGAGCCACCGCGCCCGGCCTACTGTTTTTTTCTTTATCATCCCCATTACCCAGTCCATCAGCAAATTCCACAAGACTCCCCCTTGAACATATTTGCCAAACCTGAGCCCTTCTCCCTGTGTCTCACACCTAAAGTGAGACACCATCCTCTGTGCGATCCAGTCTAACTGGCCTCTCTGCTCCTGCTTTTGCCCATAGTGACTTCCCCCTCACCCTACAGTCTATTCCCCACCCAGGAGCCACAGAGACATTTCTTTTTCTTTTTCTTTTTCTTTTTGAGACGGAGTTTCACTCTTGTCATCCAGGCTGGAGTGCAGTGGTGCAATCTCAGCTCACTGAAACCTCTGCCTCCCAGGTTCAAGCGATTCTCCTGCCTCAGCCTCCTGAGTAGCTGGGATTACAGGCGCCTGGCACCGCACCTATCTAATTTTTGTATTTTTGGTAGAGACAGGGTTTCACCATGTTGGCCAGGCTGCTCTCGAGCTCCTGACCTCAGGTAATCCGCCTGCCTTGGCCTCCCAAAGTGCTGGGATTATAGGTGTGAGCCACCACACCCAGCCTCTTTATCTATCTTATCTATTTATTTTTGAGACAGAGTTTCATTCTTGTTGCCCAGGCTGCCAGGCTGGAGTGCAATGGCGCGATCACGGCTCACCGCAACCTCTGCCTCCTGGGTTCAAGCGATTCTCCTGCCTCAGCCTCCGGAGTAGCTGGGATTACAGGCATGTGCCACCACACCCAGCTAATTTTGTATTTTTAGTAGAGACAGGGTTTCTCCATGTTGGTCAGGCTGGTCTCAAACTCCAGACCTCAGGTGATCCACCGGCCTCAGCCTCCCAAAGTGCTGAGATTACAGGCGTGAGCCACTGCGCCTGGCCTAAGATGTTTTAAGTTTGAATATATATTTATTTAAAACACAAGTGAATTTCAGTATTTATATGTATCTATGTGTATGTATATGTGTATACATGTATGTACACACATAGTAATAATATATATGGTTCTGCTATTAGCTATTTCTTTTTATTAAGGTATAGTTGACAAATAAAAATTGTGTTTTTTTTTTTTTGAGACGGGGTCTCACTCTGTCGGCCTCCTGCCTCGGCCTCCCAAAATGTTGCGATTACAGGTGTGAGCCACCATGCCAGGCCAAAATTGTGTATTGTGTCATATAATATTATAACATAATATTTGGATATGTGAATACATGATGAAATGGTTAAATCTAGCTACTTAACATACTCATCACCTCACATGCTTATCATTTTTTGTTATGAGACAGAGATGTTTAAACTCTGTCTCTACTAAAAATACAAAAATTAGCCAGGTGTGGTGGTGGGCACCTGTAATCCCAGCACTTTGGGAGGCCAAGGCAGGTGGATCACCTGAGGTCAGGAGTTCGAGACCAGCCTGGCCAACAAGGTGAAACCCCGTCTCTACTAAAAATACAAAAATTAGCCAGGTATGGTGGTGGCACCTGTAATCTCAGCTACTCAGGAGGCTAAGGCAGGAGAATCGCTAAACCTGGGAGGCAAACATTGCAGTGAGCTGAGATCGTGGCACTGCACTCCAGCATGGGCAACAGACTGAGACTCTGTCTCCAAAAAAAAAAAAAAAAAAGGTTAAGTATGGCCTGGCATAGTAGCTCATGCCTGTAGCCCCAGCACTTTGGGAGGCCAGGGTGAAAGCATGACTTGAGCCCAGGAGTTCAAGAGCAGCCTGGGAAACAAGGAGACCCCATTTCTACAAAAAGAATTTTTAAATTAGCTGAGCGTGGTAGCATGTGCCTGTGGTGCCAGCTACTCAGGAGGCTGAGGTGGGAGGATCGCTTGAGCATGGCAGGTTGAGGCTACCAGAAAGTTGAGGCTTCAGTGAGCTATGTTCATGCCACTATATTCTAGCCTGGGTGACAAAGTGAGACCCTGTCTCAAAAAAAAAAAAAAAGAAAAAGAAAAAGAAAAAGTTAAGTCTGGCAATACTTAACCAAATTCTTTTTCTTGTTTTGTTTTGTGTGATCTCAGCTCACTTCAACCTCTGCCTCCTGGGTTCAAGCAATTCTCCTGCCTCAGCCTCCCTAGTAGCTGGGGTTACAGGCGTGTGCCACCACACCTGGCTAATTTTTGTGTTTTTAGTAGAGACGAGGTTTCACCATGTTGGCCTGGCTAGTCTCGAACTCCTGGCCTCTGGTGATCTGCCCACCTCGGCATCCCAAAGTGCTGGGATTACAGGAGTGAGCCACCGCACCCCGCCCTCCAAAGTTTTCTTATTCCCGACAATGCAAGCCAGGACTCCTCTGCTAATTTTGCTGGTGGAGAAATGAGGTTGCATTAGGGAAAAGTGAGATGTATACATTTGCTTAGTTGACTAAAGGAAAAGAAAGCTAAAGTGGGAAAGCAGGACTCTGATTTCTTTCCCTTCCTTCAGTTTCTCTCTTTCTTACTTTCTCCTGCTGTTTCTAAAGCCTTTTTGGTTTCTCCAGGGTGCTCTGGTTGCTTGACCTGTAAATGTCTTTGGCCTTCCTCCAGAGGTCACACAGCAAAGGATCCATCGTGCCTTCAGCTGACAGCTCTGTATTGTCAAGCAGGGGAAGGGGTGAAGGATAATTTTACCAAACTGTAGGATGATTGGCTTGATTCCTATCACATTCTGTTTGGCTAAAAATGAAGCTGTTCTAGGCCAGGCACGGTGGCTCACGCCTATAATCCCAGCACTTTGTGAGGCCAAGGCAGGTGGATCACGAGGTCAGGAGTTCGAGACCAGCCTGGCCAACATGGTGAAACCCTGTCTCTACTAAAAATACAAAAATTAACTGGGCGTGGTGGCGTATGCCTGTAGTCCCAGCTACTTGGGAGGCTGAGGCAGGAGAATCACTTGAACTCGGGAGGCAGAGGTTGCAGCAAGCCAAGATCGCGCTATTGCACTCCAGCCTGGTGACAGAGTGAGACTCTGTCTCAAAAAAAAAAAAATGATGCTGTTCCAGGCCGGGCACGTTGGCTCACACCTGTAATCCCAGCACTTTGGGAGGCCAAGGCGGACGGATCACCTGACGTCAGGAGTTTGAGACCAGCCTGAGCAACTTGGAAAAACCCCGTCTCTACTAAAAATACAAAATTAGCAATTAGCTGGATGTGGTAGTACATGCCTGTAATCTCAACTACTCAGGACGCTAAGGCAGGAGAATCGCTTGAACCCATGAGGCGGAGGTTGCAGTGAGCTGAGATTGCACCATTGCACTCCAGCCTGGGCAGTAAGAGTGAAAATCTGTCTCAAAAAAATAAAGAAATAAATGAAGCTGTTCCAAACCTGGACAGTGGTTGGGCCAGTGATCTAGGCCGTCTACATAGTTTCAAGCCCAGCGCAAACTTGGAAGGCCTCTAGGCCTTGCAGACAGTTGCATCTTTTTCTATCTTTTTTTTTTTTTTTTTTTAAAGACAAAGTCATTCTCCTGCCTCAGCCTCCCGAGTAGCTGGGACTACAGGCGTCTGCCACCATGCCCAGCTAATTTTTGTGTTGTTAGTAGAGATGGGGTTTTACCATGTTGGCCAGGCTGGTCTCAAACTCCCGACCTCAAGTGATCCACCTGCCTCGGCCTCCCAAAGTGCTGGGATTACAGGTGTGAACCACCACACCCGGCCAAGATAGTTGCATCATTTTGTCATGAGGAGAGAACACAAGAAATCTTTCAATTCACATGCTTTTTTAAAACCGGTGCTTACAGAAGTTGCAGTCACAATACATCTGGCTGCTCAGAACATCAAATTTAGAATCTAAACAGTTTTTCCCTAAGTCAATGTTCTGGACCCAGTTTATAAACCTCCTTAGATTTGCTAAGCCCCACTCCTTCCCAGGCCTTGATCCTGCCTCAGTCTCTCAGTCTTGCAGTGCTTCCCGCGTAGTGAGGGCAGTGCCGGCTGCATCCTTCTGTGGCTCTCCAGGCACAGCTGTCACTGCCATGGCTTCTTTCCTCACACAGCCACTGCCTCAACCTCCCCTAGGAGTGAGGGCCAAGGTGCAGCAGCTCCAGCACCAAACTGGACTCCAGGACCTTCTGGCTCCCCAGTAGCTGCTGAGAGGGGCCCAGTAACACAACCTGCACATGAAGGGGAGTTAACACCGTGGGGTGGACTTTTATGGAAAAGAGAGAGGAGGCCGGAAGGAGCCCGCAGTGGCTCATTCTGCTGCTGCTTTGTCCCCATGTGATTCTTCTAACGCTTGGAGGCCCCCGAATGAATGAAAACACAACGACCTGTCATCCATAATGAGAACACGTTCCTTCCTCAGCTGCCTAGCTTCCCCTCTTCCTCACTCTTGCTGCCCTGGGCTTGCAGCCCACCCCAGTGAAACATTAACCCTTGGGCTTTGCCTCTAGCTCTGTTTTCTAGGAAGCCACGTTAGGACAGGCAAATTATGCATTTACTTGAGGGTAGGAGCTTTACAAACCCTCCTGCTTTTCTACCTTGCACTCTTAAGTAGAAACTTCTCTCCTCTCTGGGAGGGAATGGTACTAGAAAGATAACTCTAACCCTTCTCCCAACCTCCAGTACTCCATGGGGTGACCATCAGCCCTTGGCAGGAAAACAGGGGGTGACTGTCCTGCACGTAGCCAGTAGTGTTGTCTAAGACTGGAGTCGGGGGAGAGTAAGTTGAATTCTGTGAGGAAAAGATAGAAAGCCCATTTTGATGTAGATACCAACCAATTTTTTTTTTTTCCAGATGGAGTCTTGCTCTTGGAGTGCGGTGGCGCGATCTCGGCTCACTGCAACCTCTGCCTCCCGGGTTCAAGTCATTCTCCTGCCTAGACTCTCGAGTAGTTGGGATTACAGGGGCGCGCCACTACGCCCAGCTAATTTTTGTATTTTTAGTAGAGACGGGGTTTCTCCATGTTGGTCAGGCTGGTCTTGAACTCCTGACCTCAGGTGATCTGCCCGCCTTGGCCTCCCAAAGTGCTGGGGTTACAGATGTGAGCCACCGTGCTCCGCCATTACCTGTATCTTCTTGCCTCAGAAGGAACGTTTGTGCAGACACTGCCTTTCCTGAAGTCAGTGTTTGACTTTCTGGTCCCCTGAGGCTATTTTCCTTCTCTCCCCACCCCCATCCCTAAACAGATATTCCTTGTTTTCTTGCAGAAGGCCCCACCCAGGCCTCACCTTCCCCTCCTCCACTCCATGGTGGCTTTTAGTGCTTGTGTGATTCACACGTGTCCATGTGCCTTTGCTTGCGGCTCTGTTCACCTTCCTGATGCCTGAATTTCAAGCTCCTGAAAAGGAAACTTTCTGGTATTCACTGGCATTGAATAAAGACAGGAAATAAGTGTCTCAGCACAGAAGAATTTCAGTGTATGCTACATTATCTAAGCTACCTCCTTGCCTGGGATTTTCAAGCAGTGCACAAAGAAGGGGTAAACCTCCCACATTCTTTATCTGAGACCTTCTGAAACACACTCAGGGTCTCAGAACCACTGGCCTGGCCTCTTGGTTACTCACAAGGCTGGTCCCAGCCACCAGCGATGACCAGTTAGCTTCCCTGCTTCCATCCAGCCAAGACCTAGCCAGGACTTGTCTGTCATGCCTGGTATTTTCTCTTGTTAAACTCCTGACTTCTGGGTTACCCTCAATTCCTTTTTTTTTTTTTTTTTTGAGACGGAGTCTCACTCTGCTGCCCAGGCTGGAGTGGAGTGCAGTGCCGAGATCTCGGCTCACTGCAAGCTCCACCTCCCGGATTCACACCAATCTCCTGCCTCAGCCTCCCCAGTAGCTGGGACTACAGGCACCTGCCACCATGCCTAGCTAATTTTTGTATTTTTAGTAGAGATGGGGTTTCACTGTATTAGCCAGGATGGTCTTGATCTCCTGACCTCATGATCTACCCGCCTCGGCCTCTCAAAGTGCTGGGATTACAGGTGTGAGCCACCGTGCCCGGCCAGGGTTACCCTCAATTCTCAAATCTCTCTCCCCAACCCTGAAGGGGAGGAAAAGGGGTGCAGTAGCTTTTGGAAATGCTTGTCTTTAGGGTAGGGAAGGTGTGAGACAGTCCCTGGAGTCTGCTCTGCAGTGAGTTCCCAGTCTCAGTTTCCCTCCCACACTGGCAACTGGGCTCAGAGCTGCGGGCTTCCTCCAGAGGCCAGTGGAATGGAAGGCTTCCTGCCCGGATACTGTGGAGTGTGAAGTTCACCTGCATGTGGGCCACTCCCTCGGAGGGCAGCCAAGGCTGGGGAGGTGGCCTGGTTTGGGAGGAAACTCTCAGAGAGGTGCCAGGATGCTTCTCCACACTTATAAATCCAACTGCTCACCCCTACCTTACAAGCTATTAGTTCCTCAAAAGGAAACAGAATAAGATTGGCAGGAAAACTGAGGGAACATTTAGAATTCAAATAGAATAACCACAGTGGCTTGTAGACCTGAAATTATTTTTCACTTTTAATATCCTTCCTGATTTAATTTTTTTTTAAACGAAGTGTCACTCTGTCGCCCAGGCTGGAGTGCAGTGGCGCTATTTCAGCTCACTGCAACCTCCGCCTCCTGAGTTCAAGCGATTCTCCTACCTCAGCCTCCCGAGCAGCTGAGATTACAGGTGCCCGCCAGCACACCCAGTTAATTTTTGTATTTTTGGTAGAGACAGGGTTTCACCATGTTGGTCAGGCTGGTCCTGAACTGCTGATCTCAGGTGATCCGCCCAAAGTGCTGGGATTACAGGCATGAGCCACCGCGCCCAGCCTCCTTTCTGATTTGAAAAGTAATATGTTCCAGCCGGGCATGGTGGCTCATGCCTGTAATCCCAGCACTTTGGGAGGCCGAGGCAGGCAGATCACCTGAGGTCAGGAGTTCGAGACCAGCCCGACCAACATGGAGAAACCCTATCTCTACTAAAAATACAAAAAATTAGCCGGGCATGGTGGGGCATGCCTGTAATCCCAGCTACTCGGGAAGCTGAGGCAGGAGAATCACTTGAACCCAGGAGGTGGAGGTTGTGGTGAGCCGAGATCATGCCATTGCACTCCAGCCTGGGCAACAGGAGCGAAACTCTGTCTTAAAAAAAAGAAAAAAGAAAAGTAATATGTTCCTGGCTGGGCATGGTGGCTCACGTCTGTAATCCCAGCACTTTGGGAGGCCAAGGTGGGCAGATCACTTGAGGTCAGGAGTTCAAGACCAGCCTGGCCAACATGGTGAAACCCCGTCTCTACTAAAATACAAAAATTAGCTGGGCGTGGTGGTACACTCCTGTAATCCCAGCTACTTGGGAGGCTGAGGCAGGAGAGTTGCTTGAACCTGGGAGGCGGAGGTTGCAGTGACCCAAGATCATGCCACTGCACTCCAGCCTAGGCAACAGAGCAAGACTCCATCTCAAAAAAAAAAAAAAAAAAGAATATGTTCTTAGTGGGGAAAACCTGGAACATGTAAAGAAAATAATGGTCTTGAGGCCAGGCGCGGTGGCTCATGCCTGTAATCCCAGCACTTTGGGAGGCCGAGGCGGGTGGATCACGAGGTCAGGAGATCAAGACCATCCTGGCTAACACGGTGAAACCCCGTCTACTAAAAATACAAAAAATTATCCAGGCGTGGTGGCAGGCGCCTGTAGTCCCAGCTACTCGGGAGGCTGAGGCAGGAGAATGGCGTGAACCCGGGAGGCGGAGATTGCAGTGAGCCGAGATCACGCCACTGCACTCCAGCCTGGATGACAGAGCGAGACTCCTTCTCAAAAAAAAAAAAAAAAAGAAAGAAAATAACGGTCTTGGAGCTTAGTCAGTTAAGAAAAAAAAAGGAAAAAGAAAATAACAGCTATCTGTAATCCCACCTCCCAATTAGCTGGATGTGGTGGCGCAAGTCTGTGGTCCCAGCTACTAGGAGGCTGAGGCAGGATGATGACTTGAGTCTAGGACATTGAGGCTGCAGTGACCTATGATTGTACCTCATGACACTCCAGCCTAGAAGAGCAAGATCCTGTTTCTTAAAAATGAAAGAAAAAAAGGCTGGGCATGGTGGCTCACACCTGTAATCCCAGCACTTTGGGAGGCCGAGGTGGCAGATCACAAGGTCAGGAGTTCGAGACCAGCCTGGCCAACATGATAAAACCCTGCCTCCACTAAAAATACAAAAATTAGCCAGGTGTGTTGGCACATGCCTGTAATCCCAGGTACCCGGGAGGCTGAGGCACGAGGATCATTTGAATCTGGGTGGTGGAGGTTGCAGTGAGCCAAGATTGCACCACTGCACTCCAGTCTGGGCAACAGAGCGAGACTCCGTCTCAAAAAAAAAAAAAAAGAAAAAGAAAAGAAAAAAAATCATAATCCCACCTCCCAGAGAAAACTTCCCTAATATTTGGCATATGTTTATTTTTATGTTCACATATTTTTGTGTAGTTGAATTATGTTGTATATATACATTTGTATCACCGTTTTTCACTTACTATATCATGAGCACCTGCCCCTACCCCTATCATTGTTTTAGCTGTTGCAAACTAGTCCATCATATGGAGGTACCATGATGTATTTAACTGTTGGTCAATTGATGGAAATTTGTTGCATCTCTCTCTTTTTTTTTTTTTTTTTTGAGATGGAGTCTTACTCTGTCACCCAGGCTGGAGTGCAGTGGTGTGATCTCAGCTCATTGCAACCTCCATCTCCCAGGTTCAAGCAATCCTCCTGCCTCAGTCCCCCTAGCAGCTGGGGCTACAGGTGCACGCCACCATGCCTGGCTAATTTTTGTATTTTTAGTAGAGATGGGGTTTCACCATGTTGGTCAGGCTGGTCTCGAACTCCTGACCTCAGGTGATCTGCTCGCCTCGGCCTCCCAAGTGCTGGGATTACAGGCGTGAGCCACCGCGCCCTGCCTCTGAAGACATTTTTACGTAAATAATTGACCCACACACACCTAAAAAAAATTAGCTTAATTTTGTTCATTAGCAACAGATTGTCTTTCTGGGCTGTTAAGAGAGGAAAGGAAAAATCCCCTGAGATGTCCATAATGTTGTGTTAGGGAGGAATCTATCTTTGGCTGCAGCTGGAGCACAATCAGAGTGTGGCCAGGGCAAAGTGCTGGCCAGAGCCAGGAGACTAGAATATTTGTGGAATGTTAGTCTGGGCATGGTGGCTCATGCCTATAATCCCAGCACTTTGGTAGACCAAGGTGAGAGGATGGCTTGAGCCCAGGAGTTCAAGACCAGCATGGGCAACATAGCAAAACTCCGTCTCCATAAAAATCGAAAAATTAGCGGGGTGTGGTGGTGCACACCTGTTGTCTCAGATACTTGGGAGGCTGAGGTCAGAGGATGGCTTGAGCTTAGGAGTTTGAGGCTGCAGTGAGCTATGGTCACACCACTGCACCCCAGCCTGGGTGACAGAGTGAGACTGAGACCCTGTCTCTCTCTTTTTTTTTTTTTTGAGACAGAGTCTCGCTCTGTTGCCAGGCCGGAGTGCAGTGGCACGATCTCAGCTCACTGCCACCACGCCCGGCCGACACCCTGTCTCTTGGAAGAAAAAAAAAAGGAATGTTAAAGTTCAGTTGTCTTTGTGTAGTCGGTTGATTAATGTCTCTGATGGTACTGGGAGCTCTACAAGTGTGAAAACCAGACCTCTCTTACGATGTATTCCTAAGGCCCAGCAGAGTCACTGGAGTGTACAGTCAAGTGCTCAGTAAAGATGTAATCAGTGCTTAGATAGGGTGCCTCACCTCCTTTTCTATTGTTTTCTTTTTGCTTTTGAGACAGAGTCACACTCTGTCCCCCAGGCTGGAGTGCAGTGGTGCAATCTCGGCTCACTACAATCTCCACCTCCCAGGTTCAAGCGATTCTCCTGCCTCAGCCTCCAGAGTAGCTGGGACTACAAGCACATGCCACCATGCCTGGCTAATTTTTGTATTTTTAGTAGAGACAGGGTTTTACTATGTTGGCCAGGCTGGTCTCGAAATCCTGACCTTGTGATCTGCCTGCCTCAGCCTCCCAAAGTGCTAGGATTACAGGCGTGAGCCACCTCACCTGGTCTGGAATTTTTTTTTTGTTTTTTTTTTTTGTTTGTTTTTTTTTTGAGATGGAGTCTCATTCTGTCTCCCAGGCTGGAGTGCAGTGGCGCGATCTCGGCTCACTGCAAGCTCCGCCTTCTGGGTTCATGCCATTCTCCTGCCTCAGCCTCCTGAGTAGCTGGGACTACAGGCACCTGCCACCATGCCCGGCTAATTTTTTGTATTTTTAGTAGAGACAGGGTTTCACAATGTTAGCCAGGATAGTCTCGATCTCCCGACCTTGTGATCCACCCGCCTCAGCCTCCCAAAGTGCTGGGATTACAGGCATGAGCCACCACGCCGGGCAGGAATATTTTTTATTATAGTCCAGGGGTTTGCTTCCCACTGCATTCCAGCTACTTACAAGATCAGTAATTAAATAGAGAAAAAAAAATCTATAAATTTGTGTGGTACACCTTGTTTTCTAGAAATGAGTGTTGGTTGTTAGATCTTTCTCTTAAACCCTTCAGGGTTTTGATTGGTGTCTCTTGAGCTCACACACAAATCACAGAATTAAATTTTCTCACTGAGGGATAGCAATTTGTTTGTTACTGAGATAACTGAGCGTGTTTCCAAGCTACTTCTCTTTCTGGGTAAAGAGAAGGAGATCTTGAGTCACAAGGGCTAAGTGTGCTAAGGAGACCTCTTTGGCCCTGTGCACTGGAATGGAATAAACCCAGTTGCAGTATGCTCAGTTGTGCTAACAATGTTTATTTTCAGCACAGGTGGAAACATTTCATCTCATGGCACCTCTGTCTCAAGACCAGTGTTGATTCAGCTGCTTATTATTTAGTCAGTTTTAACACCTTGAAGCCAGGGTTTTGATGGAGCAAGACACAAAACAAAGCAAAACAAAAACCACCCCTCTACCCCAACACACACAAACAAGTAAATGAACAAACAGAAAATCTACCCTGCCCAACACTGTGGCTCACTCCTGTAATCCTAGCACTGTGTGAGGCCGAGGTGGGTGGATCATCTGAGGTCAGGAGTTCGAGACCAACCTGGCCAACATGGTGAAACCCCTGTCTCCACTAAAAATACAAAAATTAGCTGAGCATTGTGGCGGGCACCTGTAATCCAAGCTACTGAGGAGGTTGAGGCAGGAGAATTGCTTGAACCCAAGAGGCAGATGTTGCAGTGAGCTGAGATCGCACCACTGCACTCCAGCCTGGGCGACAAAGTGAGACTCCATCTCAAAACAAACAAACAAACAAACAAACCTACCCAATCATATGAATGCTCTTCCAGGGCTCTTCTTGGGTGTAAAATTTCTCAGGTTGGGCACAGTTGCTCATGCTCTAATTCCAGCAGTTTGGGAGGCCGAAGCAGAAGGATTGCTTGAGCCCAGGGGTTTGAGACCAACCTGGGCAACATGGTGAAACCCTATCTTTAAAAAAAATACAAAACTCAGCTGGACATGGTGGTGCTACTCAGGAGGCTGAGGTGGGAGGATTGCTTGAGCCTGTGAGGTTGAGGCTGCAGTGAGCTGTGATCATGCTACTGTGCTCCAGCCTGTGTGACGGAGTAAGAACCTGTTTAAAAAAAAAAAAAAAATCTTGGTGTGGTGGCTCACATCTGTAATCCCAGCACTTTGGGAGGCCAAGGTGGGTGGATCACGAGGTCAGGAGATTAAGACCATCCTGGCTAACATGGGGAAACCCTGTCTCTACTAAAAATGCAAAAAAAATTAGCCGGGCGTGGTGGCGGGCGCCTGTAGTCCCAGCTACTTGGGAGGCTGAGGCAGGAGAATGGCGTGAACCCCGGAGGCAGAGCTTGCAGTGAGCCGAGATTGAGCCACTGCACTCCAGCCTGGGTGACAGAGCAAGACTCCATCCAAAAAAAAAAAAAAAAAAAAAAAACAACTCAGATAAGTTTGCATCTGCTAAATAATTGACACTTTGGCTATTAACTTTCTGGAATCAAGAACATCATGTCTATTGACTAATCATGGAACTGATCTTCACAAGTAGCAGAGATTTGGACACAAACGATAGAAAATTCCAGTACAAACATTTCACCTGATGCAAACTTGCCCCATGTCTAGGAGGATGAGCTGCTATCATGCTCTGACAATCAGCAGCTCTCTGTTGGTAATAGAATGACAGAGATATTGGCAGTTAAGCCTCTAAAGTGGCCAGTAAATACGATATTGTACTGAGGGTTCTAAATTAGACAGGCAATTCATTCATTCATCCAATATTTATTAAGCACCCACCTTGAGAATACAAAGATTGGTAATATGGAGTATCTGTCCTTAAATTATTTCTTTTTTTTTTTTTTTAGAAGGAGTCTCACTCTGTCGTCCAGGCTGGAGTGCAGTGGTGTGGTCTCGGCTCACTGCAACCTCTGCCTCCCGGGTTCAAGCAATTCGCCTCCCTCAGCCTCCCTAGTAGCTGGGATTATAAGCGCCCACCACCACGCCCAGCTAATTTTTGTCTTTCAGTAGAGACAGGGTTTCACCATGTTAGCCAGGCTGGTCTTGAACTCCTGACCTCAGGTGATCCGCCTGCCTCAGCCTCCCAAAGTGCTGGGATTACAGGCGTGAGCCACTGCATCTAGCCCCTTAAATTATTTCTAAGGCTGACAGGAAGACTGAAACATGCATAGTTACAGCACAGGTGAAACCTCTCTTTCATTTCTTTTTTGTTTGTTAGGCTGAGATGTAAATGCATACATGATATATGTAGCAGAATAATCTACTGAGAATCAGCTCGTGTTTGTTTTTACCTCTGTGGATGCCTTAGGAGGAATGAAAGGTATTTTTCCCCTCCCAGTGTGGTACACAGGCCTTTATTCTGATTTCTGGGAAACCTTTTCCTCTAGAAGGTGATCACAGGAGGTGAGGAGTCATTTGTGTAATCTATCAGCAAGATTAGATTTTATCGTCTCGGACAGCTGTAGGATGTTCAGGGGTTGGAAATGAGAAAGCAGCCAGACCCTAGGAGAGGCTCAAGGACGGGGAAGAAGAACTAGGTTGGTAGAGGCCTTGGGGCCTGGGGGAGGGGTGGAGATGCTGAAGTGGCAGCCTCCGTGGAAGAAATCCTTAAGCTACGAGCAGGGAGCTGGACTAGGAGGCTGCAGGATCCTCTGGAACGTCCATGGCCAGAGAGATGGTGGGGACCAGCATTTGAAGCAGCAGCTCTGTCTGGCAGAGCAGCCACAGGAAAGCCAACCAGGGCCTCTAAGTGCTGAAAGACTGGGAGTCCATGGGATCCTGTCTAGGTGCCCAGGGTTAGTGATGATCCAAGGGAGTGGAACCCATCCTTGGAATAGTTAATATTGGGCCTCCCTCCAATCCAGGTGAGTAGGTTTGAGGTGGTTCTAATTAAAGCTAAGAACATTATTGTTATTATTATTATTATTATTTTGAGACGGAGTCTCGTTCTGTCACCCAGGCTGGAGTGCAGTGGCGCAATCTTGGCTCACTGCAATCTCCACCCCCCTGGGTTCAAGCAATTCTCCTGTCTCACCCTCCTCCTAACTGGGATTACAGGCGCATGCCACCATGCTTGGCTAATTTTTGTATTTTTAGTAGAGACGGGGTTTCACCATGTTGGCCAGGCTGGTCTCGAACTCTTGACCTTGTGATCCACTCATCTTGGCCTCCCAAAGTGCTGGGATTACAGGCGTGAGCCACCACGCCTGGCCCCAAGAACATTTTATTTTATTTTATTCTTTGTTTTTATTTCTTTCTTTATTTATTTCTTCTTTTTTTTTGAGTCAGAGTCTCTGTCATCCAGACTGGAGTGCAGTGGCACAATGTTGGCTCACTGTAATCTCTGCCTCCCAGGTTCAAGCGATTCTCCTGCCTCAGCCCCTCAAGTAGCTGGGATTACAGGTGCAGGGATTACAGTACAGGGACTACAGGTGCACACCACCTCACCAGGCCAATTTTGTATTTTTAGTAGAGACAGGGTTTCACCATGTTGGTCAGGCTGGTCTCAAACTCCTGACCTTGTGATCTGCCAGCCTCGACCTCCCAAAGTGCTGGGATTCCAATTTTGTGTGGGAAACTGACTCCCCTGCCCTCCCACACCCACCCCCACCCCCACATAGATCCGTGCTAAAGACAATGATGATTATCTTTTTATCTTGCTAGAGATCTGTTTAAGAATGGAAATGTGCATTTTTTTTTTTTTTTTTACCTCTGAAACATGAAGAGGAGGTGGCTGCAGGCCTTCTGGGAAAGATTTCTCTACTATTTCTTTTTTTTTTTTTTTTGAGATGGAGTTTCACTCTTGTCGTCCAGGCTGGAGTGCAATGGCACGATCTTGGCTCACTGCAACTTCCACCTCCCGGGTTCAAGCGATTCTTCCACCTCACCCTCCCCAGTAGCTGGGATTACAGGCATTGCCATCATGCCCGGCTAATTTTTGTATATTTTGTAGAGATGGGGTTTCACCATGTTGGCCAGGCTGGTCTCGAACTCCTGACCTCAGGTGATCCACCCGCCTCGGCCTCCCAAAGTGCTGGGATTACAGACATGAGCCACCATGCCCGGCCTTTTTTTTTTTTTTTGAGACGGAGTCTTGCTCTGTTGCTCAGGCTGGAGTGCAGCTGCGCCATCTTGGCTCACTGCAAGCTCCGCCTCCCAGGTTCACGCCATACTCCTGCCTCAGCCTCCCGAGTAACTGGGACTACAGGCGCCCACCACCATGCCCGGCTAATTTTTTGTATTTTTAGTAGAGACGGGGTTTCACCGTGTTAGCCAGGATGGTCTCAATCTCCTGACCTCGTGATCCGCCTGCCTCAGCCTCCCAAAGTGGTAGGATTACAGGCATGAGCCACCATGTCCGGCCTTTCCCATGCATTTCTAATAAGTATTTCAAACTTAACTGTGGTCAAATTAAAACTGTAGACACCCCCTCAAATATGCTCCTCTCTCATCTTCCTTCTCTCCTCTCTCCATGAGCTCAGACCAAACCCCTGACAGTCATTCTTTGTTGAATGAAGGGTAAGTAAGGCACTGATCATACAAGTCCTCTGACACCCACCCTGCAAAATCCCAATCCTAAAACCAAAGTCTGCACACTTCTCTCTGATTCATTCTCTCTCTCTCTCTCTCTCTCTCTCTCTCTCTCTCTCGCTTCAGTCAAACACTAGCTAAGCTGGTACTGCTTTGGATCATTATCAAGCTGAGAAAATAGGCAAGGATGGCTGGGTAAGGCTGAGGCGGGCGGATCACTTGAGGTCAGGAGGTCGAGACCAGCCTGGCCAACATAGTGAAACCGCATCTCTACTAAAAACACAAAAATTAGCTGGGTGTGGTGGCGGTGCCTGTAGTCCTGCTACTCAGGAGGCTGAGGCAGGAGAATCGCTTGAATCCGGGAGGCAGAGGTTGCAGTGAGCCGAGATTGCACCACCGCACTCCATCCTGGGCGACAGAACGAGACTCCGTATCAAAAAAAAGAAAGAAAAGAAAATAGGCAAGGAGACACTCTCTGGTCCTAGTCAGGCAGCTAAGTCACATAGGGCCATGGAATCCTACACAGATACGAACAGTAGAAGCCCCATCTCCCAGTGCTGGCGCCCTAGATGATGATCACAGTATCTCACCTTTGTACAGGATTTTACACACTTTGCAAAGGGTTTTTTGTTTGTTTGTTTGTTTTTGTTTTGTTTTTTGAGACAGAGTTTCGCTCTTGTCACCCAGGCTGGCAAGCAGTGGTGCGATCTCGGCTCACCACAACCTCCGCTTCCCAGGTTCAAGTGATTCTCCTGCCTCAGCCTCCCGAGTAGCTGGGATTACAGGCATGAGCCACCCTGCCTGGCCTACAAGGGACTTTTACAAAGGTTTCCATATTTAATTTTCACAGGAATCCTGTGAAAAAGGCAGAACAGGTGTTATCAATCCTAATGTTTTAGATGAGAGAGAAAGTGAATTGCCCATCACATGCTGTGAGTGACACAGGCAATTAGGGACTGAGCCTACATCTTTTCACTTCAGGCTGCTCCCATCAAGCCACCCCTAACTCAGCAAAGGTGAACAAGGCCGTGATCCAGGCCTCCATTCACTTGATGCCAAGATTCCCATTAAGATAACTATGTACTCAGCTCTTGAAATGTATTTTTTAATTTAATTAAAGGTCAATATATGGTTTTAGAAACATATACAGAGATGACATAAAACTCTGAAATGGAATGCGACAGGGTCAAAAATGTTAAAGTGGAAATATTTGCAACTTTGTTCTCCTCCCATGCTCAATCTAAGAGCTTGAGTCTCAGAATCAGTTGTGTGAGATGGAGCTGTCGCTGGGCGTGGTGGCTTATGCCTATAATCCCAGCACTTTGGGAGGCCGAGGTAGGGTGATCACTTGAGGTCAGGACTTTGAGACCAGCCTGGCCAACGTGGTAAAACCCTGTCTCTACTGAAAATACAAAAATTAGCTGGGAGTGGTGGGCGTGTATCTGTAATCCCAGCTACTCCGGAGGCTAAGGCAGAAGAATCACTTGAACCTGGGAGGCAAAGGTTGCAGTGAGCCAAGATCGTGTCACTGCACTCCAGCCCGGGGGACAGAGCAAGATTCTGTCTTGAAAAAAAGAAAAAAGAAAAAAAGAAAGATGGAACTGTAAGGATGGAAGGAGCTTTATTTCTTTATTTTATTTTAAGTTTTGAGACAGGGTCTCCCTCTATTGCCCAGGCTGAAGTACAGTGGTGTGATCATGGCTCACTGCAGCCAGCTTTAAGCAATCTTTCCACCTCAGCCTCCCGAGCAGCTGGGACTACAGGTGCACGTCATGACACCTGGCTAATTTTTTTTTTTTTTGAGACGCAGTTTCACTCTTGTCACCCAGGCTGAAGTACAATGGCGTGATCTCGGCTCACTGCAACCTCTGCCTCCCAGGTTCAAGCAATTCTCCTGCCTCAGCCTCCCGAGTAGTTGGGATCACAGGCGTGTACCACCACACCTGCCTAATTTTTGTATTTTTAGTAGAGATGGGGTTTCACCATGTTGGCCAGGCTGGTCTCAAACTCCTGAGCCCAGGTGATCCACCCACCTCGGCCTCCCAAAGTGCTGGGATTACAGGCATGAGCCACCATACCTGGACCTCACCTGGCTAATTTTTAAATTTTTTTGTAGAGACAAGGTCCTGCTATGTTGCCCAGGCTGGTCTTGAACTCCTGGCCCCAAGTGATCCTCCCACCTTGGCCTCCCAAAGTGTTGGGATTACAGGTGTGAGCCAGCATGACTGGCCCAGAAGGAGCTCAGAGAAGGCATGAGGAGAGGGGAGGAGAGGGAGGTCAGGAGGATACCTCTTCCACAGGGAGGCACAAAGGTGGGAGCAGCGGGTGCCCTAGGACTAAACAGCTGGCCTGGCATGTGGGTGGAGCAATGCTCCTTTCCGTCTCCCAGCTTGTCTGGAGAACCTGATTTAAAAGCTGCTAGAGCCTCCTTTCAGGTCCAGGTATGTGTGTGTGAGAGAGAGAATTCCACGGGGGCGGAGGAGGTGGGAGAATAAAGTCAGTCACGGTGGAACTTCTGCCCAAGCAGAGACATCTTCATGGTGGATTTCAGAGAGGCAAGAGGGAGGCACCTGCAAGCTTCAAGAGCAGCTGGAGGAAGAGTAAATTAGAGTCCCAGCCACCCCCACATCTATCTTCTACACCTGCTCCTTCATTTTCCTTTCTCTGGAGGGCTGAGAGAGATTTACTGGTCAAAAGGAAGAGCTCCTCACTTCGGGTTCAGGAATCTTACTGAAGGAAATGAAATGGTCACAGAAAGAAGAGTCACTCGGGTAATTTGGGATGTTATGAGTAAGTACCATAAGTTGATTGAGCAGAAAAGACTCAAAGACGGGGGTAGATTTTTTTTTTTTTTTTTTGAAACGGAGTCTTGCTCTTATTGCCCAGGCTGGAGTGCAATGGCACGATCTCGGCTCACTGTAACCTCCATCTCCCGGGTTCAAGCTATTCTCCTGCCTCAGCCTCCGGAGTAGCTGGGATTATAGGCATGCACCACCACGTCTGGCTAATTTTTGTATTTTTAGTAGAGATGGATTTTCACCATGTTGGTCAGGCTGGTCTCAAACTCCTGACCTTGTAATCCACCCACCTCAGCCTCCCAAAGTGCTGGGATTACAGGCGTGAGCCACTATGCCCAGCCATTCATTTTTATTTTTATTATTTTTTGATTTAGAGTATTGCTCATTGCCTAGGCTGGAGTGCAGTGGCACAATCATAGCTCACTACAGCTTCAAACTCCTGGGCTCAAGTGATCCTCTTGCCTCAGCCTCCGAGTAGGTAGAACTACAGGTCAGTTACCACACCTGCTAATTTTTTTTTTTTTTTTTTTTTTTTTTGAGACGGAGTTGCTGTTCACTGCAACCTCTGCCTCCCTGGTTTAAGTGATTCTCCTACCTCAGCCTCCCAAGTAGCTGGGATCACAGGCATGTGCCACCACGCCCGGCTAATTTTTGTATTTTTGGTAGGGACAGGGTTTCACCATGTTGGTCAGGCTGGTCTCGAACTCCCGACCTCAGGTGATCCACTTGCCTCGGCCTCCCAATATGCTGGGATTACAGGCATGAGCCACCGTGCCCGGCCATGTTGGGGTAGATTTTGAAAAAAAAAATAAATAAGGGATACTGGATCATAATTCCACCTGGGCAGAGACCACAGTTCTAGGTCCAGATATCAGTCTAAAGTGGGATACAACCCCGGAAGGCATCAAGGCAGCCAGTCCTGGTTACACTGAGAGGATAATTGGGTTACAGCATCTTGGCTGGGCACGGTGGCTCACGCCTGTAATCCCAGCACTTTGGGAGGCTAAGGCAGGCGGATCACTTGAGCCCAGGGGTTCGAGACCAGTGTGGCCAACATGGCGAAACCCTGTCTCTAAAAAGATACAAAAATTAGCTTGGTGTAGTGGCATGCGCCTATAGTCCCAGCTACTTGGGAGGCTGAGTGGGAGGATTACTTGAGCCTAGGAGGTAGAGGTTGCTGTCAGCTGAGACGGTGCCACTGCACTCCAGCCTGGGTGACAGAATTAGACCCTGTCTAAAAAAAAAAAAAAAAAAAAAAAGTTATAGCATCTTTACTGAACATGTTTGAGAGACTAAAGTAGGGCAGAGGATGAAGGGAAAGACTTCTCTCCTGAGCTCTAGGTCCACATTTCCAACTGTCTGTTAGAAATCTCCAAACCCCATCTCTAGAAAGATCATAAGCTTGGTAGTAGGGTAAAGGTTAGATCAGAGGGGAGCTTGGAGGAAAAAGTGTCAGTTAGCTGCTATCACAGCTGAGATTCAGGCAAGAGGTAAATACAATCTGAATCAGGCTGGCAGGAGAGAGTCTTGCAAGACATTCTCCAGGTGGAATCCGTGGTACTTGATAACTGATTGGGGTGAGGCAGAGGGAAGAGGCTTTCCAACCTGGGTGAGTGGGAGGGTGGGATGCTGTGAACACGAACAGGGGACACAGTGGAGAAGGAGCAGCCTTGAGAGGAAAATGTGGGATGAGGTGTTGAGCATATTGTGTTTGGAGATTTTTCTTTTTCTTTTATTCTTTTTTTTTTTTTTGAGACGGAGTTTTGCTCTTGTATCCTAGGCTGGAGTGCAGTGGTGCAATCTCGGCTCACTGCAACCTCTGCCTCCTGGATTTAAGCGATTCTCCCACCTCAGCCTGCCGAATAGCTGGGACTACAGGCGTGCACCAACATGCCCAGCTAATTTTTTGTATTTTTAGTAGAGGTGGGGTTTCGCCATGTTGGCCAGGCTGATTTCGAACTCCTGACCTCAGGTGATCCATCCACCTCGGCCTCCCAAAGTGCTCGGATTACAGGTGTGAGTCACCATGTCTGGCCAGTATTGTTTTGGGTGGAATTTGGATCATTGCCAATTTTTTGCTCCTAGGAACAATGTGATCATGACTGTTCCTATATACATGGTCTGGTGCGAGTGTATATTAGTTTCTCTGGATGTATACCTAGGACTGGAATTGCTGGATTCCAGGATATGAACATGTTCAAGTTGACTAGGTAAAGTTATTTTTTAGAAGTGATTGTACCCATGTACCAGTGAAATTTACCTTTTTTGCTCTATTTTTTACTACTTTCATAATGAAAATATAAATGCATATTTTAATAGACAAATGAGATTATATCAAACCAAAAAACTTCTGTATAGCAAAGGAAATAACAGAGTAAAGAGACAACCTGCAGAATGAGAGAAAATATTTGCAAACTACTTATCCAACAAGGGATTAATATCCAGAATAGGGCTAGGCAGGGTGATTCACACCTGTAATCTCAGCACGTTAGGAGACCAAGGCAGGAGGATCACTTGAGATCAGGAGTTTGAGACCAGCCTGGGCAATGTGGCAAGATCCTGTCGTCTCTATTTTTGTTTGTTTGTTTGTTTTGAGATGGAGTTTTGCTCTTGTCACTCAGGCTGGATTGCAGTGGCATGATCTCAGCTCACTGCAACCTCCACTTCCTGGGTTCAAGCGATTTTCCTGCCTCAGCCTCCTGAGTAGCTGGGATTACAGGCATGCGCCACCACACCTGGCTAATTTTGTATTTTCAGTAGAGACAGCATTTCACCATGTTGGTCAGACTGGTCTCGAACTCCTGACCTCAGGTGATCCGCCTGCCTCGGCCTCCCAAAGTGTTCAGATTACAAGCATGAGCCACTGCACCCAGCCTTCCTGTCTCTGTTTTTAAAAAAGAAAAGAAAATGGAAAATTAGCTAAATAGACATCTCTCAAAAGAAGACACACAAATGGCCAACAGGTATATGAAAAAATCGTGATCACTAATATTCTGGGAAATGCGAATCAAAACCACAATGAGATATCTTTTTTTTTTTTTTTTTTTTTGAGATGGAGTCTCGCTGTGTCACCCAGGCTGCAGTGCAGTGGCACGATCTCGGCTAACTGCAACCTCCACCTCCTGGGTTCAAGAAATTCTCCTGCCTCAGCCTCCTGAGTAGCTGGGATTACAGGCTCCTGCCACCACACCCGGCTAATTTTTGTATTTTTAGTAAAGATGGTTTTTCGCCATGTTGGCCAGGCTGGTCTCAAACTCCTCACCTCAGGTGATCCACCTGCTTCAGCTTCCCAAAGTGTTGGGATTACAGGCATGAGCCACCACGTCCGGCTGAGATACCATTTTGTCCTAGTTAGAATGGTTATCAAAAAGCAAAAAAATAACAAATGCTGGTGAGGATGCAGAGAAAGGGGAGCTCTTATATATTATTGGTAGGAATGTAAATCAGTACAGCCATACTGGAAAACAGTATGGAGATTTCCCAAAATAGAACTACCATATGATCTAGCAATCCCACTACCAGTTATATATCCAAACTAAAGGAAATAAGCATGTCAAAAGGATTCTGCATCCCCATGTTTACTGCGGTACTATTCACAATAGCCAAGATATAAAATCAACCTTAGTGTCCATCAGTGGATAAAGAAAATAAGGCGTATATATATACATGATGGAATGCTATTTAGCAATTAAAAAGAAAACAATTCTGCCATTTGTGGCAACATGAATGAGCTTGGAGGACATGATGTTAAGTGAAATAAGTCAGGCACAAAAAGATAAATATTGCATGTTCTTATGTGGGAACTGAAAAAGTCGATTCTCTCTAGAAGTAGAGAGTAGAATAGTTGGGGAGGAGAGTTAGCCAAAGGTTTGTTAACAGATACAAAAGCACAGCTAGGTAGGAGGAATAGGTTCTAGTGTTCTATAGCACTGATGGGTGACTGTATTTAACACCAATTTTTTTTTATTTTTTGAGATGGAGTTTTGCTCTTGTCGCCCAGACTGGAGTGCATGTTGGCCAGGCTGGTCTCGAACTCCTGACTTCCGGTGATCTACCCGCCTCGGCCACCCAAAGTGCTGAGATTACAGGTGTGAGCCACTGCGCCTGGCCTAACACCAATTTATTGTATGTTTTCTTTCTTTCTTTTTTTTTTTTCTGAGTCAGGGTCTCGCTCTGTTGCCCAGGCTGCAGTGTAGTAATGCCATCATGACTCACTGCAGTCTTAATCTCCTGGGCTCAAGTGATCTTCCCGCTTTGGCCTACCAATGTTCTGGTATTACAGGTGAGAGCCATCGTGCCTGACCTATTGTATATTTTCTTTTTCTTTTTTTTTTGTTTTTGAGATGAAGTCTTGCTCTCTCACCCAGGATGGAATGCAGTGGCACCATCTCGGCTCACTGCAAGCGCCGCCCTCTGGGTTCATGCCATTCTCCTGCCTCAGCCTCCCGAGTAGCTGGGACTACAGGTGCCCGCCACCACGCCCAGCTAATTTTTTTTTTTGTATTTTTAGTAGAGATGGGGTTTCACCGTGTTAGCCAGAGGGTCTGTTTGGACCCTCAGTCTCCTGATTGAGATTGAGATGGCCTCAATCTCCTGATCTTGTGATCCGCCCGCCTCGGCCTCCCAAAGTGCTGGGATTGTAGGCGTGAGCCACTGTGCCCGGCTGTACCTATTATATTTTCAAACAACTAGAAGAGTAGATTTTGAACATACTCAACACAAAGAAATGATAAATGTTTGAGGTGATGTTGTTGTATCAAACCCCCATTGACTCCCATGGGAAAGGCACCAGGTTCAAGAGGCCAAAGAAGAGACCCAGAGCCAGCAAAGGAGACATAGGGTTTTACTGGGGGCTACATATGGGGAAGAGAGTTCAGGGTCAAAGGGCTGGACAGAAGAACCACTCGCAAAAAGCATGCAGTTTATGGCCAGGCGCAGTGGCTCACGCCTGTAATCCCAGCACTTTGGGAAGCCAAGATGGGTGGATCACTTCAGGTCAGGAGTTTCAGACCAGCCTGACCAACATAGTGAAACTCTCTCTCTACTAAAAATACAAAATTAGCTGGGCACGGTGGGGCACGCCTGTAGTCCCAGCTACTCGGGAGGCTGAGGCAGGAGAATCACTTGAACCCAGGAGGTGGAGGTTGCAGTGAGCCGAGATTGTGCCACTGTCCTCCAGCATGGGCAACAAGAGCAAAACTCTGTCTGAAAAAAAAAAATAAATAAAAAGCATGCAGTTTATATAGTATTTTCACCTAGCGCCCTCCCCATGACAACCTGTGGAACACAGGCTGTACAGGGGGATTGAGGGCCTGAGTTTGGGGTTGAATGAGGATTGCCAGGTGGAGGCTGTCATGGGCTTCCATTTGGAGTTTTCCCATCGTTCTGGGAAGAGAATGCCTGCCTGGTTGGTCCAGGGCTTCCTGCTCTTGTTGACATCCTTAGGGCAGCAGCCAGACTGGTGTGCACCCCTGGTAATGGCTCAAGCATGTGGAAGGAACCAACAATCTTCATTAAGTCCCATTTTTCCGGTTGGGACTGAGGCAGAGAGCAGGGAGAGGCGAGGAAGGATGGGGAAGGGAAGGTCTTGTCAGGGGAGGGATAGAGCAGTTCCCCTCCTTTCCTTCCTCCCTCCCTTTCTCTCTCTCTCTCTCTCTCTCTCTCTATATATATATATACACACACACACACACACACACACACACACATATAACTCGTTCGTTTTTTGAGACATAATCTCACTCTGTCACCCAGGCTGGAGTGCAGTGGCGCAATCTCCGCTCACTGCAATCTCTGCCTCCAGGGTTCAAGCAATTCTGCCTCAGCCTCCGAGTACCTTTGATTACAGGCGCCTGCCACCACACCCAAGTAGTTTTTGTATTACTTGGTGAAACCTTGTCCCTACAAAAATACAAAAATTAGCCGGGCGTGGTGGTGGGTGCCTATAATCCCAGCTACTCAGGAGGCTGAGGTGGGAGAATCGCTTGAATCCCTGGGGCGGAGGTTGCAGTGAGCAGAGATTGCACCATTGCACTCCAGCCTGGGCGACAGAGTGAGACTCCATCTCAAAAAAATAATAATAAATTTAATTTTAAAAATTAGAGATGGGGTGTTGCTATACTGCCCAGGCTGGTCTTGAACTCCTGGGCTTAAGCAGTCCTCCCACCTTGGCCTTCCAAAGTGCCAGGATTACAGTCATGAGCCAACAAACCTGGCCTTTTTTTTTTTTTTTTTTTTTTTTTTAGAGACAGGGCCTCACTCTGATGTCCAGGCTGGAGTGCAGTGGTGCAATAGTAGGTCACTGCAGCCTCAAACTCCCAGGCTCAAGTGAGCCTCCCATCTCAGCCCCCCAAGTAGCTAGGACTACAGGCACCTACCACCACACCCAGCTGGTTTTTATATTTTTTTGTAGAGATAGGGTTTTGCCATGTTGCCCAGGCTGGTCTTGAACCCCTGAGCTCAAGCGATCTACCTGCCTCAGCCTCCCAAAGTGATGGGACTACAGGCATGATCCACTGCGCCTGGCCAGTGACCCTTCTTATTTTATATATATGCATATATATATACATATATAGATATATATATTTTTTGAGATGGAGTCTCACTGTGTTGCCCAGGCTGGAGTGCAGTGGCGTGATCCTGGTTCACTGCCCTCAGCCTCCCAGGTTCAAGCAATTCTCATGCTTCAGCCTCCCTAGTCGCTGGGACTACAGGCATGTGCCACCACACCCAGCTAATTTTTTGTATTTTTAGTAGAGACGGGGTTTCACCATGTTGGCCAGGCTGGTCTCGAACTCTTGACCTCAAGTGATCCGCCGGCCTCTGCCTCCCAAAGTACCGGGATTACAGGGGTGAGCCACCATGCCCAGCCCACATTTTATATTTAAAAAGCAGAATCTGATGTGTGGGAAATGCCAATCCCCAGGCAAATAGAAACTCCTTCATTTTGCAGATCTGGTATCTGCATAATTTCAACAGAAACTATTTTTTAGAGAGGCAGAAATGATGTTGGCCCCAATCCAAGCCTCGGGGGTTTCTAGTCTCAATCAAGGAAGTGAAGATCAAAGAGAACATGACTGATTAGGGCTTTGACTCTCAGAGTTTGGTGTGAATCAGAATCACCCCGAGCCCTGTTAAAGAATTCAGACGCCTGGCTCCACCCTACAGACTCTGATTTAATGAGTTTAAAGTGGGGCCCAGGCATCTGCATCTGTTTATAACAAACCACCCTGGTGACATTGATGCCCACTTGCGTGTGGAGGACCTGCTGGAGGAGTCTGAGGAAGGCTGGAAAGGGAAGCATTCAGCTGTGATCAATCCTAAGACTCTGGGCACGGTGACGCACATCTATAGTCCCAGCTACTTGGGAGACAGGCTGAGGGTCACTTGAGCCCAGGAGTTTGAGACCAGTGCCCCTACACTCCCCACCTCCATATCTTAAAAAAAAAAAAAAAATTCCGGCCAGGTGCGGTGGCTCATGCCTGTAATCCCAGCACTTTGGGAGACCGAGGCGGGCGGATCACAAGGTCAGGAGTTCAAGACCAGCCTGGCCAGCATGGTGAAACCCCATCTCCACTAAAAATACAAAAAATTAACCGGGCATGGTGGCACGTGCCTGTAATCCCAGCTACTCAGGAGGCTGAGGCAGGAGAATTGCTTGAACCCAGGAGGCAGAGGTTGCAGTGAGCCAAGATCGCACCACTGCATTCCAGCCTGGGTGACAGAGCGAGACTCTGTCTCAAAAAAAAAACAAAAACAAAAACAAAAATCCTAGGGCTATGAGACTATGAGAGGCCTTGAACTGGGCCCTGGAGGGGCAGAAGGCTTGGGAGGACTGTGATCACATCTCTGCTTAGGCACAGTGGGCTGGGTTTGGACCAGATCATCCATGAAAAGCCACCATTCATCTCTGGCCAAGACCTGCCCTTGTGAGAGGCAGCTGAACATTGACCTTCTGCCCCTTACTGTAACCTTTTGGTTTTCTGCTCTTTGGTCAGTTCTGGGGAAGAGACAAACATATCCCTGAGGTGCTGAAAATTCTGCTGGTGCCTTGGGAGCATGTTCAGGACTGGAGATCATCCAACCTACCACAGTGTCTAAAAATAGAATCAAGCCAGTGAGAAGCCAGCTAGTTGGGGATCCTGAGGTCTCCCCAGTGATGGAGAGGCCTCTGAGGAGTTGGTGCTCCAGGGAATGACAGCCTTCTCTCAAGCACTGCTCCTCGCAGCTCCTGCAGCTTCCGGTAGCCAGCACCTGACCCCAAAACAAAGCCACTCTTCTCCAGAGCAGCCAGACAAGCAGGCAGGCTGGCGGGCTGGGAGATTCAGCCCCACTGCCACATTGGGCCAGCTAGGCTGCGGTGTGCCTTGCAAGCTTGCCCTGGCCACCAGGAGGGCTCTATTTTAAATCACGAGAATATGGTCCCCATGAAACGGCTGAAGTGAGAACTTAAGACAGAGGGCCCTGTGTTTCCTGTGCCCCTCTTGCTCAGCTGACTTCGCACACCCCGCTGCTGCCCACCTGCCAGAAAGGGAACTGCCTCTGAGTCTTGTACTGTGGGGAACCAAAGCCCAAGGGGAGACATGATCACAGTGAAAGTCCCCAAGAGGAAGGCAAGGAGCTGGTGTCTAAGCAGACGCGAGTACCAGGACACAGAGCTCTTGGGGGTGTTGGAGGATGTGGGCTTTATTCTGGAATAATTTTTTTTTTTTTTTTTTTTTGAGAGGGAGTCTCGCTCTGTCGACAAGGCTGGAATGCAGTGGTGCAATCTTGGCTCATTGCAACCTCCGCCTTCCTGGTTCAAGCAATTCTCCTGCCTCAGTCTCCCGAGTAACTGAGATTACAGGTGCCCGCCACCACACCCGGCTATTTTTTGTATTTTAGTAGAGATGGAGTTTTACAGTGTTGGCCAGGCTGGTCTCAAACTCCTGACCTCAAGTGATCCACCTGCCTCGGCCTCCCAAAGTGCTGGGATTACTGACATGAGCCACTGAGCCTGGCCTAATTTTTTCCTTTTTTAGAGACAGGGTCTTACTATGTTGCTCAGGCTGATCTCAAACTCCTGGCTCAAGCAATCCTCCTGCCATGGCCTCCCAAAGTGCTGGGATTACAGGTATGAGCCACTGTGCCCAGCCCTGAAATAATTTTTTTTTTCTCTCTTTTTGAGACAGGGTCTCAGTCTGTTGCCCAGGCTGGAGTGCAGTGGCATAATCACGACTCACTGCAGCATCAACAGCCCAGGCTTAAGCAATCCTCCTACCTCAGCCTCCCAAGTAGCTGTGGAATACTTTTTTTTTTTTTTTTTTGAGGCAGTCTTGCTCTGTCACCCAGGCTGGAGTGTAGTGGCGCGATCTCTGCTCACCACAACCTCCGCCTCCCAGGTTTAAGCAATTCTCCTGCCTCAGCCTCCCGAGTAGCTGGGATTACAGGCGCATGCCACCAAGCCTGGCTAATTTTGGTATTTTTAGTAGAAATGGGATTTCACCATGTCAGCCAGGCTGGTCTTGAACTCCTGACCTTGTGATCCACCCGTCTCGGCCTCCCAAAGTGCTAGGATTACAGGCGTGAGCCACCGCGCCCGGCTGGAATACATTTTTATTGAGCATGTCATGTTGAGTTTTATGCCCGGTCCCATACCAAACGAAAGTGCAAACATGGCCCCTGCTTCTGAAGAACCAAAAATCTGTTTGGAAAAATACTCATTTGCCAACCGTGTGCCATGCTCTGTTCTCCATGCCCTACAATGTCTTGACTTATCTAATTTTCACCCCTCTCTTATGGAGTGGGTACAAGGTGGTCGCCATTATACTTCCCGTTCTAAAGAAGAAGATTTTGAGGCACAGAGAGGCTAAGTAACATGCCATCGGTCCCAGCTCGTGAGGGACAGAGCTGGCACCTGCATCTAGATGCTGGCACCTGTAGCTGGGCCATCATCACCCTGGCGCTGCCCTGTCCTCAAATGTGGCTGGCACAGACTGGGGGTTGGAAGATGCTGCCTAAGGCCCTTTCCTTCTCCTAGGAGTTATGACTGCCCTGTAATGAGATTGTGTTTTTTTGTTTCATTTTGGTTTTTTTGTTTGTTTGTTTTGAGACTGAGTCTCACTGTATTGCCCAGGCTGAAGTGCAGTGAAACGCTCTCGGCTCGCTGCAACCTCTGCCTCCCAGGTTCAAGCGATTCTTGTGCCTCAGCCACCCGAGTAGCTGGGATTACAGGCATGTGCCACCACACACGGCTAATTTTTGTATTTTTAGTAGAGACGGGGTTTTGCCATGTTGGCCAGGCTGGTTTCGAACTCCTGACCTCAAGTGATCTGCCCGCCTGAGCTTCCCAAAGTGCTGGGATTACAGGTGTGAGCCACTGTGCTCAGCCTGAGATTGTTTTTTAATACACAAATAGAGCCATAGGCTCTCAAGTTTAAAAGGGGCTTGAATGGCTGGGCGCAGTGGCTCACACCTGTAATCCCAGCACTTTGGGAGGCCGAGGCGGGGGCGGATCATGAGGTCAGGAGATCGAGACCATCCTGACTAACACAGTGAAACCCCGTCTCTACTAAAAATACAAAAATTAGCCAGGCGCGGTGGCGGGTGCCTGTAGTCCCAGGTATCCGGGAGGCTGAGGCAGGAGAATGGCGTGAACCCAGGAGGTGGAGGTTGCAGTGAGCCAAGATCAGGCCACTGCAGTCTAGCCTGGGCGATAGAGCAAGACACCATCTCAAAAAACCAAAAAATTTAAAAATAAATAAATAAATAAATAAATAAAAGAAGCTCGAAGGTTGTGGAGTGAAACAACCCTGCCACGCTGTGGAGCTTCACAGGCAGATAATTGCTGCCCTTTTCACTCTCAGAAGCTCAACGGTGATGCTGTTATGCCTGCAGCATTCTTGGCTCTCCGGTTTTGGAATTGCTTCCAGAAACACTTCTTGAGCAAGACAAGAATCAGTCTCCGGAGAGTCTTATTTGTATATTTATTTACCCGCAGTGTTATTACCTAGCTTTATCACGAGAATTATTTGCCAGACTTAACTCTGAATGCCTTTTAGCTATTTCTGAAAGTCAGAGCTGCCATAAACCACTTAAGGCCTTGCCACCACTGAGGTTATTTAAAAGAATGTGCCAGGGGCTCTCAAAGCTATTTCATGAGAAAAGCTACAAAACAAAATAAAACAAACAAAACCCTTGTTAGAAGTGCGTGTACGGGGTATCATGCTCTCAAAGTCACAACTTTGGGAGGAGAGTACACCTTTGGATAGTTCGATCCTGCATGTTTGTTAGAAAAATGAATTTCTCAGCCGGGTGTGGTGGCTCACGCCTGTAATCCCAGCACTTTGGGAGGCTGAGGCGGGCGAATCACGAGGTCAAGAGATTGAGACCATCCTGGCCAACATGGTAAAACCCCATCTCTACTAAAAATACAAAAAATTAGCCAGGCGAGGTGGCGGGCGCCTGTGGTCCCAGCTACTCGGGAGGCGGAGGCAGGAGAATGGTGTGAACTCGGGAGGTGGAGCTTGCAGTGAGCCAAGATTGCACCACTGCACTCCAGCCTGGGCAACGGCGCGAGACTCCGTTTCAAAAAAAAAAAAAAAGAAAGAAAAATGAATTTTTCTGCTTTATGGTCTTCTTTAAGAGACAGGGTTTTGCTCTGTTACCCAGGCTGGAGAACAATGACACGATCATAGCTCAGTGTAGCCTCAAACTCCTGGGCTCAAATGATCCTCTGGCCTCAGCCTCTTGAGTAGCTGGGATCATAGGCAGGACCCACCGTCCTCAGCCTATGGTCATCTTCTGTACACTAGGTTATATGCCCTCTATGTGTACCAGGTAGGCTGGTATCCATTTTGCCTACTGTTGTATCCCCAGCACCTATCACAATGGCTGACCCAGAGTAGGTACTTAAGAAATGGGCCAGGCACAGTGGCTCACACGGCTGAGGGAGGAGGATCGCTTGAAACCAGGAGTTTGAGACCTGCCTGGGCGACATAGTAAAACCCTATTTCTATTAAAAATTTAAAAATTAGGCAGGCATGGTGGCATACACCTGTAGTCCCAGCTACTTGGGAGGCTAAGACTGGAGGATCACTTGAGCCCAGGAGGTTGAGGCTGCAGTGAGCCATGATGGCATCACTGCATTCCACCTGGGTGACAGAGCGAGACTGTGTCTCAGGAAAAAAAAACCAAAAAACTTGTTGAATGAACGGATAATATGATACACTAAGTAATAATAGATACTAAAACCAGTAACGAAAGACTGTAGGCTGGGCGCTGTGGCTCACGTTTGTAATCCCAGCACTTTGGGAGGCCGAGGCAGATGGATCACCTGAGGTCAGGAGTTTGGGACCAGCCTGACCAACATGGTGAAACCCCGTCTCCACTAAAAATACAAAAATTAGCTGGGCTGGTGGCGTGCGCCTGTAGTCCCAGCTACTCCAGAAGCTGAGGCAGGAGAATCGCTTGAACCTGGGAGGCGGAGGTTGCAATGAGCTGAGATCGCACCACTGTACTCCAGCCTGGGCGACAGACTGAGACACCATCTCAAAAAAAAAAAAAAAAAAAAAAAAAGGGAGACTCTAGCCAGGTGCAGTGGCTCAAGCCTGTAATCCCAGCACTTTGGGAGGCTGAGCGAGGCAGGTGGATCACCTGAGGTCAGGAGATCGAGACCAACCTGACCAACATGGTGAAACCCCGTCTCTACTAAAAATACAACCAAATTAGCCAGGCACAGTGGTGGGCGCCTGTAGTCCCAGCTACTTGGGAGGCTGAGGCAGGAGAACGGCATGAACCCGGGAGGCAGAGCTTGCAGTGAGCTGAGATCGCGCCACTGCACTCCAGCCTGGGCGACAGAGCGAGACTCCATCTCAAAAAAAAAAAAAAAAAATTAGTTGGGCATGGTGGCGCATGCCTGTAATCCCAGCTACTTGTGAGGGAGGTTGAGGCGGGAGAATCGCTTGAACCTGGGAGGTGGAAGTTGTAGTGAGACGAGATTGTGCCATTGCATTCCAACCTGGGCAACAGAGAGAGACTCTGTCTCAAAAGAAAGACTGTAGACAGAGGATACCTGTGGCACATCTCAGAACTCAGATGGTTACCTTCCCAGGGAGATGAAAATGAACACATTCAGCCAGGTGCATTCAGCCTGGCTAATTTTTTGTATTTTTAGTAGAGACAGGGTTTCATCGTGTTAGCCAGGATGGTCTCTATCTCCTGACCTCAAGATCTGCCCACCTCGGCCTCCCAAAGTGCTGGGATTACAGGCGTGAGCCACCGCACCCGGCCACCTCTATTCTACTTTCTGTTTCTATGAATTTACCTATTCTAGGTACCTCATATAAGTGGCATCAGACAATATTTTTACTTTGCATCTGTCTTAGGTAGCATACTGTGTTCAAGTCTCTTATGTGTGATAGCATGCATCAGAATTTCATTCCTTTTCAAGGCTAAATAGTATTCCATTGTAGGTACACACCTAATTTTGTTCATCCATTCATCAGCTGATAGACATTTGGGTTGTTCCCACTTTTGGTTTTTGTGAATAATGCTGCTGTGATTATTGGTATATTCACATCTGTTTGAATCTTTGCTTTCAGTTATTTTTTTTTCTTTTTTTTTTTGAGACAGAGTCTCTCTTTGTCAACCAGGCTGGAGTGCAGTGGCACAATCTGGGCTCACTGCAACCTCTGCCTCCCGGGTTCAAATGATTCTCCTGCCTTAGCCTCCTAGTAGCTGGGATTACAGGTGTGCACCACCACGCCCAGCTAATTCTTTTGTATTTTTAGTAGAGATGGGGTTTCACCATGCTGGCCAGGCTGGTCTCGAACTCCTGACCTCAAGTGATCCACCTGCCTCGGCCTCCCAAAGTGTTGGGATTACAGGCGTGAGCCACCACGCCCAGCCTGCTTTCAGTTCTTTTGGGTATATACACAAAAGCAGAATTGCTGGATCACATGGTAATTGTATGTTTATAAGTACTTTGTGTATTAAATCATTTAATCATCACATTAAACCCTATAAGGTAAATAATATTAGTATCCCCATCTTATGGATGAGGCACAGAGAAGTTAGGTGACTTACTCAAGGTCATACAGGGAATAAGTGGCAAAGCCAGGATTTGACCTCAGGGAATCTGATTCCAGACTCCACCTTCTTTTTTCCCTTTTTATTCTCCAGTGCCTACATTCTTATCACTATGGTAAAGCAGAGATGGCCAGGCATGGTGGCTCACACCTGTAATCCCAGCACTTTGGGAGGCCAAGGCGGGCAGATCACCTGAGGTCAGGAGTTCAAGACCAGCCTGGCCAACATGGTGAAACCCTGTCTCTACAAAAATACAAAAATTAGCTTGTCATGGTGGTGCATGCCTGTAATCCCAGCTACTCAGGAGGCTGAGGCAGGAGAATCGCTTGAACCCGGAAGGTAGAGGTTGTAGTGAGCCAAGATTGTGCCACTGCTCTCCAGCCTGGGTGACAGAGCAAGACTCTGTCTCAAAAAATCAAACAAACAAAAAACAAAAACAGAGATGTTGCAAGATGATATGTGAGCAAGAAATGTATGTGTGTGTTCTAGTTTGAGTTGGTGTTTGGAAGAAAAATAAAAAAGAAATAGGCCAGGTGTGGTGGCTCACACCTGTAATCCCAGCTCTTTGGGAGGCCGAGGCTGGGGTCCAGGAGTTCGAGACCAGCCTGGCAACATAGTGAGACCCCATGTCTACAAAAAATAAAAAATTGGCTGCGCATGGTGGTGTGTGCCTGTAGTCCCAGCTACTCAGGAGGCTTAGGTGGTAGGATCCCGTGAGCCTGGGAGGTTGAGGCTGCAGTGAGCCATGATTGTGCCACTGCACTCAGCCTGGGCAGCAGAGTGAGACCCTGCCTCAAAAAAGAAAGAAAAAAAAAGGCCAGGTGCAGCGGTTCATCCCTGTAATTCCAGCACACTGGGATACTCAGGAGGTCTTGTGCAAGGCTGGGAGTTTGAGACCAGCCTGGGCAACATAGCGAGACCCCATCTCTACAAAAAAATGAAACATATATATATGAAATAAATGTGTATGTTATAGGCAGTGAATTCTACAGGAGTTCTGAGCAATGAATCGTGAACTGGTGTGAAGTTGGGGTTAGCACTGAGTCTTGAAGGGTAAATACAATTGAGATAGGGAGAGAGACACGAGGAAGACCATTCCAAGCCTGGGGGAAACACACGGGAATGGTGAGCACACTAAGCGGTTTGTTCAGGAAGTATATACGTACACCAGCTGGCTAGAGGAAGACTCTTCTCACAGAATTAAAGTTGACAAAGGTTGTTTTTATTTTTATTTATTTATTTTTATTTTTATTTTTTTGAGACAGAGTCTCGCTTTGTCGCCAGGCTGGAGTACAGTGGTGCAATCTCCGCTCACTGCAACCTCTGCCTCCCAGGTTCAAATGATTCTCCTGCCTCAACCTCCTAAGTAGCTGGGACTAAAGGCACGCGCCGCCACGACCAGCTAATTTTTGTATTTTTAGTAGAGACATGGTTTCACCATGTTGGCCAGGATGGTGTCGATCTCCTGACCTCGTGATCTGCCTACCTCGGCCTCCCAAAGTGCTGGGATTACAGGCGTGAGCCACCACGCCCTGCCGGTTGTTTTTATTTTTATTTTTAATTTTATTTTTTGAGACAGAGTCTCGCTTTATTGCCCAGGCTGGAGTGCAGTGGCTCAATCTCAGCTCACTGCAACCTCTGCCTCCTGGGTTCAAGTGATTCTCCTGTCTCAGCCTCCTGAATAGCTGGGATTACAGGTATGTGCCACCAGACCTGGCTAATTTTTGTATTTTTTTAGTAGAGACAGGGTTTTGCTGTGTTGCCCAGGCTGGTCCTGAACTGCTGACCTTAGGTGATCTGCCCGCCTTGGCCTCCCAAAGTGTGGGAATTTCAGGCATGAGCCACCAGGCCCTGCAGGTTGTTGAAATCAGACTGGAAAAGCCCCAATTCCCTAGGAATGAGGAGTCATTGAAGGATTTTGCAAATGGCATTGGCTTGGTAAAAGTGGCGTTTTGAAGCAATTAATCTGGCAGGACTGTGTGCAAGATGGGTTAGACAGGGTAAAGCCTGGAGGCAGATCTATCTCAGAGAGCAGTCTAGACATGATGCCATGATAACCTGGTCTCTGGGAGAGCAAGACAAGTGAGGAGGAGACACTTGAGGATGGAAGAGATGCAGGAGGGATGAGGCGACCGGTTTGGAGACTGATGGCTGGAGGCGAGGGAGAGGGAGACATCAAATATCAAAGATGACGCTGAGATTTCCGGCCTGAGTGATTGGGATAATTATAACAACACCTGGCTGGGCGTGGTGGTTCACACCTGTAATTCCAGCACTTTGGGAGGCTGAGGGGAGGATCACTTGAGCCCAGGTGTTTGAGACAAGCCTGGGCAATATAGTGAGACCATGTCTCTACAAAAAATACAAAAGTTAGCTGGGCGTGGTGGTTGTTCGCCTGTGGTCCCAGCTACTCAGGAGACCGAGGTGGGAGGATCACGTGAACCTGGAGGTTGCAGTGAACTGTGATGGCTCCACTGCACTCCAGCCTGGACAACAGAGTGAGACTCTGTCTCAAAAAAAAAAAAACAACAGTGGATGGGGGCAGTGGTTCATGCCTGTAATCCCAGCATTTTAGGAGGCTGAGGTGGGCAGATCACTTGAGCTCAGGAGTTTGAAACCAGCCTGGCCAACATGCTGAGAGTCCGTCTTTACTAAAAATACAAAAATTGGCCAGGCGCGGTGGCTCACGCCTGTAATCCCAACACTTTGTGAGGCCGAGGCGGGTGGATCACGAGGTCAGGAGTTCAAGACCAGCCTGGCCAAGATGGTGAAACCCTGTCTCTACTAAAAATACAAAAAACCTAGCCGGGCGCAGTGGCACGCGCCTGTAATCCCAGCTACTCCAGAGGCTGAGACAGAGAATTGCTTAAATCTGGAGGGGCGGAGGTTGCAGTGAGCCAAGATCACGCCACTGCACTCCAGCCTGGGTGACAGAGCGAGACTCCGTCTCAAAAAAAAAAAAAAAAAAAAAAAATTAGCCAGGTGTGGTTGTGGGCACCTGTAATCCCAGCTACTCGGGAGGCTGAGGCAGGTGAATTGCTTGAAACCAGGAGGTGGAGATTGCAGTGAGCTGAGATCACTGCCACTGTACTCCATCCAGCCTGGGCGACAACTCCATCTCAAAACAAAAACAAAAACAACACTGACAGAAACAGGAGGTAGCTTCTGGTCATATTGAGCTTGAGGTGACAACAGGATATCCAGATGGAAACATCTAGGAGGTGGTTAGAAACATAGGTGTGGAGCTGAGAAACAAAGAAAAATGAGAAAGAAGACTGGGAATAAATCTTCTTGTAAAGAAAGCAAGAGCTCGTCAGAGGGTGGCACCCTGAGTCCCCACTTGCACCTCCAAAGCTCTCTGGCCTTACCTGCCAGAAGGTCCCAGGCCTGCAGCGAGACAGAAATTGACACTCTTATTCTGCCACCCTGATGGAAGGTTGACTCCTCCCTAGTCCAATTTAGAATGCATTTCCTTTTAGCTTGAAAGGACTAGGCTGCATTTTTCTTTTCTTTTTCTTTTTTTTTTCTTTTTTTTTTCTTTTTTTTTTTTTTTTTTGAGACGGAGTCTCGCTCTGTGGCCCATGCTGGAGTGCAGTGGCATGATCTCGGCTCACTGCAAGCTCCGCCTCCCGGGTTCACGCCATTCTCTCGCCTCAGCCTCCCGAGTAGCTGGGACCACAGGCACCTGCCACCACCCCTGGCTAATTTTTTGTATTTTTAGTAGAGACGGGGTTTCACTGCGTTAGCCAGGATGGTTTCAATCTCCTGACCTTTTGATCCGCCCGCCTCGGCCTCCCAAAGTACTGGGATTACAGGTGTGAGCCACCGCACCCTAAAAATACAAAATACAATTTTTGTATTTTTAGTAGAGATGGGGTTTCACCATGTTGGCCAGGCTGGTCTCCAACTGTGGACCTCAGGTGATCCACCCGCCTTGGCCTCCCAAAGTGCTAGGATTACAGGCATGAGCCACCGCGCCCAGCCATGAATGTCTAATGAATATCTCAGAGTTAACTATGACCCAATTGACACTCTTTTTTTTTTTTGAGACAGAGTCTCACTCTGTTGCCCAGACTGGAGCACAATGGTGCGATCTCTGCTCACTGCGCAGCCTCTGCCTCCTGGGCTCAAGCAATTATCCTGCCTCAGCCTCCTGAGTAGTTGGGATTACAGGTATGTGCCACCATGCCTGGCTAATTTTTGTATTTTTAGTAGAGATGGGGTTTCACCGTGTTGGCCAGGCTTGTCTCGAACTCCTGACCTCAAGTGATCCACCCAGCTTGGCCTCCCAAAATGCTGGAATTACAGGCCTGAGCCACCACACCCGGCCCCATTTGAAACTCTTTTTTTTTTCTTGAGACAGAATTTCGCTCTTATTGCCCAGGCTGGAGTGCTGTGGTGCGATCTCGGCTCGCAGCAGCCTCCGCCTCCCGGGTTCAAGTGATTCTCCTTCCTCAGCCTCCCTAATAGCTGGGATTGCAGGCGTGTGCCACCATGCCCTGCTAATTTTGTATTTTTAGTGGAGATGGGGTTTCTCCATGTTGGTCAGGCTGATCTCGAACTCCCGACCTCAGGTGATCCACCCACCTCGGCCTCCCAAAGTGCTAGGATTACAGGCCTGAGCCACCACGCCCGGCCCCATTTGAAACTCTTGACTCTCCCTCAGGTATGCTCTTTCTCATATCTTCCTCCTCTCTGTGAACTGGCACCCAGTCACCCTTTGGTGAACGAAGGTGAATGAATTCACCCTTTGGTGAATGAAGAGGACCATGCAGGTCCTTCGATATCCACTCTGCAAAATTCCAGCCCTGAAGCCAGGTGAGGGCTGCACATTTATCTCTGCCCACAGGGTAAATACAGTAGATATAAGTATCATATCGATAGATATGATGCTGTATGTCCCTTACCTGCCAATGCTGGGGAGTGTGTAAACAAGCCAACCCCTGGCTAGGCGTGGTGGCTCATGCCTGTAATCCTAGCACTTTGGGAGGCTGAGGCAGATGGATCACTTGGGCTCAGGAGTTCGAGACCAGCATGGGCAACAAGGTGAAATGCCGTCTCTACTAAAATACAAAAAATTAGCCAGGTGTGGTGGCGTGTGCCTGTAATCCCAGCTACTCGGGAGGCTGAGACAAGAGAATCACCTGAACCCAGGAGGCAGAGGTTGCAGTGAGCTGAGATCATGCCATTGCACTCCAACCTGCGTGACAGAGCGAGACTCCATCTCAAAACAAAAACAAAAACAAGCCCATCCCAGTCATTTTGGGAAGTAAGAAAGGGGCACGGGTGTTGGACAGCTGATAAACTGTACTAGAAATCTAAGGGAAATGCCTGATCACCAGTAACTCCCTCTCTGAAGTACTTACCCACAACTCATATCCATCCCCAACAAAAACAACAATTAAGAATAATAGGCTGGGCACGGTGGCTCATGCCTGTAATCCCAGTACTTTGGGAGGCCGAGGTGGGCGGATCACCTTAGGTCAAGAGTTTGAGACCAGCCTGGCCAGTGTGGTAAAACCCCATCTCTACTAAAAATACAAAAATTAGCCAGGCGTGGTGGCGCATGCCTGTAATCTCAGCTACTTAGGAGGCTGAGACAGGAGAATCACTTGAACCCATGAGGCAGATTTTGCAGTGAGCTGAGATAGCACCATTGCACTCCCGCCTGGGTGACAGAGCGAGACTCCGTCTCAAAAAAAAAAAAAAAAAAAAAAAGAGGCCTCCCTGGTGGAGGTTGCAGTGAGCCAAGATCACACCACTGTACTTCAGCCTGGGTGACAAGAGCAAGACTCTGTCTCAAAATAATAATAATAATAATAATAATACGCTTCCCCAAAAAGTTAGTTTGTAGACCACCAACTATATGTATCAAATGCAAACATGGTAGAAAGAGAGCTGACCTATAGCCGGGAGAGCTGGATTTGAGTCCTAGCTCTGCCACTCACTGGCTGTGTGACTTTGGGCAAGTCTTTCCTCATCTGTAAGACAACAGCATTCATCCAGCATTTTACCTCACTTAAGTCTCAAAATACTCTGATGAAGGGAACAGTATAATTAACGTCTGAGATTCATAGACATGGAAACAGATGCCGGGAGGCAAAATGACTTGCTTAACGCAACAAAGCTAATAATAGAGGCAGAACTGTAACTAAGCTTCAGATTCTGTGACTTCAAATCTCATGCTGCCTCCCCACCTCACCCCTAATAATTCACACGTCTGTGCAGCTGGGCAGGTTGCTCACCATACAAACAGTCCTTGCTCTGCTAGATAGATTTCATATGGACCAGAAGTAGCTTTGACTGTGTGCTGTATCTCAATTTCATTAACAATTTTTTTTTCCTGTCACCCAGGTTGGAGTGCAGTGGCACAATCATAGCTCACTGCAGTCTCAATCTCAGGGGTCAAGTGATCCTCCTGCCTCAGCCTCCCAAGTAGCTGGGACTACAGACACCTGTCACCACACCTGGCTAATATTTTTATTTATTTATATTTATTTATTTATTTATTTATTTATTTAATTAATTTATTTATTTATTGAGATGGAGTCTTGCTCTGTCTCCCCGGCTAGAGTGCAATGGCGCGATCTCCGCTCACTGCAACCTCCGCCTCCCAGGTTCAAGTGATTCTCCTGCCTCAGCCTCCTGAGTAGCTGGGGTTACAGGCGCGTGCCACTATGCCCAGCTAATTTTTGTATTTTTAGTAGAGGCGGAGTTTCACCGTGTTGGCCAGGCTGGTCTCGAACTCCTGATCTCAGGTGATCTGCCCACCTCTGCCTCACGAAGTACTGGGATTACAGGTGTCAGCCACCGCACCCGGCCAATTTTTTAATTTTTTATTTTTAGTAGAAATGAGATCTCGCTATGTTGCCCAGACTAATCTTGAACTCCTGAGCTCAAGTGATTCTCCTACTTTGGTCTCCCAAAGTGCTGGGATTACAAATATGAGCCACCGTGCCCAGCCTAAAACAAATTTTCTTTCTTTTTTTTTTTTTTGAGACAGAGTCTCGCTCTGTAGCCCAGGCTGGAGTGCAGTGGCAAGATCTCGGCTCACTGCAAACTCCACCTCCCGGGTTCATACCACTCTCCTGCCTCCGCCTCCCGAATAGCTGGGACTACAGGCGCCCGCCACCACGACCAGCTAATTTTTTGTATTTTTATTAGAGACGGGGTTTCACCCTGTTAGCCAGGACGGTCTCAGTCTCCTGACCTTGTGATCCACCCACCTCGGCCTCCCAAAGCGCCGGGATTACAGGCATGAGCCACCGTGCCCAGCCAACAAATTTTTAAATGTATAAATAAAGCCTTATTTATTTTTATTTTTGAGACAGACTCTCACTCTCTTGCCCAGGCTGCAGTGCAGTGCAGTGGCACAATCTTGGCTCACTGCAACCTCCACCTCCCAGGTTCAAGCCGTTCTCCTGCCTCAGCCTCCCATGTAGCTGGGATTATAGGTGCCTGCTACCATGCCCGGCTAATTTTTGTATTTTTAGTAGAGACGGGGTTTTGCCATGTTGGCCAGGCTGGTCTCAAACTCCTGACCTCAGGTGATCTGCCCGCCTTGGCCTCCCAAAGTGCTGGGATTACAGGCGTGAGCCTCCGTGCCTGGCCAAAGCCTTATGTTTTACAAGATACTTTTCAAACTATCTTTTTCTGCCGGGCGTGGTGGTACGTGCTTGTGGTCCTATAGTCCCAGCTACTCAGGAGGCTGAAGCAGGAGGATCACTTGAGCCCAGGAGTTCGAGGCCGCAGTGAGCTATGATTGCACCAGTGCACTCCAGCCTGAGCACCAGAGTAAGACCCTGTCTCCAGAAAAACAAAACCCTCCAAAACAAACAAAAAATCCCCCCTCTACCTTTTTATTTAATTACTGGTTGTTAAGTTGTAATAGTGTTAATGCAATCAACAAAAAGTAAACTATAGCAGAAAGAGTGCAGAGCCCTGAGTTGGATAGACCTGGGTTAGAGATCTTACTTGGTTTACTGACTCTGCAGTTCAAAATTTTCTCATCTGCAAAAGAAAGTTGAGAATAATGTCTGTTGACCTAATTCTGTAGAGGTATCATAGGATCAAATGAGACAACGCTTTTGTATAGGTTTTGTGAATTATAAAGCTCCAAACAAGGTTAGTTATCCTTATTTTAATTAAAAAAAAAAAAAAAAAAAAAAACGGGGGCTGGGCGCAGTAGCTCATGCCTGTAATCCCAGCACTCTGGGAGGCCGAGGCAGGCAGATCACCTGAGGTCAGGAGTTCGAGACCAGCCTTCCGAACATAGTGAAATCCCACCTCTATTAAAAATACAAAACTAGGCTGGGTGCAGTGGCTCACGCCTGTAATCCCACCACTTCGGGAGGCCGAGGCGGGCGAATCATCTGAGGTTGGGAGTTCGAGACCAGTCTGGTCTGACCAACGTGGAGAAACCCCGTCTCTACTAAAAATACAAAAAATTAGCCGGGCGTGGTGGTGCATGCCTGTAATCCCAGCTATTAGGGAGGCTGAGGCAGGAGAATCACTTGAACCTGGGAGGCAGAGGTTGCAGTGAGCTGAGATCATGCCATTGCACTCCAGCCTGGGCAACAAGAGTGAAACTCCATCTCAAAAAAAAAAAAACAACAAAAAAACAAAATTATCAAAGCATGGGGGTGCACGCCTGTAATCCCAGCTACTCGGGAGGCTGAGGCAGGAGAATCACTTGAACTTGGAAAGTGGAGGTTGTGCAGTCAGCCAAGATCACGCCACCGCACCCCAGCCTGGGCGACAAGTTTGTAGTCTTTGGACAAGGCTTTTATCTTTTTTGAAACTCTGTCTCAAACAAGACAGAAAAAAAAACCCAAGGGTTTCCATGTCAGTTCTCTCTTTTTGCTCTCCCATGTTGAGAACAAATGAGATGGAGAAGAGCTACAGAAGTGTATGTTATGTGAAAATGTGCTTTTTTTTTTTTTTTGAGACATGGTCTCTGTCACCCAGGCTGGAGTGCAATGGCTAATTTTTAAATTTTTTATGGAGATGGGGTCTCACTATGTTGCTCAGGTTGGTCTTGAACTACACTCAAGTGATCCTCCTGCCTTGGCCTCCCAAAGTATTGGGATTACCGGTGTGAGCCACCGCACCTGGCCCAAAATTTTCCTAATGCTATCAACGTCAGGCCACATGCTTGCTGGGGCACACAGTCCTGCTCTTTGTTTCTTAGCCTAAGCATAGCTCTAAATTTCCTCTTTCCAATCTCCAGCTGCTTTCCCCTTCCACTGCCTATGCTGGTCTGCCTTCTTCTTATCAAGAGGAGGCCAGTCATGTCTTCCGGACCCCTTTCAAAGTAGGTTCTTCAAGGGACCAGAATGGAAGCCCTCGTCCCCAGGCCAAGGTTGCAAGGCAAAGTTAGCTCCGCCTCCAAACTCCTACATTGATGATAAACATGTATTTGTTCATTTAGGTAACAAATATTTCCTGAGCATGTTCTCTGTACCAGGCACCTGCTGAGTGCCAGGGCTGCCATCACAGGAAGGTCATGTGGTGGAGGGGAAAGGAGCGGTTGAGAAGTTCCAATGAGTGTCTGTTTTGTTTTGTTTTGTTTTGTTTTTTGATATGGAGTCTCGCTCTGTTGCCAGGCTGGAGTGCAGTGGTGTGATCTCGGCTCACTGCAACCTCCACCTCCTGAGTTCAAGTGATTCTCCTGCCTCAGCCTCCGGAGTAGCTGGGACTACAGGCGCATGCCACCATGCCCAGCTAAATTTTTTTTGTATTTTTAGTAGAGATGGGGTTTCACCAAGGATGGCTGACCAGGAAGGTGTCCCCTCCCCTGTAGATCCTTGGCCTCCATTCAGTCCCCGGGGTTTGGGGGTAAGGATCGGAAGCTAACCTGACTGTTCACAACTGGTTTGGAGACTTGGACGGTGCACTGCAGCTTTGGGGCGCACTGATGAGGTCGGGCACTGAATTGGGGAGGGGGTTATCATCCCCACATAGACAAGGAACTCAGTTTCTTGGGGCACCCAGACACATAGCAGCTTTGACTCTCTCAAGTGACTTTGAGGTAGGTGAGGTCAGCTAGTAGGAGCCAAAGCCAGAGACAGAGAACCGGATGTATGGTGACCATGGTGACTGTCCATGACAGATT